>NC_000008.11:96964222-97589222 GCF_000001405.40 Homo sapiens | reverse complement strand
CCAGCCTGGGTGACAGAGAGTGAATCTAAAAAAAAAAAACCAACAAAAACAACAAGAAAAAACCCATAGCTTATGGCAGACATTTTAAAATAATTTTTCTATTATCTGTGGAAGATTTAACTGTGTACACCCAAACAGGCTCATACCAGAGACTGTTTATAGAGATACTGGGAAAATAAGGGAAAGAAAGAAAGAAGTTTTTACCAGAGGCCCAGATCTGCAAAGATCCTCATTTTTTATTTCTAGCAACCAAAAGATCAGCCAACACATATCATAGCACCTGGTGTAACACTTTCTGCAGATGATCAACTCTTAATTATTTCCTGGATGAATGAATGAGCAACTTTGAGGACTAAGTTAGAAACAGATGTAAATATGTTTTACAAACAACAACAACAAAAAATAAATGACACTATACATTAAGAACAGGTTGCTTTCTCCCCCAAGTTCTTTCACTTACATTACATTCTTCAGTCCTGACACCTATTTAGCAAGTGGTTGAATGGATATCGTCATTTTATAGAAGAGGCAATTGAAACTCAGTCATACCTCAGGATGGTGAGTCTCCTAACCCCTAATGTAATGTCCTTCCCACCACCACAGAGCTGATTTGTGAAAACCAGGCACCAACACTTGGATTCTGAAATTCCAACCTCACTTGAACAAAGTTTACAAAGCGTTTGCTGGTCTACCTTCCTGAGATCAGGTGTGGCCCATGTCTTTTTCTCTTTCTGCCATAAGCCCCTTACCCGCCTTCACCCCTTGCCCAGTGTCTTGGCCTCTCTGCCTACCCCGAGCCTGATCCTCACCTGGGAAGTACGGACAAGAACTCAGCATCCAGTCGTCTTGCTGCTGAATATTCCCTGACCTTGGTGGCCTGGTGTTTGAGAGCAGGTTTCTGTCCTAAGTAATCGAGTCTTAAATGCTTCCTTGGAACACAGGTTTTTAGCAACTCGATTCATCTCCCATTAGTGACCCACCTGCTTTGTGGCTGGTTTCTGCTCTTGATTTATCGGTCTGTCTGGCATTGCCTGTTCTTCCCACTGCCTTGCTTTTGAGAGCAGTTGCTTAGGGTCTCTGGGGTCTGTGGACACCTCACATCTGCTCCACAAATGCGTGCGACCCCTGACACTAACCATGGCTCTTCCACTGCTCTGCACTTTGTGGCTCAGTGTGTTTAAAGGACAGACTGCTCACAGTCTCGGGAAATCCTCCTCACCTCTCTGAGGCCAGGCCAATTCTCCCTGGGCCCTTGATCACTCTTGGCACGCAGAGATTTGGGCTAAAGTTATGACATCTGAGGTCGGTCTCCAGTGCCCTGCTAAGCCATAGGGAAGCCTGAGGCAAAAAGAGAAATGTGGATCTCTATGTACATTTATCAAAATTTCTTCTCATATTTTGAACAGTCCCTAAACATAACTGTATATAAAGCCCTGTGTTGCTCAATCTGTTCATGTGCCACTGTCAACTCTTAGGGGATGCAACAGGCTAGAAGGGCTGGATCTGAGAACAGTGGGCTGATTGGAAATGACTGTTCCCACTGTACAATAACACCAGGTAGTAAAACACACAGCTTGTCTTTGTTTAAAATGTCGATATTTGGTTCATCATGAAATTTTTTTTAGCATTACCTTTGATTCTTAAATATTTGTGTTAAACTATATATAAATAAATGTATATATATACACATTTATATATATATAAATATATATATAAATATAAATATATATACATTTATATATATATAAATATAAATATATATACATTTATATATATATAAATATATATACATGTATATATATAAATGTATATATATATTTATATATATATAAATGTATATATATACATTTATATACATATATATAAATATATATATATATATACACACATTTTTTTTTTGAGACAGAGTTTTGCTTTTTCGCCCAGGCTGGAGTGAAGTGGCGCGATCTTGGCTCACTGTAACCTCCGCCCCCTGGGTTCAAGCGATTCTCCTGCCTCAGCCTCTTGAGTAGCTGGGATTACAGGCACGTTCCAGCCAGGCTGGTCTCACTTGACCTCAGGTGATCCACCCACCTTGGTCTCCCAAAGTGCTAGGATTACAGGCGTGAGCCACTGCACCTGGCCCTGTGTTAAACTATTTATTTTGGTTAATGAGGGTTTTTTTTTGGCACTTTTAAATTTTGTGCCCCAGGCAAGTGCCTCCCTTGTCTCATCCTAACCCCAGCTCTGTCAGTCACTTCCAACTGGTCCTCTCCTTTCTGTGATCACTGGAAAAGCCAAGTCCACCCCCAACCCCCCGCCCTGGTTTCTGCTCCCTCGTCCTCTCTGTACTTTTCCTATCTTCCTGGTCTGCACTTTCTCAGCCTCCTTCCCCTGCACAGTCTGCAGCACTTATTCCATTGTTAGCAAACTCCTCCACATCTCCCATACTTTCAGACTCCTATCTCCCGCTCCTGGCCTTAACTAAAATCTGGCTCAATCCCCAAAAACATTCTTCTGTAGCTCTTTTATTCTTCCCCACCAAGGACCGTTGGTGGAGGAAGGGAAGGAGGAGGTGTTGGCTTCCTCCTGGCTCATCTCAGCCTCTTCTTGGCTGTGGACCATTTGTTCTCATGTCCAAGAACATCCTCCTTTGAGGGCCTGGTGTTCAGGTAGATTTTCCTCACCTTCTGCTGGGGGTCACCCACTAGTAAGTTGGAGCTCATCCCCCTCATTCACTGAAAACCTGGGAGTTGAGCTTACTCTTCCTGTTGAAGAAGTCTGCCACAAGCTAGAATATTTTGATGCCTTGTAGATCTCCCAGCCCAGAGCTTGGCCTTGCAGTTCTTGAGCTTCCCATGACTTTCACTTCTAATCCTTGGTAACCACCTGCTTCCTGGGCCTCATCGTCAATTGTGTTGAAATTGGAAACAACTACCAAAAGTTTGGCTGGGTGCGGTAGCTCACGCCTGTAATCCCAGCACTTTGGGAGGTGAGGTGGGCGGACTGCTTGAGTTCAGGAGTTTGAGACCAGCCTGGGCAATGTGGCAAAACCCCATCTCTACCAGAAATACAAAAAATTAGGCTGGGCGCGGTGGCTCATGCCTGTAATCCCAGCACTTTTGGGAGGCCGAGGCGGGCAGGTCACAAGGTCAGGAGTTTGAGACCAGCCTGGCCAACATAGTGAAACCCCGTCTCTACTGAAAATACAAAAATTAGCCGGGCATGGTGGTGCTCGCCTGTAGTCCCAGCTACTTGGGAGGCTGAGGCAGGAGAATCGGTTGAACCCGGGAGGCAGAGGTTGTGGTGAGCCGAGATCGTGCCACTGTACTCCAGCCTGGGCAACAGAGCAAGACTCATCTCAAAAAAAAAAATTAGCTGGGCATGGTGGTGCATGCCTGTGGTCCTAGCTACTTGGGAGACCGAGGTGGGAGGATCATTTGAATCTGGGAGGGAGAGGTTGCAGTGAGCCAAGATTGTGCCACTGCACTCCAGCCTGGGCAACAGAGCGAGACTCTGTCTAAAAAAAAAGAAAAAAAAGTTTCACTTTAATTTTCTATTTTTCCCCACCAACCAGCTGTCTTTCTGTCTTTCCTATGGCCTAACTCCCACCTTACTTTCCTCTTGGCCTCCTTTCTACCATCTCTAATGCTAAATCACTCAGTTTTCTTCCTGTCTTTTCAGACTTCTAGGCTTTCTTCATTCTCTACCTGGCCATTTCATGGTTATTCAACTAAAGTAATCTACCACTTCCTTTGCACCTTTACCCTTCTGTCACACTCATCCATATAATTCAAACCCTCAATAAATCTGTCTTCTCTCTTCCTATAGACATAAGGTTAGGCATTTCTGGAGAAAGACAAGATGCAGTCTTTTGTCCCATCATTAGCTGGTCCTCTGCTGGGATTATTTTTCTCACAGTATAACCACAGCCTCCCCTGGGTTCCAGGACAGTGAACTGACATCAGGCAGAAGTTTGCCTTGCAGACCTCCAGGCCACATCACTGACCATGTGGGGTCCACTGGAAACGTGTCTGTGGGGAATGTGCTGTCTCAAAGCTGGCTTAGGGGAGTAAATGCTGACAGGACCTATACTGTAAATTGCATATCACAAATCTTTCAAAAAGCACCTCCGACTTCAGCCTACTCCCCGTCACCGTAACAAACTACAACTCACAAACACAGCAGAGGGGAAGGAGTGTCTGGGTGGACTCAGAGGGCTTGTAAATGGTGCCTTTGCCACCATTCGCAAGGTCTTGTCATCCGTGGGACCCTTGGTGATCTTCTCTTTTTTGGGCTTCTATATGTCTTGTGGTGTACAGCATCCACAAAATTTTTCAGAGGGATCTTGTGACCAAAAACATCACTTTGAACTTTACAAATCTTGTTTAAGTTAAAAAAAACCCGGAAATTTCATGTCTTAAGCCTCTTATCTGGGAATACCTAATTATATGCCAAATGAAAAAGGAGGACTATAGCACCTTTTAGGCTAAAAAGAAATGTTGAACATTATGAAATAGTGAATTACCATCACAAAACTGCTAGGCAAAAAAAAAAAAAAAAAAAAATCCAGGCTAAGTGTGAAATAACTACTGACTGAATCTAGGCCTCTTGAGCTGAGGGCTCAGTATTAGTCACTTCTGTCCCCCTGTGTAGCCCCATCTTCACATTGTCTTCTGAAGCGAGAGCCAGGAGTTTCCCTGGGGTCTACCACAGCAAAATGCAAGGGGATCCTGAATCCTGGCCCAGAATCATTGGGGAGATGTGGAGGAGACTCAGAGGGATCTGCAGAGGCCGGTGAAGGCCAAGACCAGGCCGAAGCAGCCAGGGAGTCCCACCTGAGAGGCCGGCCTAGAAGCTACGCTATCGTGGAAGTGGGAATTGGTGATGTGCTGGTAAATTAGCCCTCCAGGAAAACAAAACCAAAATAGCCCAGTTTAAAAGATTCATAGTGTTTGCTAATTTCTGTGGTGTAACTACTAATGTAGTTGATTTCAAGCTATCAACATGTTACCCAACACAGATGTGAGAAAAGATGTGTGCAATTAGATGTTGATGGCTGGGATGAACTGGCTCTAGAGCCATTATCGGGGGCAAGCAGTGATGAGGGATCCCATCCCCACAGAGGCCAGGGAGAATCCAAAAGCAGCAAAGGGATCTAGATGCCGTTCTGACACCTTCTTTCCCTGCCACTGTGACAATTACATAAGTCATGGTTAAAAGAAGCCTGCGGTTTCTTTGCATTCTGAGTTGAACTGAGAGTTAATCTGGGGCCCTCCTACATATGGGATGAAACCTAAGCTCATTTACTGGCATATAGGCTTGAATGATCTGCTTCTGCCTGAATTTCTAGATTCATTTATTATTTTTTGTCATGTTCATTTTCTCTTCTTGGACTAATAGTCATCCCACTTTTTTTTGTTTTTTCCTTGCCTAAATTCTATGCATTTTAAAAAAATGGATGAACCCCAGTCTCACAGTTATGTAGTTGAAGGAAGTAGGAGTATTTTAATAGTCTTTTAAAGTAATTGGGGGATATTCTTTGCTATTATGATAAAACCAATGGTAGCTTCTTAAAAGTTAGTTGCAATATAAAATCTGAAACCACAATAAACAGAGTAACAAGCTCTGTTACATAAAACCCATTGGCCTGTCTTGTACTTTGAATTAGTCTTTTACCTATGTGTGATTTGGTGACATCTTGCACTGGTTCATATGCATTTAAAAATTTATTATTTTTGGCCGGGCGCGGTGGCTCACGCCTGTAATCCCAGCACTTTGGGAGGCCGAGGCGGGTGGATCATGAGGTCAGGAGATCGAGACCATCCTGGCTAACAAGGTGAAACCCCGTCTCTACTAAAAATACAAAAAATTAGCCGGGCGCGGTGGCGGGCGCCTGTAGTCCCAGCTACTCGGGAGGCTGAGGCAGGAGAATGGCGTGAACCCGGGAAGCGGAGCTTGCAGTGAGCCGAGATTGCGCCACTGCAGTCCGCAGTCCGGCCTGGGCGACAGAGCGAGACTCCGTCTCAAAAAAAAAAAAAAAAAAAAAAAAAAAAAAAAAAAAAAATTTATTATTTTTTTTGTAGAAAGGGGTCTTGTCATGTTGCCCAGGCTGGTCTTGAACTTTTGGGCTCAAGCAATCCTCCCATTTTGGCCTTCTAAAGTGCTCAAATTATGGACATGAGCCATGATAAGCATTTTTAGAGTCAATTTAGGCATTAGAAAGCCTTCTCTGAATTTGCTAGAATTGAAATGCTGTCTAATGCAACTTTTTGCCATAACAAAATATCCTATATCTGTGTTGTTCTATATGGCAGCCATTAGGCACATGTGATTTTGACAACTTCAAATGTGGCCAGCATGACTAAGGAGCTGAATTTTTAATTTTAATTAATTTAAATAGCCACATGTGGTTAATGGCTAGCATAATGGATAGTGCAGCTCTAGAATGAGGTGGGTTCTCCTTTTCATGCTCATAAAATACGTTTTGCATTGCTCTAATTTTGTGTTTCTCTTAACATTTGCTCTTGTCTTTCCCATTTCCCCACCAGATGGCGCCCACTTTGAGGGAAAGGAATGGGTTTGCAATTTGGTTGCCCTCTGTAAATGTCAGTTGAATGAATGATTAGTACTGGGCCTTCCGACACTGGCAACTGCCTCGTGCACCAGTGGAGCCTCCGCTGGCTGACTAGGCCTTTACTTTTAGGCCACTGACTAGACCTGACTCTCCGCTAGACTAGCTTCATTCCTAGAAAAGTTGGGTAAAATACAAAAATTATCTATTTGAAGGCATCAGAAAGCTACCCAAACAGCTAGGAATTGAGAAGGCACACATTTCTGGGAATGCACTTTCCACTTGCTCCATCTCTACTTAGACTGACATTTAAGGGTTTACTTGGATCATGACTTAAGGTATCCATCTCTCCATTTCTGGACCCATATGTTGGTTTCCTTTATCTGCTAGACTCAAGCTTCTATGTGTTGGTTCCTACATTCATAGCTATACTATAAATTACCTATATATTTGGCCTGAGTCTTGCCCTCTCTCAGTCTTTTCTAATATGTCACCTCTTGAGAATTGGTTTTAACTCACTGGTTCATAAGAGATACACATTTTCTTTCATAGTCATTGTCATTATTCTCAATGTAGATCTGTCTGTTCAAGAGGTCCCCCCAAACCTTTTATTTATTTATTTATTTTGAGACAGGGTCTCACTCTGTCATCCAGGCTGGAGTGCAGTGGCACGATCTCGGCTCACTGCAGCCTTGACTTCCCTGGGCTCAAGTGATCCTCCTACCTCAGGCTACTGAGTATCTGGGATTACAGGTACCCACCACGATGCCTGGCTAATTTTTGTATTTTTTGTAGAGATGAGGTTTTGCCATGTTGCCCAGGCTGGTCTTGAACTCCTGAGCTTACAGGTGTGTGTGAGCCACCACACCTGGCCACCCAAGCCCCTTAAAACTTGATTTTATAATTAATGTGTGCTACTTTTGTACCCTGGTCATTTTACCTATTATATTTAAAATAAGCCATGCAATTAGCTGAGTGGAAATGAACACATATTGTTCTTTTAAAAAATAAAAATAACTAGGTGTGGTGGCATGTGCCTGTAGTCCCAGCTATTCAGGAGGCTGAAATGGGAGGATCTCTTGAGCCTGAAGGGTCCTGGCTGCAGTGAGCCGAGATCACACCACTGTACCCCAGCCTGGGTGACAGAGTGAGACCCTGTCTCAGAAGAAGAGAGAAATATTTAATAAATATCCACACTGAATATTAAATACCATCTTATGTAGATGATCATATAATTTTCTCCTTTATTTTATTCATATGGTAAAATCACATTGATTGATTTTTAAGTATAAATTAGCCTTTTGCTCCACTTTTGTTTTTTTAAAAATATATTTTTAAATTAAATTTTATTTTATTTTAGTTTTTGAGACAGGGTATCGCTTTGTTGCCCAGGCTGGAGTGCAGTGGTGCGATCTCGGCTCACTGCAGCCTCTGCCTCCCAGGCTCAAACCATCCTCCCACCTTAGTGTCCTGAGTAGCTGGGACTACAGGCACGTACCACCATGCCTGGCTGATTTTTGTATTATTTGTAGAGACAGAGTATCGCTATTTTGCCCAGGCTAGTCTTGAAGTCCTGGGCTCAAGTGATCCACCCACCTCAGCCTCCCAAATTATTGGGATTACAGGCGTCAGCCACCTTGCCTGGCCAGTCTTGTGTTCTTGGAATAAGCCCAGTCTCGATGGGATATATAGCATATAGCCATATTTGATTGGCTCATATTTTGTTTCAGATTTTTGCATCTATGTTCATAAGAGAGAATGGCCTACAATTTTTCTTTTTTGCAGTATCATTATCTAGTTTTGCTATCATGGTCAAGAAGACCCAATAAAATGCAATTGGATCATAAATGCCGCAGATCCCCTTGCCCTTTGGGTGGGATAACTCTGAGGAAAAAGGTCTCCTTGATTTCCCCAGTGGACTCAAGCTCCAGTTACTCACAGTGGCAGTTTGTTTAAGAACCAGCTTTTTTTGGCTGTCTTATCTTTCTTGTTTCTCTTCCTCACTTCCCTAATAATGCTTCCTGACATCACCTCCTTATGTTCAAATCCTTCCCTGGGGATCTGCTTCAGGGGGAACTCAAAGTCAGGATCTTGAGCTCTTAATTCCTGGCTATTTTTGTAGTTTTCTGATGCTTTTAAACAAATGACTTTTGTATTTTATCCAACTTTTCTAGTTGTTCCTGGTAGAAGAGTTGGTTGGGTGTAATCTAGTCTATCATGGCTGAAAGCAGAAATTTAAACGTATATCTAGCATAAAAAAAAGAAACACCATAGTATAATTTGGTAACTTTCCTAATAGTTGGATTCAGTCTTTAATATTTTATCAGTTCTGATGTAAAGTAACCCTGATAAAATAGCTAGTCCTACTCTTTATTTATTTATTTATTTTTTGATACAGGGTCTCGCTCTGTCACCCAGGCTGGAGTGCAATGGTACAATCTCGGCTCACTGCAACCTCTGCCTCCAGGGTTCAAGCCATCCTCCCATCTCAGCCTCCTGAGTAGCTGGGACTACAGGTGCATACCACCGTGCCTGGCTAATTTTTGTATTTTTTGTAGAGACGGAGTATTGCTATGTTGCCCAGACCGGTGTTGAACTCTTGAGCTCAGGTGGTCTGTCTGTGTTGACTTCCCAAAGCTCTGGGATTACAGGCATGAGCCACCACACGCAGCCTACCAGTCCTAATCTTTATAATTCACTTCAAAGTCTTATCTTGGAGTCAGGACTCTCCTGAAGAAGGAACACACTTTGGGACTTCAGGCCAGTTTTGGGCACCTCCACTTCTCCCAGCTGCCTGGATGCCTCATTTGCATGTGGCATTAGCCAAGCTAATAAAAGGTAAACCTAAGTGTATCCTCCTAGCCTCCTTACTGTCTTGGGAGGCTGCCACCTTCCCTGATTCCCCTGTATTCTCTTCAAAGCAGAAAGAGAGACTGCAGATGATCAACCCCACATTCACTCTGATGACAACAAAACCTCCTTTCTCCTGAACAAAAAGAATCCAATTTCTACATAACCTAAAAAGGGAAACATTTCTGTTCTCAGCCACTATTGCATCTTGAGTTTCTTATATATTGCTTCCATGTTCCTAAATTTAAATGATAGCATTTCGTTTGTTTGAGTTGTCCCTAAATAATACACAACTTTTATAAACAGCTTTACTTAAAAGGGACATACCACTTTTTACAGAATATTTTTCAAAAACAGCTTTGAAATCATAGTTAGCATTTAAAGAAGAATGTTGTCCTATTCTTTTTTCTTATCTGTTTTCCCTTCTGTTTCCTTCCAGAACAATCCATTTCAAAAGCCATTATTAGATGGGGTTGGGCAGGTCAGTGACAAAAGGTAGGGTATCAGTGTCTGAACAAGTTCAGGTGCGGAGGCATGCAGGGAGGAAGACCAGGGCGGGGTGTTGGAGCCATGCAGAGTGAGAAAGGCATGCACACGAGGGGCTGATGGGGGCCTGGCACGGGTGTCAGATACCAAGCAAGGTGGGATGCACATTCCTATGGTAGCCCAGCATGTGGCATCAGAGGCCAGGTGGGGTGAGGAGGGCTTTAGATGAGGGGAATCAGCAGCCTGGTGCTGGGTGTGGGAGTCCGAATAGGGTGAGAGGGGCCTGCCTAGGGGAGGGCAACCTGGCAGGGGGGTGTCAGGGCCTACAAGGTGGGATATTACATATAGTAGTGCTCCAATATGTCAAGATATGGAGGAGAGTAGGAGCAAAGTTTCTCACTGTCACAGAAGGAAGTGAAAATATGGAAAGGGAGAAAACTGATGAGCTCTCTACTGTTAGAGTTTGGAATTGGAGATATTACCGTGAGTTCATAGTTTTCAGTATACACAGATGGGTAGATATGGGAATCAATATAGATATGTGTGTGTGTGTGTGTGTACGTGTGTGTGTGTATGCGTGTGCATATGTATGCTCCCTAGCTTTGCTCCTTTTGAGGGCCTGAGTGTAGTACACATCAAGAGCAATGAGCAAATCTAGCACTGAGGTCTTGATTTTTAAGTACCATTCTCCACTAAAAGGATCCAGGACCCCTTGGAGAAGTGGCTGATACAGGGTTTGAGTAGGGAAGCACAGGATGAGCCTGAAATATCTTGTTGTGCCAAAGGATGCAGAAGCCAGCTTGATAGGAATGGATTAAAATCCACTGAATAAAATAGAACCATGATTCAATATGACGTAAATAAGTAAATGACTAACTTGAAAGATTGGTGAGGAACAGGATGTCTATATGTTCTCAAAGTACCTCCCTACAAAATATGTATTAATTACAGAGGGGAGAAGTGTAAATTTACACTGGAGAAGTCTGGTAGATACCACCTTAATCAAGTGATAGAAGTTAACATCACCAATAATAGATTCTGATGGAATGCATCGAGAAGAACTCAGCATCACTTCCATGATATTCCTGATAAAGATGACACAGAACCTGGATTTAATCACAGGGAAACATCAGACACACATGTTCTCTGTCTCTTTCTCTCTCTCTCTTTCACTCAGACACACATTGGGAAATGTGTTGTCATTGACTTCTTGTGATGTGCTACAACTTTCCAATTCTAGAATCCAATCTTAGAGGAGGTTTGAAAAGATGAGGCTCCAAATATCTGTTATAATTATCTATGAAGATTACTTAAAGAACGTGATTTAAAAAAATTGCTGAGTGTAAAATGCATTCATGAAAGAAATGTTCAGACATTTATTTTTTCAAAAGTGAGATAAATGACAAAAATATTGACTCCACTTGTAAGAAATTGAAAAGAGTCATGAGGGAAGGAAGTCAGTATCTGCCCAATATAAATTTTCATGATAACATGCAACGTAATAAAGTGGCCCTAAAAATGCCAAACGATTTATTCATACTCTGCACTGTCTGAACAAAACTCTCAAACTGGCTAGGATCTGTTATGGAGAAGTGTGTACCTTTTCCTTTTTTAAGCTTGGTAGACTCTAACTCTCAGACCTCTTTTACTAATCAGACATCATGAATCTGAATCGGTGGCTGAAAATAAGTTCTTTGTTTTGTAGAATTCCTTGATAGACCATTTTTACCTGAAAACACTTTTTCCCCCCTCTGGGCTTCTGAGACACCCACTCTCCTGACTTCTTTCCTTCTTCATTGGTCACTAGGTCTTCATTTATTTTACTGATGTCTCCTCCCCGAGCTGACCATTAAAAGCCAAAATGCTCTAGGGCTCCATCCTCCTTCTGCTCTGTCCTTGCCCTCCTGCTAGGAGAGTTCTCCAGTCCTGGGCTTTATATTCCATCGATGTGCTCATGGCATTCACATTTTGATTGCCAGCTTAGGTCTTGCCTCTGGTCTCTAAACTCATATATCCACATTTTGAAGTAACGTCTCCACTGGGGTGTCTAATAGGAATAGCAAACTTAGCATGGCAAATATAGAATTATTGATTTCCCTTTCACCCCACACCCATATTCTTCCTCCACAAAGCCTTCCTCATTTGAGTTAGAAGTACCAACATCTATTATTTCTAGTTTGGTAGCTCTGGCTAAAAACCTTGGAGTCCTTTTTGATTTTTCTTTTTTTCCCCCCTTAAAATCCACAGTCAATCCATCAGTACGTGTTATCATCTTTGCCTTTAAGAAAGAGCCTAAAGGCGACCATTTTTCTCTCTTTCCACTGCTGCAAACCTGGCTCAAGACACCTGGATGATTGCAACAGCCTCCTGATTGGTCTTCTGGCCTCTACTCTTTCTTCTACACACAATACCCAGAGTAATCTTTTTGAAGCATAGGTTTGGGAAAGATCACACCTCTCCTTAAAACACCCTGTGGCTTCTTTCCCATAGCAACCAGAATAAAACCCTTTTCAAACTCTTTTTAAAAATTGCATTTATTTATTCTTTTTAGAGACAGGATCTCACTCTGTTGCGCAATCCAGAGTGCAGTTATAATAGCTCACTGCAGCTTTGAACTCTTGAGTTCAAGCGATCCTCCACCCCAGCCTTCTGGGACTACAGGTGTGTGCCATGACACCCAGCCCAAACTATCACAGCCTACAAGGGCAACATAATCTGGCTATTAACAGCTTCTTGAATCTCATCTTTTCTACTCTCTTCTTTATTTGTGTGTGTGTATATGTGGTTTTTTTTTTTTTTTTTGAGATAGGGTCTTACTTTCTTGTACAGGCTGGAGTGCAGCAGCATGATCACAGCTCACTGCAGCCTCGACCTCCCCAGGCTCAGGTGAGCCTCCCACCCCAGCTTTTGTATTTTTTTGTGGAGACAGAGTTTCACCATGTTGCCCAGGCTGCTCTTGAACTCCTGGGCTCAAGCGATCTGCCTCCCAATGTTCTGGGATTTCAGGTGTGAGCCACCACACCTGGCTTTCCACTCTCTTCTTGTTCACTTGGCTTATATTAGTTTTTTTTTTTTTTTTTTTTTTTTGAGACGGAGTCTCGCTCTGTAGCCCAGGCTAGAGTGCAGTGGCACGATCTTGGCTCACTGCAAGCTCCACCTCCTGGGTTCAGACGATACTCCTGCCTCAGCCTCCCGAGTAGCTGGGACTATAGGCGCCTGCCACCACCCCTGGCTAATTTTTTGTATTTTTAGTAGAGATGGGGTTTCACCATGTTAGCCAGGATGGTCTCGATCTCCTGACCTCATGATCCACCTGCCTCGGCCTCCCAAAGTGCTGGGATTACAGGCGTGAGCCACCACGCCCGGCCAAGCTTGTATTAGTTTTATATTTCTGCTGCAACAAATTACCACCACCAATAGTGGCCTAAACAATATAAATCTATTCTCTTGCAGTTCTGGAAGTAAGGAGTCCCAAAATTAAGGTGCTGGTAGGTTTCTGTTCTTGCTGGAGGCTCTAGATGGGAATCTGTTTCTTTGCCTTTTCCAGCTTTCAAAGGCCATCTGTAGTTTGTGGCTTGTGATCTCATCTTCCATCTTCAAAGCCAGCAGGGGTGACATCTTCCATTCTCTCTCTCTGACTCTCCTGCCTCCCTCTTATAAGGACCCCTGTGATTAATTATACTGGGTCCGGCAGATAATTCAGGATAATTTTCTCATCTCAAGATCCTTAATCACATCTGCAAAGTTCCTTTTGCCATAAAAATAACATGTTCACAGTTCTTAGGGATTAGGACATGGACATCTTTGGGGCAGGACATTATTCAGCCTACTCCACAGCTGTACCCCCACTGGCCTTCTTTCTGTTCTCAGTGACATCAGATTTATTCCCACCTCAGAACCTTTGCCCTAAGCATTCATTCTGCTAGAATGGCCTTCTCCCAAGGCACTGGGGAGCTGACTCCAGCTTGAATACCTCTCCTCTGAGAGGCCTTCCATGAACATCCCAGGCAAGGAAGATTCTCCCCCTACCCCACATTCTCATACTGCTTTATATTATGTTCTTCATAGCTCTATTTATTCCTAAAAATATCTGATTTATTGTTAGAGGGGAACATTTTATCCCCACTCCCCTGATTTCCATGAGGAGGGCATTTTCCTCAACACTTTTGATGTTTTGTTCCACTTAATTCTCCTCCCTACAGCAGGTTATCTGAGTAGTGAGTTTGAGGAGTATCCCAGTCTGCTTTATGTTGCTATAACAGAATACCACAAACTGGGTAGCTTATATTTAAAAAAGTAATTTATTTCTCACAGTTCTAGGGGCTGGGAAGTCCAATGTCAAGGTGCCAACATCTGGTGAAGACCTACTTGCTGCATCAACCCATGGTGGAAAGTGGAAGGGCAAGAGAGCATAAGAGCACGAGAGATCACACTTGCAGCTTCTAGACTTTATAATTGGCATTAATCCATTCATTAGGGTGGAACCCTCATGACCTAAACCCCTCCCATTAGGCCCCATTTCCCAACACTGTTACTTTAAGTTTCCAACACATGATTTTTGGAGAACACATTGAAGCCATAGCAAGAAGGAACTGGATATGAGTAGCAAAGTTCTTTTTGCTGCCTTCTCTTTCAGGATCTGCCTGCCTGCAGAGAACACTTGTTCCCAATTGTTTTCAGTCATATATATAAGTAGGAGAGAACTTGTATCTATGTCATGTGGGGATAACTGCCTGCGGTGATTTGGAATCTTCTACGACTGGGTTGATGAGTCTACCCAATTTAGGGGAACTGGGAGTTGAAAGCTCACATGGCTCCCACACCTAAATCCAGATTGCCAGATTCTCCATATCAGCCTTGTCAGTTATGAGGGTAATATTTTGGTCTCCTATGATGACTCTTTTGTCTTAATTCCTAATTGGTTCGGAACTTGGGCAGGGAAATGTGAATCTATTTGTTGGTGTTTCCCTGAAGTCCCCCAACATTTATGTATTTAAATTTTTGATGTTTCTTTTGCCTTTTGAATGTGAGTCCTTGAAGGAAGAAAGAGTATTGGCCGTTTTCTCTGCCTAGGCTATCCCTACAGCCAAGGATAATGTTTGGCACAAAGAATGTATTCAATAAATATTTATTTAATAAATAAATTTTATGTCAAAATACAATAGCTGATGAAGTTTTGGTTGTGAATTCATTGGAGACTTACTGTGCTATAGGTCAAATTAACCATAAGGGCAAAGGCAAACTTTTGTCTGAAATTGCCCCTATTAACCTATAACTTATTTAAAGGAATATTACTGATATGGTTTGGCTGTGTCCCCACCAAAATCTCATCTTGAATTGTAGTTCCCATGATTATGTCACAGAAGAGACCTGGTAGGAGGTAATAAAATCATGGGGTTGGTTATCCCCATGCTGTTCTCATGATAGTGAGTGAGTTCTCAGGAGATCTGATGGTTTTCTAAGGAGCTTTTCCCCCTTTTGCTCAGCACTTCTCCTTGCTGCCGCCATGTAAAGAAAGACGTGTTTGCTTTCCTTTCTGTCATGATTGTAAGTTTCCTGAGGCCTCCCCAGCCATGCTGAACTGTGAGTCAGTTAAACCTCTTTCCTTTATAAATTATCCATTCCAGGATATCTCTATTATTAGCAGTGTGAGAATGAACTAATACAGTTGCTTTTTTTTTTTTTTTTTGAGATGGAGTCTCACTCTGACATCCAGGCTGGAGAGCAGTGGCACGATCTCAGCTCACTACAACCTCTGCCTCCCAGGTTCAAGCGATTCTCCTGCTTCAGCCTTCTGAGTAGCTGGGACTACAGGTGTGTGCCACCACGCCTGGCTAGTTTTTTATTTTTAGTAGAGACAGGGTTTTGCCATGTTGGCCAGGCTGGTCTAGAACTCCTGACCTCAAGTGATCCACCCACCTTGGCCTACCAAAGTGTTGGCATTACAGGCATGAGCTACTGTGCCTGGCCTCAGGAATATTACTTTTTATGGAGTATAGTTTAAAAACAAGCGTTTAGATGTTATTAAATCTTTTTTTAAAAGCAGGATATAAAATGATTTTCTTTCCCACACAACTCATGTTAACTTGACAGCTTTCACAATTAGCATTAACATTGTAATTTACTTGTTAAACCTAAAATGAGTCAGTATTTAAGATTTCTATCACTAAAGCACCTAGAATGTAAAATAGTACATGTGATATTTCAAGATCTTCAGATATTTGACAATCAACTATTTAGTAAACATTTATCATGCAACTACTTTGTGCAATGCATTGTGCTGAACATGGGCTTATGAGATGGGTAACACACAGTCTCAAGCAACAAGCTATTGAGAGACAGAGTCATGAAATCCTATTAGGGCTTACTATTTGCCTAACACTATTCTAAAGGTTTTCATTTATTAACACATTTAATACTCACAACCTGGTGAGTTAGCTGCTATATACTTTTCCTCATTTTATTGTGCATCTTGTGAGCTAGGCGCTGATTGCCCTTTGTTCTAGTCTATCATTTCAAGACATTTGTGTAGCAAAACAGCCTTGAAAGATATATTGTCTCCCTTTGGGGCAAACAACACTTCCTCTAAGCTCAGGATTTCTTTCCAGTAACCACACTGCATGTGTGGGTGCCATCTGGCCCTTTTTGCATTATCCTGTGGAAGTTAGGGTGCAGGGAACCACAGCAAAATGTATTGATACTCTGGTTACTGCAGTTGTTGTCAGTAACAAACCGTTCTTTTCTTCTAACCCAGGAGTTTTCTATCTTCTGCCAGCATCCATGAAACAGTGGCGGACTAACTTCTAGTTATTAGGATAACATTGCAAACACTTTGCAGTGCTTGATGCTCACAAAAGAGGAAATTGAAACACAAAAAGTTTCCCAACTTTTTCACAGTCACTTGGCCTATAATTGCTAGAGATGGTATCTAAACTCTTATAGCTTGGGGAAATTGATGAGTTAAATTTCAGGTATATGAAGTTTTAATGGTCTTGGGTCATTGACTTGGTGATGTATCCAGCATGGGTTTGATTACATAGTGAGGAATCCAGGACATAGATTTGATTTACATTTAGAAACCATTTAGGTAGAGGTTGATACTGAGATAATAAAGTGAGGATAGAAAGTATAGATTTCCCTTTCTGGGACTTGGCTATGGTGAGACACAGATAAGTTGGATGCTAGAGGAGGACTTAGGGAAGCAGCCATTTTTTTTTTGAGATGGGATCTCACTCTGTTGACCAGGCTGGACTGCAATGGTGCAATCACTACAGCCTCAATCTCCTGGGCTCAAGTGAGCCTCCCACCTCACAAGTAGCTGGGACTAGAGATGCACTCCACCATGCCCAGCTAATTTTTAAATTTTTTTGTAGAGATGAGGTATCACTACATTGTCATACAATCACTTGAGCCCAGTGGTCTCGAACTTCTGGGCTTAAGTGATCCTCCTACTTTGGCCTCCCAAAGTGTTGGGATCACAGGCATGAGCCACCACGCCCAGCCACAGCAGCCATTTATTTATGAATTTTTAATTTGGGATAGACCTGAACATTTAAATATTGTTGGGAGAGAACAACTAACAAGAAAGAGGTTGAGGGTAGAGAAGAGAGAGGGGGGAAATTAATGGAGTGAAACTCCTGAGAAAATAAGTGATGGGACCCAAGTCATACCTTTCCCATGGAAGTGAGGGAAAAGGAATAAGGTGCTGATATGTGTGTAGGTGTGAGGATGGTATAAAAGGTTGAGGGGGTCAGTGGGCACGATGGCTCATGCCTGTAATCCCAGCACTTTGGGAGGCCAAGGCAGGTGGATCACAAGGTCAGGAGATTGAGACCATCCTGGCTAACACAGTGAAACCCCATCTCTACCAAAAATACAAAACCAAAAAAATTAGCCGGGTATGGTGGTGGGTGCCTGTCGCCCCAGCTACTTGGGAGGCTGAGGTGGGAGAATGGCGTGAACTGGGGAGGCAGAGCTTGCAGTGAGCTGAGATCATGCCACTGCACCACTTCAGCCTGGGCAACAGAGTGAGACTCTGTCTCAGAAAAAAAAAAAAAGAACAAAAAAAGTTGAGGGAGTCTTTTTCTAAAATAACCTAGGTCATTGTTAAGAGAAATAAAGGTGTTGGAGTTGGGGGCTTCAGAACACCTGGGGTTAGAAACAGGTGTAGGAGGAATAGGAGATGGAGCTGTTTGCAGACCATGAGCTCTCTGTGTCTGACACAATGCCTTGCATGGAGTAGGTGCTCAGTAAAATGAATTGAATTAATGAGTAGTGTATTAGTGCATTTTCATACTGCTATGGAGAAATACCTGAGATTGGGTGATTTATAAAGAAAGAGAGGTTTAATGGAATCACAGTTTCACATGACTGGGGAGGCCTCACAATCATGGAGGAAGGTGAAGGAGGAGCAAAGGCATGTCTTACATGGTGGCAGGCAAGAGAGCATGTGCAGGCTTTATAAAACCATCAGATCTCATGAGACTTAGTTATTATCCCAAGAACAGCATGGGAAAAACCAACACCCATGATTCAATTACCTCCCACTGGGTCCCTCCCATGACACCTGGGGATTATGGGAGCTACAGCTCAAGATGAGATTTGGGTGGGGACACAGCCAAACCATATCAAGTAGGGACATGTGGAAGGATTCATGGATAGCACTAAGATGTCATTGAAGGTTGGAGACTACCTTTCTGCAAAGGCCAGTTTCTGAGATGTTGAGTTAGATGGTGTCATGGGCAGGAAGCAGTATCATACTTGCTCATTACTTGTTATCTAGTCCAACTGCAGAGAGATGGCAGGACAATTTATCCTAGAAAACAGGCAGGGCCAAAGCAGCAATCAGCTGGGATGGGGGAAGGAGTAGCATAGCTTAAGAGCTCTACTTTGACCACTATGGAAACCAAGAGTTTTAAGCTTGGCCACACTTGAATTCTAATCATATCATAGAGTGAACAAGAACTGTTTCAATCATGATGTAATCTGAGAATAAATTCACCAACATGACCTCATTGCAAATGGGGTCAGTTTTTATTTTTAACATGTTTACGAAATTGAGGTTCAGGCTTCCAATAGAAAGAGATAAAGGGACAGAGGTCAATAAAGAGGGTGAGAAAAATAGCTCAAAATGAGCCATAGGGCATTCCATTTTAAAAGAAATGTGTTTGTGGCTAGCCAGAAAATGGTCATTTAAAATGTAAATATGGAACAGTTACAAGAGAAAGGTTTAAATAACTTTCCATTACTTGGCAGTGTTTTTAATTTGGCCACATCTGACATGAACAGGCGAGGGAGAAAGCCAGCCCATAATTCTAAAACCAAATTAAAACAGCTCTTGAGGCACCTGAAGATTTTGATCTTAGAGAGTAATTGGTTTTTGTTTCAGCTTACCAAGTCGGCAGGCAGGGTAAAAAGAAAAAAAAAATCACTGACAGCAGCAAAGCATTAGCCCTTCAAATGGTGGGTCTTGGTTTCCGTAAGTGCAGTTTAGGAAAAAATTCTTCCAACCTTCTGCCTCTAAACTGATTGGCGCTGTACAATTTAATGTACACAATCCCCCACCCACGTGTATTTGGCTGGTGTCCAGGGATACCATGGCTCACGGTCCTGACATACAGTGAAGGGCACAGCATGATAGGACATCCCAAGAGAGCTGTGTATAGGACACTAGTGCATGCCATTTTCCTTAACTATCCTCTAATTGGTCTTGATGTTTTTGAACTCTGCCATTTATTTCAACATTCAATTATAGGCTTTAAAATCAAACCATTATGTCTGGTGATCCAGCGGTTTCCTATTCCTCACCTGCCACTGCTTGGGAAAGTCATCTGAGGAAATATAATGGGATGACTGGGGAAACCCCTTTTCAAGGCTAATTATTCAGGCACACTCTGTATTGCATTGTTATTTTTAACTTACTAACGTTAGCTTTTTTCTTTCCAAGGCAACTTTGGTCCACTCAATTTCCCTGACTGTCAAAAACGCAAATTGCAATTTACTTATTTTTTCCTTATTTCCTGGGAAACTGTAACCCTTATGTCCAGCCCCATTTTCTCTTTTCTCTTTTTTTATTTTCTTGCACAGCAGGGATTAAATATGATCGCTGTGAGATGACATTGCAAGAGCAGGCTGGATACATTTTCAAGTGGCCCAACCTTTGGAGGTGAATGCTGTGGGTGGGGCGGCGGGGGGCTTCTACTCCAGGAGGGCAACAAAAGCTTCCTGACTCATCTTCCTGCCTGGCCCCTCTCCAGTGTATTCTCAGTCCAGCGGGCAAGATGATTCTGCTAAGATACCAATGGATCATGTAAGTCCTTTACCCCAAACCCTCCATGGCTTCCATCTCAGTACAATAACTAGCAGGCACCACCCAATCTGTCCTCCCCTACCTCTCTGACCTCGTCTCTTACCACGCCCTCCCCTCTTTCCATTTCCACTCAGGAATTCCTTATTACGTTCCTTAAACACACCAGGCATGTTCCTGACCCCGACATGGTCCTTGCTGATTCTGTAACAGTGAAACAGCCAAGGAGCTAACCAACAAAGCCCTTTTTTTTTTGTTTTTATTTTTTGAGACAGTCCCGCTCTATCGCCCAGGCTGGAGTGCAGTGGCACGATCTCGGCTCACTGCAGCCTCACCTCCTGGATTCAAGTGATTCTCCTGCCTCAGCCTCCTAAGTAGCTGGGATTACAGGTGCCCACCACCATGCCTGGCTAATTTTTGTAGTTTTAGTAGAGATGGGGTTTCACCATGTTGGCCAGGCTGGTCTTAAACTCCTGACCTCCAGTGATCTGCCCGCCTCGGCCTCCCAAAGTGTTGGGATTACATGCATAAGCCACCATGCCTGGCAACGAAGCCCTTTAGTTAGCTGCACAGTTGAGTTTAAGGAGCTATTCCTGCATATACGCTAGGATAATTTTAGAGCACTGAGGTAATATGCAAAAACAGTAATCATGTAGTTTTAAAAACTAATTCTGGGATGAAAGGGGAAGTATGTAAACAACTATGTGTTGTTAAAGATTTATAGGAGCATTGTGACCTGACCAAGGACAAGGAAGTCCTCAGACACACGCTGGTGCCCAGATGTCTGCGGCTGTGGATCAGCCCTGCGGTCATTGATCCCAGCCTCTCTCTCTTCTCCCTGCCCTTAACATAAAAAGAGCCTGAAATTTGTACTGACTTAAGATGGTACCTTAGGATGCCAATCTACCGTCTTCTTGGTTTGCTATTATTTAAGAAACCTTAAGTTATTTGAGGCAAGGGAAAGGATTTCCAAACTCTCATACAACTTAGTTCTGGTTACACAGTAGACACTTAAAAATACATGAAATAATGATGTAAATTTATTTTAAAAATGTAACAAAAGCTGTAAGTTATAGGAATCCTATGGTGAATTACCTTATCAAGTGATAATTATTTTCTGTTTGGATTTTGGTCCAGGTCTAGGTGGTCTACACCAGTGGGTTTTAAACCTGGGTGTGGGTCAGAATCGCTCCAGGAATTTGGTAAATAGATGGAGGCCAGGGCCCTATCCTACTTGAATGAGCCCTGGGGTCTGTGCTCTTTATTGGTGCTCCAGGTGGTTCTGATACAGGGGTCCATACATTAGGCTTTCTTAAAATGTGTTCACCTGTAGGTAATTCTTTGCAAGTCCCAGAGATGAAGATACCTAGAGGCATGAGAACTGGAAAGGAGCTCCATGGCTGTGAGGAAGGAAGGGATTTCTTGGGACTCTCTTAGTTGAGTTTATTTTTCTCCCCATTTCTTTGGCTTATGTGTGGGAACTCCATCACATAACAGCTTTCTCACTTTTTCTTCATTCTCCTTGCCCCCCCTACCACAGGTGTTCTCACTGTTACCCTTTCCACAAATGGAAACACAAATAGCCATAACCACCCTAAAAGAGAAACAGAGAAGAGTAAAATGGGTTTTTAAAGTATGCCTCCATTTTTGAACACTTGAAAAATAGGCCATTCATAGTCTTTCTTATATAATTAAGAACTTCATTAGTACCATTAGCACATTATAAGCAGTGACTTGGAACAAAGTAGGTATATCATATTCCTTCTTCAAATAAAGGAAATAACTGTAACAGCCCCAAAAGATGCCTTCGATTGAATAGGATCAACTTGGTTTTATCCTTTTCAGAAGTGATTTCTCTATATTGGGAGGCACTTTGTTGATTCATTCAATATTTACTAAGCACTTTCTGTATTCCAAGCAACAATAAATGAAATAAATTATTTCATTTATTAAGTTCTATTATTAGCAGTCTATTAGCAATCTTGTGTTTGGGTACTTGGTTCCTATTGGCTCAGGCCCATGGTAAATGTGTTAATTATTTTCTCTTTTAATAATTCTCTGTTTTTGTAGTGGGAAGTGAAAAAAAAATTCCAGGAGTTTACACCCTTTGAGGGACACACAGTTTCCCTCCTAGGGGCTGCCTGGCTCTTTGGTAAGCCCCAGTCTTGGTCTCCAAGGTCTGTCCCACTTCCTGTCTAACTCACAAAGAAGCCAGAAGACAGGAGTTCTCCAGGGCAGCTTCTGCTGTTCTGTGCCTTTGTGGGGAGTTAATGTATAGATCAATCATACTCTTTCTTTCTTTCTTTTTTTTTTTTTTTTTTGAAACAAAGAGTCTTGCCGTGTTACCCAGCCTGGAGTGCAGTGGCTTGATAACAGTTCACTGCAGCCTCCATCTCCTGGGCTCAAGTGATTCTTGAGCCTCAGCCTCCCAAGTAGCTGGGGCCACAGGAGTGCACCACCACACCCGGCTAATTTTTGAATTTTTTATAGAGACGGGGTTTCACCATGTTCCTCGGGCTGGTCTCAAACTCCTGACCTCAAGTGATCCACCTATCTCAGCCTCCCAAAGTGCTGAAATTACAGGCGTGGATAAACAATATTTTTTTGCACCAATTTACTCATAACTTTTTTAGAGGCTGGTGGGTTTCAGTTGTGGTTTTCACTCCCTTCTTAGACATGATCAACACATATTTTTTGATTCAACACTCATCATTCATTCATTCATTGCAGTACAGTGGTTAAGCATGTGGGTTTTAGTGTGCCAAATAAAACATTTAAAACATTAAAAATATATTGCTCCCAGCTGGGCACAGTGGCTCGTGCCTGTAATCCCAGCACTTTGGGTGGCTGAGGTGGATGGATCACTTGAGCTCAGGAGTTCGAGACCAGCCTGGGCAACAAAGTGAGATCCTTGTCTCTACAAAAAATAAAATAATTAGCCTGGTATGGTGGCATGAGCCCATAGTCCCGGCTACTTAGGAGGCTGAGGCAGGAAGATCACTTGAGCCAGGGAGATTGAGGCTGCAGTGAGCTATGATTGTGCCACTGCACTCCAACCTGGACCATAGAGTGAGAACCTGTATCTAAAAAACAAAACAAAGCCAAACAAAAGATTGTTCCAGCAGCTGGTTAGTCTGGGAAGCCCATAGAAGTGTGGCGGTGGAGCTTATGAATGCATTAGGAGAGCTATAGGGATTGGGAAGTTTACGAGTTGAATTGTGTCCCCTAGGAGATTCGTTGAAGTCTTTTTTCTTTTTTCATTTATTTCATTTTATTTATTTATTTATATATTTATTTATTTATTTATTTTTCCTTTTACAAACCCTTGTGTCAAGGGCTGACTTTCAATAGATCTCAGCAGGTAGCTGCTCTGCTACGTATGAAACCCCTACCCAGAAGCAGGTGGGCTACGAATGGTTTAGCGTCAGGTTCCCCACGTGAGGGTTGAGGGTGCAGCTGCCTTTCCAGCAGCACCCCGTTTCCCAGGACGTGGGGCTCTCTGCGCCGCACCCCTGTCCCGGCCATGTGAGGACAGAATAACAGCCATGTGAGGACAGAGGCAAACATTCTGCTGCCACAAGCCAAGGAAGGCCGGGAGGCTGCCAGAAACTGGAAGAGACTAGAAAGGGCTTTCCACGAGAGGCTTGGAGGGAGCATGACCCTGCTGACGCCTTGGGTGACAGCTGGGAAAGAGCCTGGTGGCTGTAGCCAGACTTCTAGCCCCAAGTACTGGGGCAGAAGAAATTTCTGTTGTTCTAAGCCAAGTTTGTGGTACTTTGTTATGGCAGTCAAAGAAACTAGGGGATTTAGTTCTTTAGAACCTGAGATGTAAAGGCAGCTTTCCTTGAAAAGGATATTATTTATACTTATTTCAAAGTTTGTATTAAAACACCTGCAGTCTGGGTACAGTGGCTCAAGCCTGTAATTCTAGCACTTTGGGAGGCTGAGGCAGGCAGATTGCTTGAGTGCCAGAGTTCAAGACCAGCCTGGGCAATGCGGCGAAACCCCGTCTCTAAAAATTACAAAAATTCACAGGGTGTGGTGGCAGGCAACTGTAGTCTCAGATACTCAGGAGGTTTAGGTGGGAGGATCACCTGAGACCAGGAGGTGGAGGCTGCAGTGAGCTGTGACTGTGCCACTGTACTCTAGCCTTGGTGACAGAGTGGGACCCTGTCTCAAAAACCATTCTGCAGAATAGGGAAACACTGATAGAAGATTTACAAAGCACAGTGGACAGTGGACATGGTTCAATTCTGGAATGGTCTAGTCAAAGAGGAAGACCTATGAAACCACATGAGAAAAGAACACTGGGTAACATTCACTGAAGGCTGAAGCGAATATTGAGGAGATGGTCTACACTATCCCAAGTGATTTATATGAAAGAATTTATTTAACCCTTTTAAACAATCCTTAGTTATGTATTATTATTATCTCCATGTTACAAATGAAGAAACAAGGTATGGAGAGGTTAAGCAACTTGCCGAAGGTTACTGTTAATAAGTAATAGGATGGGGATTTAAAACCAGGCAGTCTGGTTCCAGAGCTTCTGCTCCAAACCACGCCAGTGCTGGAGTTCTTTACCTGCACTTCAGCGTGGGGAGAGGGCAGAACATCTCCCACAGTGCCCTCCCCTTCCACTCCACTCATACCTGCAGTTGCTCTTTCCACAGCCACTGCCCTCAAACACTCTCTCTGCAAACATTCCCTGGTGCCATCTCTTCTTTTTCTTTTTGCTCAACTGATTTTTAAAAAATTGAGATAAAATTCACAAAACCTAAAATTAACCATTTTAAAGTGAAAAATTCAGTGTCATTTAACACATTCTTAATATTGTAGAACCATCACCTCTATCTAGTTCTGAAACATTTTATTCTCCCCAAATACAACCCCATGCCCATTAAGCAGTTACTCCTCATTCTCCCCTCCCTGAGCCCCTGGCAACCAACAATTTGCCACCTCTCTCTTTGGATTTAACTATTCTGGACACTTCCTATAAATGGAACCATACGATATGTGGCCTTTTGTGTCTTGTTTCTTTCAAGCAGCTTAATGTTTTTGAGGCTCATCCAGCATGTATCAGCACTTCCTTCCTTTTGATGACTGAATAATATTCCACGGTATGTAAAATACCACAGTTTGTTTATCCACTCATCTGTAGATGGGCTTTTGGGTTGTTTCTTGTTTTTGGCTATCATGGATAGTGCTGCTATAAACATGTGTGTACAAGTGTTTGTTTGAGTCCCTGTTTCCAGTTCTTTTTGGTATTTATGTGGGTATGGATTTGCTGTCATGCATTATTTTTCTGCTTAATTTTTGACCGGGCGACTCTTGTGTTTCTCATCTTTCCATACTGATTCCTTATCACACACACAGAAAAAACCCTGCTTGGAGGGTGGGGAAGCTGAAGGGCCTGAAGCAGGCCAAGGAGTAGGATCAGGGTCAAAAAAAAGCCTGCAACACACCCACATTAATCATCATTTACTTCACCTGTCACACTTAGTATGCGTGACTATTCTCAAGTTTGGGAATTAGGCCAAGTGTTTGCTCCTTAACACTGAATTGTAGAACTTTCAAGCTGGAAGAGACTGCAGAGATTTCCCAGTTTGGTGAGTTTTCAAACTTTCCTTGGCAGACTTCTCTCAGGCCTCTGGGGGAGGGCCCTGGGGTCCTCTCATCTCCCATTCTTTCCACCCCTTAACCATACTCTGGTTTTTATGTTTTACATTTTGGGTTTCTGGGTAAGATTTCACATGAAGAGCAGAGGAATGATATTTTAACATCTACTTTTCTCTTTTCTTTTCTTTTTCTAGGCAGGGTCTCACCTTGTTGCCTAGGCTGGAGTGCAGAGGCATGATCACAGCTCACTGCAGCCTCAACCTCCCCAGGCTCAGGTGATCCTCCTACATCAGCTCCTGAGTAGCTGGCACTACAGGTGTGTGCCACCATGCCTGGCTAATTTTTGTATTTTTTTGTAGAGATGGGGTTTCACTATGTTTTCCAGGGTGGTCTCGAACTCCTGGGCTCAAGTGATCTGCTTGCCTCAGCCTCCCAAAGTGCTAGGATTACAGGTGTGAGCCACCAAGCTGCCACTGGCCGAAATCTAATTTGTTGTTGTTCCTGGAACTTCCTTATACCCCTGGTTCCTTTATGCATTCAGTGAGTATGGCATTCTGTGTTCACTGCCTTAGAGAAAGGTGACAGAGAAAACAGAGGGACAAAGAAAGAAGGGTATTCTTGGGTTCTATGTTTCAGAAGCTCAGGCTTCAGAAAGAGCAGATTCCTGTGCGCAGACTAGAGATTTGGGAAGTGAGGAAGGGCAAGGGACTCTCAGAGCTGGAGGAGAGGTCAAGATGGAGAGGAAGAGAATTGGGAGGGAGGTCAGAGGGGCTGGGATGAGGGACCAGACTCCAGCAGGTGCAGAGTTGGCACCTAGAGGGTGTGATGCTCTGCTGGCTCAGCAGCCATTGATGAATGGCTCACTTATGCAGGCTGTCAAAAGAAGCCAAGACTCCCTTGCAGTGAGCGCTGCGTCCACCATAAGGAGGAGGTTGGTTAGCAGATTTCTTGTTGCTGTCTGGTGAGGACTTCCTCGTAGACAGCCATCTGCTGCATGCCCTAGCATGAGGACCTCCGAATCTGTGTCCTAATACTTTTCTCCTTCTTTTGACATATGCAGCCAGTGGCCTACTCAATTTCCACTCGCCTCGTTTCCCTTGCTTGTTATAGCTCCAATTTGCTTTGGGATGGTGTTGGGCCCATCAACAATTCAAAGTCATGTGGATAGTCTGGCCAATGCCTGTGAATGAAAGGTTTATATCTTCCACTCCATGAGGTTCTGGGAAAGCTACTGTTTTCCTAGGAAAATTAGGCAGACTCAGCGGGTGTGAGCCCTTTGCCTTCTCCTTTCTCCTCCTTCCTGCCTGAAATGGTGACATGATGCCTAAAGATGCCCCAGCCATCTTATGACCACTTGCAAAGATGACAGAGTGGGGAGGTAGCAGGAGCCTGTTCTGTGAGCAGCCCCATTAGGGCTGGCTTACCCAGTACTCGGTTTCCTGGTTACCTGAGAGAAATAAACCCCTCACTTAATCCACTATTTTTGCTTCTGAAACATGTACCTGAGCACAATTATGAAGTCCCCATGACTCTTCTTCTTCTTCTTTTTTTTTTTTTGATACAGCGTCTTGCTCTTGTCGCCCAGGCTGGAGTGCAATGGCACGATCTCAACTCACTGCAACCTCTGCCTCCTGGGTTCAAGCGATTCTCCTGCCTCAGCCTCCCAAGTAGCCGGGATTACAGGTGCCCACCACCATTTTTGTGTGTGTGTGTGTGTGTGTGTGTGTGTGTGTGTGTGTGTATTTGTGTGTATATATGTGTGTATGTGTATATATACGCACGTGTATGTACACACGTATATACACGTATATGTGTATATATATAAAAATATATAAATATATATACGTGTATATATAAAAATATATAAATATATACATATATGTGTATATATATGTGTATATATAATGTGTATATATACATGTGTGTGTATATATATATATATTTTAGTAGAGACAGGGTTTCACCCCGTTGCCCAGGTGGTCTTCAACTCTTGACCTCAGGTGATCTGCCTGCCTTGGCCTCCCAAAGTGCTGGGATTA
Organism: Homo sapiens; assembly: GCF_000001405.40. NCBI lineage: Eukaryota > Metazoa > Chordata > Mammalia > Primates > Hominidae > Homo > Homo sapiens. Next base: position 97,561,372 of record NC_000008.11, on the reverse strand, counting down.
TAGGCGTGAGCCACCGCACCCGGCCCCATGACTCTTTTTTTTTTTTTAGTTTCTTTTTTTTTAAATTATTATTATACTTTAAGTTTTAGGGTACATGTGCACAACGTGCAGGTTTGTTACATATGTATACATGTGCCATGTTGGTGTGCTGCACCCATCAACTCGTCATTTAGCATTAGGTATATCTCCCGATGCTATCGACTCTTACTTTGTGTAGACAACCAGCATTGGAATGTCTGTCCTGCACTCATGAGCTCCGCCCACATGATTTTTGGGGGGCCTAGCCTCTAGAAACCTGGAGAGGTGGTGTAGAATGAAAGGCAAAACATTATAAACTTGAGTGAAGCCAAATGTAATCTGTTTACCATCTCCTTAGAGCCAGGACATTGGTGGAATATACCCCTTCCATTACAGAAGAAGCGGTTCACTTGAAAAGGTAAAATCCTCTACTCTAGTCCAACCCTCTCTCTGAGGTCGAGAAGTACAGAGTGACTTGCTCACGGTCCCACAGGTAATTGGTGGCTAACGTGATGGGAGAGCAGGTATCTCCCCACCTACGCCCCCCGGCTTTCTTCATGACCATGGTGGTTCAAGTGTTGAGCTTCTGCATATTTTGTTTTCTGCTAAGACGATTAGCTGAGTATCTGGCATGTCAAATTAGTGAAATCTGAGGGCTTTTGAATGAGAATAAACAAGGCTTAAACAAATCAAATAATTGACAAGAAATCCAGATGGCAATTAAGAGGATGAATCCTGGTGTTCCTAAATGACAAATAGGTCTCTTAATCTTAACTATTAATTATGAAATTAAATGTAACAGTCTCATAGGTTCTCATATTGTCCTTATTTATTAATCACCAGTGTACTTAAGGGAAGTGGCAGACATAAATTAACCATATGTAAATTACTATATTCATGAGCAGATGCAAGAATAGAAAAGGGACTGTTCATGTAAGGGTACTGGGTTGTAGGTGATAGAGCTCTCCCGGTGAGGGCAGTGTTGGTCCCATGTGACTCCGCTTCTAAGAAAGGGTGTTCTGCTCTGGAAGTCTAGAGCAAAAGTCAGGGTGCTTTTCCATGAAGCACAGTTTATGGAGAACTGATTGGGAAAACCAGGAAAGCTTTGAGACTGGCCCATGCTACGTCTTCAACACGTGAGCACTCTGTCGGGAATTCGCAGAAGTTCCATTGGATTTTGGTACAGCACCCTCTGGTGGCCATTTTTTTTCATGCATGTTTTTCCCAAGGAAAATTGAACCAAGCCCTTCCGAATGAAGCAACCACAGTGTGTGCCACTTTTGTGGTGATTCCATACCTCTTTTAGGAAGGCATTTTCCTGCTTCATATATTTTATGTTCAACAAAATTTTCCCGAGTCTTAACCTGGATTCCTTTCACTGCTGTTTAACTTCTCTACTTCTTGGTTTTCCTACAGTTGAAGAAGGTAGTCACGCTTCTCCTGGCATTTGAAATGCACATTTTTCAAATCCTGCCTTTAAAGGATCTGAAGGAAGGAAGAACCAATTGGAAGGAAAAAGACAACGCCTCCTAACTTCATTCAGTGTAAAAGGGATACTTGCTACCACTCCCATGGTTGAGGCATATTTTCTAGGTTAATTTATTTTTAAATTATTAAAAAATGTATGTGAAAAGCTCTTAGAAAATTTTGAAGTCCTGCACACACGAAAGCATTATCCTCATCTCTGTTATCTGTCTCAAGAGAACAGGAAACAGTCACTAAGCTCAGTTTTAAAGGCAGGGAGTACTCAACCAGAAGGTCGAAAGACCATTCTTTTATTCCCTCATTGAACATTTATTAAGTGCCTGCAGTTAGCAAACACAAAGTTCTTAAGGAGTTACAGTCTATTTATTGGAGGAGAGAAATGTAAACAAATATAACAATGGATGGGTGCTTTTATAAGATGTAAATTCCCTTTACATTAACAACAGTACAAAACAACTTTAACCCATACCATTTGGGAAGACATACCATCCAAAGACATATACTACTTGCTAACAGTTACATATGCATGTCATGTAAAGGAAAGTCAACTCACATAATTAATCATGGAATAACTGAATGGTTTAGATGACACCTTAAAAGCTTTCTTCTATCCCACTGTTTTCTGAAATAACGACAACAACAAAAAGACACATAAAAAAAAAAAAGAAAAAAAAAGAAAGAGGGTTGCAGTGGCAAGCACAGTGTCTGGAACACAGGACAGGCTCAAAAATATTTAAAAAATGAACAAATACATTAATAGCAAGACGGGGAAGAGGTTTTCCTATTTTTTCTAGTGAGCCTTGTTCACAGTGTTCCTTTTGGAACTCAATTAAGAGGATCTCACATCCTAGCTATGAACATGCTAACATCTATACGCGCTTCTATGGTTCTGTGGGAAAAAATGTGAAGGGTTTATGAACAGGGTGCTGTGGAAGACTAGATCTCCATTTTCCCTGTAGCTAGGGGTGGCCAATGAGTCAGAAATGGAAATTTTAGAGTGGGAGTTCCAGGTCATGTTCTTAAAGATAATTGACTAGGATAAAAGGTAGATTCTTTTTTGCTTCATTTTTCGCTGTTTATCTGGAACACAGATGTAATTACCAGAGCTCCAGCAGCTATACTGGGCCATGAGACAAACGAGGAAGGAAAACTCCTGCTAGGAATGACAGGGAGCAGAAAGATAAAAGGAATTTGGCTCCCTGGTGACCATGAAGCCACCAAACCCAAACTTAGGCTGTCCACCTCTTGACCTCTTTCATGTAGGAGACGTAAAATCTTTATTTTGTTTAAGCCTAGAATTTTCTGTTATGCACAGCTGAGCCAAATGCCAACTTATACACTGTCATTTTATTGTTCTTCTCGGGGGCTTGACTGTCAGGAATTTCTTTCCTTTTACCTTCCTTCATAGCTTTCCCTGCCACCAGCCCTCCACCTATCCTTAAGTCCAGGGGTCGACGAACTTTTTCTTTAAGGGCAACACATGAACTGTTTCAGGCTTTGGGAGCTGTATGATCTCTATTGCATACTCAGAGCAAACCCGACTTGCTATTGTAGTGCAAAAGCAGCCACAGACAATACCTAAACAAATATGTGTGGCTATGTTCCAGCAAAACCTTATTTATAAGAACATGTGGCTGGGCTTGGTGGCTCACGCCTGTAATCCCAGCACTTTGGGAGCCCGATGTGGGCAGATCACGAGGTCAGGAGTTCGAGACCAGCCTGGCCAACATAGTGAAACCCCATGTCTGCTAAAAATACAAAATTAGCCCGGTGTGGTGGCACGCGCCTGTAATCCCAGCTACTCAGGAGGCTGAGGCGGGAGAATCACTTGAACTTGGGAGGCAGAGGTTGCAGTGAGCCGAGACCATATCATGCCACCGCACTCCAACCTGGGTGACAGAGTGAGACTCTGTCTCAAAAAAAAAAAAAAAAAAAAAAAGAACATGCAGCTGGCTTGCAGGTCCATTTGCTGACCTCTGCTTTTTTTTCTCTGAGACAGAGTTTTGCTCTGTTGTCCAGGCTGGAGTGTGGTGGTGTGTCTGGAATTGGTGGGTTCTTGGTCTCACTGACTTCAAGAATGAAGCCGCAGAACCTCGCAGTGAGTGTTAACAGTTCTTAAAGGTGGTGTGTCCGGAGTTTGTTCCTTCTGATGGTCGGACGTGTTCAGAGTTTCTTCATTCTGGTGGGTTCATGGTCTCGCTGGCTTCAGGAGTGAAGCTGCAGACCTTCGCGGTGAGTGTTGCTTCTGGAGTTGTTCATTCCTCCCCGTGGGTTAGGGGTCTCGCTGGCCTCAGGAGTGAAGCTGCAGACCTTTGTGGTGTTACAGCTCATAAAGGCAGTGCAGACCCAAAAACTGAGCAGCTGCAAGATTTATTGCAAAGAGTGAAAGAACAAAGTCTCTACAGTGTGGAAAGGGACCCAAGTGGGTTGCCGCTACTGGCTAGGACAGCCTGCTTTTATTCTCTTATCTGACCACTCACCCCCGTCCCACGCCCCCCCACATCCTGCTGATTGGTCCATTTTACAGAGAGCCGATTGGTCCATTTTACAGAGAGCTGATTGGTTCATTTTACAGAGATGGCCCTTGGGCGGTTGATGGGACCGGGCGCCGCCGAGCAGGGGCGGTGTGTGTCCGGGAGGCTAGGGCAGCGCAGGAGCCAATTGCCGGGGAGGAGGGGTGGCTCGCGCATGTCCGGCTGCAGGTGCCGAGCCCTGCCCTGCGGAGGCGGCTGAGGCCCGGCGAGAATTCAAGCGCGGCGCGGGCGGGCGGGCAGTACTGGGGGACCTGGCGCACCCTCTGCAGCTGCTGGCCCGGGTGCTAAGCCCCTTACTGCCCGCGGCCAGCAGCGCTGGCGGGCCGCTGTGAGTGTGGGGCCTGCGGATCCCGCGCCCACCCGGAACTCGCGCTGGCCCGCTAGCGCCCTGCGCAGCTCCGGTTCCCGCCCACTCCTCTCCCTCTACACCGGCCTGCAAGCAGAGGGAGCTGGCTCCGGCCTCAGCCTGCCCAGAGAGGGGCTCCTACAGTGCAGCGGCGGGCTGAAGGGCTCCTCAAGCGCGGCCAGAGTGGACGCCGAGGCCAAGGAGGCGCCCAGAGCGAGCGAGGGCTGCTAGCATGTTGTCACCTCTCAGTGGCATGATCTCCATTCACTGCAACCTCCACCTCTCGGGTTCAAGCGATTCTCCTGCCTCAGCCTCATGTAGCTGGGATTACAGGCACGAGCCACCACACCTGGCTAATTTGTTTTGAATTTTTAGTAGAGAGGGGGTTTCACCATGTTGGCCAGGCCAGTCTTCAACTCCTGGACTCAAGTAATCCACCTGCCTCAGCCTTCCAAAATGCTGGGATTACAGGCGTGAGCCATCACGTCCTGCCCTGACCTCTGCTTTCAGCCACAAACTTAGGTAAAAGAAAAGTAGCTTTTGCTCATAAAGTGATTGGAGACAGCCTGTTGTCCAACAGTGTCTCCCTTATTGGACCATGACTTTTCCCAGGCAGGGGCCATGTCTTATTTGTGTGTATATTTCCATCACCCAGCACAGCACTTGGCACGTGATACAGGTTCAGTATATATTTTCAAACAAATAAATTGAAGTGAAGAATTGAGTCAAGGAGACAAGACCTTTGAAGGCCAAAAGATCGAAGTTTGTGGTAATGAGACATCGAGCTCTGGTTTGAACTAAAATCCTTTGAAGTGAAAAACCTCTTGAGTGGTTGTGAAACTTGAACTTACCATAAATATCTCTTCGTATTTTTTGAGCCGATTAATCCATGGCTCCCATAAAATCTTCTGCACATTAAACAACAGGGTAAGAGCACCACGCCTTCCTCTGCCTCCACCGCCAACTTGGCGGAGACTAGACCCAAGGATGCAGGAGCCGTTCCTCTCCGTCTGAGCCTGCTGGGCTGAATGGGCATGAAGAAAGTTGGAGAACAGAACGTGCAAACCGGGTGAGTTGAAGTGGGTTCCTGCTCGCTGGAACTGGAGAGAAGTGTCATTTCCAGCAGGAGGGCTGCTTCCAGTACCTGGGGCTACAGAGAGGGACTGGGCCACATCTCTGATTAAGTTTCTCTTCTTTCCTTTCTGGGAGATGGATGTAAACAGTGACTGGTTTCTTTGGACAGAGGCTACCTGTGCTATTGAAGGGACAAAATCCACATGCCCTACATGCAAACTCACACTCCCATCTTTCCCTATTTATCTCGTAAGCTCACAGTTTGCTGGGCACGGTACAAGATGCAAATGAGGAATAATGAATGCTTATAGTGTGAAGGTGTTAGCTCCAGTTTTGCTCAATTCCCTGAGAATTTACATATTCTGGTCCACAATACCTTATCCAAAACCCTCAGGGCCATATACGTTTTGGAATTCAGATTATTTTGGGTTTCAGAAAGGCAAAACAGTGCACATGTTATATATTATGTAACACCCCCAGCACAGCCTGAGCAAGCACCTTTTCACCAAACACATTAATATTTGTGTAGAAAAACATGAATAGTCACACTCAGCAGGACCAATGACGACTGTTGGTGGTGTCATTCACCTCAGGTCAGGCTTTGCCACCAAATAAATTTTGATGCCAAATACATTAAAAGAAAAATAGGTTCTCAGAATTTTTTGGATTTCAGAAATGTGAGTAAGAGGTTCTGGGCCTGTATTCAGTCTTTCTTTCTTCTTTTTTTTTTTTGAAGACAGAGTCTTGTTCCGTCACCCAGGCTGGAGTGCAGTGGCACTCATAGCTCACTTCAACCTTGACCTCCTGGGCTCAAGTGGTCCTTTCACCTCAGCCTCCCAAAGTGCTGGGATTACAGGTGTGAGCCACTGCACCTGGTCAATGTTGTCTTTCTTAAAGTACTATCTCCCAATGATTCATTATTAATTTTCCTATAGAAGCACGTCTGTATAGTGCATCATGCTCTGTGTAGTAATCTCATTTTCAGACTTGAAACTGTTCCTCATGGAGTCATCAGTACACTGCCTTACACATAGTAGGGGCTTAGTAAGTGTTTGTTAACTAAACACACAACAGTCTTTCAAAATAAAAGTAATGATATATATTTATATTTGCAGTTGATGAAACCAAGGCCAGGAGGCTCCAGGATGTGGCACAGGGAAACAGGGTCTTTAACTTCTTTTTTTTTTTTTAGAGACGGAGTTTCACTCTTGTCGCCCAGGCTGGAGTGCAATGGCGCCATCTTGGCTCACTGCAACCTCTGCCTCCTGGGTTCAAGCGATTCTCTTGCCTCAGCCTCCCTAGTAGCTGGGATTACAGGCATGTGCCACCATGCCCGGCTAATTTTTGTATTATTAGTAGAGACTGGGTTTCACCATGTTGACCAGGCTGGTCTCGAGCTCCTGACCTCAGGTGATCTGCCCACCTCGACCTCCTAAAGTGCTGGGATTACAGGCGTGAGCCACTGTGCCCGGCCAGGGTCTTTAACTTCTAGTTGTTTGTCCTTGTCATTGCTGCTTGTTTGCACACAATGAGAGTGATGGTTTGTATATATGTCAGGGGTTAAAAGGAAGAGAAGCTGGGGCTCAAGAAGTGATTCTCAGCAGGGGGCCATTCCCCCTACCCAGCTTTCCCCATCCTCCCTCCAGGTGGGAAGGAGGGGAAGTTGACAATGTCTCGAGATATTTTCGGTTGTCACAACTGAGGGCAGGGTGCCATGGCATGTAGTGGGTAGAGGCCACGGATGCTGCCAAACATCCTCTAATGCACAGGACAGCCTGCACTGTCCTCTATGTAATAACCAAGAATGAGCCTGTCCTCAAAGTCAATAGTGTTGAGGTTGAGAATGTAGCCTAATTCAGAAAAAACCCCACTCAAAGGTGTTGAGTTAGGAGAAACAGCTGATTCCTTTCTGCATCGTGACTGTCCATGTTGCTTTAGGCAGATCCTCCAGCCAACCCCAAGCACTGGGGTACTGGGCCCAACCCCTGCCCCCATCCCCTACAAACCAAAGCATACCTGCCCTCTGCCAACTGAAACCATGTGCCTCTGACTCAGATGGTGGTTTGGAGTCCCAGCCAAGGATGGGCTGTGCTACTGACCTCTGAGGGAAAGTGAACAAAGGGCTTTCCTCTCTGATGTGGGAGTATGCTTATAGAAATGGGAAACCTGGTCAAAGTAATAAAACGAATGCCTTTAAGATCAGAATGGTGATTTTACCTTTCTTGTCTCTTGATCACTCTGTCTTGCCGCATGGGAAAGGCAAAGTGTTGTGTTTGGTAACTTTTAAATGCCCAGCAGAGGGCAGACATTGCTTACTTAAAGGAAAAATCCAAGCTCTACTCTGCCTTCAAGTAGAGGCTAAAATGCCTGTATCTGCAGGAACCAGCTGATTGATCAAGTAGCTCTCATGGCCGTTCCTTCCTCTGTGTCATAATGGACATGATGATAGTTGTCTCACTCAGTAAACATTCTGTGTCTGGAAGGATTTGATTTGTCCTTTTCTTGAGGCAACAATTTTGAGGTGATTTGAAAAATCTTTCTTGAAAAATTAAAAAATTTTTCTAATTAAAAATAATGCAAGCTCATTAGAAAAAAATTGAAAAATAAATAAAAGCACAATTTTTCTTAACCACTTAAAGATGACCATTGTTAGTTTTTTTTTTTTTTTTTGGTGCTTTTTTCCGTTTCCAATCTCTTTTCTATTAAAACTTCTGAAATGTGATTGTAGCAATGACGCATAAGGGGCCCTTGACACATTGAGAAATTTATAAATACGCTGGCTTCTTGTCTTGCTTTTGTCCCCAGCTTAACTGGGAACTCTTTTTCTATATCTTTGAAACTCCAAATCCTAGATAATTCTTCAAGGTCAAGCTCCAATGTCTTGCTGGATTCTTCTCAGCAGGAATTGATCTATTTTCTCTGTATTTTTGTGCCACAGGATCTATGACTCTCTTATGGCAACTACCACCTTCTGCCTTATATTACGATTTTTGAATCTTCCAACAAAGTCTAATTTTTTTTTTTTCAGATGAGGTCTCGCTATATTGCCCAAGCTGGAGTGACTATTCACAGGTTCCTTCATAGTGCACTGCAGCTTCGAACTCCTGGGCTCAAGCGTTCTTCCTGCCTCCACCTCCCAAGTAGCTGGGAATAAAGGTGTCACTGCACCCAGCCCTAATTCTGAATTTTGAATGTGGGACTCTCACTTCATCTTTCTGTCTTCCAAAGCAGAAACATTGGGTTATCTCATAGTAAATACTCATAAGTATTTGTGAAAAGGAAGGAAAGAAAGGAGGAAGAAAGGAAGGAAAAGAAGGAGAGAGGAAAAGGAGGAAATAAAGGAAGGAAAGAGTGAAGGAAAGAAGGAGGAAGGGAGGAAATTGTTTCATTATAACTTGTGACAAGCTTTTGAAGATGAGAAGGATTATTCCAGTTTCTCAGAGAAGACCCAGAGAGTCCAAGTGCTACCTCATGTTTATGATGCCATTTGGTGGAATTTTCTCGGATTAGAAGGCTCAGAGTTTGGGCATTGTCGTGAGTTGAACTGTGTCCTCCAAAATAAGTTGAAGTCCTAAGCCCTGGTACCTATGAATGTGACCTCCTCTGGAAACAGGTTCTTTGCAGATGTAATCCAGTTAAGATGAGGTTGTACTGGATTAGAATGGGCCCTAAAGCCAGTGACTGATGTCTTTATAAAAAGAGGGAGATTAGGACAGAAAGACACACACAGGGCTGGGTGTGGTGGCTCATGCCTGTAATCCCGGCACTTTGGGAGGCAAGGCGGGCAGACCACTTGAGCCTGAGTTTGAGACCAGCCTGGGGCAACATGTTGAAACCCCATCTCTTCAAAAAAAAACAAAAAACAAAAGACAAAAATTAGTGGGGTGTGGTGGTGCACCTGTAGTTTCAGCTACTCCGTGGGGCTGAGGCAGGAGGATTGCTTGAGCCCAGGAAGGCAAGGCTGCAGTGAGCTGTGATTGTGCCACTTGCACTCCAGTCTGGGTGACAGAGTGAGACCCTGTTTCAAAAGAAAAAAAAAAAAGACACACTTAGGGGGAAGATGGCCATGTGAAGACAGATGCAGAAATTTAAGTGATGCAGTTACAAACCAGGAAATGCCAAAGATCCCCCTGGCAACCTGGAATGGAAGAAACTGGAAAAGGCAAGGAAGATTTTTTTCCTGGAGCCTTCAGAGAGAGGATGGCCTTGCTGACACCTTGATTTCATACTTCTAGGCTTTGGAACTGTAAGAGAATAAATTTCTGCTGGTTTAAGCCACCCAGTTTGGGCTAATTTGTTACAGCAGCCCAAGGAGGTTAATGCATCATGTTAAAAACTCTTAGTGACAATAGGCCCACCTGGGGAATGCAGAAAAGTCCTATGTATATTGGAAGGAAGTCAATATTCCAAGGAGATAAAGAGAGTTCTTGGTAAGGGTCAGACAGAAGAGAATTGTTTGATGGGTTCGAAGATATGTTTCTGTTGTTTCTTTGCCAAAATTTTAGTACAGGCAAATCTTTCTTTTCCTGTAATTTGTATTTCAATGTATTAAGCCTTACTGGAGGTCTTTGAAAAATGTTGCAGAAGTTTAACCATCTGATTTCTCCTCTCGTCAACTGACCATTTCTAAATGCACATAACAGCAGTTAGCATCTTGCTTGCTTCTAAATAGTTTCTGTTGTAGCATGATATGTTGCAATAAATGATTGAAGAGCTGAAAAATGGTAACCACCAAGATCAAGCTCTTAGGATGAAAATAAGGATTTAATGTACTGCAGCCATTCATTTATTCATTACTATCCTAAGGGTATTACAGGATTCTGAGGATTAAATTACTACTGGGAAAATATTGTCAAAGTAGGGGAATGGAATTTCCCCTCTCAAATAAGAACGAATGCTTCCCCTCATCCTTATGACTCAGGTAACTTAGATAATATGGTCCCAAGATAGAGACATCAGTTCTTAGGATACAACAACTTGTCGGTGGTTTAGGTGAGACAGCTTGATAAATGTCATCATCACTGCCCACTGTAGGAAAAATAAGTAAAGGACACCGAGATGCCTTTCTTTAGTTTCCCATGGTAACCTTTATATGCCTTCAGCTTTGCATGAATAAGATGATGGCGACAGAGATATGACTGCAACAAAATCAATAGTAAACACTATTCCAGACAGGATTTTAGTCTTGGCACCTAGTTGTGTCAAGCACATGGTATCCACTCAGTGAAAGTTTGCTGAATAAATAGAATAAATGAATACATAAATTAGTGGAATTGGATCCTTCACGGCAGTGTCCTTTATTGCTTTGTAACTGAGTTTGTTTCTATAATTTCCTGGCAGGATATCTAGAAGTGAGGGAGGCTCAGTGGATATTGACAATGATATGGCCAAAGTCATTAATTTAGAGTAGTAGTAAGTTTTGATTTTGCCATATTACCTCCTGTCGTATCAGGGTCACTTGCTCCTGAGCATATTAATAGGCTGGTATTTGATCCTATACAAAGATTTCAGAGGTACTGTGACTGTCATTGTCTTTTTAAATTTATTTTAGATGGACTCTCACTCTGTCACCCAGGCTGGTGTGCAGTGGCGTGATTTTGGCTCACTGCAACCTCCACCTCCTGGGTTCAAGCAATTCTCTGCCTCAGCCTCCCAAGTAGCGGGATTGCAGGTGTGTGCCATTATGCCCAGGTGATTTTTGTATTTTTAGTAAAGACCAGGTTTCACTATGTTGGCCAGGCTGGTTTTGAACCCCTGACCTCAATTGATCCACTTGCCTCAGCCTCCCAAAGTGCTGGGATTACAGGTGTGAGCCACTGTACCCGGCCTCATTGTTTTTAAAATCGAAGGCAACTACATGGCCTATAGCAATGACTGTGACATTTCTGCTTTCAGTTTCTGGTAAGTCCCTACATTAAGTTCCCATTTAGCTAAAAATGATGTTGCCATAAGTGTTTCCTGACCACAGGATTTAATACCAATGGATTCATTCAACATATATTTTTTGGGCGCCTACTATGTGCCAGGGACTTTTAAAGCAGTGAAGAGTTTTCTCTGAACAAAATGCCACCATGGAGCTTAAATTTCAATGGAACGATAATAAGCAGATAAAAATCTAAAACAACGTCAGATATTGGTAAATGCTACGATGGTGAGAGAGAGCGCCATCAAGAAAGGTTTCTGGGGTATGGGTGAGAGTACCCTTTATAGTTATGGGGGAGGTGGGTAGAGATCTATTTTCAGGAACAACATCAAGAGATCTGTTTTAGCTATGTTAAATTGGAGATGCCTATTAAACTACTGAACATCAGTTTCTCCTCATATCAGATTTATATCTATGTGCACGTGTGTGTGTGTGTGTATGTGTGTGTAAAATAATGTGAAGAAATGTGAATGAGTTAAAAGGGTTCTGGATGAGAAGCAGTCAGCCAGAAAGCTAGGACCCAATCATAGCAAAAAAAAAAAAAAAATTACCTTGACCAAATAGCTTAATCTTACTAGGTCTTCTTTTATCTTTAAAATAAGAAGATTCATCAAGATTATCTCTTCTTACGATTTTCAAATCCTGCGATTCTGGGTTTGGGACTTCCTATCCTATAACCCTAGATCCATAGAGTAGCTACCAAGCAATATGGTTGCCCTAAGAAATTCATCAATAACCTAAGCTTTTCATGAAGGCAAAGTTGTTTGGGAAGAAGAAATTGTTCTTTCTCTGACCCATTCATGCTCCATTCACAATAGATATGCTCATGACAGACCCATGATGAAAGGAGTTTTCCATTGCTGTGTGGACTAGTTCTTACATCATGGGTGGGCTGTGGTTGTTCTGTCCTCAAGGTGTTATACTGTGGGCCTGTTATGAGGGAAGCCACCTCTATTGCATGAGAGGAAGAGTTTAATCTTTCAATGGTGAAATTATGCATTTAGGTGAGCAATACCATCCCACCTCCACTGAGATACTTACCATATGGCCACGCACTGTATCTCTGAAATCCAGTGGGCTTGTCTCAGTTTTCACATTGCTTGACTGCTTTATGTCATGTGGCATTGCTGCTGAAACTCACAGAACTGTCCACCATAGCCTCCCGATCCAGACAACACCCATTCTCTGATTCCTTCCCTGAGTCCTGCTGCCCTGTGCCATTTACTGACTTTTCCTCTTTCCCCCTTCCCTTAAAAATATAAGAATCTCTTCATAAGGATCCATTCCTGGTGTTTTGTTTAGTTTCTTCCCTCTTTTTTCTGTATATACTTCCTGGGCCATATTATTTTCTGCCTTTGCTCCTCCCACCACTCAGATAGTATTCATTCCTAAGTTATCAGCCCTCTCTTAGTAGCTGCTTATTTAACAATTAGGCATCTCTGTTTGCGTGTCTTCGAGGCTCCTCCCCATGTCAGTTCCAAAATAGAACTAATGATCTGCTTTCTCCCTTCCCAAACTGGTCCCCCCACCTCCTTTCTGTATCTTGCTTAATCTGACCATTGAATCATTTAAGCTAGAAGTCTCAGAGTCAGTCAGCTTCTTTATTTCCATCTTGTTCATTGTGGTAGTCAGGCTTCAAGCTGGCCCTTCATGATCCTTACCTCCTATATTCACCTCTTTTTAGGGGCCCTTCCTACAGTGCATCATGTTTGGTCACTATGGCCAAAGAATATACAAGCAGTCGTGGTGTGTGACTTCTAAGGCTAGGCCATAAGAGAAATTGCCACTGTACCATATTCTCTTTTGGGTCACTCACTCTGGGTAAAGCCAGCTGCCACATCATGAGGACATTCAAGCAGCCTCATGGAAAGGTCCATATGATAAGAAACGGAAGCCTCTTGCTAACAGTTAGCATCAACTTCCCAGCTATAGAAGTGAACCATTTTGGAAGTGGATCCTCCAGCCCCAGTCAAACCTTCAGATGACTGCAGCCCTGGCCAAAATCTTGACTGCAACCTCATGAGAAATCCTGAGCCAGGACCACCAGCTAAGCTGTTCTTGAACTTTCTGACCCACAGAAACTGTGAGATAATGTCTTTTATCATTGTTTTAAGTCAATAAGTTTTGGGGTAATTTTTACATAGGAATAGGTGAAAAAAAATCTATATAGCACATTTTGATAATCACTATATTCTTTGATATTGCAATGTAATATTGTTGATATTGCAATGTAAATATTTCTTAAATATAACTCATTTTCTTCACTTCCACTGTTATTGCTCTTATTTTAGGCCTTTATTATCTCTTTCCTGGAGTATTGCAATATCTCTGTATTGGTTTTGTGCCTGTAATTAACTTCCTCTACTACTTCTAATCCATCCTCCATATTGTCTCAATTATCTTTTAAAAATATAAATCTCATCATGCTGGTCTCCTGCTCTATCAGTCAAGATAGCCTGCAGCTTTTATGCAGTAATAAGAAAGCCCCTGCAAATCAAAGTGGCTAAGACAACAAAGTCTTAATTCTTACTCCCATTACAAATCCACTGTCATTCAGCAGGAAGGCTCTGCTCACTGCAGTGCAGGGCAGGTGAGCCCTAACACTGGGGCTTAGCCCAGGACAGTTCTTGGCTTTGCTCAGGAAAGAATGCAAGAGCAAGCTGGTGGTAGAAGAAAACAGCTTTATTGAGGAGGTGGTGTTATAGCTTGGTCACTGCTCCTGCAGAGCAGGACTACCTCATAGGCAGTGTGCTGCGAGCAGCAACTCAGGGAAGTTCTGCAGTCATATTTATACCAACTTTTAATCATATGCAATTAAGCAGTGGGTTATTCAGAAATTTCTAGAGAAAGGGTGAAAACTTCCTGCTAGTTGCCATGGGAAGAGGTGGTAACTTCTGTGTATTGCCATGGCAATTGTAAACTGTCATGGTGCTGGTGGGCACATCTTATGGAGAGGTGCTTTCAGCGCCACTTCCATGTTTCAGTCAGTCTTTAATCTGGTCTGGAGTTGAGTCCTGCCTCCTACCTCAATTGTAATCACTCAGGAACCCAGGCGGACAGAAAAGCCACTATCTTTTTTTTTTTTCTAATTTTTTTATTATACTTTAAGTTTTAGGGTACGTGTGCACAACATGCAGGTTTGTTACATATGTATACATGTGCCATGTTGGTGTGCTGCACCCATTAACTCGTCATTTACATTAGGTATATCTCCTAATGCTATCCCTCCACCCTCCCCCCACCCGACAACAGTCTCCAGTGTGTGATGTTCCCCATCCTGTGTCCATGTGTTCTCATTGTTCAATTCCCACCTATGAGTGAGAACATGCGGTGTTTGGTTTTCTGTCCTTGCAATAGTTTGCTGAGAATGATGGTTTCCAGCTTCATCCATGTCCTTAAAAAGGACATGAACTCATCCTTTCTTATGGCTGCATAGTATTCCATGATGTATATGTGCCACATTTTCTTTTCTTTTCTTTTTTTTTTTTTTTGAGACGGAGCCTCGCTCTATCGCCCAGACTGGTGTGCAGTGGCCCGATCTTGGCTCACTGCAAACTTCGCCTCCCAGGTTCACGCCGTTCTCCTGTCTCAGCCTCCTGAGTAGCTGGGACTACTGGCGCCTGCCACCATGCTCGGCTAATTTTTTGTATTTTTAGTAGAGACGGGGTTTCACCGTGTTAGCCAGGATGGTCTTGATCTCCTGAACTTGTGATCCGCCCGCCTCGGCCTCCCAAAGTGCTGGGATTACAGGCGTGAGCCACCGCGCCCAGCCGTGCCACATTTTCTTAATCCAGTCTATCATTGATGGACATATGGGTTGGTTCCAAGTCTTTGCTATTGTGAATAGTGCCGCAATAAACATACATGTGCATGTGTCTTGATAGCAGCATGATTTATAATCCTTTGGGTATATACCCAGTAATGGGATGGCTGGGTCAAATGGTATTTCTAGTTCTAGATCCTTGAGGAATCGCCACACTGTCTTCCACAATGGTTGAACTAGTTTACAGTCCCATCAACAGTGTAAAAGTGTTCCTGTTTCTCCACATCCTCTCCAGCACCTGTTGTTCCCTGACTTTTTAATGATTGCCATTCTAACTGGTGTGAGATGGTATCTCATTGTGGTTTTGATTTGCATTTCTCTGATGGCCAGTGATGATGAGCATTTTTTCATGTGTCTGTTGGCTGCATAAATGTGTTCTTTTGAGAAGTGTCTGTTCATATCCTTCGCCCAATTGTTGATGGGGATGTTTGTTTTTTTCTTGTAAATTTGTTTGAGTTCTGAAAAGCCACTATCTTAAAATTGTTAGTCACTGGCTAGAAAAAAATAGAATGTGTCATGATTTCTTTTTTTTTTTTTTTTTTTTCTGAGATGGAGTTTCACTCTTGTTGCCCAGGCTGGAGTGTAATGGCATGATCTCAGCTCACTGCAACCTCTGCCTCATAGGTTCAAGCTATTCTCCTGCCTCAGCCTCCTGAGTAGCTGGGAATACAGGCATGCACCCCCACACCTGGCCAATTTTGTATTTTTAGTAGAGATTGGGTTTCACTATGTTGCCAGGCTGGTCTTGAACTCCTGACCTCAGGTGATCCACCCACCTTGGCCTTTCAAAGTCTTGGAATTATAGGCGTGAGCCACCATGCCTGGCCAGAATGTAGCATCACTTCTATTCACATTTCACTGGCCCAAATAAGTCACATGATCACTTCTGGCTTCCTGTAGGCAGAGAAATTCTTTCCTATCGTGTATCTGCTTAGAACTTTGGGGTGGATCCACTTTGACTTTAGGCTAAAGTCCAAATCCCTGTGCAGAGCATTGCAAGGTCCTTTGTGATTTGAGCTCAGTCTGCTTTTTCAATATCATCTCCTGCTACTCTCCACTTTTCATGCAGTGCTGTGCTCCAGTTACACTGCATTACTCTCCTATCTAGAATATTCTGTATGTATTTTCTTTCCTCTGTCTTTGCACTTGTTGTTAAATTTGCCTGCAGAAACCTACTGATCTCTCAAGGTCTTATTTTCCCTTCCTTTATGAAGCTATCCTGAAACTCCCTAAACAGTCCCTCCTTCCTCTTTGACCCCATTCCTCTTTGCAAATATCTCCCTTATAGCATAGCTTTCATCACATCATAAGGTAGGAAGCTGTTTATTTTTCATGCCTGTCTATTCTCAAGTCTAGAGCTCCTTTAGGTTAGGAACGATGTCTTACATTTGTGTGACTTCTGCCAAGCACAGAGCCTGGCGCATAGCAGTTTAAGAAATATTTGTTGAATGAATGTGTAAATATCCTCCCCCACAATCCCTGAAGATTAGTCATAAATGCTCTGCTCTCTGATCCATGGACTTTAAGGGACTTTTGCCATTTTATTTCTTTCCCATTATGTCATTTTGTTTTTTCCACTTTCTAATAAAATACTGACTCTTTGACTTAAAAACCCAAGAACGCCATTAGTCATGCCTCATGAATTTCTTTTCCTTGCTGGGTAACCTTAACTAGCTCTGATGGAACTCTCACTTGTGTTTCTCAACTAATTTTAATGACATATAATACCAATATTTAGTGTGCTCTCTTTGTGCCAGACACAGTGCTTGGCACTGCGGACATGAAGACAGATGATAGTTTCTGTATTCAGTGAGTCCTGGACCAAAGTATTATATTTCACCCACATCTTTGGGTGTGCCAGGGACATTCTGAAGTGCCTTCATCGAAGTTCGTAGTCACATTTTTTTTCCAATATAGGATATGTGTAAAGCCTTTAATGGGAAGAAAATGTCTTCCTTCCTAAAACATGTTAAAAACCAGACTGTTACTTGGGAATATTAGCTACTTAAATTGATTGGCACTTAATAACACCAAACTAAGTGGCATTTTAGGGCAGGAATCTGGGAGATGGGATGGTACATTTTGTAAGTCAGAGTGAATTAGGAATGTTTTTAACTTGGATAGTTAAGTGGCTAGTCGGGAGGAGCTGGACACCTTTAAGTAGGTGGAGCTCCAGCTGGGGAAGGCAGGGCTTCTGAAATGGAGAAGACAGTGAGAAGGTATGTAGAGTCTAGAGCTGCACTGTTCAATATGGAAGCCTCTGGCCCCATGTGGCTGTCAAATACTTAAAGTATGTCCAGTCCAAATTGAGATGTTCAATGAGTGTAAAATATATGGCAGATTTGGAAGACAATACAAAAATTCTAAAATCTCACAATAATTTTTTATATTGATTACATATTGATATGATAATATTTTGGATACATTTTGCTAGGTAAAATATATTATTAAATATTAATCTAGTTTCTTTTTACTTTTTAATGTGGCTGTTAAAAAATATAAAATTACACACATGGTTCACACTTAGGGTTTGCATTACATTTATACCAGACAGCAGTGGTCTAGAAGCTAAGCATTGCCCATTCTGTTGTTTGTTGCCTCCATCTTCCTTCTTTCCATTCCTTTCTCCCTTTCTTACTGAGCATCTTCTATGTTCAGGTTCTGTGTGAGGCTCTTGGTTACAGAAAGGAATTCCCTCTAGCAATTTCCAGTCTAGTAGTAAAGAAAGTCATATAAATGACTACACTATAGTGTTGTTATGGGATCTTTGGGGTGTCAATTTTCTTCCTGGAAACCTCTGTAGCTGGTGGCGCCTTTGCCTGAGTTCTTGTCCTGTGTCCAGGAAGAATGAAGTATGCAGACAAGTAAAGGGTGAAGAAGATGAAGATAAGTTTTATTTAGTGTCAGAACAGCTCAGAGGAGACCTGCAATGGGTAGCTCCTCTCTGTAGGCAGGTCATCCCGTCAAGTGTTTAGCTCTCAGCAGAGAGGGTAGCTCCTCTCTGCAGCTGGTCCACCTGTTGTCTCTCTGTCCTCTGCCCTCTGCCCTGCTCTGGCTGAGCCTGGGGCTTTTATGGGGCTCAGAGGGGAGGAAGTGCCTGCTGATTGGTCCATGGGCAGCCATGGGTGGGCCCAGAGGAGACCCACAAGTCCTCACTCCCCTCGGCAGGACTGGCAGCCTGGCCCCCAGCCTTCGGGCCTTCCCTGGACTGAAGGTGGAGCCTTTCTGGGGGACCCACTGCTTCCACCCAGGACTCTGCCTCCCACTGCCATTCAAGGCCCTGGGCTTGGCCCCAGCCTTACTGTGAGGCCAGGCAGTGGGAGCAGATACCCCCAAGCCAGCAGGGACTGTGGGGAGGGGCTTCCCGTTCCCCCAGGATGCAGGCTGCAGAGATGTCCAGGTCCTGGCCCTGGGAGGGCAGGCCGTAGCTGTACCCAGGGAGCTCCTGCCCTGCCAACTTGGAAGGGGTGGGGTTTTTGCTTGTCCCCGGCTCCTGCCTGCTCCTTGGAGCTAGAGGCCAAGGTCTGCAGCCATGGATCCTGAAGCTGCAGCTGCACCTAGGAGGTCAGATTTTGCCTGCTCCTGGCCCCCTACATGAGCACAGGCTTGGATCCACAGCCACAGTTTGGGTGGCTGTAGACCCGCCACCCAGAAGGGGTGGGACTTCCACCGGCTCCATGGAGTGTGCAGCCCCAGTCACGCCTCCCTCCTGTAGCCAGTGTGATGGCAGCAGCTGCTGCCGTCAGTGGGATAAGTACTTTCTTAGGCCATACAATGGTAATTCTTTGGGGGAACACTTGACTCTGAGTCAAATAAGCTGCTAAGACTGGAGGTGAATTGCAATTCTGCCTACAGCCATCTGTGGGAAGTGGCTGAGTCCAGGAGGCAGCCCCAAATCAAATAGGTCTCTATCCTTATGCCTCTAATTACTCATTAGAAGGCAGACTTCACACATACTCCAAGGGAGCAATGACCCTTTCAGTTGTGTCAGGAGTGGGAGGACAAAGGAAAGGGAACTTAAATATTTGAGACCTTTCAGTGTGCAAAACACTTGCTCAGTGCTTCACATATACCATCTTTTTCATTCTCTTCACAGACCTTTGAATTATGTATTGTCTCTAATTACAGGTAAGGTACCTGAGACTTAGAGACAATCAAAAACTTGCACATCCCTCTTTGGTCAACTATTTTCAAAGAGGCACTGGATAATTAGGTGAAGCTGGCTCAGTGCCAGTTCTCTGTCATATTGAAAAAGTAGCTTGAAAAATCATCTTGTTGATCATGATGCAATAATATAATCTCATACACAAAGGATATCTCATGGCTTTTAATATCCATGATCAGTGAATACTTATAGTAACTTCTGTCCAATTTTCTTATTTTTACAATTCTACCATTTGGTCAAGGGTTAAATGACAGCCACATGTACTATTCTTTGGATCCCAGTTGGTTCTGTCATGTCTGCTATCCATCTTTCTTATGCAAGTTTACTTCCATTCCCATCACTAGGGTTTTTCCATTGTAGTGTATGTTTCCAATGACAGAATTCTCCTATTAACGAGAGAGAAGAACTCTCAAAGGTCTTTACTTATTATATTTTTCTTTTTCACTTTCAGCTCCTATTTTCCTTTTATCTTCATCAATGATATTATTACTTCCTTTCCCATTTTTCCCTTTAAATATCTTATTATCTGCCAATAATGAATATTGTCTAAGAATATCGGAGTAAACCATGACTTTAGCTGCTGCAAATTAGTGAAAATAATTTTCAGATTAGTACTAAATTAGTTGAGTGGAATTAGTTCCGAGAAATAAGTCTAGGGCATTTACTCACTACCTGCCACACCCAAAAATCATCCTTCAGGAAAGTGTCTAGGAGGAGTATTGTAGGATAAAAACCTTGACCAGAAGCTTATGGTCTGGTATCTGGTTCTTTCTGCCTCTGTTCTGTCATCTTCAGTGTTGGCTACATCTGCCTGGCAGCAACATGGCTGCAACAATTTCAGGCAGGGTTAACATCTGGAAAGACAACCCATCTGGTCTCCCAGTGGCTTTTTATTAAGAATGAGAGAAGCTCCAGCCTCTTGCATCTCATTGGCCATCCCTGGGTTATATCCCTGTGCCTGAGCCAATCACTCCACAGGAGTAGTATCACCGTTAGAAGGATTGCCTTTAGCTGGAATGAGTCATCTTCCCTTGAGGCACTTGGCTGTGTGGCACCTGAACAAAACTGTGGTTCTGTTAGGAAAGAAGAAGGGGGAATGGGATTTTGTAGGCAAGCAACAATGTCCCCTATGCAAAGCCAGCACAATTCAGTGTGGTGCAAATGATGGGGAAGTATTTTGGTGGACTCTGGTGACACAAAGAAACACAAGTGGAAGTTTCTTGGTTATCAGGGTAGTCAAGGAAGCTATAGTGAGTAGAAGACCTTGACATACACATTGAAGTATCATAGCCAAGAATACTGTTATATATAGGACTGCTATGTTGTTCTGCTGATGAACTCGTGCTTCCACAGGGGAAAACAGATGTTTAGAGTGAAGAGTTAGAAAAGAAGAGAGACAAAATGAATCCAAGTTCTGCTGCATAACAGTCAGGTGTTTCATCAACTTAGCTGCTTGAGCCCCTGGAGAGAAGGCGAGATGCTCTGAGTCAGATGTTTATACATCAGTGGTAGATCAAAAATAAATTAGCCCTTTGCTATATCAAGCAGCTCATGGTGATGTTTAGTCACATCAGATTGCTTATTTATTCACGTTAACAGTAGGAATGAACAGGATGAGTGTGATAGATAGGACCGGATCCAGACCACACTCACCCTTGGGAATAGTGGGAAGTTCTGCAAATTTCTGATTATTTCCAGCAATAGATGAGAGTCAGAGCACAGCTAATCTAAACCGGCATTCAAAAGGGTTTCTTTTCAGCAGCTATTAGTTGTACATTAACACAAGAATATCTGGTATTTTGTTACTGAAAAATCTGTCTTCAAAATTAGAAATCTCTTGATTTCCTCCCTTCAGCCCTCCTGATGTTCTTTGGACTTCTGTTTCACTCAGTCAGAATAACCTCCATACATTTGCAGATGCTGTTCCTTCTTAGAGTGCCATTTCCTGCTTGTTCACTGCCAGATTTATGTGAATTTATGTGAGGCTTTGGAAATTGTCCTCCATAATAATTTCCTGCCATTGAGGTGACTGAAGTGTCCCATTGTTTTCAGAGTTTATCCAGCTGGAAAAGAAGCTGTTTACCAGAAGGGTGACAAACCTTTCCAGTTTGCCAGGATTGGGCTGGGGAAGAAAAGTATCCAGGGATGTGGATTTTCAATGCTAAAACCACAAACATTCTGGAAAGTTAGGAAGAGTTGGTAATTCTAGAATGCCAGCCACTTAAGAATGAGGAGGAAGAGGAGCCAGAGGGGGTTGAGGAACAAGAGGCAATGGATGAAGAAAAGAGTGAAATGGTGGCAAGGCTCTCATCACACATTCCAGGCTTTGAAAAACAAGCAATGAGGACAGTTTGGAGATAGAGACAATTAGTAAAGTGTTTATCTTTTCTCTTAAAATATGTTAAAAGCATCACTTCTTTTTTTTGTTTTAAGAGATGGGATCTCTCTCTGTCACCCAGGCCAGAGTGCAGTGGCATGATCATAGTTCACTGCAGCCTCCAACTCCTGGGCTCAAGTAATCCTCCCACCTCAGCCTCTTGACTAACTGGGACTACAGGTATGTGCCACCATATCTGGCTAATTTTAAAATGTTTTGTAGAGACAGGATCTCCTTATGTTGCCCAAGCTTGTCTCAAAACTCCTGGGCTCAAGCTTGTCTCAAAACTCCTGTCTTGGCCTCCCAAAGTGCTGGGATTACAGATGTGAGCCACTGTGCCCGGCCAAAGTATCACTCTGAAATGGAAGCAGTGACTATTGAGTTGTTGTGATCACTGAGTCAAGTATTTGTGATGCACTTATTGAGAACATCATCTTAAAAACTGTCACTGTCACTTATTACCTACCATTCATGCCTCCATTCATGTATTAATTCAACAGATTTTCACTGGGTGCCTGTGGTGCTAGGCTCCATGCTGGAGCCATCAGCCTGGCGAGGCCCTGTCCCCCTGGAACGAACTATCAGCCCCTTGCTGCATATCTTCTTCATAGCTGTTGGGTTTACCATGCAGGGGGATCTTAGTAGACCTCCAGAGCAGTCTTAGGAGTCAAATGCTCAGCAGAACCTTGGCAAGCTTGAATATAGCTTGCTACCACAAGTACTCTAAGATACCCAGGGATGAAAATAGCCAATTACAGTGCATCCTCAGCTTAGATGCAACTGTGAGATGGAAAAAGCAGTTCATTCTTCGGCTTAACGCCACAGCTTCTTTCTCATCACTTCCCTCTGTCCATCCCCAAGGAACTCCTTGTAGCTCCCTGAACTTGCCTGCTTCTCTTTGGCTTCTAGGCCTTTCTGTAGGCTGTTTACTGTGCTTGTACCTTCCCCATACAACACCTGTCCCCACCCCTATTAACGTGGCTTATGTAGGCTTGCCCCTGAAGTTTCATGTTTACCGTTGCTTCCTCCTGTAAACCTGTATAAGGCCTCTCCTCTGAGCTATCATAGCACACTGTACCTGCTTCTATGTAGCCTTCTTACACAGGATTGAAATTTATTTAGTTACCTCTCTTTGTTACTAGATTGTAAGCATCCAGGACTGTGCCCTGCTCAACACCGAGCAGGTGCCTAATAAACATTTGTTGTATAATTGAAGGTGAGAATAAAATAACACTCCACTAAAACTATAGTAAACACATATTCCATGATTTTTTTGAGGTTAGCTGACACATTAGTCCCATTCAAGAAGATATTCAAAATATTTATTACTCCTGAACTAGATCATCAATCAAAATGGACCCTGACCCAGTGTTGCTAGATTAAGGAGCTAGAGGCTCCTTCTGTGCCAGATGCTAACTCTTTACCAGTTGCTGGATCATGGGGAGGTAGGGGTCTAGGGAGGGGCCTGATGTCCGGGGCCAGGTATGCTGGAAACAGATATTGGTACTGTAAACAGACAGTACCAGTTAGTAAATATTTCAATATTTTCACACAACCATAATCATCCAGATACATTTGGGCCACATTTTAGCCCTGGTCAAGTTCATTTTCTCAATAAAATGAATGCTGTGGAGTTTACAGCAGGATGAGAAAGGTTGCATTTTAAATAGCCTCAATTTCCCCCAGTGGAATGATCTATGTAATCTTATCAGATATGTTTATTCATGGGGAAGTCTCTTTATGCAGGTTTCATAGCAGGGCAGAGAAACATTGATTTTGTCTAAAACTCTGCTGAATGCCAGGCTGATGGGACTGATTGTGGACCACGCTGGACCTCTGTCCCTGTAGTGGTATTTAGTAAGCCCTCATGCAGAATGGATGGGGAAGCTGTGGTGGAAACAGTGGCAGCCATGTAGTGTTGGGGGCTGAATGCCCCCTGGAGCTTTCTAAAGGACACTGACCCTTAAATCACAGAGTTTTAAAACAAACAAACCAACAAACAAAGAAATGAACAGCCTCTGAACTGATTTTTTTTTCAGATCCTGAAAATGCCAGAGTAAAGTGTGAATTCTTAAGAAATGAAATCCCTTGGATATGTTTGAAATCTTTTTGTGTTTTCTAACACTTTAAAATTTGGCTTCATTTAACGTAGCCATAGGGAGATAGCTGGTATAGATCTGTGGGCCTGTTTTGCTCAAGCATTGAATATAGAAAGGTGTTTAACTACAACTTGGATGCTAATAAGTGCAAATCTCAGTAACTCTGCCATGTTCCCCAGTGAAACTCTGATCTAAAAGAATTATACAAGGTTGTACTTTCTCTCTAAGCATGAAGGATTTCCCATGGAAAAAGAGTTCAGAAAGTGCAGGTTTGTGTTGTAAAGGCTGTTTTCTACCCATTTTAATATATGCTTTGAACAGGCAAGGGTATTAGAAGAAGACGAAAATGTAAGATCCAAGTTATGTACTGAAAGATCCTGGGGAATGACTTGTAAAGTATAATAGGATATAAGATAATAAGAGATTGCATCAGCACCAAGAGAATGCTGTTCTCGATTAAGAGCTCAAATCAAATGGCCAGGACAACTGAAATGACTCAGTGAAAATAGAATCCCCAGAAGAATCTTTCAAAATAAGACAAGACAGAAGCCCAAAAGCATATCCAGAAATTGCTAAAGTCACCCAGTAAAGAAAGGTCACAAAGAATAAAAGGACATGGAATGTCAAAAAAAGGGGGAGAATAGAAAGTGGTATCTCATTAAAACATGGTGTGAAAAACTGTACTATTGTATTTTTCTTACTTATCCAAATAAAATAACCTCATGGACAGGCCAAGATTTATGCTCAAGTGTTCATCACATTGTTATTTATCATAACTCAAACGTGGAAACAATCTTTTTTTAAAATTGTACTTTAAGTTCTGGGATACATGTGCAGAACGTGCGGGTTTGTTACATGGGTATACACGTGCCATGGTGGTTTGCTGCACCCATCAACCCGTCATCTATATTAGGTATTTCTCCTAATGCTATCACTCCACTTTCCCCCCACTTCCCAACAGGCCCCGGTGTGTGATGTTCCCCTCCCTGTGCCCATATGTTCTCATTGTTCAACTCCCAGTTATGAGTGAGAACATGTGGTGTTTGGTTTTCTGTTCCTGTGTTAGTTTGCTGAGAATGATGGTTTCCAGCTTCATCCATGTCCCTGCAAAGGACATGGACTCATTGTTTTTTATGGCTGCACAGTTTTCCATGGTGTATATGTGCCACATTTTCTTAATCCAGTCTAACATTCATGGGCATTTGGGTTGGTTCCAAGTCTTTTCTATTGTGAATAGTGCTGCAATAAACATACGTATGCATGTGTCTTTACAACAGAATGATTTATAATCCTTTGGGTGTATACCCAGTAATGGGATTGCTGGGTCAAATGGTATTTCTAGCTCCAGATCGTTGAGGAATCGCCACACTGTCTTCCACAATGGTTGAACTAATTTACACTCCCACCAACAGTGTAAAAGTGTTCCTATTTCTCCACATCCTCTCCAGCATCTGTTGTTTCCTGACTTTTTAATGATCGCCATTCTAACTGGCGTGAGATGGTATCTCATTGTGGTTTTGATTTGCATTTCTCTAATGACCAGTGATGATGAGCTTTTTTTCATATGTTTGTTGGCTGTGTAAATGTGTTCTTTTGAGAAGTGTCTGTTCATATCCTTTGCCCACTTTTTGATAGGGTTGTTTGGTTTTTTTCGTGTAAATTTGTTTAAGTTCTTTGTAGCTTCTGGATATTAGCCCTTTGTCAGATGGATAGATTGCAAAAATGTTCTCCCACTCTGTAGGTTGCCTGTTCACTCTGACGATAGTTTCTTTTGCTGTGCAGAAGCTCTTTAGTTTAATTAGATCCCATTTGTCAATTTTGGCTTTTGTTGCAGTTGCTTTTGGTGTTTTAGTCATGAAGCTTTGCCCATGCCTATGTCCTGAATGGTATTGCCTAGGTTTTCTTCTAGGGTTTTTATGGTTTTAGGTCTTATGTTTAAATCTTTAATCCATCTTGAACTAATTTTTGTATATGGTGTAAGGAAGAGGTTCAGTTTCAGTTTTCTGCATATGGCTAGCCAGTTTTCCCAACATCATTTATTAAATAGGGAATCCTTTCCCCATTTCTTGTTTTTGTCATGTTTGTCAAAGATCAGATGGTTGTAGATGTGTGGTGTTATTTCTGAGGGCTCTGTTCTGTTCCATTAGTCTATATATCTGTTTTGGTACCAGTACTAGGGTGTTTTGGTTACTGTATCCTTGTAGTATAGTTTGAAGTCAGGTAGTGTGATGCCTCCAGCTTTGTTCTTTTTGCTTAGGATTATCTTGGCTATGTGGGCTCTTTTTTTTGTTCCATATGAAATTTAAAGTAGTTTTTTCTAATTCTGTGAAGAAAGTCAATGGTAGCTTGATGGGAATAACATTGAATCTGTAAGTTACTTTGGGCAGTATGGCCATTTTCACTATATTGATGCTTCCTATCCATGAGCATGGAATGTTTTTCCATTTTTTTGTGTCCTCTCTTATTTCCTTGAGCAGTGGTTTGTAGTTCTGCCTGAAGAGGTCCTTCACCTGCCTTGTAAGTTGTATTCCTAGGTATTTTATTCTTTTTGTAGCAATTGTGATTGGGAGTTTGCTCATGATTTGGCTCTTTCTTTGTCTATTATTGGTGTATGGAATGCTTGTGATTTTTGCACATTGATTTGTAGCCAGAGACTTCACTGAAGTTGCTTGTCAGCTTAAGGAGTTTTTGGGCTGAGATGATGGGCTTTTCTTTTCTTTTCTTTTCTTTTTTTTTGAGACAGAATCTTGCACTGTCGCCTGGGCTGGAGTGTAATGGTGCGATCTCGGCTCACTGCAACTTCTGCTTCCTGGGTTCAAGCAATTCTCCTGCCTCAGCCTCCCAGGTAGCTGGGACTACTGGTGCCTGCCACCATGCCCAGCTAATTTTTTGTATCTTAGTAGAGATGAGGTTTTTTTTGTATCTTAGTAGAGATGAGGTTTCACTATGTAGGCCAGGCTGGTCTCGAATTCCTGACCTCGTGATCTGCCTGCCTCGGCCTCCCAAAGTGCTGGGATTACAGGTGAGAGCCACTGTGCCCAGCCTGATGATGGGGTTTTCTAAATATACAATCATGTCATCTACGAACAGAGATAATTTGGCTTCCTCTCTTCCTATTTGAATACGCTTTATTTCTTTCTCTTGCCTGGTTGCCCTGGCCAGAACTTCTAATACTATGTTGAATAGGAGTGGTGAGAGAGGGCATCCTTGTCTTGTGCTGGTTTTCAAAGGGAGTGCTTCCAGCTTTTGCCCATTCAGTATGATATTGGCTCTGGGTTTGTCATAAGTAGCTCTTATTATTTTGAGATATGTTCCATCAATGCCTAGTTTATTGAGTGTTTTTAGAATGAAGGGCTGTTGAATTTTGTCAATACCTAGTTTATTGAGTGTTTTTAGCATGAAAGGGTGTAGAATTTTATCAAAGGCCTTTTCTGCATCTATTGAGATAATCATGTGTTTTTTGTCATTGGTTCTGTTTATGTGATGGATTATGTTTATTGATTTGTGTATGTTGAACCAGCCTTGCATCCCAGGGATGAAGCCAACTTGATCATGGTGGATAAGCTTTTTGATGTGCTGCTGGATTCAGTTTGCCAGTATTTTATTGAGGGTTTTTGCATCGATGTTCTTCAGGGATATTGGCCTGAAATTTTCTCTTTTTCTTGTGTCTCTGCCAGGTTTTGGTATCAGGATGATGCTGGCCTCATAAAATGAGTTAGGGAGGAATCCCTCTTTCTCTATTGTTTGGAATAGTTTCAGAAGGAATGGTACCAGCTCCTCTTTGTACCTATAGTAGAATTCAGCTGTGAATCTGTCTGGTCCTGGACTTTTTTTGGTTGGTAGGCTATTAATTATACTGCCTCAATTTCAGAACTTGTTATTTGTCAGTTCACGGATTTAACTTCTTCCTGGTTTAGTCTTGGGAAGCTGTATGTGTCCAGGAATTTATCCATTTCTTCTAGATTTTCTAGTTTATTTGCATAGAGGAGTTTATAGTATTCTCTGACAGTAGTTTGTATTTATGTGGGATCAGTGGTAATCTCCCATTTATCATTTTTTATTGTGTCTATTTGATTCTTCTCTCTTTTCTTCTTTATTAGTCTGGCTAGCGGTCTATTTTGTTAATCTTTTCAAAAAACGAGCTCCTGGAATCACTGATTTTTTTGAAGGACTTTTTGTGTCTCTGTCTCCTTCAGTTCTGCTGTGATCTTAGTTATTTCTTGTCTTCTGCTAGCTTTTGAATTTGTTTGCTCTTGCTTCTCTAGTTCTTTTAATTATGATGTTAGGGTGTCGATTTTAGATCTTTCCCATTTTCTCCTGTGGGCATTTAGTGCTGTAAATTTCCCTCTAAACACTGCTTTAGCTGTGTCCCAGAGATTCTGGTACATTGTGCCTTTGTTCTCATTGGTTTCAAAGAACTTATTTATTTTTGCCTTAATTTCGTTATTTACCCAGTAGTCATTCAGGAGCAGGTTGTTCAGTTTCCATGTAGTTGTGCAGTTTTGAGTGAGTTTCTTAATCCTGAGTTCTAATTTGATTGCACTGTGGTCTGAGAGACTGTTATGATTTCCATTCTTTTGCATTTGCTGAGGAGTGTTTTACTTCCAATTATATGATTGATTTTAGAATAAGTGCTATGTGGTGCTGAGAATGTATATTCTGCTATTGATTTGGGGTGGAGAGTTCTGTAGATGTCTATTAGGTCCGCTTGATCCAGAGCTGAGTTCAAGTCCTGAATATCCTTGTTAATTTTCTGTCTCGTTGATCTGTCTAATATTGACAGTGGGTTGTTAAAGTCTCCCATTATTATTGTGTGGAAGTCTAAGTCTCTTTGTAGGTCTCTAAGAACTTGCTTTATGAATCTGGGTGCTCCCGTATTGGGTGCATATATATTTAGGATAGTTAGCTCTTCTTGTTGCATTGATCCCTTTACCATTATGTAATGTCCTTCTTTGTCTTTTTTAATCTTTGTTGGTTTAAAGTCTGTTTTCTCAGAGACTAGGAATGTAACCCCTGCTTTTTTTTTTTTACTTTCCATTTGCTTGGTAAATCTTCCTCCATCCCTTTATTTTGAGCCTATGTGTGTCTTTGCATATAAGATGGGTCTCCTGAATACAGCACACCGATAGGTCTTGATTCTATCCAATTTGCCAGTCTGTGTCTTTTAATTGGAGCATTTAGCCCATTTACATTTAAGGTTAATATTGTTATGTGTGAGTTTGATCCTGTCATTATGATGCTAGCTGGTTATTTTTTCCAGTAGTTGATGCAGTTTCTTCATAGTTGTCAGTGGTCTTTAACTTTTGGTTTGTTTTTGCAGTGGCAGGTACTGGTTTTTCCTTTCCACGTGCTTCCTTCAGGAGCTCTTGTAAGGCAGGTGGTGGTATCAGAATCCCTCAGCATTTGCTTGTCTGTAAAGGATTTTACTTCTCCTTCACTTATGAAGCTTAGTTTGGCTGGATATGAAGTTCTGGGCTGAAAATTCTTTTCTTTAAGAATGTTGAATATTGACCCCCACTCTCTTCTTGCTTGTAGGGTTTCTGCAGAGAGATCTGCTGTTAGTCTGATGGGCTTTCCTTTGTGAGTATCCTGACCTTTCTCTCTGGCTGCCTGTAACATTTTTTCTTTCATTTTAACCTTGGTGAATTTGTCAATTATGTGTCTTGGGGTTGCTCTTCTCGAGGAGTATCTTTGTGGCATTCTCTGTTATTTCCTGAATTTGAATGTTGGCCTGTCTTGCTAACTTGGGGAAGTTCTCCTGGATAATATCCGGAAGTGTGTTTTCCAACTTGGTTCCATTCTCCCCATCACTTTCAGATACAGCAATCAAATGTAGGTTTGGTCTTTTCACATAGTCCCATATTTCTTGGAGCCTTTGTTCATCCCTTTGTATTCTTTTTTCTGTAATCTTGTTTTCATGCTTTATTTCATTACCTTGATCTTTAATCTCTGATATCCTTTCTTCTGCTTGATAGATTTGGCTATTGATACTTGTGTATGCTTCGTGAAGTTCTCGTGCTGTTTTTCAGCTCCATCAGGTCATTTATGTTCTTCTCTAAACTGGTTATTCTAGTTAGCAATTCCTCTAACCTTTTATCAAGGTTTTCTTAGCTTCCTTGCATTGGGATAGAACATGCTTCTTTAGCTCAGAGGAGTTTGTTATTTCTCACCTTCTGAAGCCTACTTCTGTCAATTAGTCAAACTCATTCTCCATCCAGTTTTGTTCCCTTGCTGGCAAGGAATTGTGATCCTATAGAGGAGAAGAGGCATTCTGGTTTTTGGAATTTTCAGCCTTTTTGCACTGGTGTTTCCTCATCTTCTTGGACTTATCTACCTTTGGTCTTTGCTGTTGGTGACCTTTGGATGGAGTTTTTGTGTGGTTATCCTTTTTGTTGATGTTGATGCTGATGCTATTGCTTTCTGTTTGTTAGTTTTCCTTCTAACAGTCAGGCCCCTCTTCTGCAGGTCTGCTCGAGTTTGCTGGGGTTCCATTCCAGACCCTGTTTGCCTGGGTATCACCAGCGGAGGCTGCAGAACAGCAAAGATTGCCGCGTGCTCCTTCCTCTGGAAGCTTCGTTCCAGAGAGGCACCCACCAGATACCAGCCGGCGTTCTCCTGTATGAGATGTCTGTCAACCCCTGCTGGGAGATGTCAGGAGGCATGCGGGCCAAGACCCACTTGAGGAGGCAGTCTGTCTCTTAGCAGAGCTCAAGTGCTGTGCTGGGAGATCTGCTGCTCTCTTCAGAGCTGACAGCCAGGACCGTTTAAGTCTGCTGAAGCTGCACCCACAGCTGCCACTTCCCCCAGGTGCTTTGTGCCAGGGAGATGGGAGTTTTGTCTATAAGCCCTTGACTGGGGATGCTGCCTTTCTTTCAGAGATGCCCTGCCCAGAGAGGAGGAATCTAGAGAGGCAGTCTGGCTACAGAGGCTTTCTGACGCTGCAGTTGACTCCACCCTGTCTAAACTTCCTGGAGGCTTTATTTACACTGTGAGGGGAAAACTGCCTACTCAACCTTCAGAAATGGTGGACGCCCCTCCCCCAACAAAGCTCAAGCATCCCAGGTCGTCTTCAGACTGCTGTGCTGGCACGACTGCCGTGCTGGCAGTGAGAATTTCAAGCCAGTTGATCTTAGCTTGCCGGACTCTATAGGGGTGGGATCCACTGAGCAAGACCACTTGGCTCCCTGGCTTCAATCCCCTTTCCAGGGGAGTGAATGGTTTTGTCTTGCTGGTGTACCAGGTGCCACTGGGGTATGAAAAAAAACTCCTGCGGCTAGCTCAATGTCTGCCCAAATGGCTGCCCACTTTTGTGCTTGATACCCAGGGCCCTGGAGATGTAGGCACCCGAGGGAATCTCCTGGTCTGCGGGTTGCAAAGACCCTGGGAAAAGCATAGTATCTGGGCTGGATAGCACTGTCTGTCATGGCACTGTCCCTTACGGCTTCCCTTGGCTAGGGGAGGGAGTTCCCCAACTCCTTGCACTTCCTGGGTGAGGCAACACCCCGCCCTTCTTGTACTCGCCCTCCGTGGGCTGCACCCACTGTCTAACCAGTCCCATTGAGATGAGCTGGGTACCTCAGCTTCTGCGTTGGTCTCTCTGGGAGCTGCAGACCAGAGCTGTTCCTATTCTGCCATCTTGCTGGGGAATGTGGAATCAATCTTAAAGGTCAACAATAGAAAAATGTTTGAATAAAGTACAGTGTGCCTATGTAGATAGACTATCAACACAATGCTTTTTGGAATTTTTTATTGAAGTGAGAAAATATTTGTGACGTATGTACAGCTCCATCACATCCCTCCAAACAAAACAAAAAAATCATTTTGCTGCAGGTCAATTCATTGACATTGTAAATAATGCTTTTTTCATATAATTTTTCCTTCTCCCTATTTTAAAAAATTATTTATGTATTTATAGAGATGGGATCTCACTCTGCAGCTCAGGCTGGAGTACCCTGGTATGATTTTGGTTCACTGAAGCCTCAAATTCCTGGGCTCAAGTGAACCTCCTGCCTCAGCTTCCCAAGGAGCTGGGAATACAGTTGTATGCCTCACATCCGACAATTTTTTTTCAACTTTTATTTTAGGTTCAAGGGGTATATGTGCAGGTTTGTTATACAGGTAAATCACATGTCTTGGGGGTTTGGGGTATGGATAGTTTTTTCACTTCAACCAGCATAATGTCAGATAGGTGGTTTTTCAGTCCTCACCCTCCTTCCACCCTCCACCCTCAAGTAGACCCTAGTGTCTGTTGTTCCCTTGTGTCCATGTGTAGTTAATGTTTGGCTCCCACTTACAAGTAAGAACATGTGGTGTTTGATTTTCTGTTATATGTTAATTTGCTTAAGATTATGGTCTGTAGAGGGTTAAAAGATGGCCGAATAGGAACAGCTCCAGTCTGCAGCTCCCAGCATGAGTGAAGCAGAAGATGGGTGATTTCTGCACTTCCAACTGAGGTACAGGTGCATCTCACTGGGGCTTGTTGGACAGTGGGTGCAGCCCACAGAGTGTGAGCTGAAGCAGGGCAGGGCATTGCCTCACCCGGGAAGCACAAGGGGTCGGGGAATTCCCTTTCCTAGCCAAGGGAAGCCGTGACAGACGATACCTGGAAAATCAGGGGACTCTCACCCTAATACTGTGCTTTTCCAATGGTCTTAGCAAATGGCACACCAGGAGAATATATCCCGCACCTGTCTCGGAGGGTCCCACGCCCAAGGAGCCTTGCTCACTGCTAGTACAGCAGTCTGAGAGCGAACTGCAAGGTGGCAGCAAGGCTGGGGGAGGGGCGTCTACCATTGCTGAGGCTTGAGTAGGTAAACAAAGCAGCCTGGAAGCTCAAACTGGGTGGAGCCCACTGCAGCTCAAGGAGGCTTGCCTGCCTCTGTAGACTCCACCTCTGAGGGCAGGGCATAGCTGAATAAAAGGCAGCAGAAACTTCTGCAGACTTAATCGTCCCTGTCTGACAGCTTTGAAGAGAGTAGTGGTTCTCCCAGCATGGAGTTTGAGATCTGAGAACGGACAGACTGCCTCCTCAAGTGGGTCCCTGACTCCTGAGTAGCCTAACTGGGAGACACCTCCCAGTAGGGGCTGACTGACACCTCATACAGCTGGGTGCCCCTCTGAGAGGAAGCTTCCAGAGGAAGGATCAGGCAGCAACATTTGCCATTCTGTAATATTTGCTGTTCTGCAGCCTCCGCTGGTGATACCCAGGCAAACAGGGTCTGGAGTGGGCTTCCAGCAAACTACAACAGACCTGCAGCTGAGGGTCCTGGCTGTTAGAAGGAAAACTAACAAGCATAAAGGACATACACACCAAAACCCCATCTGTACATCACCATCATCAAAGACCAAAGGTAGATAAAACCACAAACATGGGGAGAAACCAGAGCAGAGAAGCTGAAAATTCTAAAAATCAGAGTGCCTCTTCTCCTCCAAGGAACGCAGTTCATGGCCATCAATGGAACAAAGCTGGACAGAGAATGACTTTGACAAGTTGAGAGAGGAAGGCTTCAGACGATCAGTAATAATAAACTTCTCCGAGCTAAAGGAGGATGTTCGAACCCATCACAAAGAAGCTAAAAACCTTGAAAAAAGATTGGACGAATAGTTAACTAGAATAAACAGCATAGAGAAGACCTTAAATGACCTGATGGAGCTGAAAACCATGGCACGAGAACTACGTGACGCATGCACAAGCTTCAGTAGCCGATTCGATCAACTGGAAGAAAGGGTATCAGTGATTGAAGATCAAATGAATGAAATGAAGTGAGAAGAGAAGTTTAGAGAAAAAAGAGTAAAAAGAAACAAACAAAGCTTCCAAGAAATATGGGACTATGTGAAAAGACCAAATCTATGCCTGATTGTGTACCTGAAAGTGACAGGGAGAATGGAACAAAGTTGGAAAACACTCTTCAGGATATTATCCAGGAGAACTTCCCCAATCTAGCAAGGCAGGCCAGCATTCAAATTCAGGAAATACAGAGAATGCCACAAAGATACTCCTCAAGAAGAGCAACTCCAAGACACATAATTGTCAGATTCACCAAAGTTGAAATGAAGGAAAAAGTGTTAAGGGCAGCCAGAGAGAAAGGTTGGGTTACCCACAAAGGGAAGCCTATCAGACTAACAGCAGATCTCTCAGCCAAGAGAAACTCTATAAGCCAGAAGTGAGTGGGGGCCAATATTCAACATTCTTAAAGAAAAGAATTTTCAACCCAGAATTTCATATCCAGCCAAACTAAGCTTCAGAAGTGAAGGAGAAATACAATCCTTTACAGACAAGCAAATGCTGAGAGATTTTGTCACCACCAGGCCTGCCTTACAAGAGTGCCTGAAGGAAGCAGTAAACATGGAAAGGAACAACTGGTACCAGCCACTGCAAAAACATGCCAAGTTGTAAAGACCATCAGTGCTAGGAAGAAACTGCATCAACTAATGAGCAAAATAACCAGCTAACATCATAATGACAGGATCAAATTCACACATAACAATATTAACCTTAAATGTAAATGAGCTAAATGCTCCAATTAAAAGACACAGACTGGCAAATTGGATAAAGAGCCAAGACCCATCAGTGTGCTGTATTCAGGAGACCCATCTCATGTGCAGAGACACAAATAGGCTCAAAATAAAGGGATGGAGGAAGATCTACCAAGCAAATGGAAAACAAACAAACAAACAAACAAAAAGCAGCGGTTGCAATCCCAGTCTCTGATAAAATAGACTTTACACCAACAAAGATCAAAAGAGACAAAGAAGGCCATTACATAATGGTAAAGGGATCAATTCAACAAGAAGAGCTAACTATCCTAAATATATATGCACTCAATACAGAAGCACTGGATTCATAAAGCAAGTCCTTAGAGACCTACAAAGAGACTTTGACTTCCACACAATAATAATGGGAGACTTTAATACCCCACTGTCAACATTAGACAGATCAATGAGACAGAAAGTTAACAAGGATATTTAGGACTTGAACTCAGCTCTGGACCAAGTGGACCTAATAGACATCTACAGAACTCGCCACCCCAAATCAACAGAATATACATTCTTCTCAGCACTACAGTGGTCTTATTCCAAACTTGACCACATAGTTGGAAATAAAGCACTCCTCAGAAAATGTAGAAGAACAGAAATTATAACAAACTGTCTCTCAGACCACAGTGCAATCAAACTAGAACTCAGGAACTCACTCAAAACTGCACAACTACATGGAAACTGAACAACCTGCTCCTGAATGGCTACTAGGTAAATAATGAAATG
Source organism: Homo sapiens (assembly GCF_000001405.40). Taxonomy (NCBI): domain Eukaryota; kingdom Metazoa; phylum Chordata; class Mammalia; order Primates; family Hominidae; genus Homo; species Homo sapiens. Next base: position 97,526,266 of record NC_000008.11, on the reverse strand, counting down.
AAGGCAGAAATAAAGATGTTCTTGGAAACCAATGAGAACAAAGGCACAACATACCAGAACCTCTGGGACACATTTAAAGCAGTGTGCAGAGGGAAAATTATAGCACTAAATGCCCACCAGAGAAAGCAGGAAAGATCTAAAATTGACACCCTAACATCACAATTAAAAGAAGTAGAGAAGCAAGGGAAAACACATTCAAAAGCTAGCAGAAGGCAAGAAATAACTAAGATCAGAGCAGAACTGAAGGAGATAGAGACACAAAAAACCCTTCCAAAAATCAATGAATCCAGGAGCTGGATTTTGAAAAGATCAACAAAATTGATAGACTGCTAGCAAGACTAATAAAGAAGAAAAGAGAGAAGAATCAAATGGACACAATAAAAAATGATAAAGGGGATATCACCACCGATCCCACAGAAATAGAAACTACCATCAGAGCATATTATAAATACCTCTATGCAAATAAATTAGAAAATCTAGAAGAAATGGATAAATTCCTGGACACATACACCCTCCCAAGACTAAACCAGGAAGAAGTTGAATCCCTGAATAGACCAATAACAGGCTCTGAAATTGGGGCAATAATTAATAGCCTACCAACCAAAAAAAGTCCAGGACCAGACAGATTCACAGCCAAATTCTACCAGAGGTACAAAGAGGAGCTGGTACTATTCCTTCTGAAAGTATTCCAATCAATATAAAAAGAGAAAATCCTCCCTAACTCATTTTATGAGGCCAGCATCATCCTGATACCAAAGCCTGGTAGAGACACAACCAAAAAAGAGAATTTTAGGCCAATATCCCTGGTGAACATTGATGCAAAATTCTTCAATAAAATACTGGCAAACCGAATCCAGCAGCACATAAAAAAGCTTATCCACCATGATCAAGTTGGCTTCATCCCTGGGATGCAAGGCTGGTTCAACATATGCAAATCAATAAATGTAATCCATCATATAAACAGAACCAAAGACAAAAACCACATGATTATCTCAATAGATGCAGAAAAGGCCTTCGACAAAATTCAACAGCCCTTCATGCTAAAAACTCTAAATAAGCTAAGTATTGATGGGATGTATCTCAAAATAATAAGAGCTATTTATGACAAACCCACAGCCAATATCATACTGAATGGGCAAAAACTGGAAGCATTCCCTTTGAAACCTGGCACAAGACAGAGATGCCCTCTCTCACCACTCCTATTCAACATAGTGTTGAAAGTTCTAGCCAGGGCAGTCAGGCAGGAGAAAGAAATAAAGGGTATTCAATTAGGAAAAGAGGAAGTCAAATTGTCCCTGTTTGCAGATGACATGATAGTATATTTAGAAAACCGCATAGTCTCAGCCCCAAATCTCCTTAAGCTGATAAGCAACTTCAGCAAAGTCTCAGGATACAAAATCAATGTGCAAAAACCACAAGCATTCCTATACATCAATAACAGACAAACAGCCAAATCATGAGTAAACTCCCATTCACAATTGCTACTAAGAGAATAAAATACCTAGGAATCCAACTTACAAGGGCTGTGAAGAACCTCTTCAAGGAGAATTACAAACCACTGCTCAACGAAATAAAAGAGGACACAAACAAATCGAAGAACATTCCATGCTCATGGATAGGAAGAATCAATATCGTGGAAATGGTCATACTGCCCAAGGTAATTTATAGATTCAATGCCATCCCCATCAAGCTACCAATGGCTTTCTTCACAGAATTGGAAAAAGCTACTTTAAAGTTCAAATGGAACCAAAAAAATCCCACATTGCCAAGACCATCCTAAGCAAAAAGAACAAAGCTGGAGGCATCATGCTACCTGACTTCAAACTATACTGCAAGGATACAGTAACCAAAACAGCATGGTACTGGTACCAAAACAGAAATAGAGACCAATGGAACAGAACAGAGGCCTCAGAAATAATACCACACATCTACAACCATCTGATCTTTGACAAACCTGACAAAAACAAGAAATGGGGAAAGGATTCCCTATTTAATAAATGGTGCTGGGAAAACTGGCTAGCCATATGTAGAAAGCTGAAAGTGGATCCCTTCCTTACACCTTATACAAAAATTAATTCAAGGTGGATTAAAGACTTAAATGTTAGACCTAAAACCATAAAAACCCTAGAAGAAAACCTAGGCAATACCATTCAGGACATTGGCATGGGCAAGGACTTCATGACTAAAACACCAAAAGCAATGGCAACAAAAGCCAAAATTGACAAATGGGATCTAATTAAACTAAAGAGCTGCACAGCAAAATAAACTACCATCAGAGTGAACAGGCAACCTACAGAATGGGAGAAAATTTTTACAATCTACCCATCTGACAAAGGGCTAATATCCAGAAGCTACAAAGAACTTATACAAATTTATGAAAAAAAATCAAACAACCCCATCAAAAAGTGGGGAAAGGATTTGAACAGACACTTCTCAAAAGATGACATTTATGCAGCCAATAGACACATGAAAAAATGCTCATCATCACTGGTCATCAGAGAAATGCAAATCAAAACCACAATGAGATACCATCTCACACCAGTTAGAATGGCAGTCGTTAAAAGGTCAGGAAACAATAGGTGCTGGAGAGGATGTGGAGAAATAGGAACACTTTTACACTGTTGGTGGGACTGTAAACTTGTTCAACCATTGTGGAAGACACTGTGGCAATTCCTCAAGGATCTAGAACTAGAAATACCATTAGATCCAGCTATCCCATTACTGGGTATATACTCAAAGGGTTATAAATCATGCTGCTATAAAGACACATGGACACCTATTTTTATTGCAGCACTATTCACAATAGCAAAGACTTGGAACCAACCCAAATGTCCATCAATGATAGACTGGATTAAGAAAATGTGGCACGGCCTGGCGCGGTGGCTGACGCCTGTAATCCCAGCACTTTGGGAGGCCAAGGCGGACGGATCACGAGGTCAGGAGATTGGACCATCCTGGCTATCATGGTGAAACCCCATCCCTACTAAAAAAAATACAAAAAATTAGCTGGGTGCCATGGTGGGCACCTGTAGTCCCAGCTACTCGGGAGGCTGAGGCAGGAGAATGGCGTGAACCTGGGAGGTGGAGTTTGCAGTGAGCCGAGATCACACCACTGCACTCCAGCCTGGGCGATAGAGAGAGACTGTCTCAAAAAAAAAAACAAACAAACAAAAGAAAATGTGGCACATATACAACATGGAATACTATGCAGCCATAAAAAAGGATGAGTTCATGTCCTTTATAGGGACATGGATGAAGCTGGAAACCATCATTCTCAGCAAACTATCACAAGGACAGAAAACCAAACACCGGATGTTCTCACTCATAGGTGGGAATTGAACAATGAGAACACTTGGACACAGGAAGGGGAACATCACACAATGGGGCCTGTAGTGGGGTGGGGGGAGGGGGGAGGGATAGCATTAGGAGATATACCTAATATAAATGACGAGTTAATGGGTGCAGCACACCATCATGGCACATGTATACATATGTAACAAACCTGCATGTTGTGCACATGTACCCTAGAACTTAAAGTATAATTAAAAAAAAGATTAAAAAAAAGATTATGGCCTGTAGCCCCATCCATGTTGCTGCAAAGGCCATGATCTCATTTCTTAAAATAGCTGCATAGTATTCCATAGTGTATATGTACCACATTTTCTTTCTCCCGTCTACTGTTTATAGGCATCTAGGTTGATTCCATGTCTTTGCTATTGTGAATAGTGCAGTGATGAACATATGTGTGCATGTGTCCTTATGATAGAATGATTGATATTCCTTTGGGTGTATACCCAATAATTGAATTGAATTGCTGGGTCAAATGGTAGTTCTATTTTAAGTTCTTTGAGAAATCTCCAGATGACTTTCCAAAATGGTTGAACTAATTTACACTCCCAGCAGCAGTGTATGAGCATTCCCTTTTCTCTGCAACTTTGCCAGCATCTGTTGTTTTTTGTCTTTTTAATAATAGCCATTCTGACTGGCATGAGATGGTACCTCATTGTGGTTTTGATTTGCATTTCCCTAATGATTAGTGATATTGAACATTTTTTCATATGCTTGTTGGCCATGAGTATATCTTCTTTGGAGAAGTGTCTATTCATGTTCTTTGCCCATTTTTTTTAACGGGGTTGTTTTTGACTTGTTGACATGTTGAGTTTCTTAAAGATTCTGGATATTAGACCTTTTGACAAATTAAAAATTTTTTTTTTTTTTTGTAGAAACAGAGTCTCACTATGCTGCCCAGGCTGGTCTGGAACTCTTGGGCTTGAGCGATCCTCCCCACTCAGCCTCTCAACCTCCCAAAGTGGTGCAATTATAGGCATGAGCCACTGCACCCCAGCCTCTCCTTGTTTTTTTTTTTTTGAGACAGGGTCTCTCTCCCGTTGCCCAGGCTGGAGTGCAGTGGCATGATCTTGGCTTGCAGTCTTGACCTCCCAGGCTTAGGTGATTCTCCCACTTCAGTCTCTGGAGTAGCTGGAACTACTGGCACACACCACCACACCCAGCTAATTTTTTGTATTATTAGTAGAAACAGGATTTGGCTGTGTTGCCCAGGTTCATCTTGACCTCCTGGACTCAAGTAATCTGCCTGCCTGGGCCTACCAGAGTGCTGGAATTATAGGCGTGAGCCACTGTGTCTGGCCTCCCTATTTTAAATAAGAAGGCAGGCCTTATAATTCTTGGCCTGAGAGATCTGAGCAGCAAGCAGAAGAGAATGAAGGCAGTTACCTATCACAATATTACTTTTGTAACCAGAAAATGACAGAAACGTTATTATTGTTTTTTATCTTTTATTTTAAGTTGGAGGGTACATATGCAGGTTGTTACATAGGTAAACTTGTGTCAGGGGATTATACAGATTATTTTGTTACCCAGGTACTAAGCCGCTTACCCAGTAGTTATTTTTTTTTGCTCCTCTTTCTCCTCCCACTCTCCACCCTCAGGTAGGCCCCAGTGTCTGTTGTTTCGTTCTTTGTGTTCATGAGTTCTCATAATTTAGCTCCCACTTATAAGTGAGAACATGCAGTATTTGGTTTTCTGTTCCTGTGTTAGTTTGCTAAGGATGGTAGCCTCCAGCTCCATTCATGTTGCTGCAAAAGACATGGTCTTGTTCTTTTTTAATGGCTGCACAGTATTCCATGGTGCATATGTACCTTTTCTGTATCCAATCTGTCATTGATGGGCATTTAGGTTGATTCCATGTCTTTGCTATTGTGAATAGTGCTGCAACAAACATTCGTGTGCATATGTCTTTATGGTGGAATAATTTATTTTCCTCCGGGTATATACCCAGTAATGGGATTGCTAGATTGCTAGGTTGAATGGTAGTTCTGTTTTTAGCTCTTTGAGGAATCTCCATACTACTTTCCACAATGGTTGAACTAATTGACACTCCCATCAACATTGTATAAGTGTTCCCTTTTCTCCACAACCTTGCCAGCATCTGTTATTTTTTGACTTTTAAAATGATAGCCATTCTGACTGGTGTGAGATGGTATCTCTTTGTGGTTTTGATTTGCGTTTCTCTAATGATCAGTGATATTGAGCTTTTTCTCAAATGCTTGTTAGCTGCATGTATGTCTTCTTTAGAAAAGGGTCTGTTCATGTCTTTTGCCCACTTTGTAATGGGGTTGTTTGATTTTTGCTTGTAAATTTGTTTAAGTTTGTTATAGATGTTGGATATTAGACCTTTGTCACATGCGTAGTTTGCAAATATTTTCTCACATTCTGTAAGTTGTCTGTTTACCTTGTTGATAGTTTCTTTTGCTGGGCAGAAGCTCTTAAGTTTAATTAGATCCCATTTGTAAATTTTTGCTTTTGTTCAATTGCTTTTGGCATCTTTGTCATGAAATCTTTGCCCGTTCCTATGTCCAGGATGGTATTGCCTAGGTTGTCTTCCAGAGTTTTTATAGTTTTGGGCTTTATATTAAAAAATACAACTAAAATTCCCACTTTAAACATCATGGAAAAAAATTCTGCAATGCCATTTGGCAAAACCATGCTACTGACTCCAAAGAGCTGTGGCTTGTGCTGCTGCTGCTGCTGCTGCTGCTTTTGTAGAGGATGGGGAGGCTGGACAAGGTTTCTGCACACTGTGGAGAGATTAGGAGACATCCATCCTTTCCAACTGGTCTGTAAGCAGCTCCTGAACATCTACTAAGAGCAATTTTGAGGGTTTATTTTGTGTACATATGATATATCGGGAGAGCCAAGCGTGGCACATGCCATTACCATCATTCTACTAACCAGAACATCTTATTAACCACTACTTTTATAGTAAGATCTTGTGGTACTTTCTGAATCATCCAGATTGGCTCAGCACAGATTTAGGATTAAGTGCTTTTTATTGTGATTCTATTCTTTGAAAATTAGTAATTCATGTAGGGTCTGAATCACAGCTTACTAACTAGAACTGTGGTTTCCAAGCATTTGCTTTTCACCAGAGGAGCAGCCCATTCTTACAACTGAAACTTAAGTGACGTTTACAAGGTCAAGGGAATGAATAAAAGCTCAGTGGCTCTGGTGCAGCCCGATTGCCTCCAGCAGCCCAGCTCAGTCTGACTTCCTCTCCTCCACCCAGGACACCCCAGGAACCCTTAGGGCTCTGCCAGCACCATTAGAAAACCGCAGAACTTACCCGTTTTCATGAGAATGAACTCTGTTCTAAACAAACACAGAAGGCAGAGATTCTATTGCTTGTGGATGGCCTAAGCTTATTACACATTACATATTGCTGTGACTTGCAGGGAGGTGGAGAAGGGGAAAAGAAAAGGGTGTCTCTCTTGGCTGGGAAAGATTTGGAAGTCCCCAATCCCTTTCCCTCCACTAAACCTCATCATTTATGCTTTCATTTGGACTATGAAATCTGAGAGTGAGATAACGCTGCTTTATGGAATGCAATATAAAATTGAATTTAACCTCAAATTTTAATGTATTCCAGGGTCAACCAGACATTTGAAATATAAGAGAGAAAAATGCTCTAACCATGCTGGCTCAGAAGACGTTTGAGTTTTAAGATTCATTGTGCATGACAAATTTCTTCACCTTCCCTCTTTTTCTCAATTACAATCAGATTTCTCAGTGTTCCTCCATATTCATTTACCAGTGATGTGGCTTCACGTGTCCTGGTCGGACACAGCTGAGTCCAAATCCTTACCGCATCATTTAGTAGCTGTGTGTCAGGAAGTATGGTATCTAAGCTCTGTGAGCCTCAGTTTCTCTCTGCAAAGGGGGAGAGAAAAGGCACTTAGTTCAATGGGTGGCTGTGAGGATCAAATAATGTATTTAAATATTTATCATAGTGCCCAGTACATTGTAAATATACAAAAAAGTTTTATTATTATTGTGATTTTAGTTTGTAAGATTCAAAACAGTGAATTTTTTTTGTTTTGAGACGGAGTTTTGCTCTGTTGCCCGGGATGGAGTGCAATGATGTGATCTCAGCTCACTGCAATCTCTGCTGCCCAGGTTCAAGCAATTCTGCTGTCTTGGCCTCCCAAGTAGCTGGGACTGCAGGTGCACGCCACCATGCCCGGCTAATTTTTGTATTCAAAACAGTGATATTTAAAAAAAACCAGCCACTCATGGCCCACAAGAATCACCAGGAGTGCTTTAAAAATTGTGAATTACGGATAGCCTGGACGAATTGAATGAAATATTTTGGGCTGGGGTCCAGGCACTGGTAATTTAAAAAATTACTTCTAATGGCCAGGTGCAGTGGCTCATGCCTGCAATCCCAGCACTTTGGGAGACTGAGGCAGGTGGACCACCTGAGGTCAGGAGTTCGAAACCAGCCTGACCAATATGGTAAAACCCCATCTCTACTAAAAATACAAAAATTAGTTGGGCGTGGTGGCGCATGCCTGTAATGTCAACCACTAGGGAGACTGAGGCAGGAGAATCACTTGAACCTGGAAGGCGGAGGTTGCGGTGAACCGAGATCACACCACTGCACTCCAGCCTGGGCAACAAGAACGAAACTCTGTCTCAAAAAAAAAAAAAGAAAGAAATTGCCTGTAACGTACAGCCAGGTTGACAGCCACTGGGATGAAATATGCAGCTGTGGGCGAGAATGCCCGAGAGGGAGTGTGGGGGTACCCACGGGGATGCTTTGCCTCCCATGACAGGGCAACTGGAGGAGCATGGAGTGAAGGTGACAGTGAGGAGTGAGGACAGAGAGGAACTGATTTCAGAGAGAGGTTTGGAGATAAGGGAATCGATAATCAGACCTCTAATATTCATTTTTTTTTTTTTAATTCTAGAGACAGGGTCTCACTCTGTTGCCCAGGCTGGAGTGCAGCTGCGTGATCATGGCTCACTATAACCTCAAACTCCTGGGCTCAAGGGATCCTTCCACCTTGGCCTCCTACAGTGCTAAGATTACAGGCATGAGCCACTGCACCTGGACTCATGGCCCTTTATCATTTTCAAAGTTTTGTCCCATAATTAACTCATTAAATCCTCTCGATGACCCTGTGAGGTGCATGGGGCACATGGTATGCTCAATTAAAGAAAGGGGCATTGAGCTGCAAACAAATCATTTGCTCCAGCCAAATAGTACCTTGTAGGCAGGATCACATTGAAATCCACATCTGACTCCAGATGTTTTTCCAGGATACCATTAAGCCTCTTACTTAGCTCCTCTACCTGGTAGCTGTCCCCTACTGGCTTCTTAACTAGTGAGGGGCAGTTCTGGAGAAACTTTCTGTTTAGTATGCAAGGAGCCAGAGTGGCTTTTTGCCTTTTTCACAAATGATATGAGTAGGATAAGAGAAGGTTCGAGTAGAAGTAAATGGCATAATGTGACTCTCTGTATTGCATTGGCCAGCCTTGCTCTGAGAGCTTTGAACTACAAGCAAGCTGACAGAGTCAGGAGGAATTTTCATGTCAACAACAGGTCTTGATGTTGCTGCTTTGGTGCCCAGGTTCACGGATGTTGAATAAAGTTTGCGAAAGGGAGACAAATATATTACATGATGGATTTCAAGCTACTTGTGTTGTATTCCAGGAAAAGCTGACCTGAGAATACATGATGTTCTCAGTGTCCCATGTAACTTCTTAGAAGAACCTGTTCCAAAGTAAACTGTGGTCTGGATAACAGCAAAACGCGTACACACATATGCACCCACCCCACTCTCCCAAGGGACAGTAGCCAAAAATTGGATCCAACTCTTAGGTACTCTGTGGTTTACTGTTTCTTTGACACTCTAGCGCTGTTGAGTTAGTCCAGCATAAACTATCTAGTTTTGCTACCTTGTGGGATCTGTTGCAACTTTAAATGTTGGAAGCAGATGGAGGGTTTACAGGAATTGTCTAACTAGGCATTGCATCTTGATTTGTGGTCTCACAACTGGTTATGGTGTTGATCTGAATTCAAAGAAGCAAATGACCACAGCATCAGGATATGGGTTGGTCTTGAAAACAAGGGTGGATGCTCATTCAGATGCAGCCTTCTGGGAACCAAACTTGTTTTGTACCATGAAAGAGACCATCAAGGTGTTTTTCTTTGTTTTTGTTTTTAATGAGGCTTGGTTTAGTAATTTATTCAGAGACTTCAAACTGCATGCAAAATCCCCCAGGATCTGAAGGAGTGAAGGGCAAACTATTTTATTTATTTATTTATTTATTTATTTATTTTATTATTTTTTTTTAATTATACTTTAAGTTTTAGGGTACATGTGCACATTGTGCAGGTTAGTTACATATGTATACATGTGCCATGCTGGTGCGCTGCACCCACTAACGTGTCATCTAGCATTAGGTATATCTCCCAATGCTATCCCTCCCCCCTCCCCCAACCCCACCACAGTCCCCAGAGTGTGATATTCCCCTTCCTGTGTCCATGTGATCTCATTGTTCAATTCCCACCTATGAGTGAGAATATGCGGTGTTTGGTTTTTTGTTCTTGCAATAGTTTACTGACAATGATGGTTTCCAATTTCATCCATGTCCCTACAAAGGACATGAACTCCTCATTTTTTATGGCTGCATAGTATTCCATGGTGTATATGTGCCACAGTTTCTTAATCCAGTCTATCATTGTTGGACATTTGGGTTGGTTCCAAGTCTTTGCTATTGTGAATAATGCCGCAATAAACATACGTGTGCATGTGTCTTTATAGCAGCATGATTTATAGTCATTTGGGTATATACCCAGTAATGGGATGGCTGGGTCAAATGGTATTTCTAGTTCTAGATCCCTGAGGAATCGCCACACTGACTTCCACAATGGTTGAACTAGTTTACAGTCCCACCAACAGTGTAAAAGTGTTCCTATTTCTCCACATCCTCTCCACAGGGCAAACTATTTTAAATCATGTTGCAGTCATGGTTACTAAGAGACATAGTGCCCAGGAAATCTCTGTGTTCCATCTTTAGGGATTTACCCATGAGGATGTCAGAAACAGAGTCAGAGAAATGGTAGGCTCATGGCATGCTTTCTGATTCTGATCAAGATAACTATCAACATAGTTTTGGCTGGGTGTGGTGGTTCACCTTGGTAATCCTAGCACTTTGGGAGGCTGAGACGGGCAGATCACTTGAGGTCAGGAGTTGGAGACCAGCCTGGCCAACATGGTGAAACCCCTCTCTACTAAAAATACAAAAATTATCTGGGCATGGTGGTGCATGCCTGTAATCCCAGCTACTTGGGAGGCTGAGGCATGAGAATCGCTTGAAACCGGAAGGCGGAGGTTGCAGTGAGCCGAGATCATGCCATTGCATTCCAGCCTGGAGGACAAGAGCGAAACTCTGTCTCAAAAAAAAAAAAAAAAGATAGTTTTGATAAATTGTCATGAGGAAAGATAGGCACAACTGGATAAGCTGAGAAGAAGCAAGATCACACATTGCCAGTTACCCTGCCTTGCCTCTGTTCCTCAAATGTGCTGTGCTCCTTCCTACCACAGGGCCTTGCTGGGGCCTTCCCTCTGCCCCACCTGTCTTTTCCAGATTAGTTCCTAACCCTCTGTTATGGGTTGAATTGTGCTCCCCTAAAAGATATGTTGAAGTCCTGATCCCTAGTATCTCAGAATGTCACCTTGTTTGGAAATAGGGTTGGTGCAGGTGCTGTTAGTTAAGACGAGGCCATTCTGGAGTAGGGTGAGCCCTTAATCTAACATGACTGTTGTCCCTATAAGAAGGCCATGAAAGACTCCCAGGGAGAACACTATCTGGCAGGAGTCAGACCTTGGAGGGATGTAGCTGCAAGCTAAGGAAGGCCTAGGATTGACGACCATGACCAGAAGCAAGGAAGAGGCAAGGAAGGATTCTGTCCAGGGTCTCAGGGGGAACATTGCCCTGCTGACAACTTAATTTTGGACTTCCAGCCTCCAGAATGGTGAGAGGATAAACGGTGGCTTTAAGTCACCTAGTTTGTGATGGTTTCTTAGACAGCCCTTGGAAACTCATGTACCATCCCTCTGCTCTGAGTTCAAATGTCATCTTTTGGAGAAGCCTTCCAGATCCTCCCACAGCCTAGGGTATATCCTCCTGCTATATGATCACCTACCACCTCAACGTTTCCTTCATTGCCCTTATGACATTTAGCACTTACTGCTGAGTTCCCTATTAGATTGGAAACTCTCTGAAATGAGAGACTATGTTTCTAGGACTCATCATTGCATTCCCAGCAATCAGGGTGGTATCTGCCAGCAGCATCCACTCTTTAAATATTTGTTCAATGAAACAATGAATAATGAGTAAATAATATTTTAAAACTTTATTTCTAGCGTTTCACAATTATCTGGGGGCTAACAGTTTATGAACAGAAATTTTCTCATTAAAACTCATTTTACTTGAAAGAAGGGATTACTTTCTTGGAAGCTTAAAATCCAGCATTTTCATGCTTAGTCATAATATTTTTCTTCAAAGTAATAAAAAAAATTTAGGCTTTCTTTTATAGAAATAGTTTTCAAGATGGAAACAGTAAGAAAAAAATATTGCTTAAATTGTGTGAAGTCTCCCTCTCCTTTTTCCTCTCTAAAATGCAATTTAGAATATATTTTGAATATCATTTTCTTTATGGAGTCATCACTTAAGGGAATAACAGGACTATTCATTGACTATGAAATGAGTCAACAAGTTGTTGAAAGTATCTTCCTTACCTTTTACTTGGTGCCTTCCGCCTTTCTTTGAAGCTGCTGGTATGGATTGCGAAGTATCTTTCTAAAGCTTCCTATTCCCTTTTGGCCAGGCATAATAGTTAAAGGGAACACTCAGAAGATGGAAAATGTATAAAGTAATGCATTGAAATAAGTATTTATCTTCACCTTTAAGTATTTATTCCAAAGTTATTAGAAACATTGTCGTACCTCTTATTTTGGAAGAATTTCTAAAGCTTGGGAGAAAATCAGTTTTATTACTATATTGTCATGCCTGGTTTTGGAGAAAACAAATAGATGTCTTCTTTATTCATCTGTGTGATCTCCATATAATTTCTGACCTTTTTGAAGGATGAAAATTTGTTCATGATGGGGATATTTGAAGGGTTGGGCTCTGAAAGAGGGGGACAAGAGGGCTTAGCAATGTCAGCTGTAGTGCAGTAGGAAATGCTGTGCGTGTGGGTGAATTTCAGCCCCACGAGTGATGTTGAGCTAGTCTTTAAATGACCTGAGTCTCAGTTTCTTCACTTGTAAAATGAAAATAGTATTTCCTAATGCTGCTAAGAGGATCACTTTTAACAGTATGTCAGATGCTTATGAAAATGCTTTACCACACATTAAGTGCTCTGTGGCTATGAATCAAATTCGAAGTTAATTAGCTATAATTATACTGTATGCTTCGGAAACACATTGCCACTTACAAAATACTTTGTATACGTTGTATTATTTGAGATTTAAAATAGCTAAGCAAACTGGGCTAGGCACTAATCTGTTCCGATGAACAAGATATAGTTCCCAGTATCAAGGCACTTATGGTCTAGTGGAAGAGACAGGCACATAAACAGATAATTTCAATGGTAAGTATAGTAATAAAGGCATATCTGAAGAACAATCAAAGCAGACAGGCATTCAATGACTGTGTCATGTGCTCTGCATTGTACTTGATGTGTGTTATCCCATTAAATCCTTATAAACAACCACAAAACAGTAATAATTACCTGGCGGACTTGTCTGCAGTCGTAGAGCTGGTAAAGGATGAAATTGAGACTGAAATCTAGATGTGTCTCCAGAGTCTGAGGCTTGAGTTCTGCCCTTGACAGATACTTCATAGGTGTTCAGTTTTTATAACTGAGTAATAAGTCACCTCAAACTTAGTGACATAATACAATAATAATTTTATTATACTCATGGGTTTTGGTGGGCTATGTATCCATAAAATGGAACATCTTGTTCCATGATGTCTGGATCTCAGCTGGGCACACTGAAAGGCTGGGGTGACGCAACAGCTGAGGACTGGAGGGCTAACTTACTCACATGTCTGGTGGTGATAATGGCTGTCAACTGGGACCTTAGTTTGGGCCATTAGACAAAACACCCACATGTGGCCTCTCCATGTGACTTATTGAATTTCCTCACTGCATGGTTTCTGAGTTTTTTTTTTTTCTTTTGACTAAGTTTTAAGAGTGAGAATCCCAAAAAGAACCAGGCAGAAGCTGTATAGCTTTAAAAAATCTAACCACACAGGTCGGAAGTCACACAGTGTCATTTCTGCCAGAATTCCAAGCCAGACTTGCACCCCAGACTCAAGGGGAGGGGATGTAAACCCCACTTTTCATGTGAGGAGTCCCAAAGTCATATTGTAAGAAGATCGTAATGGGATTAGAAAATACAATCTGCCACAGTCTACCCTTTGGCCACAATAGTTCACATACCTCTCACATGCAAAATACACACATCCCCTTCTCCAAGAGCCCAAGTCTCATCTCAAAATGGCATCAGCTTGAAATCCAGGATCTTATCACTTACATCAAGTCCAGCGTGATGAAACTCTTCACGTAGCTCCTCTGATGCAGTTTCTCTAAAGACCAGTGAACTAAAGAGACAAGTTATCTGCCTTCCCCCTTACCCATCAAATATACAATGTGGGATAGGCCTTGACTAACTGTAATAGCGCTCCCATTTAGAAAGAGAAAAAATAGGAAACACACTGATTTCCCAGCTATTATCACTAGTCCATAGCAATTTTGAAATTGAGCTGGACGTATGTTGTCAGTTCCTTAATTAGGGCTCAGTCCTACTGCCTGGGAGTTTTCTCTTGGCTTTTGCTTCTATTCTCTGAGTTATCTTTCTTTTTCCATAAGAAACTGCTAGTATTTGCCACTGAGTAGTTTTCTCAGCTGGTTTCTTTACTTGTAGTACTTTAAGGATCAAAGAAGAACTCCTGTTTCTGTTCTGCTCTTTGTCTTTTAAAATCAAAGCTGATATAATTAAAAAAAAATCTTTGCAGATTTCCTATGTATCTATTTATAAACCCCTCCATTGCTTAAAACCCATGCCACAAAACTCTTGGCAGTAAGTCTTTTCTACCTCAGGCTCTCTGTGAGACTACTGTGGGACAATACCCTTGTAGTTGTTAGAAACCACATTGTTTAATGGAGAATGTCTCTGAAGTATGCCCTTCAGATCTTCAGAACTTTTGCTCATTGGAAAGATGCTACAAGGTTCAAACAAAGGTTCTTAGTGTCCCAGCCTAGATTTGACTTTTGGCCTGAAATCCTTTGTTAATTTAATAATTGTTTGCCACTCAAGAGGCTGAGAATGGAAAACAGTTTTATGTTTGAACCCACTAAGTCCTGTCTTCTTTATATTCAACACTCCATTCCTTAACTGATTTCTTTCCTCACATTTTTTTGTAGGATACAAGAAGAAGCCGGCTGTCATTTTCAATATTGTGACTAGAAATCTCCTAATCTAGTTCACTGAGTTTATTAGATACAACCCTACTTTCTACGTTACTGCAAGTGACAGTGTTGCTAAACTTTCTGCCTCTACTAGCAAGGGTGTCCTCTTCTCCAGCTTTCAATAACATTGAAAAAAAAAAATGTTCCTTTAATACTTCACCAACAGCCCCCTCAAAGCCTTATAGGTTTCCACCAATCAACCAACACCAAGTCAATGCTAAATGTTTTAGGTTTTACTATGGCAGCATACTTTTTTTCTTTTTTGATACTGAAATAGGTATCAAAACCTATTTCAGATACTATTGATTTACCACAAACTACCCCAAACTTACTGGCATATGAGAGCAAATATTTTGTTAGTTTGCGGATTCTGTGCATCAGGAATTCTAGACATGCCAGTAGAGATATCTTGTTTTGGTTCCATGATGTCTGGGACCTCAGTTGGGGATGCTTGAAGACTGAGGATGAGTTGATGACTCAAGTATAGACTCATCTGAAGATATGTTTACTTGTATGTCTGGTAGTTGATGCTGGCTGTTGTCTGGGACCTTAGCTGGGAATGTCAGCCTGACCATTTACATGCAGCCTCTTCCTTTGGCTGCCTGGGCTTTGTGGCTGGGTTCCAAGAATAAACTCCAAAGAGAATCAGGGAGAAATTATAACACCTGTTAAGATATAGCTCTACAAATAATAGAGCCTTAACATCTTTCTGATATGGTCACAAACCTGCCCATATTTAAGGAGAGGGAATATAGACCTTCTCTTGTTGGAAGAAGTATCAAAGTTATTGAAGAATAGCCTGTGGATGGGAGATGCTATTGTAGCCATTTTGGAAAATATAATCTGCCATGATCAGAAACTATTGGATCATAAAGAATGAATATCTGAAGATTCCAGAAAGGCTGTCAGAGGGAGAGGATCCCTAATCTGAGTCTTAAAGGATGAACTTGGCAAGAGTAAGTGTTAGCATGTTTTTCAGTTAATAGCAAGGAAACAATTATGAGTATAATCTCTTAAATTGTTAGGGGAATAACATCCTGAAGTGACTA
The DNA here is from genome assembly GCF_000001405.40 of Homo sapiens. Classification (NCBI taxonomy): domain Eukaryota; kingdom Metazoa; phylum Chordata; class Mammalia; order Primates; family Hominidae; genus Homo; species Homo sapiens. Next base: position 97,510,372 of record NC_000008.11, on the reverse strand, counting down.
CTTTGAAATGAAAACACTCATTTGTATATGCAAGTCATAGTGTATTAGAAATGTTCACTTTATTTTATAGTCAAACCTCACACTAAATAAATGCTTAACAATGATCTCTAAATGGTAAAAACAGTCACTGATTCAAGAGATATAATTCAAATGGAATTGGTAACAGAGAACCTATAAATAGGAGAAACTGATAAATAATAATGAAGACAATTCAAGCAGTGGCATCCAGTAAAAAGAATTTCATGGTAGGGAGAAAAGGACCTTAGGATCTGTCACATTGAGATACAAAGGGATTGCAGGCAGCAAATCACATAGTAGCACAACATGGGGCTAAATGCAGCCAGGATTGATTAACATCTAGTACAGAGGAATAATTGTTTTTCCCATTAATAGCTCTGAGTCACTGTCCTGGTAGCACTCTTCTGGATGAGACCGTCTATGCCAATACCTTTTGCTGTTCAAATAATAGCCTGGTAGGGTATAGATGGACACTGGATCTCTAAATCTCACCTTCCCCCACAAACTGCTGCTCTTTTTAATGGAGCTTTGTAGACACTAAACTCCTCAAAGCCCTAGCTCATTTCTCTGTCCTACCCTAGTTTGGTCCAGTATTTATTTATTTATCTTTACATTTAATTCTGTGGATAGCTCTATCATTCACATTGTTCAAAAAACCAGGAAGTATCAATAGATACACCATGAAATTCTCCCTCCCATCCTTGTCCTCATTCCACTTCCTCATATATAATCACAGTTCTTAGTTTCTTATGTATTGTTCTAGAGTTTCTTCATGCATAGACAAGCAAATACAAACACAAATTTTAATTTTCTTCCTACCTATCCTTGCCCCCTGCTTTTTAAACCCCAAAGATAGTATATTATACTAAATGTTCTTTATCTTGCTTTTGTTATTTTACTCCATCTCGTGTATATTTTGTGTATGTATGTACATATTACAGGCATCAAGAGGATTCTTAAATCTTATTTCATGGGAGGTATTGGAGAGAATATAGATACTGCGATTAGGACCAACATGGGTTTGAAACTTACCTTTTGCATTTGAAACTCATGTAATATTGGACAAATGTCTTAATCTTTTAGAGCCAATTTTCTCATTTGAGAGTAGTGATAATAATACTGTGCAGGTTTGTAGTGAGATTATCAATAAAAGAGTATATATCAATGGCCTAGAACATATTAGATACTCAATAAAAACTACCTATCATTATTACTTCATCACCAGAGTTTAAAATGACACTAGTTACTTTTTAGTGCTTCCACAATCATCCTGATCTGGTTCTGGAGGGACTTAAGGCTTCTCTCTTAAACAGGCTGTATCTCTATTCTGCTAGGGAAATCATGTTCTAGATGCCCTTCAAGGACTCACAATCTCTGATAAGCATCAGCAATACTGCTAAAAATACCAATAATGTAGCTGTTTCATGGTACTTAAAGAGAACAATGAAAAATACCAGGTCTTAGAAAGACACTTGTGTGATGCTTCAGATGCATTGGCTACTATGGTAGATTGCATTTTTAGCCCCAGCTCTTCACTATGTCCTATATCCATGCCACTTGCCATGTGACTTTGTAGTTCCCCCTATGAAAGGGATGGAAGTATATACTTCCCTGTCTCTTGACTTGGGTTGGGCCATGTGATTTGCATTGGCCAAGAGAAAGAGGTGGAAGTAATAGTGCATCATTTTTGAGCCTCATTTTCAAGAGGTCTATGTGTTTCCATTTTCCTTTTTATGTTCTGCCATTGCTGTGAGGAGAACACATCTAGGCCTCTGATGCTAGGAGGGGGAAAAGAGGTACACAGAACAGATGCAACCCAGCTGAACCCTCCCAGTCAGACCACCCTAGCTGAGCCCAGCCTAGATCAGCTGACTCCCAGCCAACCCACAGATATAAAAGTTAAATGCTTACTGTTAAACTCTAAGATATTGTGGTTTTTTTGTTACACAGAAATAGCAAACCGATACAATTACATTTCACCAAGTGCTAGGAAACGGTTGAAAAATACTAGAATATTTAGGAAAAGCCACGACTAGTTATGTCCGATTTATCAGGGGAAGGGCAGGAGTCAGGACGAATAAGAAATGAGATGGTTAGATGTGTTTACAATACAGCCAAACAGGGTTGAGGAGGGAGAATCCAAATCATCTGCAAGTACCTGAAGCATGAATGTTAGGGATGGAGTAAATAGTTTACTGGGCTCCAAGAGGAAACATCTAGGAAAAAAAATGCATCAATGCTGAGGGCAACAAAAACTTCTTAAGGTGGTGCAAGAAAATGTCTTCATGAAAAGATCTGTCTCATTCTTGCTCCTGAGGAAGCAATGGGGGCCCCTCGCTCCAATACTTTTAAATTTGACTGAACAAGAAAATAGAAACACACTGTGGAAGTAACCTCTGGCCAACTGGATGGTAGCTAGAATCAACAGGCCAGTAAAATTGAACATCCAAATCTCATTAGACAGATGGGCATCTATTCTATCCCCATTGATCTTCCTGGTGTCTAACTATATCAGCCTGTGAATTTTAGACAATTTAAAAGAGGATTGGAAATAATCTCTTGACCCAGAACACACTCCTTTAAAATTAGACATAAAGCACAAATGGACCTGATCAGGAGTCTAGTTTAATGGGCTTTGGGTCAGAAAGCAATTGGGGTAAAGTCGGGTTGGTCTTCCTAAAGATGGCTCACAGCCTGAGACTATCGTTGGATTATGGATGGCCATTCTGGGGAGAGGCCTCATTGCTGTGATCACTAAATGCACAGGAAGGCTGGCAAGTACTGGTCTGGCTGAGAGCTGTTGTTTTTCATGTAATAGCAAGACAACATTTCAGGGCAAAGTAACTCCAAAAGAAGTTCCCGTTCCCTGGATAAATACAGGCTTTCAGTGCTCCAAACAGCCATTCCAATTTCTTCTTCAGGAAACACATTTTATTCTAAAAGACCCATTTAGAAGTCTTTATTGCAATTTGGAGAGTTGAATAGTCTGTTAGTTAGAAAGGAATGAATTCTATGGGAGCATTGCTGGGGTTCTTTTGGTGGGAAGGAATTCACAAGGGGACAGGGCAACACAATGTACCTTGTCACTATTAGCAGAGAAGGAAATGTTCTGTCTTTGGTTTTAACAGGGGCTTGGGCTATATGAGTAGCTTTTCCTGGTATTAGCAATAATCTACCTCACCTCATAATGCTTTAAAAATAATTTGAATTGGCTTTTGCGGATTTCTTACAGATGAATTTCTTCTAGTGTCTGGAAATAGACACCTGTGAGGCTTGCCACAGCCTCTTTCCTAAGGTTGATTTAATCAGAGCAGGTGATTTCTGCTTTCTGTGATCTTGTTCTGGCTTATAATGTCTTGACTTCCATGGGTTAATACAAACAAATAGAACTCTTAGAAAGTAGATAGAGCACTGTCATTCTTAGGGGTAAATATTTCAGTAACAGCATGGAAAGATCAGGTTCTAGGCCAATTGGTGATGATTCTGGAATGTAGATTTACATGAATGTGAAAGCTTTTCCTATGTAAGTGATAGAACTCTCTCCTATATTTGTACATACAGGAAATACTTTAACCTTCCATTTACATTTTTAATAAACAGATGGAGACACTCTCTAAATTTTTTAAATGACTAATTCAAAGTCACACAATAGCTGGAAGTATTGGAAAGTTCTGGGATTGGGTAAAATATTCTTATCACAAAAGGGGTATGCTTTCATGATATAAATTGTAGAATCCGATAAGCAAAAGAAAATTAAAATTGTCTATAATCTCCCCATCCAATGAGTGATGAAAAGCTCCAGAAATGTACGTGTAGCAGGTCAGCCCTCTCCCTGCATCTTCATCTGCTGGCAGGAGAGCAGAGGGATTCCCAGAACTCTGCAAACTTGTCTTCTACTGCCCCCCTCCCTGCAACATTGATGGCTTTAATACCATTGCTGACTTGAAACCATCAGCATGAATCATCCGGGAGTCAGTTTACCTCCATCTTCCTGGTCACCCTTATTCCCCAGGACTCTAGTGCCTGTAAGGCTCTGTGCATCCCCTTTTCTGACCTACTCTCTCTGCCCCTCACACCCAGAATTCTCAAATTTGTTATACTGTGCCCTCTGGAACCACAGTCAGCTATTGACCTGTATCTCCAGCCTCTTCTCAGAAATTCTTCTTCTCCTCCTTGCTCTAACAACTGAACCCTGGCCCCCCTCTGCCTCCCTTTGATACAGGGGCTGCTTTCTCTCCTATATTCCTTCATGAAGCCTAGAGATGGGTTTGGTGTCCTCCTTATTCTTCATTGCCACTTTCAGATCATTCTCCTTGTCTTCTTCCTGGAAACCCTAGCTTTGAACCTCAATCAAATGGTAGCACCTATGATTTCTTCTGTTGCAAATGTCTTCCAACCTCTACCTTCCCCCACCTCTCATCCCTCGAAGAGTGGTGCTCTGTGTCATGCTTTCTATAGGGATACAACCTCTCTTGATATGAGTCTGGGAGGTTTTTAATATCCACATACATGACTGTGCTAGCACCCTTGCTTCTCAGTTCTTTTACTCTCTCTCCTCCAATGATCTTTTGCTCCACCATATCTCAGCCTCCACTTCAAGGTCATACCCTAGGCCTCACCATCACTGATAACCATGCCATGTCCACAATATCAGCTGGAAGCATACCACTCTTTGCAGCTTACTCCCTCTAGTATCCTAATGATGAAACTTTTAGCACCACTGACAGGCACAATCCATCAAGCCCTCCCTCTTTTGCTTCACTTGGATTCCATGGTCCAAATTCTATCACTCCCTCATGTATACTCTTAATTTCCTTTCTTTTTCTCCCTTTATTATATTCTCTTGGCAAATTCCTGTTTAAATTCAACTGTGCTGATTCTGTGTCTGTTCAATGAGTACAGCTGGAGAAAAACTCTCATGGTCATGCTGACTGGAGCTCTTTTAAATTCATGGCCATTAACTTCAAGTGGGCCTTTGTTGCTGCCTGGCAATCTCATTACGTTTTCCTAGTCCACTTACACTCCCACCCCTCTGGTTAGCTATTTCACATCTTTTTCTCTCTTCTCAAGCCCCATCCACAATCCTTACTATGAGACAGGCTTGCTGCCTATTGTCACTGAGAAAATAGAAGCCATTAGAAAACATCCACTGGCCGGGCGTGGTGGCTCATGCCTGTAACCCCAGCACTTTGGGAGGCTGAGGTGGGCGGATCACGAGGTCAGGAGATCCAGACCATCCTGGCTAACATGGTGAAACCCCATCTCTACTAAAAATACAAAAAATTAGCCGGGTGTGGTGGCAGGTGCCTGTAGTCCCAGCTACTCGGGAGGCTGAGGCAGGAGAATGGCATGAACCCAGGAGGCAGAGCTTGCAGCAGTGAGTCGAGATCGCCCCACTGCACTCCAGCCTGGGTGACAGAGCGAGACTCTGTCTCAAAAAAAAAAAGAAAAGAAAAGAAAACATCCACATGTGACCATCACCACATCTACCCACCTAACTGCATCTGGGTCTTTATACTCAGCCTGCTGTCCTTTATGGATGAATTATCTATGCTCCATTTATGGGCAGCACCTCCAGTTTTTCACAAATTCCCCTTCTCTCTCATCTACTCATGAACATTACAAATTTTGCATGTATGTGTGTGGGTCCTGTCCATATACAGTTTTTGATTAAAAGATGTATTGCAAAATTCATATGAGGTCTAATGATTTACTGATGAAGATTTAGGATAATGGATGGAGAGGAAGTTCTTATGTATTTAGTTATTATCCCATCAGTGGAAGTGAAGATTCATCATTGTGTCCAGGCAACAACTCTCCTGTTCAGATCCACGGACAATGCCTTTGTGTTCTTTGTTGCCCAATGTGATGTTTCCAACTAATTTCACATCTCCTATCACAAGAAAAGGTAGTGAGGCTATAATTACTTTGCAGTGGCGCTTCAGAACCTGTTTGCATTAAAACAATATTGATCTTCTTGCCTCTGCATTTCCCTGATATCATTATTTGATGCTGGTTATCTTATTATTCATCATGCTGTATCGTTTATTATGCTGCTTGTGAATGCCAGCTTGCAATGACTCTCTAAAATAACCTTTGAGCTTCATTGCTCACCACCACAAATGGAATTCTCACCCACAGCATGCAGGAAAATGAGAAAAATGCTTAATTTTTTGGTCATGTTAGATGAACCATTCAGAAGTTTATTGTATGAGTGTAGAACAACACAGTGTCTAGGCTGTAATCTCTGTATTCCTAGTTCTAAGTATCTAAGTGCACACACTGCCACCAAGAAGGAAGGATAAGAGAGGGGACCACGGATGGAATGAGGAGAGTGGTTCCATTCACTCCAGGAACACTCACTGTCCTTTCAACATGATTTAAGATCAACTTGGGAGAGCATGACATCACCACATCAGGTGGACACAAGAGAGGACATCAGTTGGAAGGGCCCACTGGTATTGCAGAGCAATGGTCTTAAAAAGTTCTTAGAGGAGATAGGCATGCCCCTTCTGGAGTACTGCCTGACACATGGAGTGGAGCCTGTAGAGGGGGTGGGTGACTGCCTTGGGTGCTAGGAACAGGGGCACACAGGATAAAGGATTCTTGGCACCACCTTCTACTGTGGACCAGAGGTGGTATTATAGTCAAAATACAGCTGAGTGAGAATTGTCATACAGGTGCATTCACACCCAAGAGATGGTGGCAGACTATTGGTTGCCCCAGTCCCAGAATTCATCCAATATCCTATGTGAATCACCAAAAATCAGTAGGTCAGCACCATTCTAGTGGCCTGGTTTTGTACAATCCTACAAAAGAAATACTGTTCTGGTGGTGAGTCGGAAGGAAACATTGACTAGGATGCCTCCTGGAACTCAGATCCAGCCATGCAGCCTCAAAATTCCTCCATACACATGGGTCCAGGAGTGTCTTGGGGCAGCTGGTTGACCCCACATATGGGATAGAGTGATAGAGAGTGTCTTGGAGGGCAGAAATGGATCCCAGAGTCTATGCTTGTAACTGTCTAGGCTTGGGACTTCCCACTCAGATGGTGTTGCTGGTCCCAGCCAGTCCCAGGCATTGAAAGGAGACTTAGACAATTTCAAGGGAGGTACTTCTGGTGACTACCAGGGTACCAGGATCAGACTTGAGTCACTTTTCCTAGATGGCATTAATGGCTATGTCTGGACTCAAGCACTGGAGGGGGGCTTAGAAAAAGTTGAGGAAAGCACTCCAGAGCAAGGGGTCTGGGGTGGGGACTATACTTACTTGCATGTAATAGAAGTAATTGCAAGGAACAATTTCTGCCTTCACCTTCTTTGACTTTTCAGAAGAATTTGCCACAATTGATTACTTCTTCTTTCCGGAAACATTTTCTTCATGTACCTTTTGGGACCCCACAGTCTCCTGGTTCCCTTTCTACCTTAGTAACTACTTTTTCTTAGCCTTTGCTCATTCCAACTTACCTCTTTGGCTTCTAAATATTGGAGACTCTTAAAGCTTAGTCAGTTTCTAGATGACTTTTATCTAGGGACATCATTTAAGGAATCATTGTATGTTCACCATGTATGCTTACTGTCTAATTCCAGGGGACACTATTCATAAAAACTACAATACAGGCCAAACTGTGTCCTGTGAAACCTGAACAATTGATCTAATTTTGCGGCTTTAAATATTTTTCATACCTCATGGCAATGGACTCCTCTGAACTTCAGACTCATATATATTCAATGGCCTTTTCAACATCTCCACTTGCATGTTAAATCTAACGTCTAACACCAAATTCTTTCAATCAGATTCTCCCCTAAATCTGTGCCTCTTCTAATCTCCTTGGCTCAATCAGTGGCCATTCTCTCATTCTAGTCCAGTCTAAAAACCTGTGATTTATCCTTGACTCTTCTTTTCTTCTTACCCCAAATCCCATTTGTCAGCAAATCCTGTTGGTTCTACCTTCAAAATTTACCTAGAATCTGAATATTTCTCACTACTCTTACTATTACCACCATGGTCTAACTCACTATCATCTCTCTCGTAGTATTGCAATATTTTTCTAACTGGTATCAATACATCTATCTTTTTGCTTCCTTCAGGCATTCTTAACACAGCAGCCAGTATGAACGAGTTTAAATATGTCAGCTCATGGCACTCCTCTGCCCAGAACATCCAGTGGCTTATGATATCACCTGGAGTTAAATCCAAAGCTATCAATATGGCTCCCAAGACCCTACATGGTCTGGCCTCTGCTACCTCTCCCACCCCTTCTCCCACTTCTCACCCTTTGTTCATGCCACTTCATCCATAATTATTTGGTTGCTGGTCCTTGAACATGGCAAGCCTGCTCCCAGCCCACAGCCTTAGCACTTGTTCTCTTAATCTGGCCTGCTCTTCTCTCAAGTGTCTTCTGGCTTGCCCCCTCGCCATCTTGGTGTCACCAATCAGCTGCCTTCTTGTCACTGAAGACTTCCCTGATCACCTTAATTGAAACAGCAAACATCTTCCCTCCAACAACTGATACTCCCTACCCTCCTGTTTCTTGCTTATTTTACCCACAGCACCATTACCTTCAGATACACTATATGCAATCATATATTTCATAATGACTGTTTGGTCAATGACAATGGTTCCAAAAGATTATAGTGGAACTGAAAAATTTCTATCAACTAGTGGTATAACATCATAGCACAACAGATTACTCATGTATTTGTGGTGGTGCTGGTGTAAACACACCTACCACACTATTAATAATATAAAAGTATAGCATATACAACTATGTATAGTACATAATACTTGATAATGATAATAACAACTATGTTACTGGTTTATGTATTTACTATATTATATTTTATCATTATTTTAGAGTGTACTTCTCCTTATTAAAAAAAGTTAACTGTAACAAAGATAAATAGGTGGGACTTAATTAAACGAAAAAGCTTCTGCACAGCAAAAGAAATAATCAGCAGAGTAAACAGAAAACCCAAAGAGTGGGGGAAAATCTTTGCAATGTATACTTCCAACAAAGGACTAATACCCAGAATCTACAAGGAACTCAAACAAATCAGCAAGAACAAAACAAATAATCCCATCAAAAAGTGAGCTAAGGACACGAATAGACAATTCTCAAAAGAAGATATGCAAATGGCCAACAAACATATGAAAAAATGCTCAACATCACTAATTATCAGGGAAATGCAAATCAAAACCACAATGTGATATCACCTCACTTCTGCAAGAATGGCCATAATCAAAAAAGCTTTAAAAAATAGATGTTGGCATGGATGTGGTGAAAAGGGAACAATTTTACTCTGTTGGTGGGAATGTAAACTAGTAAAACCACTATGAAAAACAGTGTGAAGAGTCTTTAAAGAAATAAGTCAAACAGTAAAAGTAAAAGTAGACCTACTGTTTTACACTGCAACCTCACTACTAGGTATCTACCCAGAGGAAAAGGAGTCATTATACAAAAAAAGATACCAGCATACACATGTTTATAGCAGCACAACTTGCAATTGCAAAAATATAGAACCAGCTCAAATGCCCATCAATAAATGAGTGAATAACAGAAATGTGGTATATATATATACACACACACACCATGGAATACTACTCAGCCATAAAAAGGAATAAAATAACAGCATTTGCAAAAACCTGGTTGGAATTGGAGACCATTATTCTAGGTGAAGTAACTCAGGAATGGAAAACCAAACATTGTATGTTCTCATTCATAAGTAGGAGCGAAGCTATGAGGACCCAAAGGCATAAGAATGATACAGTGGACTCTGGGGACTCAGTGGGAAGGATGGGTGTGGCAAGGGATAAAAGACTACCCATTGGGTACAGTGTACACTGCTCGGGTGATGGGTGCACCAAAATCTCAGAAATCACCACTAAAGAACTTATCCATGTAACCGAACACCACGTGTTCTCCCAAAAACCTATTGAAACAAAAAAAAAAATAAAAATAAAAAATTTAAAAAAGAGGAGAAAAAAGTTAACTGTAAAACAGCCTCAGGCAGTCCTTCAGGAGGTGTTCCAGAAGCATTGTTATCAAAGGAGGTGACAGCTCCATGTGTGTCATTGCCTCTGAAGACCTTCCACTGTGACAGGATGTGGATGTGGAAGACAGTGACATTGATGATCCTGATCCTTTATAGCCCTAGGCTAATGTTATTGTGTCTTAGTTCTTAACAAAAAAGTTTAAAAAGTAAGAAATAATAATAAATTTTAAAAATAGAAAAAAGCTTATAGAATAAGGACATAAAGGAAATATTTTTCGGCCAGGTGCAGTGGCTCACGCCTGTAATCCCAGCACTTTGGGAGGCTGAGGTGGGTGGATCACGAGGTCAAGAGATCGAGACCAGCCTGGCCAACAAGGTGAAACCCCGTCTCTACTAAAAATACAAAAAATTAGCCAGGCGCAGTGGCGGGCGCCTGTAGTCCCAGCTACTCGGGAGGCTGAGGCAGGAGAATGGTGTGAACCCAGGAGGCAGAGCTTGCAGTGAGCCGAGATCTCGCCACTGCACTCCAGCCTGGGGGACAGAGCAAGACTCTGTCTCAAAAAAAAAAAAAAAAAAAAAAAGAAAGAAGTGTACCATTTTAAATCTTTTATATCCTATTTTTACTGTACCTTTTCTGTGTTTAGGTATACAAATACCACTCTGTTACAATTGCCTACAGTATTCAGGACAGTAACATGTTGTACAGGTTTGTAGCCTAGGAGCAATAGGCTATACCATCTACCCTGGGTGTGTAGTAGGCTGTACCATCTAGGTTTGTGTAAGTTCACTCTGTGATGTTTGAGTACTGAAGAAACTGCCTAACAACACATTTCTCAGAATGTATCCCCATCATTAAGTGAAGCATAATTGTATTTTCTTTGGTCTAAGCTGTGGGCAAAGAACTTTACATGTGTTATCTCAATTAATCTTCTTAACAGGCCAATGGGGTAGGTATTGGAGGCAGGAATTAGTAGAAACAATGTTAAGTAGTTTGTTCAGGGTCACACAGGTAGAATGTGGCAGAGCTAGGTTTTAAATCCAGGTCTCATTCCAGAGCCCACATTCCATATTGATATGCTTCACTACCTCTGCAGAATAATTTTCTAGAAATGGAATTGCTACTTGATGCTCAATTCTTTTTTTTTTTTTTAATAGGGAGCAATGGGAGTGTTATGAACAGAGGAATGACATAGACATTAGTGTTTATTATCAGGGTGAAGGATCACCTTAGTTATATAATTACAGTGAAGTGAAGTGGGAGCAGGGATGGAAATAGAAGGCAGGGTTTGATCAGGAGGCTTGTGCGGTCTTGATGCTCAATTCTTAAAAAGTCATGGGCTTTTGAAGGATTTGATTATATATTGTTAGCTTAGGAGAAAATGCTAGTGATAGTACATTCTGTCATAGGACCACAGAAAGAAGAACACATAAAAATTTGTTAATATTATTTGTGATAAAAATAGTATACACATATGATAAAAATTCAAAGCATATCAGGATATTTAAGGAAAAATGGGTCTTCTTTCTACCTTGTACTTTTAAATTCCAATACCATTAATATTACTTATATCTTACCATCAGTTAGAGAATTTCTAAACTCAAATATATTTGATAGAAACTGTGATGTGGAAGAGTCCACTGGAGGCTATTTAAAGAAAGTTAAAGAAGGAAAGATCTTTGTGCTCCCTAAGGAGATAAGCAAGCATCGTATTTGAGGAAAGGGCAAGCCACCCCCCAGATTTGTCTTCTTCCCTCCAGGACCTCTTGCTGCTCAAGGTGTCTACCTCGAGCCTTGATTCCATTAGTTTTTCTCTTTTAAAATTAAATTATTATTATCACTATTCATTAGGGCAGGAATTTTGTCTGTTTTGTCATTGTTTCTCTGATTACTGGCATACAGTCAGAACTCAATAAATGTCTAGCCAAATATCTAAAATCATGCTAAGAACAGCATTGATTGCTCAGCCTCCAGACACTGTGGAGGGAACCGAGAAGCCCAGGGAACTGTGAAGCCCAGGGAACCGAGGCTTCCTGGGCTTCCCTGTGAAGCCCAGGGAACTGTGAAGACACTGTGTTTATCCTCAATGACGCCAGGGAGGAAGGTCTCCCCTTGACCTTGTAGGTGCTGGAAGAGAGGAGGCTAGATCCTGGGAGTGGGGATGGGACAGAGGGAGGGTGGCCAAGAGAGAAGAGATTTGCAGGAATCCATTCAACATGGGCACCATGGGGCCCAAAAGGTGACTCAGTGGGATAAATCATACTGTGTGTTTTCTCATCCTCTGACCTCTAGGTGCGTGTATCATTGATTCCCGTTATTTTTGTAAAACTTTCAGATAACCAACTTTCCCAGCCTTTCCCAAGAATCAAAGGGTGGGAATATGCCATAGTTTGTTTAATCATTTAGTAAGAAACATTTTATTTCCAGGTTGAGGCTATTATAAATAGACCATTATAAATATTTGCAACTAAGTTCTTGGGTGGACATAAGTTTTAATTTCTTTTGGGTAAATATCTAGGAGTGGGATCCTTGAGTCATATAGTATGTAATTTATCAGCAACTGCCAACTGTTTTCCCAAATCACTATCATTTTGTATTCCCACCAGCAATGCATGAAAGATGCAGCTGCCGCACATTCTCAAACCAGCACTTGGTATTGTTAGTTTTTTTTTTTTTTAATTTTAGCTATTCTAATAGATATGTAGTGGTATCTCATTGTGGTTTTAATGTTTATTTCCTTAATGATTGATCATGTTAAACATCTTCTCACTGGCTTCTTTTGACACATCTTTAATGAGTATCTGTTCAAATATTTTGCTCACATTTTTAATTGAATTTCTCTTTTTAAAACCCTTTTTTGAACTAATTTTAGAGTTACAGAAGCATTGCAAAAATAATATAGAGGATTCTCATATACCTCTCACTTTAATTTTAATCTAATATTTATCTTATATAACCATACTGCAATTATCAAAACCAAAAAATTAACAATGTTATAATATTATTAACTAACTGTAGCTCTTATTTTAATTTCCCTAGTTTTTTTCAGTAATGTCCTTTTTCTGTTCCTGGATCTTTTTTTAATTTTTAAAAAAATTTTTGTGGGTACATAGTAGGTGTGTATATTTATAGGGTACATGAGATACTTTGATACAGGCATGCAGTGTGTAATACTCACATAATGGTAAGTGGGGTATCCATCCTCTCAAACATTGTGTTACAAACATTCCAATTATACTATTTTAGTTATTTTAAAATGTACAATTAAGTTATTATTGACTATAGTTGCCCTGTTGTGTTATCAAATACTAGGTCTTATTCATTCTTTCTAACTACTTTTTGTACCCATTAACCATCTCCACTTCTCCCCCATGCCCTCTACCCCAGCACTGTACTTCCTAGCCTCTGGTAACTGTCCTACTATCTATCTCTATGAGTTCAATTGTTTTAGTTTTTACTTACCACAAATAAGTGAGAACATGAAAAGTTTGTCTTTTTGTGACTGCCTTATTTCACTTAACACAATGACCTCCAGTTCCATCCTTGTTGTTGCAAATGGCAGGATCCCATTCTTTTTTATGGCTGTATAGTACTCCATTATATGTACCACATTTTCTTTATCCATTCATCTGCTGATAGACACTTATTTGCTTCCAAATCTTGGCTATTGTGAACAGTGTTGCAACAAACATGGGAGTTCAGATATCTCTTCAATATCTTGATTTTTCTTTCTTTTAGGAATATAACCAGCAGTGGAATTGCTGGATCATATGGTAGCTCTATTTTTACCTTTTTGAGGAACCTCCAAACTATTCTCATAGTGGTTGTACTAATTTACATTCCCACCAACAGCGTACGAGGGTTCCCTTTTCGCCACATCCTTGCCAGCATTTGTTATTGCCTGTCTTTTGGATAAAAGCCATTTTAACTAGGATGAGATTATACCTCATTGTAGTTTTGATTTTTATTTCTCTGATGGTTAATGATGTTGAGTACCTTTTCAAATGCCTGCCATTTTTATGTCTTTTTTTTTTGAGAAATGTCTATTCAAATATTTTGCCCATTTTCAATTTTTTTTCTATTGAGTTGTTTGAGCTCCTTATATATTCTGGTTATTAATCCCTTGTCAGGTGGGTAATTTACAAATATTTTCTCCCATTTTGTGGGTTGTCTCTTTGTTGATTGTTTCCTTTGCTGTGCAGCAGCTTTTTAACTTGATGTGTCCATTTTTGCTTTGGTTGCCTGTGCTTGTGGGGTATTACTCAAGAAATCTGCCCAATCCAATATCCTGGAGAGTTTCCCCAGTGTTTTTTCTTTTTTCCCCAATGTTTTCTTTTAATAGTTTTATATTTGAGGTCTTAGATTTAAGTCTTTAATCCATTTTCCCCAGTGTATGTTCTTGGCACCTTTGCCAAAAATGAGTTCACTATAGGTGTATAGGTGTATGGATTTGTTTTTGGGTTTCCCATTGGCTCTGTGTCTTTTTTTCTTTTTTTTTTTTTGAGACAGCATCTGGCTCTGCCACCCAGGCTGGAGTGCAGTGGCATGATCTTGTCTCACTGCAACCTCCACCCCCTGGGTCAAGCCATCCTCCCACCTCAGCCTCCTGAGTAGCTAGGACTACAGGTGTGTGCCACCATGCCCAGAAAATTTTTGTATTTTTTGTAGAGATAGAGTTTTACTATGTTGCCCAGGCTGGTCTTGAACTCCTGAGCTCAAGCAATCAACCTGCCTTGGCCTCCCAAAGTGCTAGGATTATAGGCATGAGCCAACACCCCAGCCCCTATGTGTCTGTTTTTATGCTAGTACCATACTGTTTTGGTTACTTTAACTCTGTAGTATAATTTGAAGTCAGATAATATGATTCCTCCAGTTTTGTCCTTTTTTGCTCAGGATAGCTTTGGCTATTTTGGGTCTTTTGGGGTTCCATATAAATTTTAGGATTTTAAAAATTTCTGTGAAGAATGTCATTGGAATTTTGATAGGAATTGCATTGAATTTGTAGATTGCTTTGGGCAGTATGGACATTTGAATAATATTGATGTTTCCAATCCATTAATGTGGAATATCTTTCCATTTTTTGATGTCCTTTTCAATTTCTTTCATCAGTGTTTTATAGTTTTCATTATAGAGATTTTTCACTTCTTTGGTTAATACATAGGCATTTAATTTTATTTGTGACTATCGTAAATGGAATTCCTTTTTTGATTCCTTTATCAGATGTTCCTGGATCTTAATTAGAATCCCGCTTGTCATCTTATTTGTTGTCATTTTTCCTTCATCTCCTCTAAACCATGACAATTCCTCAGTCTGTCCTTTTAGGACTGACTTATTTTGAAGAGTATTAATCAGTTATTTTGTAGGATATTTCTCAATTTGGCTTGCCTGATCATTTCTCACAATTAGAATGCGGTTGTATGTTTTTGTTAAGAGCAAAACAAAAATGATATTGTATCCTCAGGGCATCATATTAAGGGGTTCATTATGTCAGTAGGTCTTACTACTGGTGATATTAACCATGATTACTTCTTTCAGGTGGTACCTGATGAGTCTTCCCACTGTAGAGTTATCGTTCCCTTTGTAGTTCATAAATATCTTGAGTAGGTGTATTGAGAATATAAAAATATTTATTTCCCCTCAAATTTTTCCAGTAATTTTAAGATTCATAAGCAGATCTTGTCTGCAACAGTTTTTACTGTGGTGTTTACCAAATAGTGATTTTTTGTTTCTCTTTTCTCTGTATATTGCTTGAAATTGTTCTTTAGGGAAGATATGTCCTTTCTCCCCATTTCTTTATGCATTTCATTGCTTATTTATATCAGTGTAGACTCATGGACATTTAGCTTATTTTACTGATTAAAATATAATGCTGTCATTATTTATTTTGTTGTTTAACCTTTTCCATCTTTAGTTGTTAGGAGCTCTTTCAGGTTAGCTCGTGTTCTCTGGCAAGCTCACAATCTTTTTTGAGTACTTTCATTTTTCTGCCACCACAAGACATCCGTCTTGTATTTTTCCCACCCCAGCCTTAGAATCACCTACTCTCTAAGAAATTGGGGAAAAGTGAGTAGAAATAAAAATCTGGGCAATTAGGCATGCTCATTGCTACTGGAGTGTCATTGCTTTTAGGCTTATCCAGCAGACAGAGCTAGAAAATACATGTATGTATAGCAACACCCCCACATTTATATTTCTGCACGTATCTGTCTGTATAGATATTAAAAACAATGAGTTTATCCTAATACTTCTGATTCCAGTTCAAGACCAGAGGGTTCTTTTTTTTTTTTTTTTTTTTTTGAGATGGAGTCTTACTCTGTCACCCAAGCTGGAGTGCAGTGGCACGATCAAGGCTCACTGCAACCTTCGCCTCCCAGGTTCAAGCAATTCTTCTGCCTCAGCCTCCCAAGTAGCTGGAACTACAGGGTCGCACCACCGCGCCCAGCTAATTTTGTATTTTTAGTAGAGACGGGGATTCACCATGTTGGCCAGGCTGATCTTGAACTCCTCACCTCAGGTGATCCACCTGCCTCAGCCTCCCAAAGTGCTGGGATTACAGGCATGAGCCACCGTGCCAGGTCCATTTTAGTCTTTCTTTGTAAATTTTCCCTAATAGTCTAGCTTTCTTTATCTACAATATACACTATTTAATTATTTGATTCTAGTACACATGTAAAGTGCTTCAGAATAGCTAACCCAGGGCTGGGTGTGGTGGCTCATGCCTGTAATCCCAGCACTTTGGGAGGCAGAGATGGGCATATCACAAGGTCAGGAGATCGAGACCATCCTGGCCAACATGGTGAAACCCTGCCTCTACTAAAAATACAAAAATTAACTGTGAGTGATGGTGTGTGTCTGTAGTTCCAGCTACTCAGGAGGCTGAGGCAGGAGAATCACTTGAACCTGGGAGGTGGAGATTGCAGTGAGCCGAGATTGTGCCACTGCACTCCAGTCTGGCGACAGAGCGAGACTCCATCTCAAAAAAAAAAAAAAAAAAAAAAAAGACTAGCTAACCCATACCTTTGGGAGAAACACTTTAATAACTATATTATAGCATTTGTATACTATTAATTTTTTGTTTAGTCTTGTGTACTGTTAATTTTTTTCTTAGTCTTATATTTTATTTATTTTTATTTATTTTTTGAGACAGAGTCTTGCTGTGTTACCCAGGCTGGAGTGCAGTGGCACAATCTCGGCTCACTGCAACCTCTGCCTCCTGGGCTCAAGCAATTCTGCCTCAGCCTCTTGAGTAACTGGGATTACAGGCAACCACCACCATATAATCAGTTAGGATACTGTTTCCCAAAGTTATTTAGGCTAGTTTTTTTCTTCTTCATCCTCTTCAGTGTGGTTATTTATTTGTAATACAGTGAGGTCCATTTTTACTTTTTGTATTCTATTTTGGGTTTCCCAGTTTCCTTGTTAGTTTTAATTATTTGTTTATTTTGGGGGGATAGGTGAAGGATATGTAAAACTTTCTCCACCAGAGAAATCCCTAAGATTCAGAGCAAAAGTTTTGGTCTCTAGGGAGGCTCTCTATGAAAAGCAATCCCAGTTTAGTGTGGTAAGGACCACTGGCATTACGATGCATTCTTGCGGTGATACAATAGTAACTGGCCCCTTTGAAGAGAGATTAAAATGGCTCCCCAGAAACTCCAAATACTGCCCATCCACTCAGTGGATCAGACAGCCTTACCCCTTAAATCTCCACCTGCTGGGACTGGAATGAGCAGAGCCTTTTAAAGTGATCTGCCAAATAGGCACTAGCTTTTGCATGCTAAAGAATGAGCAGGGAATTCATCAGAGATGTGTCCCGCTTCCTCTCCCCTGCCTACCGTCTCATATCCCAATATGTTTTTTTCTCCCCATAAAAATAAATGTACTACAGTATAATTTCTCTCTTTCTTTTTCTGGATTCTTCCTTTTGATTTATTCCTTCACTGACCTGCTCTTTGATTTCCTTTCTTTTCCCTCTTATTGCTTTCTGAATGGTATTAGGCTTATATCCACAAGGTACTGCTGGACCGACCTGACATCACACATCTGTGCTTGGTCTTACCAGGTTTGCTCTGGATAAGAAGGGTCTTTCTAACAGGAATCATAATTCTCCCACCACAAACTGCAGAGACTACAGCTCCTGATTTGACTTCATTTTTGTGTTAAATCAGGTCAGAGGGGCCCTGTATATGTGGATAATTCACATCAGGGAGCCCTTAGAACCAGAAGAGATTCAGAGACCTCCACTCCACAAGGTGGGCAGGCAGCAATTATTGATAGAAAGTAGAAGTGAGGTATAGAAACATTTTGATTGGTTACAACTTGGCATTTGCCTAATTTGGACATGGTCTGATCAGTTGGCTGCCTGTGATTGACTGAGGCTCAGCTGCTGTGATTGGATGAGACTCAAGTTGTTTCAAAACTGTATTCCTAAATTAGGCTTTTAGTTAATTTACATCCTAAGATAGGTTGCAGTTTGTTACTAGGGACTCAAAGTATGGAGGCATCCTCAGGCCAAATTTAGTTTAACAGCAACTTCCTTGATATATTAATGTCCATTTTAGGCTAGACTAATAGAGGTAGGGCTAAGTGGGGTCAATAGGAGCTGGAGCTTATTGTAAAGACCAGAATAAGGAATTGCTTGCATTATAGATTGATTGCAGAAATGTCCCCTTTTTCCATATACTAGAGATTTTTGCAGTTTGATCATGCAGCTCCTCCCATAAGAGATGAAGAATATTTCTCCATCCCTTGAATCAAGCCTTATGATTTACTTTGGCCTGTATAGCAAATGGCAAAAATGGCAGGATAGCAGTTCTGAGTTAGGCTTCATGAGTCCTTGCATGTTTCTGCACTTTCTCTTGTAATTGTGCCTCTGCCATGTGACCAAGCCCAGGCTTGCCTGCTGAATGATGAGAAACACATAACCTAGTTATACCTGTTGCCTAAGTCAAGGCAGCCCTCTGCCACACATGGAGAGGAATATCTTAGACCAGTCAGCTGACCTGATGCTTGGGGCTGCAAATGCATATATAAGTCCAACTGAGATCAACTAAGCCTGGCCTAGATAAGCAGAACCATCCAGCTGGCCTATAGACTCACAAGGTATAGTAACGGTTCTTCAAACCACTAAGTTTGGATTGGTTTGTTACACAGCAATAGCTAGCTAATACAGCCTCAAAAGCACATCATATAAAGAATTGTTAAAGCATCTATTAATATGCCCTTGTAGAAGAGAAGACTCGGGAGGCATGTGATAGCTCTGGAGACTGTGGGGTTTAGAGGCTCTAGAAAAGTCTAAAAGCCAGAGGACTGTGATGGCCAGAAGACAGAGCAAAGAAAAATGGTTGCCTACAGAATAGTCTGCACTCCTAATTTGCGAGAGAAAATGTGTGAATTTCCAGTCGATCCAGTGTGGATCATGATCTGGAGTGATTTTACATAGTCTCAACAGGATAGCCTGCAGGGGGTGTTAAGATCCTAAAAGAGGGTCTATGGGGTGGCCTTTCAGAAACAAGGGGCTAAAGGATGGGTAATAAGTGGCTGGCTGGTGGGAGTATCAGATGTGTTAAGGGAATTTTGTGAGAGGTCACTAAACAGGTCTCTGGTGAATCCACTAATACAATGCAGCAAGAGTCCAAAGAGCACCAAGACCAAAATACTACAATACCTCTCAAGTAAGATCTGTCCTTGCCCTTTACAGTTCTTCCTCTGCTCCTCAACTCTGCAGGGGCAGAGTCTACCTAGTATATAAAAGATCAGGGGTGGATATATATATATATATCCTACACCTTTTATTATAATTATTTTTGTACATACATTATTTTTTAGAGCAGTTTTAGGTCCTCAACAAAATTGAGTGGAAAGTATAGAGATTTCCCATTTCCCCTTCCTTCACATATGCATAGCCTCCCCCATTATCGACGTCCCCCATGAGAGTGGTGCACTTGTTACAATAGATGAACATCCATTGACACATCATAATCACATGAAGTCTGCAATTTACATTAGGGTTCAGTCTTGATGTTGTATGTTCTGTGGACAAATATACAATGACAAATATCCACCATTATAGCATTGAATTAGTCAGTTTTCACACTGCTGATAAAAACATACTCAAGACTGGATAATTTATAAAGGAAAGAGGTTTGATGGACTCACAGTTCCACATGGCTGCGGAGGCCTCACAAATGGTGGAAGACAAAGGGAATGTCTTACGTGGTGGTAGGTGAGAGAGAATGAGGCCCAAGTGAAAAAGGAAACCCCTTATAAAGCCATCAGATTTCATGAGACTTACTCACTACCACAAGAACAGTATGGGGGAACCACCCCCATGATTCAGTTATCTCCCACCAGATCCCTCCCACAATATGTGGGAATTATGGGAACTACAATTCAAGATGAGATTTGGGTGGGGACACAGCCAAACCATATCAAGTATCATACAGAGTAGTTTTACTGCCCTAAAAACCCTCTGTGCTCCTCCTATTCATCCTGTCTTCCCCCAAACCTGGAAAACACTGAATTTTTTCCCTAGGGACACAGTCTTGCTATGTTCCCCAGGCTAGACTTCTACTCTTGGGTTCAAGCAATCCTCTTGCCTCAGCCTCCTGAGTAATCTTTTTTCTGTCTCCATAGTTTTGCCTTTTCCAGGTGTCATATAGTTGGAATAATATAGTATGTAGCCTTTTCTCATTGGCTTCTTTCACTTAGTAACATGCATGTAAGTTTCCTCCATGTCTTTCATGGCTTGATAGTTCATTTCTTTTTAGTGCTGAATAATATTCCATTGCCTAGACGGAATGGAGATTATTATTTATTTGTTCACTTACCAAAAGTATCTTGGCTGCTTCCAAGTTTTGGTAATTATGAATAAAGATGTTTTGCAGGGACATAAGTTTTCAACTCCTTTGGGGAAATACCAAGGAGTATGATTGCTGATGAGTATGTTTAGATTTGCAAGAAACTACCAAATGGTCTTCCAAAGTGGCTATATCATTTTGCATTTCCACCAGCAAAGAGTGAGAGTTCCTGTTGCTCTATATCTTTGACAGCATTTAATGTTGTCAGTGTTCTGGATTTTGGCCATTCTAGTAGGTGTGTAGCAGTATCTCATTGTTGTTTTAATTGGCATTTCCCTGATGACATAGGATGTGGGGCATCTTTTCATACACTTATTTGCCACCTGTATGTCTTCTTTGGTAAGGTGTCTATTAAGGCCTTTGGTTCATTTTTAAATCAGGTTGTTTGTTTTCTTATTGTAGAGTTTTAAGGGTTCTTTGTATATTATGGAAAACTCTCCTTTAGGAGATATGTATTTTGCAAATATTTTCTAGCCCTGTATTTTTTTAACCAAGTAGAAAATGACTTTATTGTTGCTAGGGCTGTCAAATAAAAAGAAAACAGATTTCACAGAGATAATATAAGAACCAGTGCTGAGCTCAGATGAAAATTTTAATTTATATATATATAATTTTTACCATGTATATTTTGTATTCAAAATGCAAACACCAAATAAATTACAAAAAAAGATTCTATTCAAAGTTTCTAGTTTTGAGTCAAAATTTCCTCTAGACTATTTAGGTGAGTATCAGAGCTATGGAATGGTCTGTGAGTCAAATTAGAAAAGAAATGCAAAACACTAGGAGAAATATTTAGCACTGTTGAGTTATACAAGTTGTCATTTTGAAGAAATATAAATATAGATTAGTCGTTAATCTTTCCCTGTTTCTGTTTTACTCTAAGTATTATATATTAAATATTTGAATCTTTCTTTACTAGGCCAGGTGCAGTAGCTCATGCCTGTAATCCCACCACTGTGGGAGGCCAAGGTGGGTGGATCACTTGAGGCCAGGAGTTCAAGACCAGCCCGGCCAACATGGTGAAACTGAATCTCTACTAAAAATACAATAATTAGCCAGGTATAGTGGGGCATGCCTGTAATCCCAGCTACTCGGGAGGCTGAGGCATGAGAATCACTTGAGTCCAGGAGGCAGAGGTTGCAGTGAGCCGAAATTATGACACTGCACTCCAGCCTGGGAGACAGAGCAAGACTCTGTCTCAAAAAAAATATTTCTGAATGGATGGCAAGATGGCAGAATAGGAACAGCTCCGGTCTGCAGCTCCCGACATGATTGACGCAGAAGACGGATGATTTCTGCATTTTCAACTGTGGTACCTGGTTCATCTCATTGGGACTGGTTGGACAGTGGGTGCAGCCCACAGAGGGTGAGCTGAAGCAGGGCGGGGCATCACCTCACCAGGGAAGCACAAGGGGTAAGGAATTTCCCTTTCCTAGCCAAGGGAAGCCATGATAGACTGTACTGGGAAAATCGGGACACTGCGACCCAAATACTGTGCTTTTCCAATGGTCTTAGCAAATGGCACACCAGGAGATTATATCCCGAGCATGGCTCAGCAGGTCCCACGCCCACGGAATCTTGCTCACTGCTAGCACAGCAGTCTGAGATTGAACTGTGAGGCAGCAGCCTGGCTGGGGGAGGGGAGTCCACCATTGCTGAGGCTTGAGTAGGTAAACAAAGTGGCTGGGAAGTTCAAACTCGGTGGAGCCCACCGCAGCTCAGTGAGGCCTACTTGCCTCTGTAGACTCCACTCTGGGGGCAGAGCATAGCTGAACAAAAGGCAGCAGAAACTTCTGCAGACTTAAACGTCCCTGTCTGACAGCTCTGAAGAGAGCAGTGATTCTCCCAGTGTGGTGTTTGAGCTCTGAGAATGGACAGACTGCCACAATTGGGTCCCTGACCCCCAAGTAGCCCAACTGGGAGACACCTCCCAGTAGGGGCCGACTGACACCTCATACAGCCAGGTGCCCCTCTGAGAGGAAGCTTCCACAGAAAGGATCAGGCAGCAATATTTGCCGTTCTGCAATATTTGCTATTCTGCAGCCTCCGCTGGTAATACCCAGGCAAACAGCATCTGGAGTGGACCTCCAACAAACTCCAACAGACCTGCAGCTAAGGGACCTGACTGTTAGAAGGAAAGCTGACAAACAGAAAGGAGTAGCATCAACATAAGCAAAAAGGACATCCACACCAAAACCTGATCTGTAGGTCACCATCATGAAAGAACAAAGGTAGATAAAACCACAAAGATGGGGAGAACCAGAGCAGAAAAGCTGAAAATCCTAAAAACCAGAGCACCTCTTTTCCTCCAAAGGATCACAGCTCCTCACCAGCAATGGAACAAAGCTGGATAGAGAATGACTTTGACAAGTTGACAGAAGTAGGCTTCAGAAGGTCAGTAATAAGAAACTTCTCTAAGCTAAAGAAGAATGTTCAAACCCATCGCAAGGAAGCTAAAAACCTTGAAAAAAGATTAGACAAATGGCTAACTAGAATGAACAGCATAGAGAAGACCTTAAATGACCTGATGGAGGTGAAAACCGTGGCACGAGAACTACATGATGCATGCACAAGCTTCAGTAGCCAATCGGATCAAGTGGAAGAAAGGGTATCAGTGATCAAAGATCAAATTAATGAAATGAAACGAGAAGAGAAGTGTAGAGAAAAAAGAGTAAAAAGAAATGAACAAAGCCTCCAAGAAATATGGGACTATGTGAAAAGACCAAATCTACGTTTGATTGGTGTACCTGAAAGTGACGGGGAGAATGGAACCAAGCTGGAAAACACTCTTCAGGATATTATCCAGGAGAACTTCCCCAACCTAGCAAGGCAGGCCAACATTCAAATTCAGGAAATACAGAGAACACAACAAAGATACTCCTGGAGAAGAGCAACTCCAAGACACATAATTGTCAGATTCACCAAGGTTGAAATGGAGGAAAAAATGGTAATGCCAGCTGGAGAGAAAGGTTGGGTTACCCAGAAAGGGAAGCCCATCAGACTAACAGCGGATCTCTCAGCAGAAACTCTACAAGCCAGAAGAGAGTGGGGGCCAATATTCAACATTCTTAAAGAAAAGAATTTTAAACCCAGAATTCCATATCTAGTCAAACTAAGCTTCAGAAGTGAAGGAGAAATAAAATCCTTTACAGAAAAGCAAATACTGAGAGCTTTTGTCACCACCCAGCCTGCCTTACAAGAGCTCCTGAAGGAAGCACTAAACATGGAAAGGAACAACCGGTACCAGTCACTGCAAAAACATGCCAAATTGTAAAGACCATCGATGCTAGGAAGAAACTGCATCAACTAATGGGCAACTTAACCAGCTAACATCATAAGGACAGGATCAAATTCACACATAAAAATATTAACCTTAAATGTAAATGGGCTAAATGTCCCAATTAAAAGACACAGACTGGCAAATTGGATAAGGAGCCAAGACACATCAGTGTGCTGTATTCAGGAGACCCATCTCATGTGCAGAGGCACACATATGCTCAAAATAAAGGGATGGAAGAAGATTTCCCAAGCAAATGTAAAGCAAAAAAAAAAAAAAAAAAAAAAAAAGCAGGGGTTGCAATCCTAGTCTCTGATAAAATTGACTTTAAACGAACAAAGATAAAAAGAAACAAAGAAAACCATTACATAATGGTAAAGGGATCAATTCAACAAGAAGAGCTAACTATCCTAAATACATATGCACCCAATACAGGAGCACACAGATTCCTAAAGCAAGTCCTTTGAGACCTACAAAGAGACTTAGACTCCCACACAATAATAATGGGAGACTTTAATACCCCACTGTCAATATTAGACAGATCAATGAGACAGAAGGTTAACAAGGATATCCAGGAATTGAATTCAGCTCTGGACCAAGCAGACCTAATAGACATCTACAGAACTCTCCACCCCAAATCAACAGAATGTACATTCTTCTCAGCACCACATTGCACTTATTCCAAAATTGACCACATAGTTGGAAATAAAGCACTCCTCAGCAAATGTGAAAGAAGAGAAATCACAACAAACTTTCTCTCAGACCACAGTGCAATCAAATTGAAACTCAGGATTAAGAAACTTATTCAAAACTGCACAACCACATGGAAACTGAACAACCTGCTCCTGAATGACTACTGGGTAAATAATGAAATGATGGCAGAAATAAAGATGTTCTTTGAAACCAATGAGAACAAAGACACAACACACCAGAATCTCTGGGACACATTTAAGGCAGTGTGTAGAGGGAAATTTATAGCACTAAATGCCCACCAGAGAAAGCAGGAAAGATCTAAAATTAACACCCTAACATCACAATTAAAAGAACTAGAGAAGCAAGAACAAACAAATTCAAAAGCTAGCAGAAGACAAGAAATAACTAAGATCAGAGCAGAACTGAAGGAGATAGAGACACAAAAAAACGCTTCCAAAAATCAATGAATCCAGGATCTGGATTTTGAAAAGATCAACAAAATTGATAGACCCCTAGCAAGACTAATAAAGAAGAAAAGAGAGAAGAATCAAATAGATGCAATAGAAAATTATAAAGGGGATATCACCACCAATCCCACAGAAATACAAACTACCATCAGAGAATACTATAAACAACTCTATGCAAATAAACTAGAAAATCTAGAAGAAATGGATAAATTCCTGGACACATACAGCCTCCCAGGACTAAATCAGGAAGAAGCTGAATCTCTGAATAGACCAATAGCAGGCACTGAAATTGGGGCAATAATTAATAGCCTACCAACCAAAAAAAGTCCAGGACCAGATGGGTTCACAGCCGAATTCTACCAGAGGTACAAAGAGGAGCTGGTACCATTCCTTCTGAAACTATTCCAATCAATAGAAAAAGAGGGAATCCTCCCTAACTCATTTTATGAGGCCAGCATCATCCTGATACCAAAGCCTGGCAGAGACACAACAAAAAAAAAGAGAATTTTAGACCAATATCCCTAATGAACACTGATGTGAAAATTCTCAATAAAATACTGGCAAACCAAATCCAGCAGCATATCAAAAAGCTTATCTACCACGATCAAGTTGGCTTCATCCCTGGGATGCAAGGCTGGTTTAACACACGCAAATCAATAAATGTAATCCATCACATAAACAGAACCAAAGACAAAACCACATGATTGTCTCCATAGATGCAGAAAAGGCCTTCGACAAAATTCAACAGCCCTTCATGCTAAAAACTCTCAATAAACTAGATATTGATGGGACGTATCTCAAAATAATAAGAGGTATTTATGACAAACTCACAGCCAATATCATACTGAATGGGAAAAAACTGGAAGCATTCCCTTTGAAAACTGGCACAAGAAAGGGATACCCTCTCTCACCACTCGCATTCAACATAGTGTTGGAAGTTCTGGCCAGGGCAATTAGGAGGCAGAAAAAAATAAAAGTATTCAATTAGGAAAAGAGGAAGTCAAATTGTCCCTGTCTGCAGATGACATGATTGCATATTTAGAAAACCCCATCGTCTCAGCCCAAAATCTCCTTAAGCTGATAAGCAACTTCAGCAAAGTCTCAGGATATAAAATCAATGTGCAAAAATCGCAAGCATTGCTATACACCAATAACAGACAAACAGAGAGCCAAATCATGAGTGAACTCCCATTCACAATTACTACAAAAAGAATAAAATACCTAGGAATCCAACTTACAAGGGATGTGAAGGGCCTCTTCAAGGAGAACTACAAACCACTGCTCAACAAAATAAAAGAGGACACAAACAAATGAAAGAACATTCCATGCTCATGGATAGGAAGAATCAATATCGTGGAAATGGCCATACTACCCAAGGTAATTTATAGATTCAATGCCATCCCCATCAAGCTACCAATGACTTTCTTCACAGAATTGGAAAAAACTACTGTAAAGTTCATATGGAATAAAAAAAAAGGCCGCATTTCTAAGACAATCCTAAGCAAAAAGAACAAAGCTGGAGGCATCACGCTACCTGACTTCAAACTGTACTATAAGGCTACAGTAACCAAAACAGCATGGTACTGGTACCAAAAGAGAGATATAGACCAATGGAACAGAATAGAGCCCTCAGAAATAACACCACACATCTACAACCATCTGATCTTTGACAAATCTGACAAAAACAAAAAAAATGGGGAAAGGATTCCCTACTTAATAAATGGTGCTGGGAAAACTGGCTAGCCATATGTAAAAAGCTGAAACTGGATCCTTTCCTTACACCTTATATAAACATCAATTCAAGGTGGATTAAAGACTTAAATGTTAGACCTAAAACCATAAAAACCCTAGAAGAAAACCTAGGCAATACCATTCAGGACATAGGCATGGGCAAGGACTTCATGACTAAAACACCAAAAGCAATGGCAACAAAAGCCAAAATTGACAAATGGGATCTAATTAAACTAAAGAGCTTCTGCACAGCAAAAGAAACTATCATCAGAGTGAACAGGCAACCTACAGAATGGCAGAAAATTTTTGCAATCTACCCATCTGACAAAGGGCTAATATCCAGAATCTACAAAGAATTTAAACAAATGTACACGAAAAAATCAACCCCATCAAAAAGTGGGCAAAGGATATGAACAGACACTTTTCAAAAAAGACATTTATGCAGCCAAGAGACACATGAAAAAATGCTCATCATCACTGGTCATCAGAGAAATGCAAATCAAAATCACAATGAGATACCATCTCACACCAGTTAGAATGGCAATCATTAAAAAGTCAGGAAACAATAGGTGCTGGAGAGGATGTGGAGAAATAGGAACGCTTTTATACTGTTGGTGGGAATGTAAAGTAGTTCAACCATTGTGGAAGACAGTGTGGCAATTCATCAAGTATCTAGAACTGGAAATACTATTTGACCCAGCCATCTCATTACTGGGTATATACCCAAAGGATTATAAATCCTGCTACTGTAAAGACACATGCACACGTATGCTTATTGCGGCACTATTCACAATAGCAAAGACTTGGGAACAACCCAAATGTCCATCAAAGATAGACTGGATTAAGAAAATGTGGCATATATACACTATGGAATACTATGCAGCCATAAAAAAGGATGAGTTCATGTCATTTGTAGGGATGTGGATGAAGCTGGAAACCATCATTCTGAGCAAACTATCGCAAGGACAGAAAACCAAGCATTGCCTGTTCTCACTCATAGGTGGGAACTGAACAAAGAGAACACTTGGACACTGGGCAGGGAACATCACACACTGGGGCCTGTCATGGGGTTGGGGGATGGGGGAGGGATAGCATTAGGAGACATAACTAATGTAAATGATGAGTTAATGGGTGCAGCAAACCAACATGGCACATGTATACATATGTAACAAACATGCATGTTGTGCACATATACCCCAGAACTTAAAGTACAATAAATAAAAAACAGTCTTTGCTAAATAGAATTTAGATGACATGTAGTATAGTTTATTTATTTATCTTTCAACTTTTATTTTAGATTCAGGGGTACATGTGCAAGTTTGTTACCTGGGTATATTGCATGATGCTGAGTTTTGGGGTACGAATAATCCCATTACCCAGGTACTGAGAATACTACCCAACAGTTAGTTTTCCAACTCTTGCTCCCTACCTTTCCTCCCTCCTTCTAGTAGTCTATTGCTGCCATCTTTATGTCCACGAGCACCTGATGTTCAGCTCCCACTTACAAGTGAGAACATGTAGTATTTGGTTTTCTCTTTCTGTGTTAATTCTCTTAGGATAATGGCCTCCAGCTGTATCCATGTTGCTGCAAAGGACATGACTTCATTCTTTTTTATGGCTGTGTAGTATTCCATAATGTATATATACACATTTTCTTTATCCAATCTATCATTAATGGGCACCTATGTTGATTCCATGCATGTTTTCTATTGTGAATATTGCTGCAATAAATGTGTGAGTGCATGTGTCTTTTTGGTAGAACAATTTGTTTTCTTTTGGATATGTACTCAGAAATGGGATTGCTGGATTAAATGGTAGTTCTAAGTTCTTTTAGAAATCCCCAAACTGCTTTCTACAGGAACTGAACTAATTTACATTGTCACCAACAGCATATAAGTGTTCCATTTTCTCTGCAGCCTTGCCAATATATGTTGTTTTTTGACTTTTTAAATAATAGCCATTCTGACTGGTGTGAGATATAGTGGTTTTGATTTGCATTTCTGTGATGATTAGCATTTTTCCATATGTTTCTTGGCACCTTGTATATCTTCTTTTGAGAAGTGTCTATTTATGTCTTTTGCTCACATTTAAATGGGCTATTTGTTTTTTTCTTGTTCAATGGTTTAAGTTCTTTATAGATTCTGGATATTAGACCTTTGTTAGATGCATAGTTTGCAAAATATTTCTTCCTATTCTGTAGGTTGTCTGTTTACTCTGTTGATAGTTTCTTTTGCTGGGCAGAAGCTCTTTAGTTTAATTAGGCCCACTTGTCAAAATTTGTTTTTGTTGTAATTGCTTTTCAGGACTTAGTAATACATTCCTTCCCAAGGCCCATGTCCAGAATGGTGTTTCTAAGGTTTTCTTCTAGGATTCATCTAGTTTGAAGTATTACATTTAGATCTTTAATCCATCTTGAGTTAATTTTTGTATACGGTGAAACGTAGGGGTCCAGTTTCATTCTTCTGCATATGCCTAGCCAGCTATCCTAACACTATTTATCTAATGGACAGTTGCTCCCTCGTTGCTTATTTTTTGTCAACTTTATTGAAGATTAGATGGCTGTAGGTGTTTGGTTTTATTTCTGGTTCTTTATTCTGTTTCATTGGTGTATGTGTCTGTTTTTGTACTAGTACCATGCTGTTTTGGTAACTGTAGCCTTATAGTATAGTGAGCAATGTGATGCCTCCGACTTTGTTCTTTTTGCTTAGCATTTCTTTGGCTATTTGGGCTTGTTTTTGGTTCCATATGAATTTTAGAATAGTTTTTTATCCAAATCTGTGAAAAATGACATTGGGAGCTTGATAGGAATAACATTAAATCTGTAGATTGCTTTGAGCAGTATGGACATTTTAATGATATTGATTCTTCCAATCCATGAACATGAAATTTTTCCCTATTTGTTTCTGTCATCTCTTATTCCTTTTGGCAGTATTTTATAGTTCTCCTTGTAGAAATCTTTCACCTTAGTTAGATGTATTCCTAAGTATTTCTTTTTGTGTGGCTAGTCTAAATGAGATTGTGCTCTTGATTTGGCTCTCAGCTTGAATGTTATTGGTGTATAGAAATGCTACTAAGTTTTGTAAATTGATTTTGTATCTTGAAACTTTGCTGAAGTCATTTATCAGCTCCAGGAGCTTTTTGGTGGGGTCTTTAAGGTTTTCTAGGTATAGAATCATATCATCTGCAAAGAGAGATAGTTTGAGTTCTTCTTTTCCTATTTGGATGTCTTCGATTTCTTTTCTTGCCTGATTGCTCTGGCTAGCACTTCCAGTACTATGTTGAATAGGAGTGGTGAGAGTGGACGTCTTTGTCTTGTTCCAGTTCTCAAGGGGAATGCTTCTAGTTTTTGTCTGTTCAGTATGGTGTTAGATATGAATTTGTCATAGATGCCTCTTATTATTTTGAGGTATATACCTTTGATGTCAAGTTTCTTGAGGGTTTTTATCATGAAGGGATGTTGGATTTTATTGAAAGCTTTTCCCACATTTATTGAGATAATCACATGGTTTTTGTTCTTAATTCTGTTTATGTGATGATGAATCACATTTATTGATTTGCATATGTTAAGCCAATCTTGAATCCCAGAAATGAAGCTTACTTGATCATGGTGAATTAACTTTTTGATGTGCTGTTGAATTCAGTTTGCTAGTATTTTGTTGAGAATTTTTACATCTATGTTCATCAAGGATATTTGCCCATAGTTTTCTTTTTCACTTGTGTCTTTGCCAGGTTTTGGTATCAGGGTGATGAGTTGGGGAGGAATTTCTCCTCCTTGATTTTTTTGAAATAGTTTCAGTAGGATTTGTACCAGTTCATCTTTGAAGATCTGGTAGAATTTGGCTGTGAATCCATCTGGTTTGGGGATTTTTTTGGTTGGTAGGTTTGTTATTATTGATTCAATTTCAAAACTCAATATTGGTCTGTTCAGTGTTTCAACTTCTTCCTGATTCAGTGTTGGAAGATTGTGTGTATCCAGACATTTATCTATATTCTCTGGATTTTCTAGTTTGTGTGCATAGAGGTGTTCATAGTAGTCTCTGAGGGTCTTTTGTATTTCTGTGGGACTAACTGTCATCTTTGTCATTTCTGATTGTGCTTATTTGGCTCCTCTCCTTTTCTTTGCTAATCTAGATAGTGGTCTATTTGTCTTGTTTATTATTTCAAATAACCATCTTTTGGTTTCATTGATTCTTTGTATGAATTTTTGGGTCTCAATTTCATTCAGTTGTGCTTTGATTTTAATTATTTCTTCTGCTAACTTTGGGGTTAGTTTGTTCTTGTTTTTCTAGTTTCTCTAGGTGTGATGTTAGATCATGAATTTGAGATTTTTCTAACTTTTTGAGATAGGCATTTAGCATTATAAACTTTCCTCTTAACACTGCTTTCGCTGCATCCCAGAGATTTTGGTATATTGTGTCTCTGTTTTCATTTATTTCAAAGAATTTTTTGATTTCCACCATGATTTCATTATTTATCCAAGTCATTTAGGAGCAAGTTGTTTAATTTTTATGTACTTGCATAGTTTTGGGAGATCTTCTGGTATTAATTCCTATTTTTATTTCACTGTGGTCTGAGAGTATGGTTGGTATGATTTCAATTTTTAAAAATTTATTGAGACTTGCTTTATGGCCAAGCATGTGGTCAATCTTGGTATGTTTCGTGTGCAGATGAAAAGAATGTATATTCTGTGGTTGATGGGTGGAATAATCTGTAGATGTCTATTAGGTTCAGTTGGTCAAAGGTTGAGTTTAAGTCCAAAATTTATTTGTTAGTTTTCTGCCTTGATGATCTAATGCCATCAGTGGGGTGTTGAAGTCCCTCACTATTATTGTGTGGCTGAGTCTTTTTGTAGGCTTGGAAGTACTTGTTTTATTAGCATATATATTTAAAATTGTTAAGTATTCTTATTGAATTGAGCCCTTTATTGTTATGTAATGTCTTCTTTGTCCTTTATTTTCTTTTTCTTTTTTAACTATTGTTAGTTTAAAGTATGTTTTATCTGATATAATAATAGTGACCCCTGCTCTTTTTTGTTTTCCATTTGCATGGTAGAACTATCTCCAACTCTTTACTTTGAGTTTTTGGGTGTCACTATGTGTGAGAGGGGTCTCTTGAAGACAGCAGATGGATAGGTTTTTTTTTTTTTTTTTTTTATTCAACTTGCACTCTGCCTTTTAAGTGGGGGCATCTGGACCACTTACATTTGAATGTAAGTTTATATTGCTATGTGAGGTTTTGATCCTGTCATAAAGTTGTCAGCTGGTTGCTTTGTAGTTTTTGTTGTTTTTGCTTTATAGGATCTGAGGGTTATGTACTTCAGTGTGTTTTTGTGGTGGCAGGTATGATTCTTTTGTTCCATGTTTAGAACTTCCTTAAGGATCTCTTGTAAGGATAATCTAGTGCTAACAACTTCCCTTAGTGCTTGCTTGTCTGGAAAAATTTTATTTCTCTTTTGCTTATGAGGCTTAGCTCAGCAGGATATAAAATCTTGGTTGGAAATTCTTTCCTTTAAGGACGCTGAAAATAGGCCCCTAATATCT
Source organism: Homo sapiens (assembly GCF_000001405.40). Classification (NCBI taxonomy): domain Eukaryota; kingdom Metazoa; phylum Chordata; class Mammalia; order Primates; family Hominidae; genus Homo; species Homo sapiens. Next base: position 97,477,797 of record NC_000008.11, on the reverse strand, counting down.
CCTGGCTTGTAAGGTTTCTACTGAGAAGTCCACTGTTAGCCTGCTGGGGTTCCCTTTGTATGTGATCTGTCCTTTTTCTGTAGCTGCCTTTAAGATATTTTCTTTAGCATTGATCTTGGACAGTCTGATGACTCTATGCATTGGTGATGTTTGTTTTGTACAGTATCTTGCAGGTGTCCTCTGGATTTTTTATATCTGGATGTCTACCTCTCCAGCAAGATTAGGGAAGTTTTCTTGAATTATTCCCTAAAATATGCTTTACAGGTTGTTTGCCTTTTCTCTTTCTCTCTCAGGAATGTCAATAATTTGTATGTTTGGTTGCTTTATAAAATCCCATATTTCTCAAAGGCTTTACTCATTTTTTAAAACTAATTTTTATTTTTGTTAGACTGGGTTAGTTCAAAGGACTGGTCTTCAAGCTCTGAAAATCTTTCTTTTGCATGGTCTGGTTTAGTGATAAAGCTTTTAATTGTATTTTGAAATTCCTTAAGTGAGTTTTTCAATTCCAGAAGCTCTAATTGATTTCTTTTTAAGATGTTTATCTCTTCATTCATTTCCTGGATTGCTTTAGAGGTTTCTTTGTGTTGATTTTCAATCTTGTCTTCAATTTCATTGAGTTTCCTTGCAATCCATACTTTGAATTATGTATCTGTCATTTCTGAGTTTCCATTTTGGTTAGAGACTATTGCTGGAGAGCCAATTGTTTGGTGGTGTCACTACATTCAGATTTTTCAGGGTGCCAGAATTCTTGCTCTGGGTGCTTCTCATCTCTGGAGATACTGGCACTTCTAATTTTTGTAATTATTTTTATGCAGATAGGATTTTTTTTCTTTTCTTTTTTCCCCCAAAATTTTGTTATTTAAAAAATTATTTTTTCTTTCCCCTGTCCCTTTCCCTCCCCCTTCCTAGGGGATGTGACTGTAGAGAATGCTGGGAAGGGTCTTTTGTTGTTTTTATAGCCCTATGCACTTCTTTTGGCAGGTTTTATGTGGGCCTATGCAGTTCATCCTACAAGCCTGGCACTTTTAGGTAAGAGCCAGATGCAGCCAATGTGGCTGGGTATATACTTGATTCTTGTTACTGGCAGAAGCTGTCCGTTGCCTCAGGCCGTGGGCTGATTCATAGAATGCATAGTTATCTGAGCTCTCTGCACATCCCAGGGCAAGGAGAGACACAAAGGGTGAGGCTGGACTGGGCAGGTCCATGTGCAGGCCCCCTGATGGCAGGCACAAGCACCAGTGCCAAGGGAGAATCCAGTGGGTAGCCATCAGATGCCCAGAGGTGTGCCTAGGCATGGAGCTGAGAAACTTCCTTGGCTCCGAGTTCTCTGCACAGAGATCAGGGGCAGCCTAAGCTTTTAATCCAGGAGAGTCAGGGCTTCAGATACCTGGAGATCTGCCTAGGTGTGAAGCGTAGAGGGTCTTGCTGCACTATGATCTATGTCCAGGAAGACTGGGGCAGCTCCAGTTGCTGAACCAGATGAGTGGGTGCTCTGAATGCCTAATGATCTGTCTGCCTGGGTGTGAAGCAGAGAGGATCTCTCTGTAACAGGACCTCTAAACAAGAAGGGTAGGGTGTCTCAGGCTGCTAATCTAATGAGTGATGCTCTGAATGCCTAGAGATCTGCTTAGGTGTGGAGCAGAGGTCACCACCTGCACCAAAATCTCTGCTCAGGAGGAGTGGGGTGACTCAGGCTGCTGAACCAAGCAAGCAGGTGCTCTGAATGTCTGGAGATCTACCTGGGTAGCAGAGAGGGTCTCCCTACACCCGCATCTCTGCACAGGAATGGTGGGGTGGGCCAGGCTGCTGATCCAGATGAGCAGGTTCTCTGAATGCCTGGAGATTTGCATGAGCATGGAGCAAAGAGAGCCCTACTGCACCAAGATTTATGTCCAGAAGGGGTGGGGCGGCTCAGGCTGTTGGTCCAGGCAAGTGAGTGCTCCAAATGTCTGGATTTCTGCCTGGGGGTAGAGACGATAAGTCCCCACTGCACTAAAATCTCAGGGGAGCAGGGTGGGGCAACCAGCATTGGCACATGCAGATCAGTTCCAGGTTGCCAAGCTGGCCTGACTGCAAGTCTCACTGCCCAGGAAAAACCGCAGCTGTAGCCTGTGAATCCCAGCACCTACTGCTGAGGTGCTTTCCACAGTTCTTGCTGTGGAGGCCCCTACTCCACTCTCCAGCAGGCACTCCAATCTTTGGCTTGAGATTAAAATGCCTATGCAGCCCTGCTGCTGGGTTACCAAAGAATGACTGACTTTGTATGTGCCCACATTAAAAATGGTGTCCTGCTTCTAGTCCTGGATCTGGGAAAATGCCTGCAGCTTTTCCTGGTGTCTTTCCCTCATGGTGTCTCCAAGACTTTCCCCATATTAACTCTGGCTCAGGAGAAGCAAAGTGCTCTTCCTTGGCCTGGGTTGCTCAGATCCCCAGTGGAAAGGTAAGTCACAGAGAACGGTTCTCTGCCTCTCTCATGTACTAGGGCCTCATCCACTTATCAGCTGAATGCCATCATGGGGGCCGTTTGCCGATGTTCTCCTCTCTGGGATCTGGGGTGTCCTTCATGATTCCAGTGCATTCCCATTTTCTTTCTTGAATAAAGCTCACAGAGTTGATCTTTATATACTATCTTGCTGTTTCCAAGTGGCTGAGGTATGCTGAAAGCTTCTAATCTGCCATCTTGGAAAATGGGTGTAAATTTTTTTTTAAATTAAAAAAATTTTTAAAAAATTATTTTATTTTCTTGAAACAGGGTCTCTCTCTGTCACCCAGGCTGGAATGCAGTGGCACAATCTTGGCTTATTGTAGCCTCCACCTCCTAGGCTCAAGCAATCCTCCTGCCTCAGCCTCCCAAGTAGCTGGGACTACAGGCATGTGCCACCACATGCTTTTTTATTTTTTGTAGAGATGAGGTCCCACTACATTGCCCAGGCTGATCTTGAACTCCTGGGCTCAAGTAATCTTCCCTTGTCTGCTTCTCAAGGAGTTGAGATTACAGTTGTGAGGCACTGCACCTAGCTGGAACTCTTTATTATTATTTTTAGCACAGATGAAATTGTGCTTAACTTTGTAGCATGTTTTAGTCACTTTAAATGTTTTGGAGCTCATGCCTGAATGCATACAGGGTGGTTGTATGTCTTTGAAAAGTTCATTCTGATTATGAAATTCTTGAATCTATCCCCTTTCCTCTGGTGATTCCTCGGTGAAACCTGAGGTCACTTGTCACCCAGGCACTGGGGAGAAGTAGAAAAGTCTAGACTCGTCTTTCCCTTTGGGTAATAAATTTTCAGTATTTGAAAATTCCCATTAAAAAAGCATGAGGTTTATTTCAGTTCCAAATCACATCTTAGTATAATTTATAGTTTAATATCTAAGCTATTTCACTATTTTCTTCAAAAAATATAAAAAGGAGGAGGGTGGCACCAAAAGGTAGTAGATGGTAACAAGAAAACTAGCAGGCAAAATGTGATTTTCAATGCCTCTATCATTCAGGAGAACTTTAAAAGGAGGAAGGACATCAATGCAATATAAAAGCAGAGAAATGGATTTGTTTCTGATTTAAAAAACACATTCCTGGGACAATGCATCATCTCTATGTGGCAGTTTTCTGCCTGAGGGGGCACGTTGAATCCTAAAAGGTTTATACCAAAAAAAAAAAAAATCTAATAACTCCAAGTCACATGCTAGCAGTGGGATTGTAACATATCAGTGAAACATAATCGTTGCAGGGAGCGAAAAGAACTTCAGCTTTGAATCTGACAGACCTGAGTTTGAATTTACTAGTTGTGATATCATAAGAAAGTATTTTAAACCCTTAAGGCTTCAGTTTTCTCATCTGTGAAAGGGAATTAAAATTTGTCATGTAGAGTTGTTGCAGGAGTTGAATTAGAGAACATATGGAAATTAACTAGTTGTGTGCCTGGTACATAGCAAGTGCTCAATTAAAGATAATTTAAGAATTGTATCTAATGAAATTCTGGGAATTTTGGCAATTCTTTGACTTCATCATATAACTTCTGTCATATCATCAACTTCCAAGGCACATGTGATTAAAGAAAAATACAAATTGGAGTTCCACTGCTAAAGCTTCTGCATTTTATTCTTAGATAATGGTCTAGGTATAATGTTGTGTGTGACTGCTCCCCATTTCTTGGTTTGTCTACAACCTCAACTCATGAAGAGTATGGGCACAGGAGAAACATATGTCATAAGCGAAGAGTAAGAGAGGGCAGGGAAGATTGGGGTGCAAATAGCTCTTGGACTGTAACTTGTAAAATACTCTACCTGTGGAGGCTGCTTGATATAGAGGAAGGGTCATGGGCTTGGAGTTTGACGAGTGTGGGTTTAAATCCTTACCCTGACATATATAACCAGTTGTGTAAACTGGACAAATTTCATTACTCTGAGCTGCAATAAAGCATTAAGTATAAACATTAAATATAGGGTTGATGTGAAGATTAAATGAAATGCTCTGTATAAAGTTCCTGGTGTACTATTGTATGCTCACAGTAAATGACACAGGAATTAGCAACTCTTGAAAACAGCTTTGAATACTGTTGGGTCAGTAAGTTTAGGCTACGATTAACTTGCTTGAGGCAGAGAACAATAAAAAAGAATATAGAGGAGGGAGAATAAAAGCAGATGGATAAGGAGAGGGAAACAAATGGAGGAAAAAAATGAGAACGATAAAGGAAAAAGATGAAGAAATTATTAAGGAAAGCTTTCTATAGGACAGGAACAGAGAAAGAGAACTTTGAGCTGATGTCAAAATGTAACCACTATGATTTATACGTACAAAAAAATTAGTTGAGCTCATATTGTTCTGACCAAAAATTTCAACTGATGTAGGAAAAAAGTCACCTTAAATTTGCTTAAATCTAGTAACTGGGGTTTTCCGGTATAACATAGTCCTTTGTGAGTAAATATGTAGTTAACAGAAAGCACAAGCTTCCTAGAGGGCCTCTTTCAGCTCCTCAAGGTGTTTTCCCTTTTTCCTTCTCAAGATGGTGAGGCTGATATCTCATGGGCTGCAAGAACCGGGGCCTGTGGCTCGAGACCCTCGCCTTCTGGTGCCGAGAATCTTCCCGGCCCTGTTGGGTCATAGGACATCTGATACTGATGTTGCTGAAGGATGGCTCCTGCCTGTTAGTGGAAGTAAATGGTCCCTGCCCAAGCCTTTGGGGGATTAGCACCACAGTCTGCAGTCTTCCTGCCTTGCTTCCACGACGATTCCAGCTCTTTGAGTTATCACTTCCGCCGGACCCCACTGGGCTTCTGAATCCCTTCACACCAAGCGCAGCCATGGGTAATCGGAAGTGGAACTGTTCACCCAGGCCCTTCTATCCTTGCTGCTGCCTATTCTACTGCTCCAGAGCTTGTTAATGGTGGTGCCAGAGTGAGTGTGGAACTTCTCCCAGAGGCTTTGTCCGGCAAACTGGATATTCTTTAATCCCTTCCAGCCCATCTTGTGCTGAGATTCTGACTCCTTTCTCAGGGACTTCAGTAACGTAGTTATCTTAATCTGATCTCTTGTGACTGGTCCTCAAGATTTTTGGCTTGAAGGCCCCTTTATACTCTTAAAAATTATTGAAACTGCAAAGAATTTCCGCTTAAATGGGTTATTTCTATTAATATTAACCACATTAGAAATTAAAACTGTTACTGATTTATTTAAAAATAAAAAATCTCATTACTTATTAACATAAATTACATTTTTAATGAATAACTATATTTCTGAAACAAAACAATTAGTGAGAAAAGTAGCATCATTTTACATTTTTTGGAAACCTCTTTTATGTTTGGCTTCACAGAAGACAGTGTCTGTTTCAGCATATATCTAATGGAAGATATATGCTTCAACATTTAAACTGTTAATGATAATCATATGTAGCCTCTGGAAAACTCCACTGTACCTTCCTGAAGTAGACACAGTGTAAAAAGCAAATAATGTCTTAGTAGAATCATGAAAATAGTTTTGGCCTTATGCAGCGCCTGAGAGGATCTTGGGACTCACAGGAGAATCCAGACCACTTTGAGAGCTGCTGCCCTAAAACTTTCTCCCTGCCCTACCAAAAGGTTTTCCACATTCCTTTCCTGTCTGATGAGAACCGCTCTTTAGTCATATCCCCCTTCTTCCCTACTGGCATGCTCCCTTGCCTTCCCTGGGCTGTAGGGAAGGAAGTTGGTGAGGAAGATTAATTGAAAGGAGAGGATGGCTGAAAGTGAAATGTTTTTAGGGCAGGGAATAGCAGAATGTTCCCCATTAATTGATGAGTGGGGCATATGAATGTTCCACTATGCCTAGCCTGCCTAGCAAATACTATGTTCTTTCAGCCACGTTTATCATGCCTCTTTAACTCATGAGACCAGCTCACTTTCTTGATGGCCAGTTCACTAGTTTGTCATCATCTTGCTTTGGGGAACCAAGGCAGAAAAAGGTCTATGTTTCCTTTTGCATAATGATAAACATGTGTCACATACTGTGTCTAATAACCAAGATCTATAAACTCAATCCAGGGTGATAAAGCTAAATGATTTTTTTCAGTGTCTTTCATGCCAGTCCTCCTTCCCCACAACATCATCAATCAATCAAATTGCTCTTGTAGTTTGTTATGTTGCTATGGCAACATCTTCCTGCACAGTTAAAAATAAAACTTATGTGCTCCTCCTGAAATTTGGAGAGAGCAAGAATCTAATTGCCTGGCAGTCCTCACCATGGGAAAACTGATACCTTGGCAAAGGCTATCCAGCCACTTTGTACTGGAGAGTGGAGATGAAAAGCAGCCACCGAGTTCTGTCTCTGTCTCTTGGGATACTACCCATGAAAAAGTGAGGCTACCTTTTGCACAGCTGCATTGGTGTTTTTCATTCCCAGTTCTTAGGCTCGACATCTTGACAGACATCTCTGCAGTTTGGCAAATCTGTGGGGAAGAGAGCAAAAAAATATCAACGCAGAAGGCTGCTTGGGAGTTTTAACTGCTCTCATGGACACTTTAGATTGCTTAATAAGAAAAAGATGTCTGCAGAGATTTGGGTTGTCTCATAGACAGACCCTGAGACAAGGATTCAAGGCAAGTAGTTTATTTAAGAGGTGCAGGGAACATTAGGGGTGGGAGTGGAAAAGTAATATTGAGAAGAAAAGACAGCCAATAAGGGTGTGTTATTAACTCAGCAACTACTGTGGGTGACTAGGGCTTAATTCTGCAGGAAATCCCTGAGAAGTCGGGTAAAACACTTGTCTTTGAATTCTATCTGAAGAGTGAGGGAGCTGGGGTATTTATACACTGACTCCCAAAAGTCTTTGGTTGAAGGCTATTCCCAAGGGTAGGGTATTTCTTCCTAGCACTTTTGTTCTGCCACTTGGTGGGGAGCAACACTTTGGTTCTATAAAAAACCTGCAGGAACAGAGATGCAGATACCTGCAGTGAGAAGGCTGTGGATAAAGAGTAAAAGTGGGACATTGATAGTGTCAACTACGGGTGCTTAGATTGGGGATTTTATTTTGGGAAGGTAAAGAAATTGTGTTGACACAAGCTTTTAAGAACCTAGCAGCAATAATAGTGAGTGTGAAAATAATAAAAGAACAGAAGGTGTTTAAAAAGTAGTTTTGTTGTTGTTTTAATTAATTTGTCTTTGTATTTATTTATTTTAAGACAGGGTCTCACTCTGTTGCCTGGGCTGGAGCGCAGTGGCATGATCATGGCTCACTGCACCCTCAACCTCCTGGGCTCAAGTGATCCTCCCACCTCAGTCTCCCTAGTAGTTGGGGCTACAGGTGTGTGTCATCATGCCCAGCTAATTTTTATATTTTTTTGTAGAGATGCGGTCTTGCCATGTTGTCCAGGCTGATCTCAAATTCCTGGGCTCAAGCGATCCTCCTGTCTCGGCCTCCCAAAGTGCTGGGATTATAGGTGTGAGCCACCACACCCAGCCAATTTAAAATACCTATTTTAAAAATATAGGTATTTTCCTCCAGGATGCCAGATCTTTGAATGGATGTTTACATCTTCACTATCATAAAATGGCTTCTTCATCCTCCACTGAGCCCTTGGAACTCTAGTTCTTCAAATCCATGCACTTCAGTCCCAAATAGCTTCATGTTACCATATTAATGCAAACTACCTTCTGTATGTTTTGCTTTTTGATTTTGCTTCTTTAAAACTTTTCTAAAGATGACTCCCAAGTACAGTATCTTTGAATAAAGTGACTGGAGTAACTAAAAGAAGATAACCCAGAAGGAGTGTTAGTAATAACTCACAGTTATTGAGTGCCTGCTGTATGCTAGGCACTGTACTAACTGATCTCCATAAATCATTTTGTTTGAAAGTCATAATCACTCACTTGGAAAGGTACTATAACCGTCCCCATTTTACAGATGAGGAAATGAAGATGCAGAAACTTGTTCAAGTTTCCACATCTAGCAGATTTAGGAGCCAGCATTTAAATCCAGGCTGTCTGTTCCCAGAAAATGTCTTTAGTCAACTTTATTATCTTTTATTTTACTTTCATTAGTACTTTGAAATCAAAATTGTTACTTGGGATTGACATTTTTCAATATTTAGATGGACTGTAACACAAAATATATTGGATTATCTAGGACTAACCCATCTGCAGTTAACCAACCCTGGTCCTGGCCAGGAAGCCATGCTGCTTAAAATCAGATATTCAAGAGACTTGTACTATCATTCTTTTTCCCCATAAAGACAGAAAACTGGTAATATTTGTCCTTAAATATTTATCTCAGGTTAAATCTGTTTCTTTTGTACTTCATGGTGAAAACTCAGGGGCTTCAATTGATTTCAGTTTTTCCAGGCTCCTAAGAGGATGCTGCTGGAGAACAATTTTGCCTCTGGCTAAACAGAGCCCCAAAAGATTGATTTAGCTAATCTCTAGTAAAGGTGAAAAGCTCTTTCCATAGATAAAATAATATATTTTAATTTATCTGCTTTGGGTGCAAAAAAAGTGACTTAGACAAATTACTTTAGGTAATTCACCATTTACTTGAAGGGTACATACACAGAGAAAGCTAGGAAAAACTGAAGAACCAGACAGGAAAGGGCAGGACCCATAGAGTGGAGAGAAGCAGAATGATCTGAATTCTAGAGCTTGGAAATGCACGTGGGTCAGCCCCCTCTGGAAAACACCCTTGGATCCTTTTTGCTCAGATTTCTCATCTTTATCTCCATGCACTCATCTGCCTCAAATCTTCTGCTTCTCATAGCTTCTGTCCCAATCTCAGTATTTTTTGTTTGTTTGTTTGTTTGTTTAAATGATGAAGAGAGCCAATCAGAATGGACAAGTTTATGTTTTCAAGCCAAGCCATGTGATGGGGCTCAAGACATGCTACCCCAAAATATGGCAGCTTGTCATTTGAGGAACAGAAGAAGCAGGGAGGTCACTCTCACCTTTTCCTTGCTCCTCTTCCCTTGAATCAGGCCATAAAACCCAGCTAAACTTTCCCTGAAAGAGGTCATAAAATTATCATTCCAGAAGTGCCTGTCCTATACCTAAAGGAAAACAACATCCTTATCTCCGAAGACACGGACCCAGAGAAGTATCTGAACAGCCTTGCTAAGTTTCCCCCAGTTTATTGCTATTAGATCATATCCTATTATCCTTCGATCTTACCTCTCCTCAACCATCTACTCTTCATCAAACGTAAGCATACAAATACATATTTCCCTATTTCTTTGGGTCTTCATTTCTGAAGGTGCCGGAGCCACATAAAACATCTATTAGATAAATGTGTGTGCTTTTCTCTTGTTAACCTGTCTTTTATGATAGGAGCCTCAGCCATGAACCTTGTGATGGATAAGTAAAAGATACTGCTTTTTCTCCCCTACACATATCATGGGCCTAATTGGCCTATGGCTTATTGGCCTTTAAGTTAGGTGACTGCCCCTGTCCAGTTAGCTTTGGCTAGGTACATGTGGTACAACCCCTTCAGCAAAGATGTCTGCAAGGGCTCTGGGCAGGGCAAGTATCATGATTGAGATCCACTGTGCTGCTTTTTGATTATCTTAACCAAGTGGCATCTGGCTCTTTGCACTTCTGTTATCAAAAGCATGCAGGTCTGATTTTAGGTGTTGACCAGAAAATAGACACACTCAAGGGAGCTCAGTCTTTAGTTGTCTGTTAAAGACACAGCCACAGTGTTTTATACTTGACTAAGGTTATCTAACAGAACTTCTAATAATCTAATCTTTTAGATTTTCCAGGCTATATCTCCTCATCAAATTACAGCTCCAGAAAAATCACATACCTGGACTATATTAGTTTATTTCTCTGGAGAACAACCTTCATAAAATGATTATTTAATATGATCCCCTTGAGGTTATATGAAATGTTCATATGAAAAAAAGTTTGCTTCCCTAAAATTGCCTTAAAAGTTGCCTATTGTTGTTTAGTGTTCTTTATATAAGGATTCATACAATAATTTTCTCTTAGATTTTAGTACAAAAGAAAAAGCTTTGTTTCTGTTTTAATAAGTGAGAGTTATAATGTTCACCAAATTTCCTGTTTGCCACTGAAAAATCTAAAACAAGATTTAGGACTCATTTATAGTAACTCCCCTTAGCCTGGGCTTCTAGTATAATAATCTTCCTCTTCTCAAGTACATACTTATGATATTTTCTCCTTATTTTATTTATTTATTTGTGAGACAGGGTCTTGCTGTGTTGTCCAGGCTGGAGTACAGTGGCACAAACATGGCTCACCACAGCCTCTACTTCCTGGACTCAAGCAATCCTCCTGCCTCAGTCTCCTGAGTAGCTGGGAGTACAGGCTGGCACCACTATGCCTGGCTAATTTTTTTATTTTTTGCTCCCCAGGCTGATCTTGAATGCCTGGGCTCAAGTGATCCTCCTGCCTCAGCCTCCCAAAGTGTTGGGATTACACACATGATCCAACAAGCCCAGCTGATATTTTATCCATATTTTAATGATTGAGAAGTATATATGTTTATTGTCTCAACCACCTCAGGTGCTTTTTTCAAGTAGCTAGAATACAAATAACAAATATGGTTCAATATATAATATTCTCATTTCATAGGGAAAATGCTAATGATTTTAGAAAAATATTTGGTGTTTTAGGGGGTCTCCAGACCAATGACTTTTTATACTCAACATATAGTAAATGAGATATTAGTTACCACTGTGCTTGTGCTACTAAGAAAATGTCATCAGGGCCCTTGGAGCAATCTGATGATGTATTTTTGTTGTAGAAAATTTGAATTCAATAGAGTTTGCACAAAGATTTTTGTTGAAAGGGGAAGGGCTGAGCTTGATGGCCACTAGTGAAGAATTATTCATTTCGATAAAGGAATCAAAGAAAACTTGATAGTAACTGGCTTTTTATAATTGATGTTTTAAGATGCTAGAGGCTTTTGCTAGTTACTTTATTTTTCTTATTTTGTAATTCTTATGTTTGTTCTAGAGTGGGTCCTTTTTTTCTCTTTTTCATCTTTATTGAGGTTTAATTGACAAATAAAATGGTGTATATTTAAGGTGTACAACAATGTTTTGATATATGTATACATTGTGAAATAATGACTGCATCAAGCTAATTAACATTCATTACCTCACACAGTTACCATTTCCTTTCTCTTTCTTTCTGGCTTTCTTTTGAAGTGGTGTCTTCATTCTAGGTGCTTTAGGCAGCCAGTTAAAACTTTAGTGTATCGACTGTTTTTCTACACAATATTAATAATGGATTGACAGATTATTTTTTTTATCTACAATAATCAAGCAGGCTGGGTTTTTTTTTGGCATTGTTTGACATGGCTTCAGTAGTCAATTTTAAATAATCATATGGAAACATAAGCCTTCCAGAAAGGAAGTCTCTTTTCTGGAAGTCAGCAAGCCATATGGTCTACCAGTGTTACAAACCTGTTTTCTGCTAAGTGTCCTTTGAGGTTTGCATTAAAAAAGTGAGATTTAGCTGTAGCACAGATGAAAGTGGTTGCTAGATTGACGTGCATTTTTGTGGAGTGATATTTTCTGGGTCACTGGTATTTTCTGCTATTGGATTTAGTAGTATGTCATTGAATTTTTATTTTGAAACTTGCCAACTTAAAAAGTCTGCAGACATTTTAGCCCCTCTCCAGACCTCCAGTGGGCTTGAATAGTCCTTGGCCAACGTATGCTGTAGAGTGAATTTTTTTTACCTTTCTTTCTTGAGGCTGGAGTGCAATGGCCTGATCTCGGCTCACTGCAACCTCCACCTCTTGGGTTCAAGTGATTCTCTCATCTCAGCCTCCAGAGTGGCTGGGATTACAGGGATGCTACGATGCCCGGCTAATTTTTGTATTTTTAGTAGGGATGGGGTTTCACCAAGTTGGCCAGGCTGGTCTTGAACTCCTGACTTCAGGTGATCCGCCTGCCTCGGCCTCCCAAAGTGCTGGGATTACAGGCATGAGCCACTGCGCCCAGCCAGCCTCTGCTGTACAGTGAATTTTATTTGTTACCTTGGAACATTTTCCTACAGCCGTTTTTTCTTTGCTCTCACTTTGGAAGAGCTGTGCAGTTGCTTTTGGCACCTGAGTTTGTAACCTTTCCGGAATTTCTCCTTCACAACCTCTCATCACAGACCCAAATCCCAAAGGCACCTGCTAGCTCAGCCCAGATGCCAGGAAGCTCTGTCCCCAGCTGGGCCATGTGACCCTAATGAGTGAGCAGCCATATGTACAGTTAATTAAAACTGAAGTCAAAATAATAAAATGAGTTTTCAGGGTGCACTTAGCAATGGCAAGATTTCCTTTTATAAAATCTGAAAACCACTGCACAGCCACCAGGAAAAAGGGACAAGCTACTTATGTTAATTGTGTCCTTCAGAATCTCAGTTAATGGCTGTACTGTGTATCTATGTCATACACTGAGAAATCCACTGAAAGACATTACCAGAAAGATACAATAAAAAAGAAACCGCAGTCTCTGTCTTCCCTCAGCTCACAGTCTTGTGGGGCATTGTAAAAATTTAATTTCTCTCCTTCAATGGCTGGAGTTCATGATCTCTCTCTCTTCTGTTTCCCTTGACTCTCTGTAGGTAGACTTTGTCTCTTACCTTCGTGGTTCCATAGCCCTGTGCCTGCTTCAGTATTCTGATGGCTACCCCCTCTCCCTTGCTTGACTATGTTTGTACTGGAGCCTGCTGGTATCAACTGGGGAGAGTTGATTGTTACATGTTCAGGAGTGATGTTAGCCAGTTGCTAAACTATGGGTAACTTGAGATTGGCCATAGTGAGGATATTTACACCATGGCATTTGGCAAATGCTCCAAACCTGTGGGTTTTAAAAAAAATTATTAAGACTTTTTTTCAATTTTTAATTTTAATTTTTTATTTTAGGTTCAGGGGTACATATGCAGATTTATTATATAAATTTGTGTCATGGGGTTTGTTGTACAGATTATTTTGTCACTCAGATGTTAAGCCTAGTCCTCATCAGTTATTTTTCCTGATCCTCTCCCTCCTGTGACCCTCCACCCTGAGGTAAGCCCCAGTGTCTTTTGTTTGACTCTGTGTGTCCATGTGTTCTCATCACTTAGCTCCCACTTGTAAGTGAGAATATGCAGTATTTGCTTTTTTGTTCCTGTGTTAGTTTGCTGAGGACAATGGCCTCCAGCTCCAACCATGTTCCTGCAAAGGACATGATTTCATTCTTTTTTATGGCTGCATAGTATTCCATGTTGTATATGTACCATATTTTCTTTATCCAGTCTACTGTTGATGGACATTTAGGTTGATTCTATGTCTTTGCTATTTTGAATAGTGCTGCAGTGAACATATGCATGCATGTGTCTTTATGGCAGAACAATTTATTTTACTTTGGGTGTATACCCAGTAGTGGGATTGCTGGGTCGAATGGTAGTTCTGTTTTTAGTTCTTTGAGGAATCGCCACACTGCTTTCCACAATGGTTGAATTAATTTACACTCCCACCAGCAGTGTATAAGCATTCTTTTTTCTCTGCAACCTTGTTAGCATTTGTTATTTTTTGACTTTTTAGTAACAAACCATTCTGACTGGTGCAAGATGGTATGTCATTGTGGTTTTTTGACTTGCATTTCTTTAATGATCAGTGATGTTGAGCTTTTTTTGGGTGGGGGGAGCTGGTTGGTCAGCACATGAGTTTCGTGAAGTCAGGAATAGGGCTTTCATTTTGGATCTCTGGAGCCTAACAGTTCCTGGCATATGGTGGGTACTCAGTACGTATTTGATGAATGAATGAATGAATGAAGAGACTGTAACTAGGCTCTATAGGACACAAATGGAATAAAACTATCCAACCCCGTTTTATGTATAATGAAACAAACTGTCACAAAAATGTAGTGATTTGAGAGGCCTGTTGAAAAGTCCTTACCTCCCACCAAATTGTGTCCCTTGCTGTTTTGTCGCAGTACCTTATTCCTGTATTGATGTCATTTTTAAAGTAAAGTGCACATTCTGATTGGTTCTAGGCAGAAGTTTTCTGCGTAGGGCAGAAGGAGAAGCTGATGAGACACGCAAGACAGTGGGAGGTAACACATTAGCAGATGACACAGTGAAAGGATGATTAGTTTATCCAATTATTATTCCGCTTCAGATCCACCACTGTGCTGGAACTGAGCAGAACCAGGAAGTGGGTGAGATTTATTCCCAATTCTTTTTAACCTTTCTTTCTTTTTTTTTTTTTTTTGGCTTCTTCTCTGTCACCCAGGGCCTTTATGCCGTGCCTTGTTTACCCAATGACCTTATCTATTTTTTTTTTTTTTTTTGGATGGAGTCTTGTTCTGTCACCCAGGCTGGAGTGCAGTGGTGCAATCTCAGTTCACTGCAACCTCTGCCTCCCAGGTTCAAGTGATTCTTCTCCCTCAGCCTCCTGAGTAGCTCAGACTACAGGTGCATGCCACCAAGCCCAGCTTATTTTTGTACTTTTAGCAGAGACGGGGTTTCACCATGTGGCCAGGATGGTCTCGATCTCCTGACCTCGTGATCTGCCCGCCTAAGCCTCCCAAAGTGCTGGGATTGCAGGCGTGAGCTACCACGCCTGACTGACCTTATCTATTCTTTCTAAATAAAATAATTCCTGTGCTCTAGACTGAGTTTTCCCTTCCTACTTTTCTATCACAACTGCTTTGTCTTTTGTTTCCTTCTCCATGAGCTCTCTATTCCTGGTTATGACTTCATGTGTTGTTCTAACCCAGGTGCATTGTAATTCAACAGAGGACCCGTGGAAACAGTAAAGATTGAACCCAAAGCAGAAAACCTCCCAAAGGTGGTATTTAAGGCACTGTGGGAGAGGGATGGGGAAAATTTTAGTATGGGAGCAGAGAACATTCTAGGTGGTGTGCTTTAAATCATATCATATAAGCAATTGCCTTTCCTGCCTTCATGTAAGGTAAGTTCAACTCATTTTCAATAGAAGAGAGCAGGCACCTGCTGACTTTTAGGATTTGGCATGGGAAAATTTGATGAAGGAAGGGAAGAGAACCAGGCCTAGGATAGGGCAGATGTTCCCTACCATGGGTCCTGGACATTTGGAGGATATTAGGGATATGGAGTGTGGGTATATGCTGGGGATTGGAGGCTGAGGGTTGGGGTGTGGTGGGAGGTGAGGTCTCCGAAAGGCATTGAGGGAGAGTGACAGAAGAGCAGAGGGAAGCAGAGACAAATGTGGCCTCAAGCTGGCTATGTTATGAGTTTGGTCTTTTGAAACACTCCTACTTTTTGTCATTGCTGCAAACTTGTAATGGGACAAGCTGCTCAGGCCAGACTTGAGGTTCTGTGCTGATGGCTAGGTTCATCGGATTCATTTTTTTGGAGGCTTATTTAGCCCCTGCCCTGACCTCCAAGCCTTCATGGAGAAGCCAGCTTCAACTGAAAGGGAATCCCAAAGAAGGCTTCTTTACAGCCTGTTAGAGGGTTCTGGAAAAGAATTTTTGTTTATGCCAAAAAACAAAAGAGACAGAATCATTTGATTAAAATTCTTTCATTTACCTAACTGTATGTCTTTGTTTCTCAGACAAGCTGTGAGGAGCTGGCAGGTGGGAAAAAGCCAAATCCTCAAAAATATTTTACAGTGTCGACAAGGTTTAAATAAAGATGTTATCAAGGCTTCGGAAAATTGCATCTCTTCTCTTGACTACTGTTTTCTGTCTGGGGAAGAGCAGGAGCTTAAGTACAGTTTGAGAAAGTGACTTTACGTTTTTCTCCACTGGGATTGCATTTCTAAAAATGCTGCTTGCATTTTCAGAAATCATTTGAATAGGGAGATGGTGTCAAGGTGGGAGTGAGTTGCACAGAGGAGCTTGTGCCAGTGTGTTGGTTTGTAACATATTGTACAAAGCTCAAATGGAAGTGACTTTCTCTTTAAAGGTGTCAGTCAGAAGTAATAATAGTAATAATAACACTGCACCCAAACTTATCTAGCACTTACTGTATGTTAGGTGCTCTATGCTAAATGCTTTCCATGGATTATACTATTTCGTCTTTTCATACCTTGTGGGTAGTTACTCTTATAATCACCCCTATTTTTCAGGCAAGAAAACTGAGGCACAGAGAAGTTGAATAGCTTGCCATTGAGTAGCAGTGGAGATAGGATTACAAACTGAGGCAGTCTGAAGCCTTAGCCCATGCTTCTAACCATTATGCTGCCCTGTCTCTTAGCAGTAGAAGACAGGGCAAAAACTGCAGCAGCAGAACAGGAAACATTTACTGAGCATCTACTATATGCCATGCACTGTACTGTGTTTCTTAAATGCATTATTCACTTATATTCTTAACCACACAATGAGGTTGGTACCATTGTATTCCCATTTGACAGCAGAAGCAATTGAGGCATATGTCATATAATCAGTGGAATGGAGCTGGGGGTGGTGGTGAAGCGTCAACTTGCCCTGAGCTGCTATAACTGACCACCAGAGTGAGTAAAAACACTAGCAAGGGACACATGCAAGTTTTCATACAGGCCAACCCTGGGGTCTCACATAACTGGTTACGAGCATGTCCAGACCATGCAAAAACATGTGATTTCTCTTAGCCATAGTGCCACCCAGGGATAGCACTGAGGTTGGGACTTGCCTTCCACAGCAACTGATGCCCACATTACCTTTGGCAAGGTCCTGCCTGTTGCTGCTCTGAGCACCTCACTGCCCAGAGCCCAGCCCTCCAGGTCTATGGAGTGGAAAGCCTTTTGGTTGTTGGTGTGGATAAAGGTGGATGGACAGACAGTGTCATCGGTTGGTTGGTTTGTTGTAATAAAGAAATAGAAGAAGGCAATTTCAGGTTTTTCTCTATCACTCAGTTTCTGCTGCCAATATAATTCTTCTTCTTTTTCAGGTAAGAAAACAGGAGCAACAACCAATAGAATATAGAAGTTGCTTAAAGTAAAGTTTCAAGGCTGCAAAGATGCCCATACCTTAGACTCAGGCCTGAACTCATACATGTGGCCAGGTTCAGGCTCAGAAGTTTAAGGAACATGTTTTTGGCTTAGCAAGGAAGAATGAGGGCAGATTTTAATTTATCCCTTGTTGGACTTCTCTTGAACTTACATTGCTCCCCAAATTTGATGCTACAGATATTGAGCTGATGGTTCCTCTTTACTTCCCCTCTATTTTAAAATTCCTATATCATACTTAGTTATTGTGCTGTGGGATTGGCCACCTCACTGACTTATGAAATGAGGTCTGTGACCCTACTGTCTGAAGGTTTACTAACTGTGTTGGAGTTATTTTCCTGGTCATAGAGATAGACTTGCAACGACTCATCCTTGTTTCATTGCCCTAAGCCCCCAGTGACTAGAAGGAAGTGTAATCCAAATTTCCTTAAGCCTCCTGTGTTTACATGCATAGGGAAAGTCAAGTTTCTCTGCTCATTCCTGCAGCTGTGTAATGAATGATCTCCAGCCCCATTCAGATCTCCAAGTTGTTGCTGGGAGTCTCTGGGACTGCCTCTGTTTCTGTTTTGGATTCTTGTCAATGTCTGTGGTTTGACAGGAGCACCTCGTTGCTGCCACTGTATAGTCTCCTGATGCTTCCCACATTGCAAACCCTAACAGTGGCCTTGGTCCTGGCCCCTCTGCATTTTTTTCCAGATCCTAAGCCAGCTACGCTCAATGGCTCTCCTCTGCATGGGTCTCTGAGTCTCCCAGAGTCCCGTCTGCGTACAGCTCTTCCAGCTTGTCTGCACCCTTCCTTCTCCGAAGGCCTCAGACATGAGTCTATGGGGCTGGCTGGGGTCAGAATCTGATGTGGACTCTCCATCAACCCATCCGTCATGCCCAGACAATGGTGAATTCCAGGAGTGGGTACAAATTAGTGGGATCCAAGACTCTCATGTAATATCCAGATTGTTATTCCGACAAACCCAGCTCAAGGATTGGAGTGGAGCTCATGTTTCCAATCAGGCCTGGAACACGCTGCTTGGGCCTTTTAAGCTCTATCCCCTGGCACTCAGGGCATTGTGCCTGACCAGCAGCAGTGTCACCAGGGAGCTCGTTAGCAATGCAGAGGCTCAGGCTGCCCGCCACCCCACCTACTGAATGCAGATCTGCGCTTTATCCAGATCCCTGGGTGATTTACACACATAGCAGAGCCTGAGAAGCGCTGCTTGATACCATAGCTGACAGATCGGGGTGTACTTAGGAAATGATGCTGGGGAGATTTTTCAGATCTGGGGAACCATGCAGCATTGCATGTTTGAAGTAAATCCATGCTTGCTATTAAACCTACAGAGATTTTTTTTCCCTGTTTTTACTTACCACTTTCATTTAGATTTGGATTTTATTTTGGGATTTTTGATTTTCATGTTAGTCCATAATGGATCTTGATATTGTATATCAGCTTGAATTCTCTTTCCCCTTCATTCTTCTTGAGTTAAGAACTCTGATAATAGAAAGAAACTATAGAGCTGACATTCAAGGAAAATCCAGAAAATGAATTCCTTTTTATCTTTCGGCAGAGCAGCTCCAGCGAATAGAGCACTGTAATAAAACCTTTTTATATGCCTGTCATAGAAAGACAAACCTTTTCCAAAGGAAATAGATTTGAGTATTTGTAAGATATGATAAACAGCCTGACAAAAACCCCCAATTTCCCTTTTAAATGTTCAGTAGGGGGAGGTTTTAACTTCCCTTGTCAGGTAAAAAAAGAAATAATTATGAAAGCCATTCCAGCTGAAACTCAGAAATGAAAACTAGACCGGATCAGAGTGGAAAGCAATGATTTAGAAATGTGTTAAAGGGAGTAGTTTAATGAATAAAGTGTCAACTTTCTATAGGAGTAAAAATAAATCACGCATGGGCTTAACCAGTTTTGTCGCCTTGAATTAACTGGGTGTAGTCAGCACTGGCACTCAGTGTAAGGAAACATTAAAATCTAATTCTAAGATTTGTATAAATGAGTTGTTAATGATGATGTTAATAATGGCATTGTATTCACTTTCTGACTTCTGATTCTAGCCTAATGCTAAAGGAAAAAAAGAAAATGAGGAGCATTTGAATGAAAATAGCCCTCATTTTCAAAGTTTCTGCATTCAGCAGATGGCCTCGAGCCCTAGAATCCATCCATCAAGAAAAGACCTGAAGTCCTGCTGCAGAGCTGTCTAGACTCTTTTTGTTGCTGTCCTGGCTCTTGCTATCCAGATATATTAGTTTGCCAGGGCTGTTTTAACAAAGCACTACAAACTGGATGCCTTAAAGGGTAGAAGTTTATTCACTCACAGTTTCTGGAGGCTGGAAGTTCGAGATCAATGTGTCAGCAGCGTTGGTTCCTCCCAAGGGCTGTGAGAGAGAATCAGTGTCATGCCCCTCTCATAGCTTCTGGTGGTTTTGTGTTCTTTGGCTTGTAAACGTATCATCCTGATCTCTGCCTTCATCTTCAAATGACATTCTTCCTGTGTGCATGCCAGTGTCAAAGTTTCCCCTTTCCTTTTTTTCAGTTTGAGTTTTACTTTTTATTTCAGTAGTTTTTGGGGAGCAGGTGGTGTTCGGTTACATGGATAAGTTCTTTAGTAGTGATTTCTGAGATTTTGGTGCATCCATCACCTGAGCAGTGTACACTGTACCCAATGTGTAATCTTTTATCCCCCTCCCATCCTTCCCCCTGAATCCCCAGAGTCCATTATGTCATTCTTATACCTTTGCGTCCTTATAGCTTAGCTCCCACATGCAAGTGAGAACATACGATGTTTGATTTTTCATTCCTGAGTTATTTCACTTAGAATAATGGTCTCCAACTCCATCCAGGTTGCTGCAAATGCCATTATTTCATTTCTTTTTATGGTTGGGTAGTGTTCCATGGTGTGTGTGTGTGTGTGTGTGTGTATATATATATATATATATATATATATATATATATATATACATATCCATTTTCTTTATCCACTCATTGATTGATGGACATTTAGGCTGGTTCCATATTTTTGCAATTGCAGATTGTGCTGCTATAAACATGGATGTGCAAGTATCTTTTTCATATAATGACTTCTTTTCCTCTGGGTAGATACCCAGTAGTGGGATCACTGGATCAAATGGTCATTCTACTTTTAGTCCTTTAAGGAGTCTTCATACTGTTTTCCATAGTGGTTGTACTAGTTTACATTCCCACCAGCAGTGTAAAAGTGTTCCCTTTTCACCACATCCATACCAATATCTATTCTTTTGTGATTTTTAAATTACGGCCATTCTTGCAGGAGTAAGATGGTATCACATTGTGGGTTTGATTTGCATTTCCCTGATAATTAGTAATGTTGAACCTTTTTTTAGATGTTTCTTGGCCATTTGTCTTTCTTCTTTTGAGAATTGTGTATGCATGTCCTTAGCCCAAAAGTTTCCCCTGATCATAAGGACTCCTGTTATATTGGACTAAGGTCTGCTCTAATGACCTTATCTTGACTACATCTGCAAAGGCTCTATTTCTAAATAAGATCCTATTCTGAGGTGCCTGGGATTGTGGCTTCAACATATCTTTTCTGGGAGATACAATTCAATCCCTAACACCAGGTGAGGCGGCTTCATAACAAGGTTGTTTAATTTCTTAATAACTAAATTCCGTGGTCCTGGAACACTCCTGGGCATGGGGTCAGAATTTAGCAAATCATAGTTGAATAAGTAAAGTAATTCCTTACCTAGGTATAGACACTTACAAAGCACCCTCACATACCTTTGAGGTATAGATTATACAATACTAATTTTCTAAGTTTGAAAATGGAGGTTGTGATGGTTAATACTGACAGTCAACTTGATTGGATTGAAGGATACAAAGTATTGATCCTGGGTGTGTCTGTGAGGGTGTTACCAAAGGAGATTAACATTTGAGTCAGTGGGCTATAGGATGGGATTCTGTCTTGGACTCCACTGAGTAGGGGAAATACATTTAAGGGTGGGAAAGGCAGACCCACCCTTAATCTGGGTGGGCATCTTCTAATCAACTGCCTGCCCAGCTAGAATATAAGCAGGCAGAAAAATGTGAAAAAAGAGACTAGCCTAGCCTCCCAATCTACATCTTTCTCCTGTGCTGGATGCTTCCTGCCCTTGAACATCAGACCTCAAGTTCTTCAATTTTGGGACTCGGACTGGCTCTCTTTGCTCCTCAGCCTACAGACAGCCTATTGTGAGACCTTGTGATCATGTGAGTTAATACTTAATAAACTCCCCTTTATATCTCTATCTCTATCTCTATCATCTCTATATCTATTCCATTAGTTCTGTTCCTCTAGAGAACCCTGACTAATACAGAGGCCCTAAGAGGTTAAGAGAATATGCCTTTCATAATCTATAGTTACCTGGTTTGTTTCCTTGTTTATTGTTTGTCTCTCCAAAGAAAAGTGAGGTCAGAGACCTTGACTATTTGCTGAATGCTTTATCTCCACCATCCAGCATGGTGACTAACACATGGTGGGTACTCAATACGTATTTGTGAAGGGGATGAATACATGAAGTAGCCTAACAGCAGGGATCTGAATCCAGGTTTTCCAACTCCACATCTAGTTCTGTTTTGTTATGGATAAATAGATGAATAAAGGAATGTATTTCCCCCACTCAGTGGTGTCCAAGACAGAATCCCACCCTATAGTGAATAATGAATAGTGTTAGTTTGTTGTTCAATGAGACATATTATAATAGTAGGCTGAGGGAAGAAAAAACCCCCACATTTTTCTGGGATTTTTTTATTTTTATTTTTCCTAGATTTTTAAATAACAAACTTAAGAAGAGACGGAGACTAAGTGATGTGTCCCCACCCAAATCTCATCTTGAATTGCACCTTCCACAATCCCCACCTGTCGTGGGAGGAAGCTGGTGGGAGGTGATTAAATTATAGGGGTGAGTCATTCCTGTGCTCTTCTCATGATAGTGAGTGAATCTTACAAGATCTGATGGTTTTAAACAGGAGAGTTTCCCTTCACAAGCTCTCTTCTCTTGTCTGCTGCCATGTGAAATGTGCCTTTCACCTTCCACCATGATTGTGAGGTCTCCCCAGCCACGTGGAACTATAAGTCCAATAAACCTCTTTTTTTTTTGTAAATTGCCCAGTCTCAGGTATGTCTTTATCGGCAGTGTGAAAATGGACTAATACATTAAGCAAGTGGACGTTCAAACATTTCTGACTGTGACCCACAGGAGGAAATTCATTTTGCCTTATAACTTATTAACATACACAAAACTGATACACACATTTCATTAAACAGTACTTACCCTTACACATGCAATATTCTCTGATCCCTCCCCACCCAGGCCCTTGCTCTCTTCTCCTTCTGTTCCTCCCCTTCCATCCTCCCCATTCCATTCAGTTCTGTTCTCTTCCCTTCTCTGCTCTTTTCCACTCCATCTTAAAAGTGCTAATTTCTACTTCCTGGATTGATTTTATGATGCACTGAGTTGTGACCTGTAATTGAAAAATGCTGTGGTAAATACCACTAGGCATTCATCAGAATCCATTTGCCCTTTCTCTGGTCACAGTGAGATTACATTTCCTAGTCTTCTATACATTGAGATTTAACCAGGTGTCTAAGTGCTGTCTAGCAGAATGTGAATGGAAGTAATATGTATAGCTGTCAGGCCTGGCCCATAAAAACCTCCCTGGTGAGTTCCTTTATGCTCCTTTCCTCTCATGGCTAACTGGATGACAATTCCCAGAGAGGCCTTGGTAGCCACTTTCTGAAGATGGCAGCGCCATTGTCAGCCTGGGTACCTGGACTGTTACAGGAAAAAGAATAAACTCCTTGTTCTTTAGACACCTAAATCTTTGTGGCTATCTGTAAGGACAACTAAGCTTATCCTCACTTATCCAATGACCAAGTAGAGGTTTGACTTTCTTTTTTTTTAAAATATACTTTAAGTTCTGGGATACATGTGCAGAATGTGCAGGTTTGTTACATAGGTATACATGTGCCATGGTGGTTTGCTGCACCCAGCAACCCGTCATCTATGTTAGGTATTTCTCCTAATGCTATCCCTCCCCTAGCCTAGAGGTTTGACTTTTGAGAGACGACAGATCTCTGCTTAAGACTGTCCTTTGTAGCTGTGGGCCACATTTAGGTATACAGTGCTGGTGTAAATATGTCTAAGAAGACAGGAGTTTATCCCAACACCTCATGAACACAAAAGTCCTGAAAGATGACCTCATCACCAAGTGTCCACTGAACAACTGAGTTTGGTACATGTAAGATGGCCAGATTCACACAATTACTGCTGCCTTTTTATGTGTGATGTGAGACAGCATAAATAGAATGAAAGTACAAATTTTTAAGAACGAGAAGACCAGAGCTTTAATGAGAAAAGATACATCAGATCTAAGTTACCATGAGAAATCCAATCTAAGGCTCACATACATTCAGAGGCCTCCCCAGCAGACAGCAAAGAAGGCTGGTCATTATGTGCCAGCTCTCCTTACATGCCAACGACAGGGCAGCAAATCATGGGCATGTCAAACAAGGCTTACATTTCCTTCTTCTCCTCTTCCTTTTTTTTTTTTAAAAATGTATTTATTTATTTTGAGACAGAGTCTCACTCTGTTGCCCAGGCTGGAGTGCAGTGGTGCGATCTTGGTTCACTGCAGCCTCCGCCTCTGGGTTTGAAACAATTCTCCTGCCTCAGCCTCCCTATTAGCTGGGATTACAGGTGTGCACCACCACGCCCAGCTAATTTTGTATTTTCTGTAGAGACAGGATTTCACCATGTTGTCCAGGCTGGTCTTCAACTCCTGACCTCAAGTCATCCACCTGCCTTGGCCTCCCAAAGTGCTGGGATTACAGGTGTGAGCCACTGCACCCAGCCTTCCTTTTCCTCTTTGATGTATCAAGTCCCCACTGGTACCTACTGGCATGTTGTTGCTCAATATTTGCTCTTCACCAAGTAAGGAAAATGAAATGATTGCATTTTAGCTCCTTCTCTCTTTTTTTTCCTGCTGTTCATCTTACAGTAACTTCAATGAACAAGATGATGGCTACAAGTAGCAGAACCAGAAAAGGAGAAAGCAGAGGCCTGCATAATTTCTAATCTGAGTTCTTTTGCATCAATAATTTAGAAATGACTAGAGACTTATATGAAGTCATTTCTTACAAGAAACCAAGTTGATTTTAGGTAGTCATTTTTCTATAATTATCTTTATCATTGAATAGAAGGAAGGATTGCAGAACTGGAAGGGGCCTTTTGATTTTCTAGTCCAATACTGTCATTTTACAGGAGGCCACTGAAGCCCAGAGATGATATGGGACTTGTCCAAGGTCATAAACATTAGCTTTTGCCAGAGTCTGCACTGAATTCTGCTTTCATCATGCTTGAATCTATTATTTTCTGTATACTGTATTTCCTCCCAGAAGTGAGGCCTGTTTTCTTCCTTCTCTCTTCCTCCTTCCCTCTATCCCTTCCTCCTCCTCCTCTTCCTTCTCCTTCTTCTTTCTTCTTTCCAATGCTACTGACACCTGTATTCCTTGTGGAGCAAACTGCTTGCCTGGGCGCCCCCCTCTGGACACTGGGATTATGACTATGTCAGTCTAGTGGGGCATATCCAGATTAGGTCTATATTTCTATTAATACCTGGAAGGGTATTACTATGCCATGCCACACCATGCCATGCCATGCCATGTAAAGGTAACAAACAGGACATGCTGGGTGTGATGTAACTCCCACCATGGAATTAGAACATTATGTAGATTACTCTAGGGGTTACCCAAGCTTGATTATTTACAACAATCATGAATACTATCCAGTGGTGTTGTGAGATTCATTTCCACTTCCTAACCTCCTGGGGAAACCCTCAGCAAACTGTAGCCAAGAAATCATCTCAGTCCTGGTCTGATCCAGGCATCTTTTCTTACACCATCCTCATCCTGCTGACCATTTCCATGTGGTCAGCATGGTTTTTGTCCCCAGCCACTCTGTGGGACTATTGATTGGTTGTATCTGGCCCTTATTAGCATTTTTAGAGAATTCTAAGTCCCTCTCTGCCACTGGTCTGAGTTCATTTTCAGCATGAGTCTATGTGAATAGTATTTAAAGGAGACTGATGTTTCTCAACATGCTCTGCAAAAACAGCTGCATAGTTGTCAGAAGTGTCCGTTTCCCAAGGCTCCAGGGCTTGCTCATCTCTGTTCTGAGCAGTTGCCGTGTGCCACTACCCCTGGGTTCTGCCTCCATGTTTTCTGCTACACCATGGCATTGGGAAGGAGTTTCCGCTTTGGCTTAATTTGGTAAAAAGAGTGACTTCTGTATTGGAGCCAAGCAGAAGATGGGCTCTATTTTGGCTTTAAACACAGGCCATTGTATGTCCCAGCCAATGGGGCTCTACCAAGCACTTCCTCTGGCTGCTAAAAATCTTGATGTTACTGCTTATCTTTCCATGTCTTTCCCCTCAGCATGGAGTATGCAGGTGTATCGAAGTACCAACTACCCCCAAAGCAATGCTCCTTATTTGGTAGGGAGAGGAATTGATCCTATATGGTCATATAATTTGATCTTGATTCATCAGGGTCCCTCAACTGAGTTGGGGAGATGAGAATGCCTCCCAGTGTTTTGCTTTTGATTTGATGCCAATTTCAGAAAAAGTGATTTGGCGGTCACTGAGATTGTACTTTGAAAAAACTACAAACCCAAACCCAAACCAAAACACTGGTGAAGCAGTGTGTCCAGGGTGGGAGACTGAGCAGAGGGTGGCACTTATATTCCCAGGTGAGCAATGGCACCAGATGGAGTGAGGGGCCAATTGACATCGACTTTCCAACTGCTGTGGTTCTCTCCTCTTCTGTCTCTCTACTCCTAACCCTCACCTCCTTTCTCCTTTCTGATGTCTGCTTCTGTTCAGCCCCTCTCATATGCTCACCGCTTTATCAAGATATTCAGCTGTCCACCAAAAATATGTACTCTCCCTTCTGTGTTGTGGGAAGGTTACCGGGAGAGGGCAGCCCAGGCAGAGACTACCTTTTCTGTCCCTGCTTGCATACACGTTTGCCATGATGGAATGTGAGCAGAGTAACATCTCATCTCTGGGTCAGGGCTTTAGAGAGTGGGGTGCCTTCTCTGCTGCCTCTCTCCTCTTCCACCAGCCCAATGTGAAGGACTCTGGGGCTCTGACATGGTGATTGCAACCTTTGCAGTCATTGGAATCACCTGGGGATCCTTAAAAAGTCCTAGTGCTCAGAGTCCACCCCTAGGAATGCTAATTAATTGGGCTGGGGTGTAGTCTGAGCAGCAGGAAAAGCTCCATAAGTGATTCTAGGAGACAACCAAGTAGGAGGACTGTTGCTGTAGAGGGGGGTTATAGCCATAACATGGAAAGCATCATGGGGAAGAAAGCTGCCCATAGACCAGGAACACTCACACTGGAAAATTACTTAAGTGAGAAACCTTTTTTTTATTAAGGCCCTGGAAATTTGGGATTTATTTGTGATAGCAGCTCAGTTACCCCGATTATTATACCTTTTTAATGAGCACAGAGAGAATGCGTCCTTAGCATGCTGAGATTTCATCCCAACACCTGCCATCTGCTTTGTTCTGTCGGATTAAACTGTCCCACAGGTGGGCAACTAAGGTGCTGGTGGGATGCAGAGACGCCCCTCCGCCCTGGCATGCCCATGCGCTAGTCCAGCCACAGTGAGATCCTTAAATCAGGTAGCAGCTCCCCTGTCAGCAAAAAGCTCACACGTGGAGATAATCGTTTTATTTTAAAGATGGTGATTCCCTCAGGTTTGCATTTGTTCTGTGATTCTATTAGGCTTTGTAATTCTGTATACTGATATCAGTGCTCAGGATGACATTTTCTACTTGTGGGTTAGTGATATGATACCACATTTAATTTTTTCCGAGCTTTCTGATACTGCTCAGTGGGAGAAATAATTGCTGGTGTTCGATTGCAGAATGTTTCTCACCTAATTCTCTCAAAACTGCGGGGTATGTATTTGATTTCTTTGATTGATCTGTTTTGTGTATGTATTTTTCCAACATCTTGAATAATTTAAGAGCAATCCTAAATTTTGGTTTGTGGATAATTTGTTGTGTGGCAATTATACATCCTCCTGAAGCAGCATATTTCACTGTGTCTGAAAGCAGGAAAGAATTGCTTTATAAGAAAACATTGCTATGTGAATTTGGGCACGCCATGTAGCCCATCAGGTTCCTGGAAACCTGGTGCTTCTCTGAAAGTAAAGTTGCATTTTGAAAGAGAGAGGTTGGTCCTACCTCTTGACATTAGCCTTGATGGGTTGGTAAGTTTTCTGTTTGCTTTAAGCTCTTTCCCTTGTGTTAGTTGAAAGCAATCATGAAAGGGAAAATGCCTGCTGGAGCTCCTGCACCAAGCTTGAAAACCTAGCCACAGGGAGGAAGAAGGAGCACGCTTGTTCACCTGGTTTTGTCCCATTTTCTTGCACTTATGATCCAACTCTGTGGGAAGGGAAGTCAGTTCTGGAGTGGAAGTGGCTGTGGCAGGGAGGTAAGCAGCAATAATACAGGTGCTCTGGAACCATTTCGGGACACAGAGAGAGCTGCCCAAGTGGTCAAAAATCCGCCCTCAAGCAGGGCAGGCAAAGGGATTCATCTTTACCAAACTGTGTACTTTTCTCCTGCTGCCTTAACGGGCTCCCCAGGTAAGAGGCTGGGATTTCACCTGCTAGATCTAAGAGCCATCATTTTCTTCTTCTTGTCACCGAAGACTGCCCTCTTTGTCATGCTCCCTTCTTGGAAGTTTTCCAGGATTAAAACTCCAGAAGAGAAACAAGGTGGGGAACAGGTCCCCCTTTTCTCTTCCTCACAGGGAAACTTAATCAGCAGTCCTCATTGAAGGCTCAGGTCCTCCTTGCCACAAATCCCCTCCTCAAAGGGATCTTAAGGCTTTGGGCAGGGTGTGAATTCATATTTCCTCAATGACCTTGCAGCCAAAGACCACTGGGCACACACCTGTGTTTGAACAAGTTGAGTTTATTGCTGGTTGCAATGAGGGAGACCACACCATAGGGAACTGTGGGGAGCCTCAGCAGAAGGATGTTTCAAAAGACCTATTAGAAGGTTTCGGCTTGTGTTTGGTGATTTGGGGGAGGGTTAAAAAAATTGGGATTATAGGCTGGGCGCAGTGGCTCACGCCTGTAATCGCAGCACTTTGGGAGGCCGAGGCGGATGGATCACAAGGTCAGGAGATGGAGACCATCCTGGCTAACACGGTGAAACCTGATCTCTACTAAAAATACAAAAAAATAGCCGGGCGTGGTGGGCACCTGTAGTCCCAGCCACTTGGGAGGCTGTGGCAGGAGAATGGCGTAAACCTGGGAGGCAGAGCTTGCAGTGAGCTGAGATCATGCCACTGCACTCCAGCCTGGGCGACAGACTGAGACTCTGTCTCAAAAAAAAAAAAAAAAAAAAAATTTGGGATTGCAGATGTCCATCAATGCTGGTTTGAATAAAGAAAATGTGATACATGTGTACCATGGAATACTACACAGCTGTAAAAAGTAATGAAATCATGTCCTTTGCAGCAACATGGGTGGAGCTGGAGGCCATTATCCTAAGCAAATTAACACAGGAACAGAAAACCAAATACCACATGTTCTCACTTATAAGTAGGAGCTAATCATTGTCCATGACATATGGACATAAAGATGGTAACAATGAACACTGGGGATTTCAAATAGGAAGGGAGGGAAGGATTGAAAACTACCTATGAGGTACTGTGTTCCTACTTGGCGATGGGATCATTAGAAGCTCAAACCTCTGCATCACACAACATACCCAAATAATAAACCTGCCCATGTATCCCCTGAATCTAAAATAAAATTTTTTTAAAAAGGAAAATCAGGATTAGATGCGTTTAAGACCTGGATGCTTTCAGGAAGCAGGGGGATTTTATTGTTGGGTATCTTAAACAGGCCTCTATAAGGTAGGAGTAAGGAATCAGGCCAGAGCTCTGATTGGTAAAGAAGCAGCTGTCTGGCTGGGCGCGGTGGCTCACATCTGTAATCCCACCACTTTGGGAGGCCGAGGCAGGCGGATCACCTGAGGTCGGGAGTTCGAGACCAGCCTGACCAACATGGAGAAACCCTGTCTCTACTAAAAATACAAAATTAGCCGGGCGTGGTGGCGCATACCTGTAATCACAGCTACTCGAGAGGCTGAGGCAGGAGAATCGCTTGAACCCGGGAGGTGGAGGTTGTGGTGAGCCGAGATCGCGCCATTGCACCCTAGACTAGGCAACAAGAGTGAAACTCTGTCTCAAAAAAAAAAAAAAAAAAGAAAAGAAAAAAGGAAAAAGCAGCAGCTGTCACTCATTAGCACAACAGGGGGATGTCCGGTCATTTTTGTGCGTTGAACAATGTTTATATTTTTGTCCATGCTCAGGCATGTTTATGGAGTGTTCTTGTTTTTGCTTTGATTCATTACAGTTGTGGAGTGGACTGGCGTGATATTGGGGTTCTGTGAAATTGTCTGTGTTCAACAAGACTATGAGTGCCAACACCAGCTCCTAGCAGCACCAAGTCCTGGCTGACAGAACCAGGCCATTTCTGGGATGTTAGGACCTGTTTTTCTTGTTCTCAATTTGGTACACTCTGTACAGCTATATTGATTGTTAAAATATAGAAATACTTCTGTACTGCGTAGTATTTAGCCATGGCCATGAGCCTTCTGAGGGCTTTCTCATCTCCCTGCCTGGTGCCTGCTTCCCCCAGACCTCCCCACAACCCACTGGTTAGTGGTAGAGCGGGAAACCTTCTAGACCTTGCTGCAGTTCAACCGCTAGTGTCTGTTCTGATGAGTCAGTGCTGTGTGGTCCCGTTTGGTAACATTTTCAACATTACCTGGTTTTGAGTTTGTAGCTTCTCTCTACATTAAGATTGAGAAGGGACAAGAAGACAGAAGAAAGAAGAGAGAAACAAAAGGCAAAAGAGTGAAGTGTAAATAAGTGAGGGTGAAGATAGGAAAGGGTGAAAGACGTCTAGAACATGAAGAAGGCTGGACGTGGTGGCTAAGGCGGGTGGATCACCTGAGGTCAGGAGTTCGAGACCAGCCTGGCCAACGTGGTGAAACCCCTTCTCTACTAAAAATACAAAATTAGCTGGGCATGGTGGCACATACCTGTCATCCCAGCTACTCAGGAGGCTGAGGCAGGAGATTTGCTTGAATCTGGGAGGCAGAGGTTGCAGTGAGCCGAGATTGTGCCACTGCACTACAGCCTGGGTGACAGAGTGAGAGTCCATCTCAAAAAAAAAAAAAAAAAAGAAAATGAAGCAGAAATGAGGCCTGAAAAGTGAACTTAACAAAGGGTTTAAAAAAAAAAAAAACCCTGAAAAGAAAGAGGTGAGAAGGAAGGGAGGAAGAGAAGAAGGGGACTGAGAACCAGAGGAAGGAAAGGAAAATTCAGGCCAAGGCACCCCCTTATGTTACACTGCGGTTCAGTTATACTGAATATGTCTCAGAATGAGTTCGCTACCAGCTGGAGCTTAGAAAACAATCATTTCATTCAACAGAAGTTTGGGTTGGAGTTGGATCAAATTTGACAGAGTTTAACCTGTAAAGAAAAGAAGGAAATGGAACTCCGCAGTCTGACGGCCACTTATGGCCAAGCGTTCTGGAAGCTGTTAGAATCCGCAGCTTGGCGCCTTCACCGCTTTTCTTTCTGTTTGCATCCCATGATGCTCTTTTCAATCACAACTTGCATGGTTCCTGTGCAGGTATGAAAAATCTCACTGTCTTTGAGTTGGGATGAAAAACAGTGAGTGTTTCCCTGCCAAGTCTCCGATAGAAGGCAGTGCGAACAGATGGTGGAGGAAGCTGCACAGAGAACCTTGGTTCACCCCACCGTGATGTGAGCAGGGAATCACACACGAAGGCTCTTTCTCTTCCTCCTGTGAATAACTTTTACAAATAACCAGCAGGAACCGGGGAGTCGGTGGTGGGGGCACGCATGAGTTTCCTTTCCTCTGAAGCCTTGGTTCTTTAAATTGGCAGCATAACCACTGTTCCCGTGCACACACGGATATTTGAAGGCATCAGTGAAAAGGATGCAGGGTAAACATGAAGCAGAGGACACGGTGGGTTGGCAGATGTGGGCTGGGTCCTGGAAGCTCACATGGACCTGGAAGTTTATTCCATCCTGAGTTCTCGTCGTGGCTCTGTGTGTTCTGCTTCTCTGGGAATCTCGGGCAGTTGGAGTCTTTCTGTACACTTCTCAGTGCCTGGCTGTGTGGGGTAGAAGCAAGTATTTGTGAAACTCGGGCCAAGGTAAGGTAGGTAAGATACTCATGGTGTGAATTTTCCATTAAATTTTTCTTTAGAGATTGTTTTTCCTGAGAGAGAAATTTGTGTGCTATTACACATGTCTTTAAAAAGCCCCCATCAGCCCGGGCGCGGTCGCTCACGCCTGTAATTCCAGTACTTTGGGAGGCCGAGGCGGGCAGATCAAGAGGTCAGGAGTTTGAGAGTGGCCTGGCCAATATGGTGAAACCTCATTTGTACTAAAAATACAAAAATTAGCCGGGTGTGGTGGCGTGCGCCCATAGTCCCAGCTACTCTGGAGGCTGAGGCAGGAGAATCACTTGAACCCGGGAGGCGGAGCTTGCAGTGAGCTGAGATCGCGCCACTGCACTCCAGCCTGGGTGACAGAGCGAGACTCCGTCTCAAAAAAAAAAAAAAAACAAAAGCCCCCACCAGCTCTGGGTCTTCTTTGTGTGCGTGTTGTGTTTTGTGTTAAGAAAATCACTGTTGATGTTGTTCTTCCAGGGGTTGCGGGGGATGGGGTTGGGGGAGGTCCTTTATCTAGGCACTAGATGTGTGATGTGTCTAAATTTCTTTTTCTCTGCTTTACATTTTTGGCTGGGTGAATATTCCTGGAGAGATGGATTTCCTTCCTGGTCATGTAGGAATCAGACATTTTCACAGAAGAGAGTTGCTCTGAGACCCCAAATACCTTATGTTTACTTCCATGGAGACACTCATGTGTATTGGAGATAACAGTGTGTATTGTATGAAGCGGCAACATTTTATCCAGCAATCCCAAACCTGATCATATTTTTTCATTCCTAATCCCTTAAACGGGCCCCAGAACCTCAGGAGAAAGCCCAGATCCCTGTAAGATTTGCTTCCTCTGCAATTCTCTTGCCTCATGTCTCCCCAGTCCCCCTAAAGTTGCCTCCATCCTCTCCCACGAAAATCCTGGACATCGCTCAGAATCAGCCCTTCTGGGTCTTGCTTTTCTGCTAACGCATGGGCTGTTTCTCTGTTCCATAAGAAAGCCCTCATGGAACATGGGCGTTCCATGGGGAAAAGGGAGCCAGGCTGGTGGAATGAAGGGAAAGCAAAAAGAGAAAGGAAGTGAGCAACAAGTCCACCTTTCTGCATGGTCCAGGACACACAGCCCTCCTGTGAAAGTAACTCACAATTTTCCTGTGCCCAACCCTCACCAGACACCTGCAAGTCAGCTCCCTGCAGCCCAACCTTGGCGTTACCAGTGCTGCACAAAGCCTCCTTCAACAGACAGCGTACACACCATCCCATACACTCTCCAGCCAGCCTTTGTTTCTTCACAGTCAGCTTCTGCGGACTTGCCCGTTGTCTCTCTGGCCACGTATTTTCCTACTTTCTCAAATAAATCTGCCTTCCTTTACCTACAACTGTCTTGGTAAATTCTTTCACCCTCACACCACCGGCCATCATTCCCCCATGACAGAACACACTTTTTAATCGAGCAGAAAGGACATGTGGCAAGGAGAAGCAATGTGCTCAGGGTGTTTTGGGGTTTATTACGAGGATGCTCATGAAATCATGAGAAACAGAAAATTGTCTTAGTCAGTGACACTGCCCGAACTCACAAAAAACAGGAATGATAGGAATGATCTTTGGGAATGAGGCCACAGTTCAGTGGCCTCATATGAGATAAACCATATACCGTGGTTTATCTCGTTCTGGGATCCCTCGGCCAGTGTTCTGTCTCACTGAGTCTTAGCGGCTTCTGTCCATGTCGCTGTTCTGACATGACTGACTCACTCTGTTCTCTACCTCTAGGCTCAGCTTGTCACGTCTTCTGCTTACTGCTTTCTTCCAAGTGAGTTTTTCCACGTCTGTTGCCCCTGTGTCTGTTTTCCTTTCTGTGTCTCACATTTGAAATTCCCTGAGAGAGGTACTCTGTCTAGGCAGTCAGCGTGCAGGATAGAATGGCACCAATGAGCTGGGCTTTGTTCTGGGCCACCTCCTGTAGGGCACTGGCCAACCATAGGGTAGCTGCCCTTAGGTCAGATGCTAATCCCTGGTCCAGTCACCTGTGACCAAGGTAGCAGAGTTACCTGGTACGAAATGTGTCAACCTGGGATAAGAAGCCTCAGAGAGGCGCTGCTGGTGGGTTGGTATAGTCAAGATTTTCAGAAATAATAATATAAGATAGCAAATAAGTGTGGCATTAGTAAAATATGCAATTAGTACTCTAGATGAGGCCAGAAGAGGCTGAGATCGTGATGGTCTGGGGTGGGCTTTCCTCTGCTTACAGTCTCAGGGACAACCTTCTCTGAAAGGCACAAGGTTTTTTGTGAGATCAGGCGCCTGCTTGCCTTGCCAGCTTCACTGCCAGCCCCACAAATGCTATGTTCCAGCCACTGGGGCTCCTGGCAACCTCTGGATGATATCTCTGGATGATAGCGACATGTGCATGCAGGGGCACTAGGAAGAACTCCAATTATTCTTTAATTTTGAGATGAAACTTTTTTTTCTTTTCTGAAATCTTACCCTACTCCAGACACTTAATATCTCTTCTGTTCCCCGCAGCCCTCTGTACCTGCCTTTATTACAGCACCTAGGGCACTGGGCTATGATTATCGGTTGACATGTCCACTTTGCTCACTAGATGTATGGGAAAGGGACTGATTGTGATTATTATTATTTTTTTTCAGGCAGAGCCTCGCTCTGTCACCCAGGCTGGAGTGCAGTGGCATGATCTCGGCTCACTGCAACCTCTGCCTCCCAAGCTCAAGTGATTCTCCTGCCTCAGCCTCCTAAGTAGCTGGGATTACAGGTGCACTCCACTACCGCCCGGCCAATTTTTGTATTTTTAGGAGAGATGAGGTTTCGTCATCTTGGCCAGGTGAGCCACTGTGCTTGGCTGGGACTGATTGTGATTTACTCATCTCTGGATCCCAGCAATGAGGCCAGTGCTTGGTACCTACCACTACTGCTAGGACTAGCTCATGGTTTTGGAGCTATTAGTCTGCTCCTTGCACAATTCCAAAAGTGTTATATGTATTAACTAATTTAATCCTTCCAAGAACCTTGTAAATAGGAGCCGTAAATATCATCATTTTATGTTTTGGGAAGTTGAAGCATGGACAGGTTGAGAAACTTGCCTGAGGTCGCGTGGTTAATAAGTGGTGGAATCAGGATTCAAATCAGGCAAATTGTTCCGGAGTCTGTGCCTTGCCCACTGAGCAATACTGCCTCTTAGCAATAAATATTGTAGAAGAGTTAGTAGGCATTCAGTTAGTATTGAGGAAATAAAGAAGCCATTACTGGGGCTTTGAGGGTGAAGGAAAAGGCAGGGGAAAACATTCTAGGGGAGGGAAAGAGGCATGTGAGAACATCCACAGGACAGTGTGTGAGCTTGGAGGGCAGAGCTGAACTTGTCAGTAGGACCACATCAAAGCGCAAGACAAGGGGCAGGGCTTTTGAGGAAGGTAGTGACATGATTAAAGGGAAATTTAAAGAAGATCAATCTGGCTTCAGGGTACAAGATAGTTTAAAATGGGAAGGGAATGAACACAACTAGGAGGCCATGGACATAGTCTCCTGAGGCAATAGAGTGATGGGTTATTAGCATGGACCTGGGCTCAGAGGAATGAGGGGTCTGAGTCCAGCTTCTGTCACTTGTCATTGTGTAGCCTCTCTCAGTCTCCAAGCTCCTGTTTCTTCATCTACAAAAGAGGAATTATTACTCACCTCTTAGGTTGTGGTAAGGATTTAAAGGCATGTTTGCCAAGGGCTTAGCACAGAACCCTGACCTTATTCTCCTTTTGTCTTGGGTCAAGATGATAAGGGCTTGTGCTTGTGTAGTAGCACTGGCAAGAAAGTAAATGGGAAAATGAGACTCAGTAGAACTTGCTGATTGATGGCTGCTGAAAAATTGAGGCAAGGAAGGGTCAGTGAGTGAACGGTCAGTGCAGGGGGTGAACTCAGAGGGCCTGGGTTCTGGGTCTGGTTTTGTCACTGCTTTGGCCACATCACTCATCTACATTGCTGGATCTCAGTTCCTCCTCTAGAATGTAAAAATGGTAGACTGACAGTTGCTCATTTTTCTTCCCGCTTGGAATGCTATGACGACATGGCTTGGGGGTGGGAGTCTGGACAACTGGGAGAATATAAAAGATGCCGAGCTCTGCCTTCCTTTTCAAAGAGGTCGCCAACCCCCTTTTATTAATCCTGTCCTTTGTCCTCTCTTTGATTTGGAAATATCATTTTTTCGTTCTGGGAAAATGACTCTGAAATCTCAGCCACTGATAGAAGGCTTGGTTACTGCAGCAGAGGGTGAATCAGAGATAAGCCTTTTTTTTTTTTTTTTTTCTGGAGTCTTCTAGTCTCCCGATCCTGACTTGAGCTTCCTCATTTCTCTGAGGGGCAGAAGAAGCTGACTTCTCCAGTAATTTACCCTGTGTTTTCCTCCCTGCGGGCAGAACCCATGATCTTCTTGGTCAGCTTCACAGCTGGTTTGTGGCGATGCTTTTTGGATGTCTTTCCCCTTGGATGTTCAAGCTCAGCGTCCTCAAAGAGAAAGAAAGTGGGGCCTGTACCCAGCAAGGTACACATGCAGTCCCCTGCTAATCAATGTTTTCATATTGTGAGCACTTCTTGCCTGGATTACATTCACTGTGGGTGAAATTAAATATCTGAGCAGTTGCTGAAGCCTTTAGTGAGCTTGTTTCCATGGCAGCTTTCAGAGGCCTCCTCCAAAAAAAGGAGTAGTTTATTTTCAATTAACAAAGGGCAAAGAGGTCTTTACTGCAGTTTTGCTTATGGGAATTTCAGATAAAATTTCCCAGCCCTACAGGTGCCATACAATCTCTCACCCACTTATCTTTATGGAGCTGTGAGGAGGATTGTTGATTTCTGTTAACAGTGCAACACCCCAGACACAGCATGCTGGTGATATGGACCAACAAAAGGATGTTAGTTCTTAATAAAAAAAGGGAAACATTATGAAATTGAGCTACTGGGCATTAATAAAGTACCTACTGATAATTCCACCTGCTAGAGATGGCAAATTTTCATTCTTTCAGAGTTCTGGGTTGGGTATCAAGGCTGGATGTCTGCTTTGTAGAAGAGTGAATTGTAGCATTCTTTGAGCTGCTGACCAAAGGCATAAGTCCAATCAACCGCCACATTAAACATTCCAGGAATCACAGCCTCTCTGAGGAAGAAAAAGTAGTTATTACCAGGTATGCTCCGTAAAAGGGCAGCTCACCACTTGGAAATTTACCAAAATGCAATTGACAGAATAGGAAATAATTTTGCCCTAGAGCCTCAGAAAGTGAGGCTTATGATCTGAGGGATTTGGCTTACCTTTCTGGTTATGGGTTTTCATCCAAAAATTAGCCTGGGAAGTTCCTCTTATCTTTTCTGCTCTTCAGTATTTTTGAGTTGCCCCCTTACTGGTTTCTGGTAGAGATGGGGTCTTGCTATGTCATCCAGGCTGGTCTTGAACTCCTGGCCTCAAACAATCCTCCCTTCCTTGGCCTCCCAAAGTGCTGGGATTATAGGTATAAGCCACCACACCTGGCCTTAAGTTGTTGTTTCTACAACATTTCATTTTTCTTTGATTTCAGCTGGAAGATTGATCTGAGCAACCTAGCTGTTTTTTTCCAGACACTGCAAGTCTTGAGTGGTCTTTCAAAATGCAAGTCTGTGCAGGTTTCTTATTATCCACTGCTGTCATTCTCAAAAAGGCTTGCTTGTTAAACTTTATTTATTTCCAGTTGGACTCTAGGCATCACTTTGAGAAACTTCTAGAACAAAGTTCAAGCTGCTCAGCATGGAAAACAAGGCCTCTTCCTACTCCCCAGACCTATCTTCTTCTACTCCCTACTTCTCATTCCCACACTGTGTTCCAAAAATATGAATAAACTTAAAGGTACAGTAGTCCCCCTTATCCACAGGTTCACTCTCCTCAACAGTAGTCCAAAAATATTAAATGGAAAATTCCAGAAATAAGCAATTCATAAGTTTTAAATTGCACACTGTTCTGAATAGCGTGATGAAACCTCTCACTGTCCTTCCTGAGATGTGAATCCTCCCTTTGTCCAGCATACCCATGCTGTGGACACGCTCCCTGACTGTTAGTCACTTAGCAGCCAGCTTGGTTATCAGATTCACTGTGATGGTACCACAGTGTTTGTGTTCAAGTGACCCTTAGTTTACTTAATAATGGCCCCAAAGCACAAGAGCAGTGATGTTGGCAATATTGCTATAATTGTTCTATTTTATTATTAGTTGTTGATGTTAATCTGTTATTGTGCCTAAGTTATAAATTAAACTTTATCGTAGGCATGTATGTATGTATGTATGTATGTATGTATGTATAGGAAGAAACACAGTATATACAGGGGTTGGTCCTATCTGTGGTTTCAGGCATCCATTGGGAGTCTTGGGATATGTCCTCCAAGGATAAGGACAGATGACTGTACCTGAATACAGTGCACCTTTTCACACCGCTGTGCCTTTGCACATGCAATCCCTGCTAAATACAATGCCCTTTCTCTTTGCCCATGAGGCAAATGCTTATTCATCTTTCAAAAGCCAGCTCAGAGGCGGCCTCCTTTGGGAAGTCCCCTGGAGTGCCCTCTCCCCACACCTTGTAGTTGATCCTCCCTTTGATTGTGGCAAACTTCACACACAATTCTGTGAATATTTACCATACTGTTGTAATTTCCTTTTGTACAAGATTTCAAACTGTTTGAGGGCAGGGATTAGAATTATCTCATCTATGTTTTATCCAACCCTGAATTCAGTACCTAGCACATTGTTGATGCTCAATATAGTTTTGCTAGATGATTAAATGAATGAAGCACATAATTAGGTAATCCAGATACTCAGCCCCAGCAGGAAGAACACTGCCATGACTTCTGACACTACCCAGAGTTAAGCCAAACTACAGATTAAAGGCTCAGCCCTCCGTAAGACTACTCTCACTTCAGATACTGGCTGCAAATCTGGAGGTCTCTAGGCTGCATTTACATCTGACAAACTGGCTACAAATTTGGAAGCTTATACCCCTCAGTTTTGGTAATTTGCTAGAAGGACTTATAGAACTCAGGAAATTGCACAGTTATGACTGTGGGTTTTGTTATAGCAAAAAGAATACAATTTAGAACCAGCCCAGAGAAGATAGACATAGGTGAGTTCTGAGAAAAGCTTCTGTGTCCTCTCCCTGTGGAGTCAGGAAGTATTTTCCTTTCAGTACACCAGATACAACAGTACCTTTCAGTACAACAGACACTCTGTAGTGTGACAGAGTATCACCACCAGGGAACTCACCTGATCTTGGTGTTCTGAGTTTTTATTAAGGTTTCATTATGTAGACAGGATTGATTGAATCATTGGCTATATGATTGAACTCAATCTTCAGCCTTCCTTTTCTTCCTAAAGGCTGGGCTGATACCGTGTGGCTCAAAGCACCAAACCTCTGATCGCGTCATTGTTCTTTCTGGTATGGCTAGTCCCGATCCTGAGTTATCTCTCTATTATAAACTATCTAGGGGGTCCACCATGAGTCACGGTCCACCATGAGTCACCTCATTAGCCTAAACAACTATCAGGGGACCCACCATGAATAACAAAGACACTCTTATCATTTGGGAAATTTTAAGGATTTAGACACTGCCTTCCAGGACCTGGAGACAGAGGCCAAGTTCTTTATTACACGGGAAATGCTTTCAGCAATGATTTGGATAGAGTTGGTGCCCAGGGATATAATCTGGTGGGTAGAGCCCACAGCAGGGAGTCCAAATGGACACCTGACACTAGAGAGGCAGGTGAGTTGCATGTAACAGCTGACATTTAGAAATAGCTGCCCTTAGATTATAGGCAGAAATCATTCAGTGTTGGACACATAGTAGGTGCTTAATATTAAAGAGTTTGTTAAATTAGTGAAATGAGTGTGAGTTGGATGTCAATGGATGTGTAAACTTGGACAGATGAAAAATAGGTGAGGAGGATAGGAGGATGTTTCCAGAACCAACTTGTCAAAGGCCAGAGCAAGGATGCAGGTGGCAAGTTCAGGAGCATGACTGTGGGTTCCTGCAGGACTGGAAGGGGAAGTAGGATGACTAGGAGCAGAACTCACAGATCCTTGAGTACTGGTATTAGTACATCGGTTTGGTCACTTTAATAGAAATCAAGGTAGAAGATTTAGTTCTAAGTCCTGTAAATGTCCAAGCTGGTAGGTGACCCAGGGAGGTGATTTGTTCTGCTTCACAGAGGTATCCAGAGTCCCACGTGCCTTCATTTTATTGTGCTTCTGTCCCCTGAGATATCTTCTGCATGGTTGAATCTGGTTCATTCCTACCCCATCTCTCTTCTAGTGCATGGAAAGGAAGAAAGAGGACATAGGCCGAGCATGGTAGCTCGTACCTGTAATCCCAGCACTTTGGGAGGCCGAGGAGGGAGGATTGCTTGAGGTCAGGAGTTTGAAACCAGTCTGGGAAACATAGTGAGACCCTGTCTCTACAAATATTATGTATAAAAAATTAGCTGGGTGTGATGGCTCGTGCCTGTAGTCCCAGCCACTCGGGAGGCTGAGACTGTAGTCCCTTCACCTTGGGAGGTGGGAGGATCTCTTGAGTCCAGGAATTTGAGGCTGCAGTGAACTATGATCATGCTACTGCACTCCAGCCTGGGCGACAGAGCAAGACCCAGTTCCTGTTTCAAAAAAAAAAAAAAAAAAAAGACATAGAGGGCAAGCAATTTTCTTTTAAGAAGATGATCTAGACATTGCCCACAGTATTTTTCCTCACGTCTCATTAGCTAGAAAGTAGTCATATGGAAACATAGAAAATGTAGACTGTAGCTGAAAAACCTTGTGCCCAGTTAAAACGTAGGTGTGTGTGGGGGAGGGCAAGGGTTGTATTAAAAAAAAGTAAGGAGAGAGTGGATATTGGGGAAAAGTTAGCAGACTATGTCATTCCAGCCTAAAGTGTTTAGACTTCAAATCACAGGATAGTGAGACCTGGAGAGAGTTTTGAGAAGAAATGATCATGCTCAGTTCTAAATGACTTCTAGAGCCACCTTACAATTTCAATTGTAGTATGATAATGTAAATAAGACACTCGTATTATGAAAGCAAGCAATGTATATGGTTGTGTGTGTGGTTGACAAAGAGACATAAGGGAAGTATTCTCTAAAGAACTGACCATTTATTTTCTTTCTCTTTTCTTTTTTTTTTTGAGACAGGGTCTCACTCTGTCACTGAGGCTGGAGTGCAGTGGTGCGATCATGGTTCATGCAGCCTCAATCTCCTGGGCTCAGGTGATCCTCCACCTCAGCCTCCCGAGTAGCTGGGACCACAGGCGTGTGCTACCATGCCCAGCTAATTTTTATTTATTTTATTATTATTTTTTTTTGTAGAAACAGGGTCTTGCCATGTTGCCAAGGCTAGTCTTGAACTCATGGGCTCAAGCAGTCCTCCTGCCTCGGCCTCCCAAAGTGCTGAGATTACAGGCATGGGCCACTGCACCCAGCCAACAGTGTACTTTAGATCTAAACTCTGATAATATTAAATAAGCAAGAGGAGAGGGAATAGTGTTTCATGCAAAAGAACCTGTATGTACAAGTGCCCTGAGGCAGGTTAGAACATGGTGACTAAGAATAAGTAAGTCTAGTGTAAGTGAAATGGAGTGAGCGCTAAGTAATATGGTACAAAATGATTATCGAAGGCTGGGCGCGGTGGCTCACGCCTCTAATCCCAGCACTTTGGGAGACCGAGGCGAAAAGATCACTTGAGGTAAGGAGTTCGAGACCAGCCTGGCCAGCATGGCAAAACCCCATCTCTACCAAAAATACAAAAATTATCCCGGCATGGTGGTGTGTACCTGTAGTCCCAGCCACTTGGGAGGCTGAGTCAGGAGAATCACTTGAACCTGGGAGGTGGAGGTTGCAGTGAGCTGAGATTGTGCCGCTGCACTCCAGCCTGGGTAACAGAGTAAGACTCCATCTCAAAATAAATAAATAAATAAATAAATAAATAAATAAATAAATAAATAAATAAAATAAAATAAAATAAAACAAAACAAAACAAAATGATTATCGAAAGGCAATAAAGGGTCTTTTAAGGATGTCAGTCTCAGACCT
Organism: Homo sapiens; assembly: GCF_000001405.40. NCBI lineage: Eukaryota > Metazoa > Chordata > Mammalia > Primates > Hominidae > Homo > Homo sapiens. The sequence continues at coordinate 97,436,030 of NC_000008.11, read as the reverse complement.
AAGGATAGTGGGAATCCTTTGAAGTATTTTAAGCAGGTAAGTATTTCAAATATATTCGTGTTGTTGAGTGTAGAGAAACATTAGAAGGGAGCAAAGGTAGACGAGGTGTCAGCAAGCATTGTAATCTACATTAATTGAGTGATGGGTACCCTAACAGTCCTGACTTGACCACTAAGCAGTCTATACATGTAACAAAATTGCACGTGTACCATATACATTTGTATCAAAAGTTGAAAATTTATTCTTATGAGTAGACCTGTAGTACAAAATTATACCAAATTGTTACTATTATCGTATTTTAAAAACATACCAATTAAAAATTGTAGAAGTTTATGTCCTTTCTTATGAGTACTACATAAATAATGGCCTTGATTTTGGGATTTTGGCTTGCAAAGCCTAAAATATTTATGATCTGGTTCCACTCTCCATGGTTCCTTCTGTGTGGAGGATCCTTTCTAGAGGAACACTCCGCTCTCCCTCTGCTCCTGTGTCGTGTGTCACTCTTCTCCAGACGAGGAGTGTTTGACCTGATTGATGAGTCTGGGAGAAGGAGCTTAGCTTTACCTGCCTTTAGTAAAGACGAGATTTCTTTTGTCCTCTGTTATGAGGAAAGCCTGACAGGGTTGGTCTCCAAGGAGGAGCCTGTCATTTTCCAACTGCAGCTGTCACTGGTGAGTAACAACTAAGCCATGGCCTCCGATAGAGCTTTTCATCTGTATTGAGGGTGCTCTCTCCACCTTCAACCTCCAGGTTCCCATGTCTACCTCTGAACTGTTTCAGAACTCCAGTGGGGAATAGGGATGCTGTTTATTAGCCCCTCCAAAGCCAACAGGGTGCACAGAGGCTGCTCCTGGAGGGGCATCTGAGCAGCTGTGCTCATCTCTCCTGCCACTGAGATGCAGAGAATCTGACATAAGAAGGGAGGATGCGATTGGCTCATCAGCAAACACTTGAAAACTAATTGAGTCCATAAACCAAGGCTCTCCCTGAGAAATCAAATTGATACAAGAGAGCAGGAAGGAAGGGAAAAGCAGGAGAGAAGAGGGTCTTAGAAAGAGGGGAGCTGGCCAGACTCGGTGGCTCACACCTGTAATCCCAGCACTTTGGGAGGCCGAGGCGAGCGGATCATGAGGTCCAGAGATGGAGACCATCCTGGCTAACACCGCAAAACCCGGTCTTGACTAAAAATACAAAAAATTAGCCGGGCATGGTGACACGCGCCTGTAGTCCCAGCTACTCGGGAGGTTGAGGCAGGAAAATTGCTTGTATCCGGGAGGCGGAGGTTGCAGTGAGCCGAGATTGTGCCACTGCACTCCAGCCTGGGCAACAGAACAAGACTCCATCTCAAAAAAAAAAAAAAAAAAAAAAAAAAGAGGAGAGCTGAATTAGTAAACCAGGGTAGTCTTAGTGGAATAGCTAAGGGTGTGGCAGTTTTTATGTTCTTCTTTAATCAATTTTCCTTGCTTTCAGCTTCCAGGTTTATGTTTTTCCTCTTCTGTGAGCCCAGACTTTTCCACAACATATACTGGTCAGTTTCATAAACTTTCTTTAAAAGGGGTGGCCGTGAGTGTAATTTTCCATTCTGCTTTCCAGCGCACTCAGCTGCCTTTAGGAGGCTTGACAGGCTGTGGCAGTGTCCAGCTGCAGGGAGTCCTACATCTCTGATGGTGAGTGATGACTCACTTCCTGCTGCCTGACTTGAGAAGCTCCTAAATACACTCCTGGGTCAGGCCCCTGCAGTGTAGCCTTAATCTGCTGCTGACCCAGGATCCAACCCAGCTGTTAGGTGGAGGACCCACATTTCCAATTCTGCAGCAGTGGGAGGCTTTCTGGGTAGCCATCCAGCTGAGATGCTTTGAAGGAGGGATGAGAGGAAAGCTGTGAGTGAGAGGGCAGGAATGTGCAGACAGGGCCAGCATCCCAGAGGGTTTTGTTTATTATACTGGGAACATCTCATAGGCCTTGGGATAATGACTGCTCGAGATTCAGGAATGATTTAGCTTTCCATGCCCCACTCAGGTCAGACTGATTATACTTTAATAGACACAATAAGATAATTCTTAATCCTGGCTGCGCATAATAGCAATCTCCATTAGAAGGCTAATAGGTACCTTGACGTTTAAACATTCAAAATAGAACTCTTGATCTTACCCCTCTCCCACCAAACATGCCCTTTTCCAACCTTCCCCTCTAGTGCGTGACACCATTTGCCACATATGCAGCCTCAATCCTCTGAACGGCTGATATGGTTTGGATGCCTTGTTCCCTCCAAATCTCATGTTGAAATGTGACCTCCATTGTTGAAGGTGGGCCTCCTGGGAGGTGTTTGGGTGATGAGGAAGAGCCCTCATGAATGTCTTGGTGCTGTCCTTGTGGTAAGAGTGAGTTCTCACTCTGAGTTCACTCAAGATCTGGTCTGAAAGAGCCTGCCACCTCCTCCCTTTCTCTCTTGCTCCCACTCTTGCTATGTGATACACCTGCTCCCTCTTTGCCTTTTGCTATGATTACAAGACTTCTGGGGCCCTCACCAGAAGCAGATGCTGGCACCACACTTCTTGTACAGTCTGCAGAACGGTGAGTCAAATAAACTTCTTTTCTTTTCTTTTTTTGAGATGGAGTTTTGCTCTCGTTGCCCAGGCTGGAGTGCAATGGCATGATCTCAGCTCGCTGCAACCTCTGCCTCCTGGGTTCAAGTGATTCTCCTGCCTCAGCCTCCCGAGTAGCTGAGATTACAGGCACCTGACACCACACTCAGCTATTTTTTTTATATTTTTAGTAAAGCTGGGGTTTCACCATGTTGGCCAGGCTGGTCTCGAACTCCCGACCTCAGATGATCCCCCCCACCTTGGCCTCCCAAAGTGCTAGGATTACAGGCATGAGCCACCGCACCCGGCCGATAAACTTATTTTCTTTATAAATTACCCAGTCCCAGGAATTCCTTTATAGCAACATAGAACGGACTAACGCAACATTCTATGCCCATGAGCTATCCATCATCAAGCCCTGTAATCCTCCCTTGAAAATATACCCCCAATTCTATCACTCCTCACCATCTCCATGGCTTCTACCTAGTCAAGTTCCCTCCATTCATCATCTGGACTATTGTGGAACCTCCTAACTCATTTTCCTGCTTCTACTTTTGTCATTTTAAGGGTAAATCATGTCAAACATCTCTCTTGGTGACTAGACTCACTCTCAATGGCTTAAATTGCAGTCAGAATAAAATCCAAATTTCTTATGAGAACTTGCAAGGCCCCAAATACACGGGCCTTTCCTTACTTACCTCTCTGATGATTTTTCTACTATTTTCTCCACACCATGATCCTCCAGCCACAATGTCCTTTTCTCTGTTTCTTGAACTTCCAAACTCATTGCCACCTCAGGTATGATGCTCCCTATATTTGGAAGTCTCTTCCCCAGATCTTTGCTTACCTAGCTCCTTCACATCCTTCTGGAATCAGCAAAAATATCATCTCCTTAGAACAACCTTCCTTTATCAGCATCCTTCCCCATGCCCTGTTATTCACCATCCCACTTAATGTGTTCTGTTTTCCTCATCACTCTATCTGAAATCATTTTTATTTGTTTCTGTGTTTATTCTATGCCTCCTTTTGCTAGAATGAAAGGCAAAGATTTTGTCATTTTCATTACATGGTGTCTGGAACAGTGAGCCTGGATATAATAGATGCTTATTAAAGTTTTATGGAATGGCCGGACGCAGACGTGGTGGCTCACACCTGTAATCCCAGCACATTGTGGGGCCAAGACGGGAGGACCGCTTGAGGCCAGGAGTTCAAGACCAGCGTGGTCAGCATAGTGAGACCCTATCTCATTAAAAACAATTTATGGAATGGATGAATGATTATTAGCTGTTGTCTAACAAGCTTGTATTATGCACCTGGCACTAAGCTAGGTGTGCATCTCCACTATTGGGCAAGCATCAGGGGATCCAGACCCACCTAGTGGTACCTCCAGCTACACGAGTTCCTTGTATGGATAGGATGTTTGAACTCACCATGAGGCCAGTGTCAGTTTGAAGGCAAAGGGCACTTAGATAAAAGATTTGAATCTGTACAATTATAACACAGCTTCCCCAACTGTTGATGACACCCCATTGTTGACAAAATAAAAGTAGACTTCTCCACCAGATTGCCATCACTCTTTGCAGACTGGCCACAGTCTCTTCTGCAACCACTCCCTCCTTGTCCCTGCACCCCATCTCTAACCACGCCAGACTTCCCCGAACATACCATCAATCTTCCTCCACTTATGCTGTTTCCCTGATCTCAAGGATTCCTTCTCCATTTCCCCACCTCATGAAATCATAGACTCATCCTTTCAGAGCTACCTCAAATGTCACCTCCCTTATAAAAACTCCTTTGCTTTTTTCCCTCCGTAGTCAAAATTAATCACTTTTGTAAGCTATTCCAACACTTTGTTCATCCTGCTGGTGTAACATGACAGTACATTACAACCCGTTAGAGCTCTTATTTTGCATCTATCTCCCATAGTGCCTAGCAGAGGACTTGGCATAGAGTATTGTGTTAGTTTGCTAGGGCTGTGATAACTATGTGGCTTAAAAAACAGAAATTTTTGTCTCACTGTTTCTGGAGGCTAGAAGGCTGAGATCGAGGTGTCGGCAGGGCTGGTTCCTCTGGAGGACCATTAGACGGAATCTGTCCTGCTCCCCTTTCCTGGCTTCTGGTAGTTTGCTGCAACCTTTGGCATCGTCGGCTTGTGGAAATATCACCTCAATTTCCGCCTTTATCTCCACGTGGTGCTCTCCCTGTGTTTGTGTCTGTCTCTGTTCAAATGTTTCCTTTTTATAAGGACCAGGCCGGGTGCGGTGGCTCACGCCTGTAATCCCAGCACTTTGGGGGGCCGAGGTGGGTGGATCATCTGAGATCAGGAGTTGGAGACCAGCCTGGCCAACACAGCGAAACCCTGTCTATACTAAAAATACAAAAAAATTAGCCTAGCGTGGTGGTGGGTGCCTGTAATCCCAGCTACTTGGGAGGCTGAGGCAGGAGAATCGCTTGAACCCAGGGGGTGGAGGTTGCAGTGAATCGAGATCACGCCATTCCATTGCAATCCAGCCTGGACAACAAGAGCGAAACTCTGACTCAATATCTATATCTATATCTATATCTATATCTATATCTATATCTATATCTATATCTATATCTATATATCTATATCTATATATCAATATATCTGTCTATCTATATCTATATATATATCAATATATATCTATATATGATTATCTCTGTATGTATGTATGTATGTATCTATCTATCTATCTATCTATCTATCTATCTATCTATCTATCGACACCAGTCATGGATTAGGGCCTGCCATAATAACTCCATTTTAACTTGATTACCTCAATAAAGACCCTATCTCCAAATAAGGGCACATTCTAAGGGTACTGGGAGGTTAACACACCAATATATCTTTTGTTTGGGGGCACAGTTCAAATGATAATGACTATTTTCCCAAAAAGGATTCATTAATGAGTCGATATGAAGTGGAGTCCTTTTGGGAAGAAAAGCATCCATCTGTCTTCTGTCTTCTTCTCTGGGTTGCATTTCCTGAGGGCAAGACCTGTGTCTCCTGAAGAATAGTGGTACAGTATGTAGTTGCTCAGTAAGTGAACAATTGACTGTAAATACTTATTCAGATACCACTTTTCTTCAAGAGAAACCTGGCATGGCAGGGAAGCGCCAAAGGCTCTATAAGGATGGAATTCACGTGGCGGTAAGTAAGTTCATGCAAAGCAATCTCATGTTTTGTGTCGCATTTCTCAGCATAGTGACAGTAAGATAAATTATGTTTTGAATCCAATGAAAACACCTACATCAGTCAGGTATTGGGGCCAGGCAAAGGTAATAATAGCTAACATACATTCTCTCAGTTAACTCTCATGAGAGCCCTCTGAGGTAGTTACAAATATCAGTCCCATTTTATTAGGTAAAGAAGCAAGATAGGTACGAGAGAGAGATATTGGGTGGCCCAAGGTCACACAGCTGGTTGGTGGTGGAGCCAGGATTTGGCTCAGTTCTGATACCAAAGCCAATGTTCTTTTTTTTTTTAATTATACTTTAAGTTCTAGGGTACATGTGCACAACGTGCAGGTTTGTTACATATGTATACATGTGCCATGCTGGTGTGCTGCACCCATTAACTCGTCATTTACATTAGGTATATCTCCTAATGCTATCCCTCCCCCCTTCCCCCAACCCGTGACAGGTCCTGGTGTGTGATGTTCCCCATCCTGTGTCCAAGTGTTCTCATTGTTCAATTCCCACCTATAAGTGAGAACATCCAGTGTTTGGTTTTCTGTCCTTGAGATAGTTTGCTGAGAATGGTGGTTTCCAGCTTCTTCCATGTCCTTACAAAGGACATGAACTCATTCTTTTTTATGGCTGCATAGTATTCCATGATGTATATGTGCCACATTTTCTTAATCCAGTCTATCATTGATGGACATTTGGGTTGGTTCCAAGTCTTTGCTATTGTGAATAGTGCCGCAATAAACATACGTGTTCATGTGTCTTTATAGCAGCATGATTTATAATCCTTTGGGTATATACCCAGTAATGGGATGGCTGGGTCAAATGGTATTTCTAGTTCTAGATCCTTGAGGAATTGCCACACTGTCTTCCACACTGGTTGAACTAGTGTGGTTGAACTTTTACACCAACAGTGTAAAAGTGTTCCTATTTCTCCACATCCTCTCCAGCACCTGTTGTTTCCTGACTTTTTAATGATCACCATTCTAACTGGTGTGAGATGGTATCTCATTGTGGTTTTGATTTGCATTTCTCTGATGGCCAGTGATGGTGAGCATTTTTTCATGTGTTTTTTGGCTGCATAAATGTCTTCTTTTGAGAAGTGTCTTTTCATATCCTTCGCCCACTTTTTGATGGGGTTGTTTGATTTTTTCTTGTAAATTTGTTTAAGTTCTTTATAGATTCTGGATATTAGCCCTTTGTCAGATGAGTAGATTGTAAAAACTTTCTCCCATTCTGTAGGTTGCCTGTTCACTCTGGTGGTAGATTCTTTTGCTGTGAAGAAGCTCTTTAGTTTAATTAGATCCCATTTGTCAATTTTAAGCCAATGTTCTTAGTTCCCATTATACTCTGCCTTTCTGCTTCTATTATGAGCTAGGTTTTGGGAACCTGGGCTCACAAGTTGGAATACGCTTTGAAGGTCATCTCAATACCCTCTTCAATGCAGGAGACCCTACTCTAACCTCCAGAACCAATGGTAAGCCTGCAGTATTTTCAGGCTTTAATTTTACTTTCTATAAAATGAAGAAGTTGGGCTCTATAGCTCTTACCAACTTAATAACTCTGTGATCATGCAAAAATCCCAGGAAATGCATTCCTCCAAGAGGTGTGGTTGCAAATTCTAATTATAAGAAAAAGTCTTTCTTATAGTGAATCAATATGTATCCCCCTGCAGCTTCTATCCTTTTCTCCTTGTTTGGCCCCTCTGAAGCAACAGAGAGAATAGTCTACTCCATCCATATGACAGCTGTTTATAGACAATAGCCTTTCTTCTTTTGACACCATCTCCAAACATTTTCCCACATTGATTTTCTTCCTCTGGGCAAACTCCATGTTGTCAAATAAATATATCTTAAAAAAAATGAACTAGAAGGTCTGAAAAAATTGAGTAGCTTAGTGTCTGCTACATGCAAAATCAAAGCAGTGGACTCCATTCTTTCTCCTGTTTGGATGCTGTTTCTTCTGCAGAGCATCATGGAGGGAAATGAAGCTAGCCGATTATACTAGGGCTGTGGGAAGAGTGAGTCAACCACAGGTGTTTTGGCATGCAGGAGCTCTGCCATTTTTCAGGTGCTTGCTGGAGCTCAGTCCACCAGAACTTTTCAAACCCACTGCAATGGACTGAATGTATGTGTCCTGCTGCCAAATCCTATGTTGGAATCCTAATCCCCAGTGTGATGGTTTTAGGAGATGGGGCCTTTGGGAAGTAATTAGATTATGAGGGTGAAGCACTCATGAATGGGATTAGCACCCTTATGAGGACCTCTTTTTATAAAACAGACCATTTTCAAGCTGGAAGAGATCCCTCACCAGAACCCTGCCATGCTGGCATCCTGATCTCAGACTTCCAGCCTCCAGAACTGTGAGAAATATATTTATGTTGTTTATAAGCTACCCAGTCTATGGCACTTTGTTATAGCAGCTGGAACAGACCAAGACACCCGGCTACTTCCTCATCCATTTCTAGCATTGACTCAGGCTTGCTTATAGGTTCACCTTTATCTCATCACTTATTTAGTTAAGTCCCAATCATTGTATTTCTTTAGAATGTCTGAGGTGGGGGAGGTGTTTGCCTTCCTACTGCCACCTCTCCTGGCCCGTCCCTGATACAGAGGTGCCTGGCTTTCCACTGCAGGCCCCATCCTCTCCCATTCCTATCCACCCCATTTACTGTTGGCAGAGTAATTCTTCTGCAACATAGCCTCCTCTTGCAACTCCTTAATCACCTGCCACCTTCTTTCTCTGCCCGTTGGCCTATGGCTAGGGCCTCTGTCCAACAGAGCCACCTTCCCAGTGGACTCCACACTTACAGGTCTCATCTCAGTCTCTGTCACGATGAGAATGACTCCTTTTTCTTAGTTTATATCTAAAGAACTGACACAGAGAATTTCCTAAAAAAAAGTTTGTTATTAAATTAATATGAACTCTTCCTTTTGTGAGCAGTAAATACCCATCTGGTTCCTGACACTGAGGGAAGGACTTATTTGTGTTCTTCTCCAGAAGTCAAAAGGACCAAGTCTGGCTGGACTGCTCTGGTTTTGAACACAATTCCCTTGCTCATTAAAACATTTTGAGATGTTTGAGTTTGTAATTAAAGAAAACACCTCCTCCCAAATTAATCCCAAAGAAATTCATCCAATTTTAGCAACTCAGAGGAAGATATTATGGATCCTAACATCTGACAAAAACCAATTCCAGATGGTGAGAATGAAAGAATATTAAAAGTAAAAAAGCCTGGTAATTAAATGGACAAGTGGATGACATGATGGCTTTGGGTTTCTGGATGAGTCCCAGATGGAGGATAAGGATCCACTCCAGCTGTGTAGCAGGACGCGGTATCCCCAGGAATGACACTTAGAGTTTCCACTTATCTGCAAGTCAGTTCTGTGAGAAAGATATTAGATTCACTTCTCTTTCCAATAGCAGATGTGTTTTTAAAATGACTTTGGTTGGGTCCAGTTCCTTATTTTCTCACTGAGAGTTTATTCCACAATGATATCCCATGAGTGCCAGGAGCATCGGAGATTAGGACTTCCAAAAGCATACTCCTGAATCACTTCCTGCCATTGCAAGCCATTCTCAAGGCCTGGGCCCCGGGTCCCCTTTTTGGGGCCCAGCTTGGAAAGGAGTGAAGGCTTACAGCTGGGGACCATGGACAACAACTTAGTCCATAAGGCCATGGATTTCCTGGAAGTAAGAGTGTTGGCTTGTGCTTCTCAGCACTTCAGGCAGCACTGCACCCTCTCTTTTCCTTCTATGGATGACAGACATTCCCATCTCTTGCAAAAACTTTAGCAAGCTCTTGAGGGTAAGGGTGAAGCTTGGCGTAGATGGATGACATAGAGAAACTGCTACAGGAAGCGCCATCTCATCTGAATGGTATTTTGGGCTTGAACAAAGCATAACTGTTAAGACTTTTAATTACCAAAACAAAGTCTTAAATACAGATGCTGAATAAGTGGGATCAGAGGGTCATGCAAGGACCATTACAGAGAGTGATTTCAGTGGAGTGTTTGTAATTCATAGATTCATCTGATGAACAGTTATTAAGACTCACATATGCCAGGCATGTGGCTTAGTGCTGGAAATATGCAAATGGGAAGAATTCAGTAATTGTTGAATTGCATGTGTGCGTGCATACACACACGCACACAGCATTCCCATTCACATAATCTTCTTTCAACACCTGGAGATTGTTGGTGTGAAGCACCAGCTGTAGCTGCTTGCATTTGCTTTGGATACCTGATTTCCCATTTACTTTTTACCCCTGATTTAATTTGATGTTGCCATTACGTAAGAGAAGCTTAGATGTTGGGAGAGAGGTGGAAAGAGGAATATGTATTTGGTGTAAGACGTTTGTGTGCACATCTGAGCTGTTGATTTAATGAGATGACATCCAGGTCTGCAAATTGAATGAGAAAGGGGAGAGAAGGGATTTACACACTGGCTGGATAATTACAGATTTGTTTAACTGTCACTAGGATTCCATTTCATGGTTTTGTTTTTATCATTAAAATTATTTCACCACTGGGTTAAAACCTTATATCTTAAGTGTCACCCAGAAGCATAGTTTTGTGATTGAGTTCTTCTGGAAAGCTTTTGAAACATAAGGTTTACCAAAGAAATAATAAAATATGGGCACAATAAATACAGGGTGCAAAGTCAAGGTGGTTGATTAACGTGTAAAGATTATTGAAGTGTGCAGTGAAATATGGGGTAATCTGGTAGACATGGTTTATTGGTAAAAATTTTAAAACACAGGGTATTTTAAAATAAATAAAACCCAACTTTGACTGGTGTATGCACTTTCAGTAACAGAATACATAATCTTGAAAAAATATTGGAGTCCCTTTTGAGGTACAATGGTTTAGCACCGATTTTTCATTTGAAATTAGTGTTTACTCTCAGCCGGAGAAAACTCCCAGATGTGTTTTTCATTAGGCCATGCATTTAATTAGAAGTCATAATTATAGAGCACTTTGCAATGTGCAATGTGTTATTCCTCATAGATGAACCTATACTAATATTAATAACTATCATTCGTTAAGGGTTTGTCTTGTACCTGGCCCTGTGGTAAGCACTTCACGAACTCATTTAATTCTCAGAAAACCCCTGTGGCTATTTTTATGTGCATTTTACAAATTAGAAGCCTGCTACCAAGTGAAGTTAATAAGTACCTTGCCCAGGGTTATGGAGAGGCAGAGCTGGAATCTCTGCCTCTTGGTCTGTTCTGTCTGACTCCAAAGCATAAGCCCTTAATCACTGCACTGACCCTGGATGTATTTGAGTAGGGAACTGTTTGTACAGGGCTCCATCTGCTTAGCTTTGTCCTGCATATTAACAGGGTGTGTGGTTGGAAAGAATGCCTGGGCACTTTGTCTTCTCTAGCAACCAGCACCTCAGTTTCGTGCTCTGTAAAATGGGGATTATAATTCCTATTACTTACAGGGTTGTTGTGAGTTTCAATGAGATAACACATGTGAAAAACGTTATAACTTGGAAGGAGTCATGTAAATATAAATACCAATTATGTTAATTTTACTATGACAATATTTATCTGTCAATCCTCACAAATTCTGTGGATATAGTTACTCCTGTATTGGAGGCAGAGTGTCTAGCTGGCTTTTTAAAGTTTAAAAAACAGAAATGTGCTTAGGAGTAAAATCCTTTTGCTAATCCTCCACTTTCCCCCTGCAGATCAAATGGGAATACCCATGTCTCCCTGGAGATGGAGAGGTTTGTTTAACTGAAAAATGACTTGGCTTCTGAAAAGTGTTCTTTCCTTCTGCATAAATATTTAAAAGCTCTATTGTCATTGGAAGAACTTTCTTTGCACGTTCACCACTGCATCCACTCCCATATTTTTCCTTTCCATTCTTGTTTCCCCCTAGTAACCCCAAAGCTTTTAAAGAGAAACTTTGGGATTTTTTTTTCCTAAAAGGGATATTTATTTTATTCCAAAATGTCAGATGAGTCACTGCAGTTGGAAGAGGGCCATTTAAGATAGTGGATGCTGAACTGCTGAATAAATAATAGTTGACATGCCCAGAGCAATTTCTCTTAGCATGTGTAGACCTAAGAAGAGCCTTCGTTCAAAGACAGAGTTGCTCAGGCTTTCATGGTTCAGAAGCAGCAGATAAGGTATAAAGTACATATACTCGGAACCAATCCACTATATGAAAGAACCATCTGGAGAAGTTTCTGAAAATTCATTTCCACTTAGTAAATATTTGCTGAGGGCCAAACACACAGAAAGAGCTATGTTAGGGACTAAAGGGGTACAAACATGAGTAAGATGCAGAGCTTGTTTGCAAGATGTTTTTATATTATTGGGAAGGAAAAGAATACAAGTAAGCACAGCATAAGCAGAATAACACACATGTCTAACAACGATACAACGTGTTGGATTAAGAAGGGGGGCTAGATCACCTCCTGTTGGGGAAAAGAAAAGAGACTTCATGAAGAAGTTGGGACACTGGGAACAAACAGTGGTCCAGCTTGGCTAGAGAGTTGGGTGACTGTAGGAAAATAATGCAAAATAGGATGAAAAGATGAGTCATTCAGGTGACATTGCAGGCAGTCTTCAATATTAGGTCCATGAAGGAGACTCAATGAGGAGCTGGTCGCTGGAATTATCCCATTTTTCACATCTACTGCAGGTACTTATGTAGGGTTATAATAAACCTACATCTTTTGTGGGGTACCTTGGGTGGATTTCTTGTACAAAATGAGCATGACTAAAGCTAACCTCCTTCCTTTGTTATTTTTCCCTCCGTTTATTATATCTGCTCTTCCCCAGGGCTTGATATCAGAGCTGTGGGTGTGTGATAATTGGCTACAGCTATTGATGGCAAAGGGATTCCTTGCTCAGCCCATTTGAAATCTTTTAATCTGGATTGCACAATCCTGTAATGATTGGAATGGATCAGGGCAGGGAGGAGGGTCCTTAAGTTATTGGTTCTCAACCCTGGCTGCATGTTAGAATCACTTAGGAAGGTTTTAAAAATTCTGATCCTTTGGCCCCATCTCAGGATAACTGAATTAGAATCCTTGAAGTTGGGATTAGACATTAGTTTTAATTAGTTTTTAATTTTTAGGAAATTCCTCTGGTGATTCCAATGTACTATGAGAGTTTGGAACCACTGCTTAGATAATTTCTGTCAGGAAACAAAAAAGTACACCTGTCAAATAGCCTAACATTTCCCTTTTTGATATCTTTTTCCTGAAGTCAGGGTAAAACTCAAAGTTTGATTTCTCAGTGTAAGTTCCCATTCAAGCATTATCTATAAGTAACAGCCAGCACCCTTGCTAGAGAGAACAACAGAGATCGCATATTTGCCTAACATAGGAACCAAGGCCGGCTAGTATCAGGATTGTGATTTTTGACAAATTGACCCCTGCCTTTTGTTCTACAACATTGTCTTACAAGACAATGACTTCAGAATCCACAGTGTAACCAGCACTTCCTTCTCTGGACACATAATGTTGATATGGCAAGTGGGATTGCTGATCCCAGCTGTTACAGGAAAGGGGTCCTGATCCACACTAAGAGAGGGTTCCTGGAACTTACACAAGAAAGAATTCAGGGTGAGTCTGCAGTGCAAAGCAAAAGCAAGTTTATTAAGAAAGTAAAGTGGTGAAAGAATAGCTACTGCATAGAGAGAGTACGGTGTTCCCGAAAGTAAGAGGAGGAACACGTCCATTCTAGGTACAATGCTTGTATATATAGGATAAAAAAAGATCATGGGGAGATGTGCTGTGCTACAAGGGTTTGTGATAAAGGATTTATTTTCTTAATTACTATATTTTGCAAGAATCAATATTATCATCTTTACGGCAAAATTAGGAATGCCTTTTCCTGGGTCTGTTTAGTAAACATTATCAATTTGTTCCTTTAACCGTAAACATCTAGAGGCTAAGAATACCTTTCTGGGAATGCAGCCCAGCCAGCCCCAGCCTCATTTTCATAACCCTCACTCAAGATGGAGTCACTTTGTTTTGAACGCCTCTGACACAGCTACTTGAAATAGATTTTTTTCTGCCAAAGAGAGTTTTACTTAGCATCCTTCAAGATAATGTCAGACTCCTTGCATAGGGTTCTTCTGGTTCAAGTCCCTCAAAACAAGAAGTCTGGTTTCTAAGAGCTTTATGTTTTGCCTTGAATTATCTGGATAATTTCTTCAAGCACTTCATTCTGTAAATAGACTTTTCCCTGGGTTAAGAAATCCATATTCAAAAATACGGAGCACCGTATTTTATGTCTATGCTGCTCCCCAGAGTTATAAATTGAAGGGAGTACCCTTCACAAATACCAGCCCAAAGTCAATACCAATCTGGTCCAAAGTCACAGATTGTTTTGACTTCACAGTTGTCACGTGGGAAATTACCTTGATAAACTAGTAGCCTGAAAGTAATTTATCAGGCAAGCTATAGTAGCCTGAAAAGTACATTATCAGGCAAGCTAGAATAAAAACTACACTTCCCAGACTTCCTTGCAGCCAGGTCTGGCTATGTCACTAAGTATGGGCCAATGGGATCATAAGTAGAAATGAAATGTAACATTTCACCAATCTCAGAAGGAAGGAATATATTTTCTCTCTCCCCTTCCTGCTGGCTGGAATGAGGACTTAATGAAAAGTCATCTGGGGTCATGTGGTTGAGGGCAACTTTCATGTGAGAGAGAAATATATTTCTATCTTGTTTATACCAGTGTTATTTTGCATTGCTGTCACACACAACTGAACTCATATTTGAACTCATACACCATCCCTCAGAGTCTTAAGTACCATTACAAAAATATTCGGTAGGCACTTGTCCCCAGGAAGGGAAGTTGGGAAGAAAACTTAATTTGCAACACAATGATTTAATCAACAACATTTTGTTGAAAGTAGCCTGATTTGAGTTTATCATATGGCCAAGGAGAAATGGATCACCCGAAAATCAAATATTCCAGAGGGGTCACTGAACCATAGGTGTGCGCTATGTCAGCCTCTGACATATTGGAAAACTCAGCTAAGTAGAAGAAAGAAACACAGCAGAAACAAACTCCATTCCAATGAGAAGAACAAAATGTTAGCCACACTCTTCCAAAAAGGAGACATCCCCATGTTTCATGCACAATTCACGGGGAATCATTTATTTAAAATAAGTCTATTTGTTCAACCTGTCTCCCACGACAAAAAAAGGTTGCATTTCTGAATTACGTGCATGAGTTGCTTTGCTAAAGTCATAAATTCAAAGGAGAGAGCAAAATGTGAAAGATGTTAAAATCTAGGGAGCACTTTTGGCTGAGACGGTGAGCCCCATACCATTCCTTATCGAGTTCGGCCACCATTTGTCTCTGTATGAGCTCCCTAAGCAATGATACTTCTGGATATCTGTGGAGAGGAGGGGCTCAACTCTATATTTCAAAAGGTTCACTTCATTTTTCCTCAGCCCCAGAGAAGGCAGTCTAGCATATAGCATGTTTAGGAAAGAAACTAATGAGCTGTCAGGAAGGGCAGATTAGAAGCAATTCACTGAGTAGTCAGTATCTTAAGCCATGTTCTTGTCAAGTTGGTGAACTTTTCTGCCTCTCAATTCTTCCTAGGAACTCATGTATTACCTTCAGGGCATTGCATCCTGTCAACCCACTTGGGTCATCTAATGCATTCACACTGGTTCCAGTTTTCTTGGCACATAAGAACTGAAAACACACTTGATGTATGTACATATTTCTTCCTATTGAGCCACCCTTCTTGCCTCGGTTCCAGTGCAGACTCAGACATTTCAAGAGCACAAGGTTTAACAAAACATATGGCACCAAGTTACATGAAATGTGGTGTTTAATTCCACCCAGAACTGTTTTTGGTGATATAGTGTGCAGTTTTAAAATAATATTTTAGCACAAAAAATGTAAATGTTCTTGTAAGTGTCACATCTTTCCCAAGTGCTTTGGTTGATTCATCGTTAAGTGAAAAGCCTTAATTATATTGCTGTTACTCATTAATAGCTGAAGTGCAGGATAAGTGGGGATATTCAGTCTCAGAGCTTTCTGAGTGCTGACTTGATGAGACGACTCATAGACATCGGGGAAAAACATGTCCCACAAGGAGATAGGATGATGGATTTGCTGGTTTATTTGGTGCTATAACCAATATTCAGGAAAGGATGTAGCACTTTTTAGGGAAAGTAATTGCTGAGATTGAAGTGTCATGTTCTTACAGGTCACAGAGTTTCTTTCAGATCTGCCGGGATTCTCTAGGCATTCTCATAGGCTCCTGATATCAGCTTCTCCCTGAAACTGTGAACCTCTATCCAGGATATATTGTTAGGGTCCTTTCCTCTGAAGACTGTAAGGAAAGAGGGGGCTGCAGGTTCTGAGAGGGAAAAATGAGAACCAGTTCGCTGTGAAGGCAAGGAGGACAAGGTCTGAGGGCCAAAGGGAGAATGAATCAAGAGAAAAAGCAACTTAACATATGGGTACACAATAGGCTGGTGGAGGTGAGAGCAATTTGTAGCTCAAGAGCCAGACAAATCACCCCAAGGCAATTGTGGGTACCAGGGCCTACCAGGGAAGGGCCCTAATGGGCAGAGGCAAAAAGCTGAGCTTTGTCCCTTTAGCTAATTTAGTCTCCCTGGGATGGCCTGCTTAGAGTGGATAAGGAGAAGTGGTCCAAAAAGCTCACATTGATTGACAAAGCTAACATTGCCTCATTTAATCCTCACAAATTAGTTTTCAAGGCAGGTATTATTATCTGTACTCTTCCCAGAGAAACTAGGAAGTTAAGTAACTTGACAGAAGTTACTCAGTCAGAAGTGATAAGGTATGGATTCGTTTCTTCATTCATTCATTCATCCATCCTGTAGTTGGGGTCTATAAGTTTACAAGCGATTACTTGTATGTGCAGAGGAATATGTAGGTTCTTTGTTTTCTGTAACTCAGGCCCCCTCACTGATGTTCTGTGGCACAGGGGTGCAATTGAGTTGCAGGGGTGCAGAGACCTTGATGTCCTCTGCCTCTTGGAACCTGGGTAGGGTTGGGAGTCCCTAGCCAGTTGTCTTGACTGCTTTCCTTTATGCTCTATACAGGTATTATCATTTTCCATCTGTGCTACCATGTGAAAAAGGTTGGGAAACTCTACTGGAAACTGACCTCGCTCTTGGGACCCACCCTGCCAGGCAAAAGGGGTATGTACATCCGCTTCCCAGTTGATGAGATGATGACTTCTCTGTCTTTCCCAGTTTAAACTGCCTTTTTCAAGTTAGCTCATTGCCTTCCACAGAAATGCTTGAATTTTCAAAATTTCTTTCCTTCCCCCTTTTTCATTCCGGGCTGGCTCCCAGTGTATGGGCGTGCCGTTCTTCGGCTTGTGTTTTCTAGATCCTTGCTGGCTTTAATGGAAGGGTCTTGGCCTGCTTGACTGAGTATACCAGCTCTGTCCTTCTTGATTTCACTGTTGGTGTCACTGGTCCTGTCTGGCTTTGGGTCCCATGCTGGGATCAGCAGTCGCTGACCTTGGACCTTGCTTTTGTCTCCAGTCTCAAGGTTCCTGCTCTTGATGGGCTTGCCTTCCTCATCTCAGGCCTCCTTAGTCCTCATTCCTCCCTCCACCTCTGTGTCCCCAACCAGGGCACATGGGAACTTCTAGACTGTCTGAATATAGTGCACCAGTCATGAGAAACCACCAGTGCCAGCTCAGGCTGTCTGTCTAGACTTTTCTCTGTATTGCCCCGAGGCGACTGAGTGCAGCCAACTGAGTGCAGCCAACTGAGTCCAGCCAACTGAGTGCAGCCCTGGGCCCTGCACATTGGAGGCCATTCCTTATCTGTTCCTCTGGCTGCACCCCTTCCTTCTAGTGAGGAGTCCACGGGGCCAGGAGTTTGTGCTCTTTTCTTAGACCACCCTTCGGGCAGTCAGGACTCTGAAATTCCTGTGTAAACGTCCCTGAGGCTGCATCCAGAACCTTGCATGCCATCTCCCGGGCTACCACTGTATATCTATCTGGGCCCAAGGATGGCCAGGGAGCAACAGTTTAGTGAGTCTGTGGACATTTGGGTGACCCCCAGTGTGGTGCAGAATGGAGCCAAGAGTGGGAAGAAAACTGGAGTTAGGGCTGGGCATGGTGACTCACGCCTGTAATCCCAGTACTCTGGAAGGCTGAGGTGGTGGATCACTTGAGACCAGGAGTTCAAGACCAGCCTGGCCAACATGGTGAAACCCTGTCTCTACTAAAAATGCAAAAATTAACTGGGCGTGGTGGTGCGTGCCTGTAATCCCAGCTACTCAGGTGGCTGAGGCAGGAGAATCCCTTGAACATGGGAGGCAGAGGTTGCAGTGAGCTGAGATTGCACCACTGCACTCCAGCCTGGGCAACAGAGTGAGATTCTGTCTCAAAAAAGAAAGCAAAACCCAAACAACACTGGAGTTAGGTCAGAAGGTCAGAGAAGGTGACCTCTTTTCCAGGTGCCACATCTGCTCCTCCCTCTGCCAAGGTGCACATCTGCAAGTGTGCCAAACTGGGTGTGATGCTGTGCAGGACCTGGGGCTTCTGGAGAAGCATGCAGCAGCCCCCACCCAACTGTGTCATGAAATCTGGCCGCTGGTCCTGGTGCCCTCTGGTTTTTCCATGTGTGTCTGCATGTTTCTACTACAATCAGCAAGGCCCTCTCCCTGCCCTGGGATTTTTGCCTGGTGGTTTTTGGGTATGGTGATGATAGCAGTGCTGGGAGTGGGGAAGTGACTAAGATGTGTCTGACTTCTTGTTTCTCCTTGTTCTTGTTTTCTCTCTGCACACTAAAAACCTCTCTAATAGAGCTTGAAATTCTTCTTAGAGTGATTTCTAGCTTACTGTGGTTCAAAGTAAAACTCCCCAGACTTCAAAATTTCATTTTTGGTATCTAAAGGAAGTTGTGTGGAATCTTGCTTTCTTCAAAATCTGACATCTAGCAGTTCTGCTGTAGCAATTTGACAAAGCTACAATATCCAAGTACATGATTAGCTGGTTCATTTTATTGAACAAGGTATAGATTTGTTTGGTTGCCTTCAAATTCATGTGTTAAATCACCTGTAAGGCTGGGAGCAGGGACACACACCTGTAATCCCAGCATTTTGGGAGGCCAAGGTGGGGAAATTGTTGAGTTCAGGAGTTCGAGACCAGCCTGGACAACCTGGTGAAACCCAGTCTGTACAAAAAATACAAACATTAGCTCGGTGTGGTGGTGAGTGCCTGTAGTCCCAGTTACTTGGGAGGCTGAGGTGGGAGGATCACTTGATCCTGGGAGGTGGAGGCTGCAGTGAGCTGATATCAAGCCACTGCACTCCAGGCTGGGTGACAGAGCAAGACCCTGTCTCGAAAAAAAAAAAATCACCTGTAGATACTCATCATGTGCAGTGGATCCACATGTGGATTTAGAATGACAGGAAACAACAGCAACAAAAGAAACCCCACAGGTCCTCCTCCATAGATAGTTTGAGAAGCATTGATCAAGAGGACCCATAGCTTAGAGCCCAAAAGCTTATCAAAGACCATCTTTTCTAGATGGTATCTACCACCTCCCTAAAGGGTAGGTACATTGTTCTCCCAAGGCCACTGAATTCATAAGATATGAAAATACTTTCATATACCAATTAATCCAACAACTGTCACTGTGCACTAACTATTTTCTAGTTACTTCTGCTATTTAAACTCAGATCTATGCTATTTCAAAGGCTATGCTTATTCCCCTAAACTGGATCTCCTCTGCATGTCAGGTCTACTGAAATTCCCACGATTTGTCTCACAACTTTGGCTTTATTGATATTTCCTTCTAATCTTCCACTTTTTATTTCCCTTGACCATTTTCTCCCCTGATTGCCTCATCTGTTCTTGATCTAATTGCTGGTTTATTCCCTGGCTTGGTCAGGGTCTGTATGGACCAGGGGCCCTTGGGATGCTGGAGGGCACAAAACACTCATGAGTAGCTAAATCTCCTTTGTTGTTTCTGGGGCCTGTCATGGCACAATCAGCATTGGACTTTGGCTTTCTTTTTTTTTTTATTATTATACTTTAAGTTTTAGGGTACATGTGCACAACGTGCAGGTTTGTTACATATGTATACATGTGCCATGTTGGTGTGCTGCACCCAGTAACTCGTCATTTAACATTAAGTATATCTCCAAATGATATCCCTCCCCCCTCCCCCCACCCCACAACAGGCCCCGGTGTGTGATGTTCCCCTTCCTGTGTCCATGTGTTCTCATTGTTCAATTCCCAACTATGAGTGAGAACATGCGGTGTTTGGTTTTTTGTCCTTGCGATAGTTTGCTGAAAATGATGGTTTCCAGCTTCATCCATGTCCTTATAAAGGACATGAACTCATCATTTTTTATGGCTGCATAGTATTCCATGATGTATATGTGCCACATTTTCTTAACCCAGTCTATCATTGGTGGACATTTGGGTTCCAAGTCTTTGCTATTGTGAATAGTGCCACAATAAACATACGTGTGCATGTGTCCTTATAGCAGCATGATTTATAGTCCTTTGGGTATATACTCAGTAATGGGATGGCTGGGTCAAATGGTATTTCTAGTTCTAGATCTCTGAGGAATCGCCACACTGACTTCCACAATGGTTGAACTAGTTTACAGTCCCACCAACAGTGTAAGTGTTCCTATTTCTCCACATCCTCTCCAGCACCTGTTGTTTCCTGACTTTTTAATGATAGCCATTCTAACTGGTGTGAGATGGTATCTCATTGTGGTTTTGATTTGCGTTTCTCTGATGGCCAGTGATGATGAGCTTTTTTCATGTGTCTTTTGGCTGCATAAATGTCTTCTTTTGAGAAGTGTCTGTTGCTATCCTTTGCCCACTTTTTGATGGGGTTGTTTGTTTTATTGACTTCGGCTTTCTTAAAGGCTGTTGAAGCTGCACTCTAATATTCCAAGTCATTCTAATGATGATAATCCCTATGCTCAGATCACTTGGCTGAGCACCTGGCCCAAAAGCCACTCCAGGCTTAATCCGTACATATCCTTTAGGATCCGGTGCAGGTTTGTGTACTCCAGGAAATATTCCCTAGCCCCTGGATAATTTGGGTGTGGACCCACAGCCCTGTAGTTTAGAGGTAAAAATCTGTAGCACCATAGAATCCCAGACATTCTGTGCTTGCTCAGAGCACAGTGAAGCAGTGGGTCTGACTGTGGTTTCCATCCCAGCAATATCATTCTTTCCTGGAAGCTGTCAGAAATGCAAATTCTCAGCACCAAAACCTGCTGAATCAGAAAGGGTGAAGTTGGAGCCCTGAAATCTGTAACTTAACAAGACCTCCAGGGGATTCTGGTTTTCATTAACATTTGAGAACCACTCTGCCGAGAAATAATCTTACCTGTTAGACTATCAGCTCCCCAAAGTCAGGGATGATAAGCCCGATTGGTCTTTGTGCCCCCAGTATCTAAAAGAGTTCCTGTGTATGTGCCTGGCTTATGACAGATAAAGGTGTGGATTTGCTGCTTTATTGATAATTTTATGACCAGATTCCCATGAAGGCCCCCATTCTGGCTCCCAGTAACAATGCTTTTCCTGTCACCTGGAGAGTGTCTGGGAAAACAATAGCAGAATGAGAATAAAGGACCTCTTTATAATAAGTGTGCCAGCCGAAGCCCAGCAGAAAACTGGTAAAGTCTGGGTTAGATCATGCAGTTTTGGCTCAGAGCCTATATGGGGGATATCTTTTAGTGACCCCCATTTCAGACCGTGGTTCACACTACCCTCTGCCTGTGGTGTGGAGGAAGGACATTTAGGAGAGAAAGAGGCTGCCAGTTGGTCTGCAAACAGGCCCTGGTTTAACCTATCACCAAGTTAAATCTGCATGTAAGGGTGCTGTAGAAAAGGAAGGTGGGGGATGCTGCTCTTCTGGGGCCCTGAGCCATCTTTCCTACCCAGCCACATGGACTCAAAAAGAATGATAGGAAGCTGGGTGCAGTGACTCATGCCTGTAATCCCAGCACTTTGGGAGGCTGAGGTAGGCAGATCACTTGAGGCCAGAAGTTCAAGACCAGCCTGGGCAATAGAGTGAGACCCCATCTTTTTTCTTTCTTTCTTTCTTTCTTTCTTTCTTTCTTTCTTTCTTTCTTTCTTTCTTTCTTTCTTTCTTTCTTTCTTTCTTTCTTTTTCTTTCTTTCTTTCTTTCTCTTTATTTCTTTCTCTCTCTCTTTCTCTCTCTTTCTCTTTCTTTCTTTCTTTCTTTCTCTTTATTTCTTTCTTTCTCTCTCTCTTTCTCTTTCTTTCTTTCTTTCCTATGATAGGAGCAGTGCTGATGAGAATACAAGCTAACACTTGTGGACTATTATGTGCCAGACATTGTTCTAAATGGAGCAGAAACAATGACCCAGGTGCCAGTTTTCCAGATGAGAAAACTGAGGCTCGAGGAATATATTGTCAAGCTCATAAAACTGGTAAGTGGTAGAGCCAGAAGCAGGAGTCTCACTATGTTGCTCGGGCTGGTCTCAAACTCCTGGGTTTAAGTGATCCAACAACCTTGGCCTCCCAAAATGCTGGGATTACAGGCATGAGTCAAGTCAAGTCCCAGCCCAGAGCCTGATCTCATAACTACTTTGCTAAACTGCTTCTCCATAGAGAGAGAAGTACAGAAGGGCCCTAGGGGATGTTTAGGGGCAGGTAGGTGGGAGTGTGGCAGGGACAGAGAAGGACAGGTGGGGACACACACAGTGAGAGAATGACTCCTGGGCCTTGTTGGGCCCCAGAGCCTCCTTGTCTACTCAGCCTCTTGGTCTTGAAGAGAGTGAGGCTGGCTAGTGTGTCCTGCAGGGCCAGGCCCTCCTAGGCTTCATGAGCACATGAAGGCCAGAAGTAGGACCTAACAGAGAGGGGAACAAGGGAGGCTAAGGGCTTCTGCTTTTAAGGCATTGAATGCCCCCTTCCCTCATCCAAATAATAAGCATGGCCCAGTGAATGTCTTCTGGCCGAACTAATCAGGCTAGAAGATCCACCTTCCCTTTGGAGTGTGATGAGGGGAGCTGGGAGGGAGGGAGGTGGGCAGAGGTGGGCATGGCTTGATGGAACCATGCTGCATGGCACCCTATCCTTCCCTAAACCACAGAGAGGTGGGGAAGGGGAGGCAGGAGAGAAGGAAGGCTCTTGGCATAAGGGGTGTCTCAGCATTGGGAGTGGGCTGGGGAGTGAAGCCTATGCCTGAGTCAATCGGGAAGTAAATTGAGAAGAAAAGATAGAAAAGGGGTTCTTTACCCAATTCACATTTGGGCAGCCTCAGAACTTCCTTTAAAAAGGGAGATGACAGTGAATTGGGTAGAGATGATAAATCAACAAACAAGAAAGTTAAGCCATCATCACTGTTTTTTTGCAAAGGTTTTTCAATATTGTAAAAACTTTTTTTTTCTTTTCAATAAAACCACCAGCTTTGGAGTTTCTCTTTGCGTTAAAGGTACATCATTTTTCCTGGAGTGATTAATTGAAAAAGAATTAACTTAGTTCACTTACCGATGTCCCATCTGAAATAAGGGAGGTTATAGAAAACAGAGTTGGCTTATGATATATATATTTCCCCCTAAACCAAGCATCTCAAAGATACTGAAATTGACAGAGATTCTTCTTCTTATGTTACAAATGAGGAAACAGACTCAAGGAGACTGAGCGCCTGCCCATGGGTGATCAGTCAGCTGTCAGAGGCAGGATTAGGTCTCAGTTCTCTTCTTGCTGTTCTGGCCAGTGTGCACGATCTTGGGTATTCATGCAGCACAATTTTCACGTGTGCTTTCAAGGCAAGTGACCTGTTTCTAAGTAGGCTCATCACAGAGAGGCTTTTAATGGATTTACCTCATTTTTAAAGGGAAGAGTTCATTTCTTCTCCTCCCAAGATACATATGATGGATGAAATTATTGTCTCATCAGCTTAATTATCTTTTCACTTCGGAGTACAGGGAACTAGCCACACAGGCTTTCACTGAAAAAAAAAGAAAGCCTTGCAGTGGTGAGGACCTCTCACTATCCCTGGAGGGGGCGCAATGCAGCCCTGCAGAAGTGGCATTTACAGGTTGCCAATTTCCATTGTAACTCTGGGAGTCCAGACTGTACACTCATAGAAACATCCCATAGATATGGCAGCTGTATTAATTCAGGGAGCCTGTGTTTTCTTCATCACTTCTTCACAAACTGTATGAAGCACAGGAAAGCCTATTTTGGGTTTAGTGACTGAATGGCAACCAGGACAAGGTAAACCAGATTAAATGGGACTTATTTGAAGGGAGAGAAAATGGAAGCAGGAACTCCTATTCATTCATAGAAGTAAATGATGAAAAATCAGTAGCAGTCCTCATGTTAGATGGGCAGGCCCTAGACTGGGAACAGAACTAGCTTTAGGGAGTGGCGGGGTAGGGAGCTTCCCAGATGTCAATCTGTAAACCCTCCTAGAAATATAGTACAGACTAACTCAGGTTTCCATGTGATGACTTCCATACTGGCCAAATGTAAATCGATTCTGCTCCCACTAAAGTAGGTCCTGCTGTACAGTAGAAATTAAAGATTTGCCCTTGACTGCCATCTTTGAGTATCTTTCAACATGCATGTATGTACAAGTTACATGTTCTGTCTGTTCCATTAACCCTGAGACCAGCTCTTGTTGACAGTTGTGAGAAGCTGGTGTTTGCAACTTATTTTGAAATTCAATAATATATGACATGCTACTGTTTAGTGGGTCTCAGTAATTTATTTTAGAGGGATTTATTGTCTACATCTTTACATTGTTCAATTTGCTTACAAAACATTTTTTTTTTATTCTGAAGACCTTAGTAATGAATCCCACATGACTGAAAATAGAAAAGAATACAATTTTATTAATATAAAATCAGTTTCTCTCTGCTTTCATGAAATAAATGTTGAGCAAATCTTTAAAGAGTATTGGTCTGTAGGGTCACCCAATTATTCATTGCTCAGGCCTCTCACATGTCTAGGTAAGTATAGGTCTACCTACCTTACCAACTGGAGCTGTACAATTGAATGTGGAAACAAGGACAGATTTTACTGATGTTACAAAGGAAGAAATGACAAAAACCAAACAGGTGAAAGCAATGAAAAGTGATGCTGCATTGGTTTGCATTCAGCTAACCCAGATTGCCTGAGAGATGTGGCCATTTAGAGTAAATGAAAGAATTGGCACTTTGGGGACCTAATGGCTCGCAGAATCTTAAAGGGGTCAGAAGCAGGCCCAACAATGAGATCTTTGGCTCATTTCTGGTTCCAAAGTCACTGTATGAACTCAATCAGAGGTTATTCTGAGATTTTCACTGACAGTAATGGCAGTCAATGCATATTTGCTACATGAAAGAAATAAGTTAGGAAAAGAAAGTGGAAATAAAAAAATGCCATCCTTGCCAAATTTAGCTGGCACTGGGGCCTAACAGCCGATGTCTAGAAAAATTGGAAAAGAGAAAAGCGAGCAAACAGTTGGAGGAGGGATGTGTAAGCACACACACAGAAATCCCCCGCCTCTCCCACATTTGTTCAGAGAGCTAACTTAGAGAGTCACTGTGTTTTCCAGATGATTCTCTACTTTGTTGCAGATTCATACACCCTCCTTGGAGAGAATCTAGATAAACACAAAGCCTAATGATTACCAATACATTGTTACTTCCCCATGTTGAACATGGGAATTATTATTTGTAGTGGTTTTCTGCATTTTTTTCCTGCCCTTTACAGATCATGAAATGCGTTTTGAAATCAAGACAATTCTCAAAGGTCTTCATAAGCTGGGATTGTTTACGGAGCAAAAACTCAGCTCTCAACAAATATTTGCAACTTAATGATACATTTGTATAAAGCCTCAGAATTTTTGTGTAGAACAGGTGTCAGTCAGTGTATATTTCACTGCTCTGTTAAGCATCTTTCCCTTGAAATTACTCCCCATCTTACATGGCACAGACACTGAAGTGGTCATTTATTTTAAATTAACTTAGTGCTGGGCTGGAAAACATGGAAAAGATAATGGCAAAATTATTCCAACAAGGTCACCTGGAGCTTACAGTGAGCTGAGATCGCGCCACTGCACTCCAACCTGGGTGACAGAGCGAGACTCTGTCTCAAATAAAAAAAAAAAAAAGTCATCTTTATAGGCCAATGTTTTTCATGCCAAACTGCTATGACTACATGAAAGGTAAATGTCTGGCACCAGGCAAAGGGGATGTTTGACCAATAGGCTTTGCATCCCAAAAAAAGTCCATTTTGTTTTTTCTTTTTCCCTTTTTTCAGTGTTGGGACATGTGGAAAACAGACGCTCTGAGCAGAGGAGACATTCAAAGGTCTCCCTGTTCCAGGGGCAAAATATAAACAAACACGCTGGTCATCAGTTTCCAGAATTTCCCATTTATTGCTTTCATTGCAGTCACCTGATCTCACTACAGGAATCTGTCTCCCATGTGGGGCTCCTCTTGAGCAGAGAGAGCAAGCAGATGAGCAGAGTTCTTGCCCTTTAAGGGCTTCTGACCCTCCTAAATCCATAGGTATACACTGCATCCCCGGGAGCTTAGTTCCCAGGCCCTCTAATAGAGCACCTTTGCTTTCTGCCAGGACAGTCCCAACAAAGTGCTGGCCTCTGGGCTGTGGTGGTAGCTTTTCTGGCTTTGGTTCATGGTTTCTGGATTTGTTCTTTGTTTATCAATTTCACTTCCAGACTTTCCTACCTCCTGGTTCCCCTTAGTTCAGCCAAAAAGCAGTGGGCATGAATAGCTAGTGACACGGGATGAATTGCATGTCTTTGTTTATGTAACTCTCCCCCTGGCTTAATGTGGATGGTGTTTTCTGAGGCTGTGGTGCTTGACGTTAGGAGCACAGCAGGGTTGGTGGTGGAGTCTTTAAAACTCTTGATGCGCAGGCTGCCCTCAAGATCAACTACACAGAATCTCTAGGGTGGGACCTAAGCATCAGTGATTTTCAGAGTTTCTCCATTAACTCTGAGGTGCAGCCAAAGTTAAGAACCACTGTCTTAAAACTATTTGAGTGATTTTAAACCTTCCTTAGTGTACGCTGGTGGGAAGGTATTGACTAATTCTGTTTTAATTTCCCTGAAATAAATCAAACCTGGAAAATAGTGGATCTAATGTTACCACCCAAGGTGTTTCTGATGCCTGGACATTGAGCATCTCTGCTCTTGAAGAAACTTTCTGTCTTAGAAAGACTGCAGACTTTTTGAATGAAAGATCCAACAGTTTTTCATCACCCGATTAACAATTTAAAGCTATAGTTATAGGTTATAGAGTATTGCTTAGAAATTGCTTCAGTAAGAACCATTTATTAACTAATTTGCATATATGGAATTATATTGTTTATTATAATTTATGTTATGGGTATATTTTCTTCATATTTATACCCTGGGAATGGTGAAAGATAAAGTATGATGCTGAAACTGAAGGTAAAAACTTTTCCCTATTCATTTGCTTGCTGTAAGTTCATTTACAATCCATACCCCTTCCCACTAAAAACAAAATAAGGAAAGTAAAAAAATTCCAGGAAATGATATTTCAAGTTTAGAAAGTTTATATTAGGTAATTTCAAATGTACTTAGATGCAGCCATGTTGTTAATTATTATTTTTTTCTGTTGTGATTGGATTAGATTTTTCACCATTCAGATAGCCAATTTCTGTGTTATTACCCATAAGAGGCTTGTAATAGATTTAATCACAATGGATTAAGATGGCGGATAGGAGGTAGGACTAGCTTGCAGCTGCCACTTGAACGGACAGAGCAGCATGTGAAGACTCACATCATAGACTTTTGCTTCAAGAACTACTGCAGGAACATACCAGGAAAGCTGAGATAATCCACAGACCCTTTGAAGGAACTGGATCACCACTGCAGGCTCCCTGAGATGCCGAAAAACTGTGAGTCTGCTTGCTTCCTCAATGTGGAGGTTCATGGTCCGGGGCAAGTTCTTAGCCCTGTTCACTGGCTGCCTGGAAATGGACTCGGTACTGTTGTGGGGGCATGGTGGGAGTGAGACCTGGCCTTTGGGACTGGAGGCTGCTTGGGAGTGGGGTGAGGCCTGTGACTGCCAGCTTTCCCCAACTTCTGTGGTGACCTGTATGACTCAGCAGAGGCAGCCATAATCCCCCTGGGAATATAACTCCATTGGCCTGGGAACCACACCCCTATCCCCCACAGCAGCCTCAGCAAACCCCACCCAAGGAGAGGCTGAACTTAGACATGCCTATCCCTGCCCCCACCTGGCGGTCTTTCTCTACCCTCCCTGGTAGCCCAAGACAAAGGTCATAATCTCTTGGGAGCTCTATGGCCCTGCCCACCACCTGAGAAACCTGAACACTTAGCCAGGTATCCCTAGGGCAAGTTTGCCTCCCTGCTATAGGATGGCAGCTGATGCTCTATTGAAAGTGCCACCTCTTGGCTGGAGGCCAACAAACACAAAACTAGTGCACTAAACAAAAACACAACCAAGGACCCTCACAGGGTCCACTTCATTGCCTTGCTACCTCCACTGGGGCAGGTGCTGGTATTCATGGCTTCAAGACCTGAAGATGGATTACATCACAGGACCCTTTGCAGACAATCCACAGTACCAGCCTGGGGTCCAGTAGCTCTACTGGGTGGCTAGACCCAGAAGACCAAAAACGATAACTACAGATTGGCTCTCAGAGAGTCCCATTCCTAAGGGAATGGGGAGAACTCCACATCAAAGGAGCACCTGTGGGACAAAAGAATCTGAAGAGCAGGTCTTGATTCCCAGATCTTCCCTCTGACATAGTCTACCCAAATGAGAAGGAACCAGAAAGAATAATTCTGGAAAAATGACAAAACAAGGTTCTTTAACACCCCTAAAAGGTCATACTAGCTCACCAGCAATGGATCTAAACCAAGACAAAATCTCTGAATTGCCAGAAAAATAATTCAGAAGGTCAATTATTAAGTTAATCAAGGAGGTACCAGAGAAAGGTGAAGTCCAACTAAAAGAAATAAAAAATGTGATACAGGATATGAAATGAACATTCTTCAGTGAAATAGCATAAATAAAAAACAATCACAACTTCTGAAAATCGAGGACACACTTAGAGAAATGCAAAATGCACTGGAAAGTCTCAGCGATAGAATTAAGCAGAAGAAAGAACTTCAGAGCTTGAAGACAAGGCTTCTGAATTAACCCAGTCCATCAGACACAAAGAAAAAAGAATTAAAAAAAAATAAAGGCTCCAAGAAGTGTGGGACTATGTTAAATGTCCAAACCTAGGAATAATTGGTGTTCCCAAGAAAGAAGAGAAATGTAAAAGTTTGGAAAACATTGGAGGGCATAATTGAGGAAAACGTCCCCGGCCTTACTAGAGATCTAGACATCCCAATACAAGAAGCTCAAAGAACACCTGGGAAATTCATCACAAAAAGATCATTGCCTAGGCACATAGTCATAAGGTTATCTAAAGTCAAGACAAAGGAAAGAATCTTAAGAGCTGGGAGGCAAAAGCAACAGGTAACCTATAAAGGAAAACCTATCAGATTAACAGCAGATTTCTCAGCAGAAACCCTACAAGCTAGATGGGACTGGGATCCTTCCTATTTTTAGCCTCCTTAAACAAAACAATTATCAGCCAAGAATTTTGTATCCAGCAAAACTAAGCTTCATAAATGAAGGAAAGATAAAGTCTTTTCCAGACAAATGCTTAGAGAATTTGCCACTGCCAAGCCAGCACTATAAGAACTGCTAAAAGGAACTCTAAATCTTGAAGAAAATCCTCCAAATATAATGAAATAGAGCCTTCTTAAAGCATAAATCTCACAGGACTT
This sequence comes from Homo sapiens, assembly GCF_000001405.40. Taxonomy (NCBI): domain Eukaryota; kingdom Metazoa; phylum Chordata; class Mammalia; order Primates; family Hominidae; genus Homo; species Homo sapiens. The sequence continues at coordinate 97,406,457 of NC_000008.11, read as the reverse complement.
ATATAACAGTAACACAATGAAAAAAAAAACCCACAGGCTATTCAGGCAACAAATAGCATGATGAAGAGAATAGCACCTCAGATCTCAATACTAACATTGAATTTAAATGGCCTAAATCCTCCACCTAAAAGATACAGAATGGGAGAATGGATAAGAATTCACCAACCAAATTTCTGCTGTCTTCATGAGACTCACCTATCACATAAGGATTCACATAAACTTAAAGTAAAGGGGTGGAAAAAGATATTTCATGCAAATGGACACCAAAAGTGAGCAGAATTAGCTGTTCTTATATCAGACAAAACAAATTTTAAAGCAACAGCAGTTAAAAAAGATAAGAGGGACATTATATAATGATAAAAAGACTAATCCAGTAGGAAAATATCACAATTCTAAATCCATATGCACCTAACACTGGAGCTTCCAAATTTATAAAACAATTACTACTAGGCCTAAGTAATAAGATAGATGGCAACACAATAATAGTGGGGGACTTCAATACTCCACTGACAGCACTAGACAGGTCATCAAGAGAGAAAGTCAACAAAGAGACAATGGACCTAGACTATATCCTACAACAAATGAACTTAACAGATATTTACAGAACCTTCTACCCAACAACTGCAGAATATACGTTCCATTCATCAGCACATGGAACATTCTCCAAGATAGACCATAGAATAGGCTACAAAACAAGTCTCAGTAAATTTAAGAAAATCAAAATTATATCAAGTACTCTTTCAGAACACAGTGGAATAAAATTGGAAATCAACTCCAAAAGGAACCCTCAAAACCATACAAATACATGGAAATTAAATAATCTGCTTCTGAATGATCATTGGGTAAACAATGAAATCAATATGGAAATTAAAAAATTATTTGAACTGAATAATAATAGTGACACAACCTACCAAAACCTTTGGGATACAGCAAAAGCAGTGCTAAGAGGACAGTTCATAACATTAAATGCCTACATCAAAAAGTCTGAAAGAGCACAAATAGACAGTCTAGGGTCACACCTGATGTAACTGGAGAAACAAGAACAACCCAAACCCAATCCCAGGAGAAAAAAAGAAATAACAAAGATCAGAGCAGAATGAAATGAAATTGAAACAAACAAATACAAAACAAAAGATAAATGAAACAAAAATCTGGTTTTTTGAAAAGATAAATAAAATTGACAGATCATTAGTGAGATTAACCAAGAAAAGAAGAGATCCAAATAGGCTCAATTAGAAACAAAACTGGAGGTATCAGAACTGATACCACAGAAACACAAAAGATTATTCAAGGCTACTATGACCACCTTTATGTGCATAAACTAGAAAACCTAGAGGAGATGTATAAATTCCTGGAAATATACAACCCTCCTTGATTAAACCAGAAAGATATAGAATCTCTGAACAGACCAATAACAAGCGGTGAGATTAAAACGGTAATAAAACAATTACACACACAGAATAATCCAGGACCAGACAGATTCACAGCTGAATTCTATCAGACATTCAAAGAATTGGTACCAATCCTACTGACACTATTCCAAAAGATGGAGAAAGAGGAAAGCCTCCCTAAATCATTCAATGAAGCCAGTATCACCTTAATACCAAAACCAGGGAAAGGCACAACAAAAAAAGAAAGCTGCAATATCCCTGATGGACATAGATGCAAAAATGCTCAACAAAATACTAGTGAACTGAATCAAACAGCATATCAAAAAGATAATCCAACATGATCAAGTGGGTTTCATGCCAGGGATACAGGAATGGTTTAACATACATAAATCAATAAATGTGATATACCACATAAACAGAATTAAAAACAAAAATCACATGATCATCTCAAGAGATGGAGAAAAAGCATTTGACAAAAATCCAGCATCAGTTTATGATTAAAACCTTCAGCAAAATTGGCTTAGAAGAGACATACCTTAAGGTAATAAAAGACATCTGTGACAGACCCACAGCCAACATTATACTGAATGGGGAAAAGTTGAAAACATTCCCTTGAGAACTGGAACAAGAAAAGGATGCCCACTTTCACCACTTCTATTCAACATGGTACTGGAAGTCCTAGCAGAGCAATCAGATGAGAGAAAGAAATAAAAAGCATCCAAATCTGTAAAAAGGAAGTCAAATTGCTGCGGTTTGCTGATAATATGATTGTATACCTAGAAAACTGTAAAGACTCATCCAAAAAGCTCCTTGAACTGGTAAGTGAATTCAACAAAGTTTCAGGATACGAAATTAATGTACACAAATCAGTAGCTCTGCTATATACCAACAGTGACCAAGCTGAGAATCAAATCAAGGACTCATCCCCTTTCACAATAGCTACAACAAAACAAAACAAAAAACTTAGGAATATACCTAACCAAGGACGTGAAAAACCTCTATAAGGAAAACTACAAAACACTGCTGAAAGAAATCATAGATGGCACAAACAAATGGAAACACATTCTGTGCTCATGGATGGGTAGAATCAGTGTTGTGAAAATAACCATACTGCCAAAAGCAATCTACAAATTCAATACAATTCCCATAAAAATACCACCATCATTCTTCACAGAACTAGAAAAAACGCCCTAAAATTCATATGGAACCAAAAAAGAGCCCACATAGCCAAAGCAAGAGTAAGCAAAAATAACATATCTGGAGGCATCACATTACCTGACTTCAAACTATACTATAAGGCCATACTCACCAAAAAAGCATGATACTGGTATAAAAATAGGCACATAGACTAATGGAACAGAATAGAGAACCCAGAAATAAACCCAAATACTTACAGCCAACTGATCTTCGACAAAGCAAACAAAAACATGAAGGGAAAGGACACCCTATTCAACAAATGATGCTGGGATAATTGGCAAGCCACATGTAAAAGAATGAAACCAGATCCTCATCTCTCACCTTATACAAAAACCAACTCAAGATGGATTAAAAACTTAAATCTAAGACCTGAAGCCATGAAAATTCTAGAAGATAACATCAGAAAAACCTTTCTAGACTTTGGCTTAGGCAAAAATTTTATGACCAAGAACCAAAAGCAATTGCAACAAAAACAAAGATAAATAGATGGGACTTAATTAAACTGAAAAGCTTCTGCACAGTAAAAGAGATAATCAGCAGAGTAAACAGACAACTCACATAGTGGGAGAAAATCTTCACAATCGATACATCTGACAAAGGACTACTATCCAGAATCTACAAATAACCCAAACAAATCAGCAAGAAAAAAACAATCCCCTCAAAAAGTGGGCAAAGGACATGAATAAACAATTCTCAAAAGAAGATATACAAATGGCCAACAAACATATGAAAAAATGCTCAGCATCACTAATTATCAGGGAAATGCAAATCAAAACCATATTGTGATACACCTAACTCCTGCAAGAATGGCCATATTAAAAAAATAAAAAAATAATAGATGTTGGTGTGGGTGCAGCAAAAAGAGAACACTTTAACACTGTTGGTGGGAGTGTAAACTAGTACAATAGTACAACCACCATGGAAAACAGTGTGGAGATTCCTTAAAGCACTAAAGTAGACCTACTATTTGATCCAGTGATCCCACTTCTGGGTATCTCCCCAGAGGAAAAGGAGCCATTATATGAAAAAGATACTTGCACATGCATGTTTATAGCAACACAATTTGCAACTGCAAAAATATGAAACCAGCCTAATGCCCATCAAGCAATGAGTGGATAAAGAAAATGTGGTATATATATACAATGGAATACTACTCAGCCATAAAATGGAATGAAATAATGGCATTCGCAGCAACCTGGATGGAATTAGAAACTATTATTCTAAGTGAAGTAACTCAGAAATAAAACCAAACATTGTGTGTTCTTACTTGCAAGTGGGAGCTAAGCTATGAGGATGCAAAGGGATAAAAATGATACATTGGACTCTGGGGACTTGGGGGAAAGGGTCAGGGGTGGGGAGGGATAAAAGACTATAAATTGGGTATAATGTACACTGCTAGGGTGGTGGGTGCACCAGAGTCTCACAAATTACCACCAAAGAGCTTATTCATGTAACCAAACACCACCTGTTCCCCAAAAACCTATTGAAATAAAAAAAAAAACAAAAAAATTAAAAAAGATTTAATTACAGTGTTTGAGACCTTGATGTCCAGAATATAGAACACAATGTTTTGGCCAAGTGTCTGGAGAAGCACAAACTGGTTATCTCTATGTGCGTTAACTCATCACTCATCAGCATTATCACTGCAGAATGTGTGAGCATCAGCAAGGAAACAGGAAAAAAATAGCTCTGAGTCACATCAAATATTCCACGAGTTAACCTGTGAAATTCATTATCATTTCTCACTTCTCAGTACTAGAGGAAATCTCAGACTCAGAATTTTAGAGATGAATCCCAAGAGTTATCTAGTCTGGGAATGGCAAAATGATCTCATTCCTTGTGCCAGTGTTAAACTATTGGTAGCTGTTGGGTGGGTTCTTGTGTTGAGAAGGATAGCAAGACAATATCTATCTGGGCTCAGCAGATTGGGCACTGCTATCAATAGTGATGTTCACAATGGGTGTGAGAGGAGGGCTATGGCAGAAGATGGATCAGTAATTGTTGTGCCTTATCTAGTCCCTTATAACAGTGGTTGTCAATATGGGTGTATACTGCAGCCATTTGGGGGAGCATAAAAAATCCCAATGTCAGGCCACACTCAGACCGATTATCTGGGTGTAGGACCAAGATAAACCAGAATATCTGGGTGTAGGACCAAGGTGATTCCCATGTGCACTTAGAGATGAGAATCCTGCAGAAAAGGAAACAAAGGCTTTGAGAGATAATGCAAATCACCAAATGTTATATAGTTATAGGCAGAGAATGTTTACCAGGTCTCATGATTCTCATCTATTCTTTTCCAGCCAGATTATTTCCATCATGACTCTGTATGAAAACACATGAATAATGATGACACATTACTGATGACTTGGTTCATTGATTTTTAGACCAGTGGTTCCTAGCCTAAGAGCAAGTATCAACTCTCTCGACTAAATGAATTATAAATATTCATATTTTAAAATGACTGATTGAAAATATATGTAGAGCTTGTTTTAATGAGTAAAACACAAATTTATTTAGAAGCATTGTTGGATTCAGAGTACTTTTTGACCCTTGTGTTTTCTCAGTGGATGATGCTCTCTCAATTGCTGTGACGTTGGAGTTGGGCACCACTGATTGAGACCTCAGGGGTGCAGGAAGCAGTGCAGCTGCAAAGAGCCCAGACTTTCACCAGGACTAATTAAAAGGCTCAGTGATTGCTTGCAGACAAGCTTTGACACCAGCGTGGCTGGCCTGTCTGCTGTTGTTGATGTATGTAGGAATGAGAAGGTTCTTTCAGGACACATGTGGCTCAATATAACCTGGCTGGTTGGATACTAGAAAATGTCACCCTTGAGCCTGATTGAGTGAGGATGCCAGTGGTACCTCAGCCTGGAGGTATTTTGAGCCCCTTTCAGGTCAGCAGCAAGCCACCCAATAGAAAAGTGTGGCAGAGTTTGTGATTATGTTGGTTGCCATCATATTTCTTGTATCTGTGTAAATGCTCATTTAGACAACTCCATGTGATTCTAACTAGAAAATCTGTGTCAGTCACTTTCCCCCTCTGTGCCCCAATTTTCTAATGGCTAAAAAGGAGAGAAGTCCTGTCATTTGCCACAACATGGATGGAACTGGAGGTCATGATGTTAAGTGAAATAAGCCAGGCACAGGAAGACAAATTTCATATGTTCTCCTGTATTTGTGGAGCTAAAAATTAAAACAATTGAACTCATGGAGATAGAGGGTAGAATGATGACTACCAGAGGCTGAGAAGGGCAGTGGGGTGGGGATGGGATGGAAGAGGGGATGGTTAATGGGTACAAAAAATATAGTTAGAAAGAATAAATAATATCTAGGTTTGGATAGCACACAGGGTGACTATAGTCAATAATAAAAGGTATTTTTTACTAGCTATATGAAATCTACTACAAAAGCCAATAATTTATAATTGTACATTTAAAAATAACTAAAAGAGTATAATTGGATTGCTGGTAACACAAAGGATTAACTGCCTGAGGTGATGGATTACCTCATTTACTCTGATCAAAATATCCATATACCCCATACATATATACACCTACTATATACCCATAAAAACTAAAAAGTAAAAAATGGCAAATAAAAACTTAGAAGGAGAGATGAATGTTTATTCCAATTCTAAGAAACTATCTTCATAGTTGAATGGTTATTACTTTGCAGGTGGGGACACTGGGGCAAAGAGGTGTGTGAAGCAACTTTCTTAAGGCTGTACTTACTTATGAGAAAATATTGGACTAAAATTAGGGCCCTTGACTTAGATACCTGTGTTCTTTCTATTAACAAAGCTAAATAATGACCCTTGGGCTGCACTAAAATTTCTAAGTCTCCCCTTTAATTTCTCACACCCTTTGTCCTTCTGTCCATACCTTCTGTCCAGGATTTATGGAGGATGCTCTGAAGCCTGAATATGAGTCTGGAATCCTACACACTGTTGACAATCCTAGATATGCCTTCTTTTCATGGCCAGCAGGGCTGCAGACTGGGTAGCGTGCCATCCAGAAGATGTTATAATTTCTTCCCTAAGGTTCAGCATTGGAGCAGGACCTGGGGAATGGAGCATTAATTCTGTAGAACATCTACTTATTAAACTCTCACTTACTAAGTGCCAGGAACTTTGGAGATGCAAACATGAGTAAGAAGGGATTTCTACCTTTGCCTGATATGTGAGGGAGACAGACACATGCACAGACAATGACTACAAGGCAGACTGATCATCTAGGCGGTTGTGGTAGATGTGACTGACTGGCCAATTTAGTGCCCGTACCCAGACCCCTTGCCTGCCACCCCCATAGGGGTTCAAAAAGCTAAATACTTAGTCTGCTGGTTTCCTGTGCAGGAAGGTGATCATATGAACAGTCTTGCCAATGAGATGTAAGAGGAAGGTAATATGGTTTCTTAGAAAGCTTTTATCTTTCTTTTTTTTTTTTTTTTTTTTTTTTGGTGGAAAGAGAAGGAAGGCCAGCACTAATGTAAGTTTTTTCCCATTCTTCTTGACTTGAAATGGGTGTGGTATCTACAGGGTCAACTGCCATTTTGCAACCATGAGGCAATAAACATGTGGTAAAGGCCAAGACGTTTGCAGAGATGCTAGACATAACATAATCCATCCACTGAACCAACACCAGTGGCAGGCTACCCCCAGATATTTCATAATATGAGAAAGTTAAATCTTGACTTGTTTGAGCCACTGTAAGTTGGAATGCCTGTTACTTACAGCAGGATGCATTCCCAGTGGACATAAAAGTATATGCAAAGCATTCTGACAGGAAGTTGCTATCTTCAAATGTGGGCAGCATAAGATAGTGTTTAAAGGCAAGGACTTGGGAATCAGAGATTTGCTGCTCATGAGCTGTATGGCCTCAGGCAAGTCACTAACCTTTCTGAGCTTAATTTTCTGCATTCATAAAATGGGGTGCTATGGTTTGAATGTATCTCCCCAAAAACATGTGTTGGAAACTTACTCTCCAGTGCAACAGTGATGGGAGGTAGGGCCTAATGAGAGGTGATTAGGCCATGAAGGTAGAGTGAATGGATTAATGCCATTATTGTTAGAGTGGGTTCTTTTATAAAAGGGGGAGTTTAGCCCCATTTTACTCTCTCTCTCGCCCTTCCACCTTTTGCCATGGTATGACATAGCAAGAAGGCTTTCACCAGATGCTGGCCCTTTGGTCTTGGATTTTCCAGCCTCCAGAAGCATGATTCAATAAAGTTCATTGTAAGTTACCCAGTCTGTAGTATTCTGTTGCAGAAGCACAAAATGGACTAAGACATGGGGATAGTAATATCAATCTCAGACTGATGCAAGGATTCAATGAGCCTGCAAAGTACTTACTATAGTGCCTGGCACATGAAAAGTGTTGACCTGGTAGCTCTTATTATTAATATCCTTCTTAAACCTTTTAGTGACACTCTTAGAAAATTTATATTTTTCTTTCAGACATTACAAAACTCAGTGCTTGCTATATAAAAGGTGCTCAAGGAAATCTTGGATAAGTGACCTAACATTTAATGATAAGATCTCTAAGCAGAGGCCATGCCCATGTGTGACTCAGGAAGCAGGTGACAAATGGGTGCTTGTAATGGATGCTATTGTCTACCACCCAGATCCCCCCTTCCTCTCCAAGGGCTGAGGCACTCATTCCCCAGCTGCTGGGGGTGTTGACAACTCTCAGCTGAATCTTTCTCTGAGAATTGTCCTCAGAATAAGAGAGACACCTCATTCAAGGTCATAGCTCCTTCCCGAGGGAAGCCCACTTCCAATGACTCATCAGTACAGTGGGGCTACAAAGGCCAGGCCCCCTGAGTTGGCTCAAAAAATCTCTGAAAGGCCGTTCAGCTTTAGAGCTTGCATAGGTTCCACCAAGGCCTTTCTTATGACTTTCAATTGCTCTCTATGCTGAGTCCTGCTTCTTTCACTTCCCCAGGGGTGTTGATCCTAAGAACATTCCCCAACAATCTTTCTGTAGGCAAGTATTCACCTCCAAGGCTATTTCCCAGGGAAAGACTGCAACTGTCTCTCTGGTCCCATTCTTGCATGCAGAAATGTGTAGTTCTGTCTGTGGAATCTCTGGCTTGTGTGTGTGTGTGCACATGTATGTTGTTAATTCTCTCCAAAATATATTTATTCATTCATTCATGCATTCCATTCAGTGAGTATGAAATGCCTACTATGTGTCAAGAACTGTGCCAGGCTGTGCCCTCATGAAGCTTATGGGCTAGTAGGGAGGATATACATTATTCAATCAATCATATACACCTTATAAGATTTCAACCGTGACGAGTCCTACGAATGAGAGAGACATGAGAGACTGGTCTTGGGTGGGAATGGAGTGGGGCTGGAAAGTCTTTCCAAAGAACATGATGTTGCAGCTGAGAGCTGAGGGATCAGGAGAAGTTAACTGGGCCCAAGGGGAGGGAAGCACATTCCAGCAGAGGGACACTATGTTCAGTGGCCCTATGGTGGAAGGAGGTGAGTTTGAGGAGCTGAGAGGAGATAATGTGGCCAGAGTGAAGAAGTGAGGGAGGGCTGTGTGAGTGGGTCCTTATTCCCCTCTCCTGAGTTTTCTCTCATGTGGAGGTAACTTCATTAGAGCATTCCTGGCCTCTTTCTACCCCTTACTGACTCACCTCCCTTGGAGTGTAGTAGGAATGATGTCTGTAGTGGACAGAAGCAGTTCAGTGCCTTTTTTTCTTCTCAGGGAGGGAGCTTGAGATCCCTTTGGTCCTCCAGGGAGGGCTCTGCCCATAAGAGGGTGGCCTGCCTTGGATCAGCACTATCTTCCCCTGGGCATCCTAATTCTGAGGTTCTGAGTGCGAGGTACACCAGTGCACAGATTCAAGCTACATTCCTCTGACCTGCCTTTATCACTGACAAAGATGCTTACCCCTTTGTCCTATTTCTCCATTGGTCAGAACTTGAGTGGGAAAAAAAGGTGCTAATTATGGGGCCCTCAAAGACCCCAGGAGGCTGATGTCGATGCCATAGAGATGATCAAGACTCAAACCATTCAGAGCTTCACAGGTCTGTCAAGAGGTTTAGATTTCATCCTATGAGCATTGGATGTCTTTGAAGGGATTTATAAGCAGGAGAGGGATCTGATCAGGTTTTCCCTTTGAGAAGATCATTCTGGTTTCTCCATAGAGTTCCAAATGGGAGAATTTAAATTCTGATTGAAACTCTTCCTCTGTCCTCTGACTCCAAACAAATCTCAGATCTTGGCTTTAAGAGATCCCAGATCAAGCAGAGCTGGCACCAGTGGTCCTGGCCCAGAGAGGGAGAGAGGAGAAGCACCTCTTTCTTCTCCAGCCTCTGCTCTGGCTGAAGTAGGAAGCCATGGTTCCCTCCACCCACCCAGTCTCCATTGTATGCTAAGTTATCTTCAGCAACACAGGGCTTGTTGATGATGAAAAGAGAACAGGTAAAACTCAGTTCCATGTTAAGAAAAAATGCAGTTAGGGTGACATAAGATAGGATGGCAATGATTGTCTTCATTTCTAGATGCTGTCTATTGCTAGATTTAATGGAGAAGCATTCGCAGAAGATGGGGAGGGAAGCGGGAGATGGCTGCAGCTGGACTATGTGTTTGTCTGGAAGAGAGAGCCGGAAACAGTGGTCAATTATGATCAGGGCCTGAAGGACACAAACAGTGGACCTTTTGTCCACTGAAAAAATAACAGGAAGGACCTACCCCTAAAAAAGGGGTCAGGGCAGCCTCTTCGAAGAAATGATTTATAAGCAAAACTGGAGGATAAGAAGACATAAGCCATTGAGCAAAGAGTGGTGATGAGTGGAAGAGGTGAAGGATGAGGTGACTCTTAGCCCCAGGAAGGAGCTGGAGTGTTGCAAGATGAGTTGGACCCAATGGGGCAAATTATAACAAACTAACGAGGAAATACAGTGAAGCAGCTTGGCTAGAGAAGTGAGAGGCTGATCTAGGAATTTGAAGGTGAGATAGCATTTGAACTGGGTCTTGAAGACTGAGTAGGAATTCTACATGTAGACAAAGGAAAGAAGCACACCCAAGGGGCAAGAATAGCTTGTTTAAGGACAGAGAGGTGTGAAAAGACATGATCTGGGATTGTCATATTCTACAAGAAGAGAATAAAAAGATAATTAATACCATGGCCTCTGGCTGCCATTATATTCGCTCATTTCATGCTTTCTCTCCCATGTGTTTGTCTACCAGGAAGGGGTGTCTGAGTGTTTTCACTGAAAATAAAGCTCAGTTAGTTTTATTTACTGCTCATGTTATGAAAAGCCCTTAGTGTTGGGCCAGGTTAGAGAGAATGCAACCAGAACAGTCCCCAAATATTTACTTCCATAGCCTATTTATTGTAGGTGGAATTACAGAGGCATGTTCACTAGTGCAGAGATGAGCTCAGGTTTGGATGTTGATCCAAGTAGCAGAATGCTCAGAAGCTCACACTGGCTTAATCGGGCCAGGAAATCAGGACCCAGCCAGCAAAGAGAAATCAGGAATAAGGGAACCTGAACAAGTTAGATCAGAAGTAAAACGCTTTGGTGTCCATTAGTGCAAAACGCTTTGGTGTCCATTAGTGCTTCTGGAAAGACGTTCAATTCCTCTCTCTCAACACTCAGCACTCCCAGGCCAGTCCCTAAAGAGGCAGCATCTAGGAATAATCACCCACTAGGTCTCATTTCCCATTGTGCCCTACCCAAGAATGGCCTATTCACCTGGACACTGTGAGTGACCCAGCATCTCAGGCCAACCCATGTTGTTCCCTCTCTTGCTGCCTTTACAGCCCCTTCTCTAACTCAAGCTTTGACTCTTCCCAGTCCTCAAACCTGTGCACTAAGCTTTCTGGGCTCCCAGACGGTCATCAGCAAAATCCTGTTAGTCTCAAATTGTTTTCTGAACACTTTCTTCATCTTTTTGCAGCCCATTCAAGTGGTGCTTCCTTCCTTTTCTTTTCTCTCCTGCCGTCTTCACATCTAGAGCCTGGAGGCAGGTGAGATATCCCTGATTCTCCCTGCTGTTTCCAGACCTTTGTTGCACCCACTGTAAAGAATTGCAGTGCATCGGAAGCACATGCCACCGGGCTCCGCCATATCCCACACCCTCCTTTTGTGTCACCTACGCTCCTCCTCCGCATGTCCCTCATTTATTGAGAATTTTAGCACCTGGATTTCAGTCTTTCCACTGCCACTTATGTCATTATTTTCAGTATTCTGAATATCCACATAGATAATTCATCCAACACTTGGCCTCTCAGTTGCAAGGATTTTATCCTTGGACCATGTCAGTCTTTTATTCCAGGGCCATACCCTAGACTTTTATTAACCATTCCCTCACCACCTCAAAGTCTCCACTTCACTTCATGTGCTCTCTGATCATCCTGTCTTTCTATTCTAGCCTGTTCCCTTTGGTATCCCAACTCCAGCAATTCTTTGGGGCCTCTGAGACTGCCAATCCACCTTATTCCTTTTCTCTGTCAATCTCTTTCCCCGTTATCCAGCTGAGATTTCATGAACTGGCTTGCATACATTTTCTTGCATGCCACTCACCTCCCTTGTTCATCTCATCTTTCTTTGTACTTATTGGCAAAGCTTCAATCCTGGTTAAATCCAACTTGGACTATTCTCCTCCTTCACCCAAGAAGCTCCCTATGGCTTGTGAAGAGCACACACCCTTGTCAATTGGCCTCACTTTAAACTCCTGACCTTGGACTTGAAGTAGGCACTCAGCCCTTCCTGGCAGAGGGGCTTCACTCACCTTGTCAATCCATCCCCACTTTCCCAAAGAGTGATTTCACTCCTGTCTTCTCTTTCCTCAGACCAGCAATGGTCTCTCTGCTCCACTCATAAACTTGCTTCTTATGTCACTGAGAAAATGAAAGCAATTGAAAGAGAATTTTGGTAGGCTTCAACTACAAGATCTACGATCCTTCCTGCATCTCTACTTCTGTTGCTTGAATGAGAAGTCCTTGTTCCTACCTAGGGCTGGCTTTCCCCCTGCATGCTGGATCCCTTCTGCTCTCGCCTACTCCAGCACTTTATTCCCGCTCTTCTTGCTTCCTTCTGCATCACCTATCTCTCTCTACTGTGTCATTCCAGTGAAATTTAAACACTCTGCAGTACCACTTATCTTTAACCTCACATCCTGCTCAGCCCCATTTCCCCCCTTTATTTCTAATATTATTCTAAACTATGGGAGTTGTCTCTGGTAGCTGCCTCAATTTCCTCACTTTTTGTTCTCTCTTTAATCCATTCCATCAGATTTGGGTCCTCACTACTCCACCTAAACTCCAGGTCTGCAATGACCATCTATTGGAAATCTCTGAGTTTTTATCTCAACTGATGAGTAGCATCCCACCCATCTCCTTCCTTCTTGAGGCATCCTTCACTTGGCTTGTAGGATACTACACTCCCCTGGTTCCCACCCTGCCCATTCTGTCCCGGTTTCATTCACTGGATCCTTCTCTTCTGGACTATGCCTGGGTTCTTTCTTGAATTTCTCTTCTTTAGCTGTGCACAATGGCAGGGGCACAACGCCAGGCAATTTTCTGGCAGTTGAAATAAGGTGTTTAGGGGAAGCAATATCTTTTTCAAGTTTTCACAGAGTCATCTTGTGGGCTATTGAACAGGGCTGCAGCCTGACAACTCTTTCCCTCCATCAGGCTGAACTCTGGCCATCCCTGTCTTGGCTGTTCTTTAGGGGAGCTTCGTACACACCTGCCTGTGCCGGTGCACCACTCTCCCGCTGCCTCCCCCTGCCATCCAGGCATGTGCTTGGCTTTCCTTCCTGCACACATCATCCTGGGCTCTGCTCAAATATGAGCACCCTAGATAGAGCAATAACCCTCATTTCCCTCCTACTTTACTATTTTCAATAACATGTATTTTTCCTTTGCATTATACTGTAAATATATTTTCATATCTGTTTTTCTGCCTTCTCCACTAGTCTTAAAACTCCATGAGGGCAGAGATTGCCCTCATGTTCATTGTTCAATTCCTGGAACCCAGAACAGTATTTGGAATTTATCAGGTGCTCAATAAATAAATACCTGTTGAATGGATGAATGAATGGGTAGCATGGTTATGCTTCTTCATACCACTGGGCTTATGTCCTGGTACTCCATACATAGTAGGTACTCACTGAAGGGGGATGACAGTAACTCTAAACTCATGGGACTGTTGTTAGGCTTGAATCAGGTAACGGATGTGCATGTGCTTGGTGAGCTACATACGAAAACCTTTACTATTGCTCCTGTTGCTAAGAAATTAAAGGTTAGAGGTGGCCGGGCGTGGTGGATCACACCTATAATCCCAGCACTTTGGGAGGCCGAGGCGGCCGGATCACAAGGTCAGGAGATCGAGACCATCCTGGCTAACATGGTGAAACCCCATCTCTACTAAAAATACAAAAAAATTAGCCAGGTGTGGTGGCGGGCGCCTGTAGTCCCAGCTACTCGGGAGGCTGAGGCGGGAGAATGGCATGAACCTGGGAAAGGGAGCTTGCAGTGAGCCGAGATCGCACCACTGCACTCCAGCCTGGGTGACAGAACGAGAGTGAGACACGGTTTAAAAAAAAAAAAAAAGAAAAGAAAAAAAATTAATGGTTAGAGATAGAATTTGAAACTCCATTCATTTATTTACCCTGCAATTAATTCTGAGCCCCTCATCTGTTCTGTGTTCAGCGGTCGGGGTTCTGGGGATACGGCAGTATATTAGTCCACTCTTGCAATACTATAAAGAAATACCTGAGACTGAGTAATTTGTAAAGAAAAGAGGTTTAAGTGGCTCATGGTTCTGCAGGCCTTACGGAAGCAGAGTGGCTTATGCTTCTAGGGAGGCCTCAGGGAGCTTTCAATCATGGTAGAAGCGGGAGCGAGGCATCTTCACACCGCCAGCACAGGAGGAAGAGAGAGTGGGGAGGTGCTATACACTTTTAAACAACCAGATCTCATGAGAACTCATTATCACAAGAACAGCGGCTAGCGGAATGGTGTTAAACCATTCATGAGAAACTGTTCCCATGATTCAATCACCTCCCACCAGGCCCCACCTTCAATAATGGGGATTAGATTGATATAAGATTTGGTTGGGGACACAGATCCAAATCATATCAAGCAGTGAGCAAACAAAGCCCTTCCTTCCTGTAGTTCAGGAATTCTCAGAAGATCAGGTGTCTTTTTCTATTTTTTCCCTGCTTTGCTCTAATTTCACTAGAGTGTGGTTTGAGTGCAAGAAGTGATTTTTAACACAGGAGAGGGGTGGATGGAGTAGTGAGCCTGGGCTGTCACACCAGGGTGACAGTATTTTCAAATCCCAGCTGCCCCACTTAACGCTGAATGAATGGGAAAATTACCTTTTCTCTGTAAACCTCAGTTGTATCTCTAGTAAAATGCAGGAACTAACTGAATCTGCCAAGCTGGGCTGTTGTGGGGATAATTTATGCAAAGCACTCGGCATAGTACCCAGGAGAGTTAAGTGCTCAGGAAGTGTTACTTGCAGAGCCATTTTGGGAGAGGCTGAGGAAGGAACAACTCCCACATGAGGGAGAGTTTCAGATCTCAGTGGATGAAGGAAAGAGATCACTCAGAGTGGTCCTGGCTGTAGGCAGATTTTTTTCACAAGAAACTGACAATTACAAAAGGAAATTGTGGCAGGGGCTGGAGCAAGAAAGATGAGTCAGGAAGGCCTGAGAATACTGGAAGAGGTGGTCTCAAGAAGATTTATGTTTGAGGAGAGACTTTCTGAATCCTAAGGGTGCAGGAAGGTAGGATGGGTAGATAGGTTTGGGGCCTGAGAATGTAAAGGAGGAGAGGTCTGCTAGAGGGAAATGGGCCTAAGTTTATTTAGTGGACACTTCAAGTGGCTTTGGAAGGTGGACATGGAGCTGGCTGAGGAGAGTTGAAATATTGTGCTTAATAGAGTGAAACAAACTTGGAATTTCTTGGGGGACTTGGGGAGGTGGGTTTTGGGGTAGTGAGAGGAAGGGGTAGAAAAAGGAAGAGAGGAGCCAGCACACAGCAGGAGGCTGAGGTCTCAAAGTGATCCATGATGGCTGACATGACTTAAGAACAAGGACAATTGAATTGTAATTTTGGCTGGGCATGATGGCTCACACCTGTAATCCCAGCACTTTAGGAAGCTGAGGTGGAATGATTGCTTGAGCCCAGGAGGTTTAGGCCACAGAGAGCCATGATCGCACCACTGCATTCTAGCCTGGACAACAGACCAAGATCCTCTCTCCAATAAATAAATAAATAAATAAATAAAATTTAAAACATAAATTGCAACTTCAAGTTGATAGTTACATGTATGGCCATGTAAGCCCTCTGTTATGCAGACCTTGGTCCTGTTTGGATGTTGGCAACATCCTTGTTTTCATGAGTGATTTAGAGTAAGGTTGAGAGGACTGATTCAGGTAATCTTGTTGGGATGAATTTTCATTAAACCCAAAATGAGTATACGCGCACCTGTACACACACACACACACACACACACACACACACGTCCGCAAAACAATTCTTGTCCTTATTTTGTGTGATAAAGTAAACACATAAAGTTAAATATTAAATATGGTATTATTAATCCCTAAATGCAACATAGAAATAGTTCAAATAAATAAGAACTATATGATTTCAAATAAACAGAGATGATGTGATGAGATAGTTGTGCTTGCCTGTTCATAATTTCATCCTTTCTAAGACATATGTGCACAAGGTTGCTAGCACATCTGGTGAATTGTTGATGACATTTTTTCTTTGTTTTTAATGCAGTCATAGTTGAAGATTTAGTTAACCTAAATGGGCTTCTGTGAATGATAATAGCAATATACTTTTTCTAGTTAATTATAGAAATTCTTATTCAATCTTAATAAAAAATGATGGACATAAACGTAAGTCTTGTGATCACTGTGATCGTTCTTCAGCATGAATGACTTAACTGCAATGATTTGTTCTGTTCTTTGGACAACACCAATGAAGCTTAATTATTGAATCAGGCTTTGGAAAAGCAAATGGATTTGTAATCCAAGCATTTTTCTTTAACGTTTCAATTTCTCTTTTGGAAAGTTAAAGATGAAAAATTTGGTTCAGAAGGAAGTTGTAACAATATCTCTAATTCTATTTCAATTGGGCGATGTTCATTAGTAATGTTCTCTCTGATATGTTGTAACAATACTGGGAACATTTAATAGATAGGGTGATCACTTAAGTTTTAGTAGGCAAATAAATCTTTTGAAATCCCTATGTTGAGTATCTTGTTGATTTTTCTCTATGGTTTCAGATTTAGTTCATTAAGAATGCCGAAAATATCAGCTGAATATGCCAATTTTATTAACAAACACCATTTTTGAAACAATTGCAAAATGATATTGCAGCTTAACTAGAAAAATATGAATCTCATTCCAGAATTCATATACAAGGTTCAACACTTTCCCTGTAACAACCAGTAAACTTTGGGATGATATAGTAAGTAGATATGATTAACTCTAGTCTCTCAATAAAATATTCCAAAAAGTTAGCTATTCAGTGAGATTCCTTCAGTAAAATTAACAGTCTAGAATGAAGTTTTCTATTTGTCCATGAGATTTGGTAGAATATCTTTAGACGCCCATATCAAGACATATAAAACATTCCAAATGCACTGTTATTAGTAGCATTTAACTCCACCAAATTTTCCAGGTGTATTTACTCTCCTATGCTTTTTAATAGTGCTCTAGTTTAATTCATATTGATCAATAATGCACTCTTCTCATTTTGTAACTGTATGTAATTCAGTTATGTGAGATTAAATTTAAATTATGGCCGGGAGCAGTGGCTCATGCCTGTAATCCCAGCACTTTGGGAGGCCAAGGCAGGTGGATCACTTGTGGTTGGCAGTTTGAGACAGCCTGACCAACACGGAGAAACCGCATTTCTATAAAAATACAAAAATTAGCTGGGTGTGGTGGTGCACGCCTGTAATCCCAGCTACTCAGGAGGCTGAGGCAGGAGAACTGCTTGAACTCGGGAGGCAGAGGTTGCAGTGAGCCAAGATCGTGCCATCGCACCCCAGCCTGGGCAAAAAGAGTGAAACTCCATCTCAAAAAAAAAATAAATAAATAAAATAAGATAAATTTAAATTATATAGCAAATTCTCCATGAATTATCTAACCACATACATCTGACATAAAAATATTGCTTCTCTTAGAAAACTAGTGCCCTTAAGTCAGATTTTGAAATCTATACTAGCCTGTGCATTCTGTACAGTGGTATTGTGTTTTCACTAAGACGAAGAGATTTAATTTGATCTGCTGGTTTATTATTTAAAATTACACCCATATATTCATATGTACTAAAAGAATAATACATTTTAGGAACCATGTGTTCCATTTTCTCTTTTACCACCCAAGATACAACTACATATTAGAATAAGGCTTTCTTATTAGCTGCTGTAAAGTGACTAAAACTACAAGCAGCAAACACCTATATACAGTATTATAGGTAGCATAAGTCCCCAACCTTTTTGGCACCAGGGGCCAATTTCATGGAAGACAATTTTTCCATGGACTGGAGGCTGTGATTGAGGGGGATGGTTTTGGGATGAAACTGTTCCACCTCAGATCATCAGGCATTACAGACATTAGATTTTTGAAATTTCTTCTGCCAGACATAAGGAATGCACAGCCTAGATCCCTTGCATGCACAGTTCACAATAGGGTTTGCACTCCTATGGGAATCTAATGCTACCGCTGATCTGGCAGGAGGCGGAGCTCAGGTGATAATGCTTGCTGGCCTGCCGCTCACCTCATGCTGTGTGGCCTGGTTCCTAACAGGCCACAGGCCAGTATCAATACATGGCCTGGGGTTTGGAGACCCCTGAATAGCAGTCCCTGTCTGCAAGCTCTTTTCCATGGGCTTTGCTTGTATTTTTTTTTTTTTTTACAATGCCATAAACTAATTATCATCATTATTTTTGTTTTATATTAACTGAGCCATAGAGAGTAACTTGCCCAAGAGGGCAAAAGGAAGTTCTGGAATCCAAACCCAAGCAACTAACTTCAAAGTTTGGTACTTAACCAATATATTGAACTACCTCTTAAATGAGAAATTGTGTCAGTAATTCATGTCTTTTCTTTTCCCTACTTGAAAATTCTTGAAGAACTTAGTGAAAATATATACTTACCAAAGATGCATTGGTTTCTGTCATTTTCAAAGAAGTTTACATATAAGATAAAATGCATTTTAAAATAATCTTCATTATAAAAGCTTACATTGACTTTTTACTTTTTAAAAATAAAACTCAATTAAGTCCATGTTTATTGATTAGAGTGAACATTTTGCTCAATATCATTAATTTTGAACTTCCAGATTCAGCTGTTGAACTGGCACACATGCCTCTGGATTTTCCCCCTCTTCAATCTTTTGTCTTCTAATAATAAAGTAAGACAGTTGAAGGACAAGTTACACTGTTTCAATAAAAAAGATAACAATTGTTGTGAAACTAAAAAAAGTCCTGCTTGAAAGTATCCTTTCTGAAAACCACCTTGCAAATTGGTCACCAAAACTCAGTTGAAAGCCTCTATAATTTTGCTGACAGAGGAAGTGCAAATTTATGATAATAGAAAATAAAAGTGCACCAAATTAACTCTACCATTATGGTGATGGTCAAATTGACCATCATAAGCTGAGGAACAGAATAAAATGTCATTGAGCAAAAGAATAAATGACCCATTCCTAGCCACTGTGTATATTCATTATATACCTACCACTGTCTCTCTCACATGTAAGGAACAGTTGGCCACAATATTTGTGTCAGCATTTACATTGCCACAATTCCCCCTGTGAACTTTTATGTTTTCTAGTTAATTAAAAAAAATTCTAGTTCAACCTCCTACATTGATTATATGATCCACCATGGGTGGGACCTGCAGTTTGAAAAACACTCAATTAAGGGAAGAGACAGAATTTCCCCATTGGGTCAATGCCAGGGTAGAGATAAATTAATATGCATGAGATGTGGAGTTAAGAATGGGAATCATGAGACATTTAGTGGAGTTACACAATTGGTGCCAGAGGTGACCATGAGACCCTTGACCCCTCGAGACATCTCAAGAACCTTTAGCAGGGCACTGGTGTTTTCCCAGGATGTGAATGGAAGTTTGAGCTGAGCTGATCTTAAGAAACCCAGTGATCCTGATTGCCACTCACTTGACCTCAGCAACAGTAAAGGGAAGTGGTCAAATGTATGAGCTTTGGGGCATAATTGCTGGGTTTGAATCTTGGCTGTATCACTTACCAGCTTTGTGCAGGTTACTTAACCTTTTTCTGGCTCAGTTTTTTCATTTGTAAAGTGGGGATGATAATAGTATTGGGCTCAGGGGATTATTGTGAGGATTAAATGAATTACTATATACTATACATGTACTAACACTTAGAATAGTGTTTGAAGTGTGATATGCAGTAATTGAAAATCAGCTTTAAAATATTATCAAGGGAAGTTGTGCCCAGGTAGACTATAGAAATTGAAGGAGTTTCTTAGGGTCATTGCAGTCTCTATCCAAAAGTGGCCTCTGTGGATGAATGGTGCTTCCTAGCATTAGGTTACTCAGAAACACTATAAGTCCCATCAGGCCTATCCCCGGAGTCTACCCACTGCTGTAGAAATCTGTGTTCAGAGACTGCACATCAATATCCAGGAGTTGGGGTAGTACCATTTTATCAAAGAGCTTGCTTGGGTCAAACCAGAGAATGTCAACCAGCACTTCTTCATGAGTAGCAGGGGGAATCATTGGAGGGTCTTTTTGAACTTGGTCTGCATAAAGGAAAAGCAAACTCTCTTTCTCTATATTCAATATTACCCTCAATACTTCACTTCTGACACCAGATGTGGTGGTGTGGGTCTGGTTTCTCACCCTGACCAATTCTCTGACACCAGTTGGGTGTCCTACAATTTAATTCAATTCTGATACTATCTACCTGGAGTTAGTGTCAGATCCCACAAGTTAAGAGCTCAGTCCCACAAGACTGCCCCCCACTTCAGATGTTGATATAGTTTGGATATTTGTCCCCACCCACATCTCATACAGAATTTTAATCCCTAATGCTGGAGGTGGGGCCTGGTGGGAGGTGTTTGGATCATGGGAGTGAATCCCTCATGACTTGCTCTTTGTGATAGTGAGTTCTTGCAAGATCTATTCATTTAAAAGTTTGTGGCACTTCCCCTTCTCCCCAACTTTTTTTGGCTCCTGCTTTCACCATGTGATGTGCCTGCTCCTGCTTCCCTTTTCACCATCCATAAAAGCTTCCTGAGGCCTCCTCAGAAGCAGATGCCAGCCTATGCAGACTGTAGAACCATGAGCCAATTAAATCCCTTTTCTTATAAATTACCTAGTCTCGGGTATTTCTTTATAGCTATGTGAGAATGGCCTAACACAGAAAATTGGTGCCAGAAGTGGGGTATTACTATAAAGGTACTTGAAAATGTAAAAGCAACTTTGAAACTGGGTAATGGGCAGGGATTGGAAGAGTTTGGAGGCCTTGGAAGAAGACAGAAAGATGAGGGAAAGTTTAAAACTTCTTATAGACTGGTTAAATGGTTGTTACCAAACTGCTGATATGGACAGTAAAGTCCCAGCTGCCAAAGTCTCAGATGGAAATGAGGAACTTATTGGGAACTGGAGCAAAGGTCCTGTGCAAAGAGCTTAGCTGCATTCTGTTCATGCCCTGGGGATCTATGGAAGATTGAATTTGAGAGTGATGACATAGGGGTATCTGGCAGAATAAATTTCTAAGCAGCAAAGCATTCAAGATGTTGCCTGGTTGCTTCTAATAGCCTATACTCAGATGTGGGAGCAAACAAATAACTTAAAGTTGGAATTTATATTTAAAAAGGAAGCAGAGCATAAAAGTTTGGAAAATTTGCAGCCTGGCCATGTGGCAGAAAAAAGAAAAAGTGTTTTCAAGAAAGGAATTCAAACAGGTTGTGAGGCAACCACTTGCCAGACATATTTGCATAATTAAAAAGGAGCCAAGTGCTAATATCCAAGACATGGGGAAAAGGCCTCATAAACATTTTGGGGACCTTTGTGGCAGCCCCTCCCATCATAGGCCTGGAGGCCTAAGAGAACAGAATTGTTTTGTAGGCCAGGCCCAGGCTGCTGCCCTGCACACCCTTGGGATACTTCCTCCATCTCCAGCTGTGGCTCAAAGGGGCTCAGGTATAGTTTGGGCTGCCATTTTGAAGAATGAAAGTCATAAGCCTTGGCAGCTTCCGTGTAGTGTTAAGCCTGTAGGTGCACAGAATGCAAGAGTGAAGAATGCTTAGCAGCCTCCACCTAGATTTCAGAGGATGTATGAGAAGGCCTAGGTGCTCAGGCAGAAGCCTGCTGCAGGGGCAGAAGCCCCACAGAAAACCTCTAATAGAGCAGTATAAAGGGGAAATATGAGGTTGGAGCCCCTACACAGAGTTCTCAGTGGGGCACTGCCTCATGGAGCTGTGGGAAGGGGGCAACCGCGCTCTAGACTCCAGAATGATAGATCAACCAGCAGCTTGCACCCTGCATTTGGAAAAACCTCAGGCACTCAACAACCTGTGAGAGCAGCTGTAGAGGCTGAACCCCATAAAGTCAGAGAGGTGGAGCTGTCCAAGGCCTTGGGAGTCCACCCCTTGCACCTGTGTGCTCTGGATGCAGGATACGGAGTCAAATGAGATTATTTTGGAGCTTTAAGAATTAATGACTGCTCTGTTGGGTTTCAGACTTGCATGGGGCCTGTAGCCTCTTTCTTTTGGCTAATTTCTCCCTTTTGAAATGGCAATGTTTACCCAATGCCTATACTGATATAGGAGTTAAGAAGAAGTCATTTAAGCAGATAGAGTAACAAAGTCCTCAGTAAGGTTTTCCTTTTAATAAAAAGCAGCCCCCAAATCATTTTCTTTTCTAACAAAGAGCATCCTGTAAAATTAAGCTGCAAACATAGACAAGCAAGCTAGAAGCTTGCACTGGTGAATGCTGGCAGTTGTGCCAATAGGAAAAGGCTACCTGGGCCTAGGCATTGTCAAAATGATGGCTCCATGTTCTCTTCTCTTTGCCAGCCACGTGTACAGTAAGGAGCAGACAACATGGCGCTGGGCAAGTAGAAAGCCCATTTGCGTAAGATTAGAATGGGGTGGCCAGCCGTCCTCATGCATTATGTAGACATCTCACCTGGTCCAATCAATCTGTGGGCCCTATGTAAATCAAACACCATCTCCTCAAGCCTGTCTATAAAATCCAGTGTGCTCTTCCATGGGCTGGATTTCCCTTCTGGGCACCCCTCACTCTCATAAGAGAGAAAGCTGTTCTCCTTTCTCTTTCTTTTGCCTATTCAACCTCTGCTCCTAAACTCACTCGTCATGTGTGTCCGTGTCCTTAATCTTGGCATGAGACAATGAACCCTGGGTATTTACCACAGACAATGACACTACTTCAATACCCACATTGTTTCTTGGAAGTAACTAACATGTTTTGACGTTATAGGATCATAGTTGGAAGAGATTTGCCTTGTCTCAGATGAGACTTTGGACTTTTGAGTTAATGTTGGAATGAGTTAAGAATTTAGGGGACTGTTGGGGGGGCATGATTGTATTTTGCAATATGAGCAGGACATGAAATTTGGGAGGGGCCAGGAACATAATGATATAGTTTGGATATTTGTCCCTGCCCAATCTCATATTGAATTGTAATTTCCAATTCTGGAAGTGGGGCCTAGTGTGAGGTGTTTAGATCATGGGGGCAGATTTCTCGTGGCTTGGTGCTGTCTTCATGATAGTGAGTGAGTTCTTATGATTTCTGGCAATTTAAAAGTGTGTGGTATTTTCCCCCACCACATTCCCACTGACTCGCTCTTGTTCCTGCTTTTACCATGTGAGCTGCCTGCTCCTGTTTCCCCTTATTCCACGAGTAAAAGCTTCCTGAGGCATCCCCAGAAGCACAATCCAGCACTGTGTTTCCTGTACAGCTTGCAGAACCATGAGCAAAGGAAACCTCTTTTCTTATAAATTACCCAGTCTCAGGTATTTCTTTATAGCAATGCAAGAACAGTCCAACACAGATGCTAATTGCAAGTACAAGTTGTCATCTTCTCTTCTGACTGGTTATAAATCAGGGGTTCCCACAACACCCTCCTTGGGCTGGATGATCTGCTGTAATGGTTCACAGAGCTAAGGGAAACATTACCATTTACCGGTGTGTTATAAAGGATTTGATAAAGGATGCAGAGGAATAGAGGTGAAGAAAGAAATTGGTAAAGGTGACAGATGAAAAGGTACATAGGGCATTTGATAAAGGATACAGATGAAGAGGCACATAAGGTGAAGTCTGGGAGGGTCCTGCACATAGAAGCTTCTGTCCTGGTAGTGTTGGGGTGAGTAGCCCTCCAAGCATGTGGATGTCTTCATCAACCTAGAAGCTCTTGCAACTTTATTCATTGAGTTTTTATGAAGACTTCATTGGCCATTAATGATTAACTCAACTCCCAGACTCTCCTCTCCCTAGAGGTGAGTAGGGGGTGGGGGTGGGGGTGGGTGAAGTTTAAAGTACTAACCCTCTGGTACTCACCTCTCTAGTTTCCATGGCAACCAGTCCCCATCCTGAGGCATCCAGGATCCCAGCCACCAGTCACCACATTAGCATACAAAAGACAACATCGCTTGGGAGATTTTAAGAGTTTCAGGAGCTGTGTCCAGAAAATGAGCAGCAGGCTGGGTGTAGGGACCAAATATATATATAATTTGTACTATGCTGTAGTCTTCTGAAGGGTAGCTAGATGCCTGGAATTTCCCTTGAAGGAACTCAAAATTTTCCTTTATTTCCATGCTTGGGGGCCTGGCAGGCTCCTAAAAAGGACTGATTGCCATGGAAACCAGACAGGTGATTACTAGAGGGTTAGTACTTTAAACTTCACCCACCCCCACCCCCATCTTATGGGGGCACCTACTGATATTGGACATCAGTGGGAGGAAGCCAATAATGGCACATCACTGACTCAGACTAGTAGGGTAATTGCAAAGTTGGGTGTATTTACTGAAGAAAGGGAGTTAATCTAAAATAAATCAAAGGATTGATGGCAGTGCCAAAGGGCTAGCTGAGAACTACACATTGTAGTAACCCTGGAACTGGCCCAGTTGTTCCATAGAACTGATATTCATGGGTTTTTTGAATACACAGAGAAGTTGACCCTCCCATCTTAAAACCTGAAACTTACATTTGTCTCATCTGAGTTCTTTCCTCAGGAAACCGACCCTCAGGCAAGCGACTGAAACTCACCAGCTCATGGCATCAAGAAAATGAGCCACAAGACCCCTCATCCATCATAATTGCTTCTGTATCTCTCCCTAGTTTCTGTTTTCCCACCTCTCCCACTATATAAGCCCTCAATTTTAGCCAGTCAGGAAGATAGATTTGAGACTTCTCTCTCATTCTCCTTGGCTGCCGCACCCAATTAAAGCCTTCTTCTCTGGCAATACTCATTGTCTCAGTGATTGGCATTCTGTGTGAGGAGCTATGGGACCTAGACCAAAACCCTGGCATTTTGATAACAGCCCCAGCCAGAGAGGTTGTGAGATATTCTGCAGCTGCCCCAAGTTGTTTTAGTATCAGAGGGGGTAGAAGGCAGATTGTTGGGTTGATCCAGGGTTGAGTTTGTAGGCTGGGGGAGGTGGAAGGACAGGGGATATGAGTGTTGCAAGTGCACAAAATGTTACTGTTTAAGGGGGCTCAGTGGAGAGAGGGGAGAAACAAGACCAGGGAAAGTCTTTATTCATTGACAGAAAAAAGAAAGGGGGTGCAGCAGAACTGAGGTACAAGGAGGTTAAGGATGGAGTTAAAAATATTTGCAGGAAAGACTTTCAGATTGTAAATGCTGGGGTTTAAGATAGAAGATAATTGGCCAGGGGCAGTGGCTCATGCCTGTAATCCCAACATTTTGGGAAGCCGAGGCGGGTGGATTACCTGAGGTCAGGAGTTTGAGATCAGCCTGGCCAACATGGCGAAACCCCGTCTCTACTAAAAGTACAAAAATTAGCCCAGCATGGGGATGCGTGCCTGTAATCCCAGCTGCTTGGGAGGCTGAGACAGGAGAATCACTTGAACCCAGGAGGTGGAGGTTGCAGTTAGCTGAGATCACACCACTGCACTCCAGCCTGGGTGACAAGAGTGAGACTCAGTCTCAAGAAAAAAAAAAAAAAAAAGAAGAGAATCGACTATGGGTAGAGTCAGGCTGTGCTCAGAGGTGGAGGTAGTTGAAATTGAGGTAACTGAGGAATGTGAGGCTTGGAACTCAGAAGTATTGTTTCAGGAAGCTGAGATCACTAGGAGAGATGGACAGGCTGTGGATGGAGAATGAAGATGCTGCACCAGATGCCAGAGTAAGTGACTGAGGAGAAAGTGACAGGTGAGTGAAGGGGGAAAGTACAGATGAAAAAGGTTAGAAGCAACATGGGGAATACTGTGTCCCTCCTGGCCTGGGGATGTTCTGGGCTAAGGGGAGAAGAGCCACACTTATTTGAGAAGATGAATGGGGAATTGGTGTGTGTTGGAGGTCTGGGCCTTGCTGAGGCATCCTGTGGAGGGGTGAATTCTGTTGATAAGAGAGGGCAGGTTCAAAAGGAGGGGAAGAAAAGGTGGAGTAGTAGAGAGCACATGTGATGGTGAGAGGAGAGCACCTGGGGTGATAAGGGCTGCACTTTAGGAGGTGCCAAGAATGACAGAAACTGAGGACAATACTGATGTGACCCAAGGAAATCAACTTCAATGAAGGCTTCATGCCTTCATTGCTTTCACACCACCGTGGCTCCTCCAGGGTGAAGGCCATCACCTTCTATTTCAGGGACATTAGAGCATTTTGGGCCATTGATAAGGGAGGGGTCCACAAGAGGAAGCTCTGATGGGGGCTTGGCAAAGTCCTGTAGCCCAGGCAGCCAGATGAGCTGGGAGATGTGCAGGCTGCTGTCAAAGACCCTGCAGCGCAGCCTCTGCAAGGGAGCTGCTCCCTCCAAGGGTTGGGATGATCCACAGGCACTAGACTGACTCATTAGGAGGGGCTAAGATGCCTCTCCACACAGACTTCCCTCTCTGAGAGTAATTTCTGCACTCCATGCCATGTCTAGTCTTCTTGTCGACAGAACCCCCAAGGTCATGGCCCCACCATGCTAGTGCCCTCACCCATCCTGGTGCCCTTTGTTTCATCTTCCAGGGAGGGCTGCTCAGTTGCTCCCTCTCCCTCCATTTTCTTTCTAGTCTTGATTCCGTCATAAACTCTATGTTCCCTTCCACTCAGGGCTTTCTCTTTGGATTTCCAAAAGTCTAGTTTGGAGGTAAAAAGAGTCTGACTATTACCTGTTACCTTTTTTCAGTGTCCCTGTGGCTCGAGGACCTGTAGATGCCCATGACCAATTAGGGAAAGGGGTGCACTCTAATCTTGTTGTGGCACAGACTGCAAGTTCTGCTCCACTCAGGGACTTCTTCTCCTGCACAGTTGGCAAGTGAGGGAAGAAAGAGGAAGCTTCAAGATTAATATTTCAGGATCTTATTTCAATATACGTACTGTCTTTCAAGAACCGACTTCAAAGGGCTGCACTGGAATATGCCGTCGTCAGTCACACACCCTCTGAGTGATGGGACCTTACCGGCCAGCTGCTATCGTAATCAAGATTCTTCTAATTACAGGTGTCAAAATTTCCCTAGGGAATATTTAAAAAATGATACAAGGGTATCTTCCTCTGCTCAGGGGCAGAAGAGCCACCCCCAGATAGGGCCCAGTCCAAGGAATTGGAAGGTTCTTATTTTGTGTCCTTTTTGTTCTGCAGACTGATTCCTTTGCTCCTGTGGCTACTTGGCAGAACATAGCTATCATAAAGCCCTCAAATTGACATGCTATGGGGTCAGCCACTTGGAGTTGCCCACTCCTATCCATTCCCAGGCCTCAATTCCCAGGGTGAAGTATCTGATGGCTTTGTTTGGATCAGGCATCTGCCCCCGTTTGATCATCTGTGGCTGGGGCAGGAATGAGGGATGAGAGAGGGTTTGGACAATACAGAATGGTTTTAAAACCATGCCCCAAAGAGTTAAAAAGCCAATGACTCTGTTCTTGGGTTTACAGGAGAGCATATAAGAAAATAAACAACTTGCTGAAACTCTGAAACTCCCTCCACTTGTGAGGTTAAAAAAATGGGCTTAATAAAGAAACAATAGAGGTTGGTGAGGCTGCACAGAAATAGGAACACTTTTATTCTGTTGGTGGGAGTGTAAATTAGTTCAACCATTGTGGAAGATAGTGTGGTGATTCCTGAAAGACCTAGAACCAGAAATACCATTTGACCCAGCAATCCCATTACTGGGTATATACCCAAAGGAATATAAATAATTCTATTATAAAGATACCTGCATGTGTATATTCATTGCAGCACTATTCATAATAGCAAAGACATGGAATCAACCCAAATGCCCATTAATGATAGGCTGGATAAGGCACATGTGGTACATATACACCATGGAATACTGTGCAGCCATAAAAATAAATGAGATCATGTCCTTTGCAGGGACATGGATGGAGCTGGAGGCCATTATCCTCAGCAAATTAACACAGGAACAGAAAACCAAACACTGCATGTTCTCACTTATAAGTGGGAACTGAACAATGAGAACACAGGGACACAGGGAGGGGAACAACACACTGGGGCCTGTTGGGGGGTGCAGAGCTGGGGGGAGGGAGAACATCAGGAAAAATAGCTAATGCATGCTGGGCTTAAAACCTAGGTAATGGGTTGATAGGTGCAGCAAACCACCATGGCACATGTTTACCTATGTAACAAACCTGTACATCCTACACATGTACCCCAAACTTAAAGTTAAAAAAAATTGGCTTAAATTGATTGGAACCAATATGGCTAAGTGCAGTCTGCACAGAAGGAGCTTGCTGATGTCACAGTCTGAATTTCCACCATGTGCTTCATACTAGCTCCTTCCAAATTTACACATGGGGCCCATGAGGCAGCATGAGGAGATAACTGCATGACTGAGGACTTCCCAGACCCCCTTTCCTTCCACCAATCAATTGCTAATCCCGGGATCCATTCCCTATGCCTTTTCTAATAAAATTACTGCTTTAAATCCAGCACAGGGAGATAGATTTGAGCTGGACTCCTGTCTTCTTGGGAACTGACTTACAACAAAAAGCTTTTCTTTTCTCAGAAACCTGGTGTCTTAGTATTGGCTTCTAGCAGGAGCCCCTTTGTTTGGTAACAGTTACAGGCGGGGTGTCTCTGTGAGTTGAGAGGTGTTGGACAGAGCATCCCCAGAGATGGGAGAATCATTGCACACATGGTCTGCTACTGTCATCTTGCCAGCTACATTCTGCTGCTTGGAGCCCCCGTGACAACATTCTGCCATGTGGTGGCCTGGCTTGTGAAAGCCAGTGAAGGGCCATCTCTGTCCCTCCCGCATTTGCCAGTGATGCTAGACTGCTGAGCAGAAGGCTGTCTCCTTGCTACTTCCAACCTCTGGTCCTAGCTCCACCCCTAAGGCCATCTAAAATAAATACAGTCCCTTTGCACCAGCAAGTCCTCCCAGTATACTGAAAGAATCTGAAGAAGTGTCTTCTTCAAGGAAGTATGGCCAATTCCTTTAACTTTCCTTATGGGATGTAGTTCAGGTTCCTTTGCTGTCCTGAATGCTTCAGACTTGATCATCTTTATTTAAAGCATGGCTTCCCGGGTTGGATGTGGCGATACCCTATCTGTGGCTTGGTGTGGCACAGGGAAGTGTGGAATGCACTTGCCTCATTCTAGAAACTGCAGTGCATGCAGTCTACAATGGCACCAGGTTATTGAGTGGACCTGTGTACAGCTCAGAGGGTGCCAGAGCAGAATTTTAAATCTGACTGCATGGGTTCTAATCTTGGCTCCAGTATTTACTGATGAGGGACTGCGGGAAATCATTTTAAGAGCTTTTGGAGTCTCAGCTTCCTCCTCTGTAAATGAGGACTACTAAAGACCCTACCATTATAATGTTATATATTTGTTTTAAGTGGGAATCAAGTTATTAATTCAACAAAAGCACATAGCACAGTGCTGGTATTAGAATTATAATTATTATAATTATTAGTAATGTTTCAAGTACCAGTGTTGTCTAAACCCTTTCATGTTTCTCACATGATGTTCTGCCAGGCATCTGGATTTACCCATGTGGAGTCCAGGGTAGGACTCTTTCCTTGTTAAATTTTATCTTGTTGGAGTCTTTCTATTATCCTAACCCTATCCTACTAATTTTAGTCTCTGGCTCATTGAGGCAGTCTATTGTATGTCTTTCCAAAATTCTCACCCTGCCCAAAGTTCATGGAATTTCAGCACCTATAGTAGGGTAGCTTATGTTTTCCCCTTTCCTCTCTGAGACTTGGTGAGTGGCATGGAGAATGTAAATGGAGAAACACACAGCTCCACAAACTCAGATGTGTAGAGTGGCAATTACGAGGTCCAGGGCTGGAGTCGGCAGTCCTGGACTCAAGTCACTACTTTCCAGCTGTGCAATGTTGCACCAGCTAATGGATCTCTCTAAGCCTCAGTTTCCTCATCTATAGTATGTGAACACTAGGGAAATTTACCTTGGGGGTTGTGGGGAGGATAACTTGAGAAGACACATGTGTGGCACATACACAGCAAGCACTCGGTCAATAGGAGCTGTTACATTTACATTGCTTCTGTTGTTGCTGTTCTTGGTGGCCCTGGATATGATCAAGCAGCCCTGACACTAAGAACCACAGGGGTTTGGAAGAGGCACTCATTTCTGGAGCAACACTAAAGCAGTCCCAGGGAGAAAAGAGAAGGGGATGGAATAAGAGCTGGAGGATCTGATGGTTGGGGGAGCCAGGTCACAGTAACAGCAGCAGACCCGGTCCAGCTCATACAAGTGACCCTTTGTTCAGCCCTCTGCTGCCTGGCGTGTTCTCCTCAGACACTGAGGCTATTATGACACAAGCTTCCCTAGCAGCCCACACCATCCCCAGCTGCCAGGGTGAGGCATATGGAGCCAAGCTCCCCAGCTGTGCTCTGGCCAGCTCCCTGCTCATCCGCCAGAGGGCCAGGTTGTGGGGGATTATGGAGTGAATCTTGGTGTGGCAAGAAATAGAAAACAGGCACTTACTTTTAAAATCTTGGTGTTGGGGGGGTCCCCAGAGTTAGTGGTTATAAAATGATGGTGGTGAATTGCAAAGGTAGCGGCAGGCTGTTTAGGCTTCTGAAAAGTATTTTTGCTCGATGGAAATAAAGTTTGTTGTAGTCTTCTATGCACATTAAAAATTAATCAAGTTGATTGAGATCTTTGTATAATTAAAGTTGTTTTTAGGGATCAAAGAAGACTCAACCGGGAAGGGTTTAAAATAGAAAGGATTTTGGCATGCACATTCTAGAGATCTTGGAGATAATTAAATGAAGCTTGCTTCCTCCAGACTTAAGAACAATGAAACTGAAGAAACATCGGGGAGGAACAAACCAGGTTTTTTGTGTCTATCTGGTCCCCGATTATCCCAGTGTGGCTGGCCTTGGTCCTCCCCCTTGCACTGATGTGGCTCAGGAGGAGAGGCACACCCCCAAACCCCACTGTGCCCCTGCTTCAGGACATGTGCATGTCCCCTGTCTCGGAAGCAGGAGCCTGACTGACCAATTGAGGCCTTGGGGGAGAGATGAGAAACCCCATCCCGGGGCCACAGCACCAGAGTCCCTCTGTTTAAAAAGGAAAAGAATTAAAAGCAGGATCTATTCCGCTCCTGGGATCCAGGACCACTTTGCAACTTCCCTGAGTTTTCACTTTGCTCTGTGGTGACATCTTTTCAGCCTGTTCCAGAAACTGGGTTTCCTGTTGGCTGCTGGGTTCCTGGCACTGCCTCCTGCTCTTGGGTGGCCAGCCTACACCTGGAGAGGGCTCTCTTCCTTCCTTCCCTTCAAAGTCTCTTGCTGGAGCCTGAAACAGTTCTCTTTCACCACATCTAACATGTTTCATGAACTCTGCCTTTGCTCTTACTTTCCTTTATGTTTAATGATGTGAATGCTTGCAGCTCAGACCCTTAGTGTCACTTCCAGGGACCAGTATTGCAGTAAATTCCTAACTGGATGCTCTCTCTTTTTTTCTCCAATCCATTCTTCACACCAAAATTATTTTTCTAGAGCACAGATCTTATCATGTCATGCCATACACAAAAATCCACAATGGTTTCTCACTGCCTACAGCACAACGTTAAATTCTTGAGCCCAATGTTCATCAGCTTCCTTCATATAACTACATTCCCCTTTTCCCATTTTCTCTTCCTCTCTGGCCCTCTTCCATTCTAATGTGTCCCAACTGCGGCATGCAATTCAGAGTTCTACAAACTCAGAATGTGTAGAATTTTGCTTTGTGCTTTTGCTTCCACTATTCTCTCTGCCCTTGTTTCACCATTACAATTTTACTCATCCTTCTAGTGATCTCAAATGCCTTCTCTTTTGTGATGTCTGAGCAGATTCTCCTAAAGTAGAATTGAGTGACCAATCTCTTTGTTCCCCCAGAGCTTTGATTTTCCCTCTATTTGAGCATTTGTTTTTCTTCTGCTCTGTGTAGAATTTGTTGTTTGCTTCATTCCATCTTTCCCCACTGTAATGTCCTTTAAGGTTGGGCTTTGTCTTATTCACCAAGTATCTATCAAAAGCAGTGCTTTGCTTGCAGTATAGCAGGTAATTAATATCTCTGTGTTGAACTGAATGGAATCTAAGACAAATTGCTTCTTTTCAATACTAATAACTTTGATTTTCTGTATTTTGAAATCACACTATGGGTGCAGACTCTCCAAGTTAATATATAAATACATTTTCATTGTTGGAGTTTTGAAGTGGCCAATTATTCATATCCATCTCTGGTTGAATTGCTGAACTTACTGAGAAAAAGACACAGAAGTTAGATTGAAATCAAAATATGAAATTTATCTCTGACAAAATGGGATTAGAAAATGCTATTTGGACCTAAGGCCAAAATAGGCAAGATGCTTCTTCCCCATCTTGAGTTGAACTTGTCCATCCAGGCGGGAATGGAGCAGCTGGGCACTGGCAGGCTCATGGCCCTGTGCCCTGTGCAAAGTAGAGTCTATCCTGGTGCTTGTTGCCTGGAGGAGGGAAGAACAAATGTGTCCTGCAGATAGCTTGATCTAAACTTGACAGCAAAAAAGAGCCCAGCATGAGCCACACATGTTCCTTTCTCATTTTCATGTCTCAGTAATCAGATAAATTGCTTCCCCTCAAAGGTAATCATTACTTACTATTTAATGGATCTTTCCAGGCAGTTTCCTTTCATATATTTATAGAACACAGGCCCATATATGTAATCAATATTTTGCACACATTGAGTTATACTGTATTTTCTGCAATATATTTTCCCCCATGATCATATATCTTAGAAATTGTTTCCTTTTCAGCACATGTAGATCTACCCCATTCTTT
The DNA here is from genome assembly GCF_000001405.40 of Homo sapiens. Lineage (NCBI taxonomy): Eukaryota > Metazoa > Chordata > Mammalia > Primates > Hominidae > Homo > Homo sapiens. The sequence goes on along the minus strand of NC_000008.11, from coordinate 97,373,403 downwards.
TAGCTATCACCTGCTATATGCAAGCAAGGCACTACTTTTGATAGATACTTGATGAATAAGACAAAGTCCATCTTTAAAGAATGTTACAGTGGGAAAAAGGGAAATGCAGCAAACAGCATAAACTCAATCTATCATGATGTATATTTAAAAAATTTACTACCATATTCTATTTGCTGTTATTGTATGACTTTTGTATTTATTTTCCTAAGTGAGGTTCGTAGTTTTCTTTCTTTATTATTTTTTTCCATCTTGGTGTCAAGGGTATGCCAGCCTCACATAATGAGATGAACAGCTCACCTACTCCACCCTGCTATGCTCTGTATTATTTTAAATAACACAGAGCTTGTGTGCTTAGCAGAACTTGCCATTAAAATTATCTGAGCTTACTATAATTTTCAGGATAACTCTCTGACAATCTAAACAATTTATTAAGTGATTATGGGTTCATTAAGTTTTTCCTTCCTCTTCATAAGTCATACACATTCATAGAAAAGCATACAATTCATGTGAACTTTCACATTTATTAATGTGAAGTTGTACAAAGTATTTCTCATATTTTAAAAGGCATTATGATGTATACATTTTAAAAATTTTCATGAAGTTCAATTTATTTTTTTCTTTTGTTGCTTGTGCCTTTGATATCATGTCCAATAAATCATTGCCAGATCTGTCATGAAGCTTTTGTCCTATGTTTTCTTCTAAGAGTTTTATTGTTTTAGATTTTACATTTAGGTCTTTGATCCATTTTAAGCTAATTTTTGTATATGGTGTTAGGTAAGGGTCTAACTTCATTCTTTTGCATGTGGATATGCAATTTTCCCAGCACCATTTGTTGAAAAAATTGTCCTTTAACCATTGAATGGTCTTGACACCCTTGGTACCCTATATTCAGGAGGGCTTATTACTGGGCTCTATTTTATTCTATTCATCTATATGTCTGTCTTTATGCCAGTATCGCAGTGTTTTGATAACTGTGGCTTTGTAGTAAGTTTTGAAATTGGGAAATGTGAGCCGTCCAGCCTTGTTATTCCTTTTCAAGATTGTTTTGGCTATTCAGGGTTGAGACTCCATATGAATATTAGGATGGGTTTTTCTATTCCAGTTGAAGACATCACTGGAATTTTAATAGGGATTGTATTGAATTTGTAGATTGCTTTGAGTAGTATTGACATCTTAACAATATTAAGTCTTCCAATCCATGAACATGACATGTGTTTTCATTTACTTATGTCTTTTAAAATTTCTTTAGCAATTTTTTATAATTTTCATTGTACAAGTCTTTCATTTCCTTGGTCAAGTTAATTCCTAAGCATTTTATTCTTTTTGATGCTATTGTAAATAAAATTATTTTTTAAATTTCCTCTCAGATTGTTCATTGTTAGTATACAGAGATGCAACTAATTTGTGTGTGTTGGCTTTGCATCCTGTTACTTTGCTAAATTAATTTATTAGTTACCACAGTTTTTGCATGTGAAATATTTAGGGCTTTCTACATAAGATCAAATCATATGTGAACAGAGCTAATTCTACTTCTTCCTTTATAATTTGGTTGTCTTTTATTTCTTTTAGTAGACTAATTGCTCTGCCTAGAACTTCTGGTTCTAAGTCGAACAGAAGTGGTGAAAGTGGGCATTGTTGCCTTGTTCTTCATCTTAAAGAAAAAGCTTTCAGTCTTTCACTGTTAATTATAATCTTCCTTGTGAGTTTTTCATAAATGGTTTTATTAGTGAGGTAGTTTACTTCTTTTCCTAGTTTGCTAATTGTTTTTATTATAGAAGGTGTTGAATTTTATCTAATGCCTTTTCAGTATCAATTGAGGTGATTATGTAAATTTTTTCATTCTGTTAATGTGATGTGTTACATTGATTGATTTTTGTATGTTGAACCATTCTCAAATTCCAGGAATAAATCCTACTTGGTGATGGTGTATTATTCTTTTAATGTGCTGGCAGATTTGGTTTGCTAGTATTTTGTTGAGGATTTTTGTATCTGGGTTCATCAAGGATATTGACCTGTAGTTTTTTTTTCTTGCGATGTCTTTGTTTGGCTTTGGTATCAGGGTAATGCTGACCTCATAGAGTGAGTTAGAAAGTGTTGTTTCCTCGACAACTTTTTTGAAAAGTTTGAGAAGGATTGGTAATAATTCTCTACAAATATTTGATAGAATTCACCTGTGAAGCCAGAAGGTCTAGCGCTTTTCTATTTTTGGGAATTTTTTTTTTTTAAATTTCAATAGGTTTTTGGGGAACAGGCGGTGTTTGATTATATGAATAAGTTCTTTAGTGGTGACTCCTGAGGTTTTGGTGTACCCATCACCCCAGTAGTGTAAACTGTACCCAATGTGTAGTTGTTTAACCCTTGCTCCCCCCACTATTTTCCCTGAGTTCCCAAAGTCCAATGTATTATTCTTATGCCTTTGCATCCTCATAGCTTAGCTCCCACATATGAATGAGAACATATGATGTTTGGTTTTCCATTCCTGAGTTACTTCACTTAGAATAATGGTCTCCAATTCCAACCAGGTTGCTACAAATGCCATTATTTCATTCCTTTTTATGGCTGAGTAGTATCCCATTGTGTGTGTGCATGTATATATATATATATATCTCACATTTGCTTTATCCACTCATTGATTGATGGGCATTTGGGCTGGTTCCATATTTTTGCAATTGCAAATTGTGTGGCTATAAACATGCGTGTGCAAATATCTTTTTTGTATAATGACTTATTTTCCTCTGGGTGGATACCCAGTAGTGGGATTGCTGAATCAAATGGTAGATCTACTTTTAAGTTCTTTAAGGAATCTCCACAGTTTTCCATAGTGGTTGTACTAGTTTACATTTCCACCAAGAATGTAAAAGTGTTCCCTTTTCACCACATCCACACCAACATCTATTATTTTTTGATTTTTTGATTATGACCATTCTTGAAGGAGTGAGGTGGCATTGCATTGTAGTTTTGATTTGCATTTCCCTGATAATTAGTGATGTTGAGCATTTTTCCATATGCTTGTTGGCCATTTGTGTATCTTCTTTTGAGAATTGTCTGTTCATGTCCTTAGCCCACTTTTTTTTTTTATATGGCTGATGGTAACACACTTTATTAATTTAAAAACACACCCTTCCCCATAGTGCATGGAGCACGTGCACATTTTCCTACAAAGACATAAATAATGATGTGGAGGTATGGTGGAGGTCAAGCATCTACAGGGTCATTCAAGGAGGAACAGATTCAAGCTTTTGGATGATCAGTGTTTTGTATATAGCAGCATCGTTAGATCTAAGACAACAGTGGACGTAGCAGGACCTTTTCTTTGGGTGGCATTAATTATTCCAGATTCAGACCAGGCTGTCCTCTCTGGGCCCAGGCTCTGCCTCTCCCTCCTCTGTCCCCACACTTAGACATGAAAGCCATAACCCTTGGGCCCCTCAGAGGAAAAAAAGGGTGTTGGGGGAGGAGGCATTGTTGAGCAGCCCTCCCACTGCTGGGAGCCTCTGCTGTTTCCAGTAACTGCCTTTCTGGAAAGCGATTCTGTTCTGTGATGGAGGCAGCAGAATGAAACATCAGATTACACGGCACGAGATCCAAACTTGTTGTTCTTAGCCCCAGAGCATCAGAGTTTAAGAAGTTTAATTTGAGGCTACTTCTTTTAAAAGCAAGATGTAGGTTATGCCATTAAAAAAAAAGATAGTTGAAAACATAAAGCAGAAAGTTCAGACATCCTAAGACTTGAAGCAAAGATAGTGCTGGTCGAATCTTCTCCCTCAGCCCTCCTAAGCATCTAAACCTGCTTTCTCACTGAATGCTTCCTGCAGCAAGGCTCTGCCCTGGCTTTGCCTTCTTGCCTCCTCAAGGCAGACTGCAGTTTGTTTCTACCCACAAGAGGTGGGAAACACCACGTTCCCCATTTGTTGTAAGAAATCCATGGGCATGCAACAATTTCAGTATTCAGTGGAGGTTTTCCCAGGCAAATTCCACTAACAGAGGACAAGGAAGATTGCACATCCTGATGTGACGTGGATGACATGGATGGGGTGAGGCTACCAATACCATGATGATGGGGCTGGCCCTGGGCTTAGCCGACTTTTTAATAGGATTTTTTTTTTCTTGCTGATTTGTTTGAGTTTTCCCTGAGCACGGCTTGCTTTCCCCATATCCTATAAGTTTTGGTGTGTTATATTTTTGTTTTCTTTCATCTCTAAATATTTTCTAATTTCCTACATGACTTCTTCTTTGATTCATTAGTTGTTTAAGAGTGTGATGTTTAATTTGCACAATTTTGCAAATTTTCCAGTTTTAATTGTTATTGATTTCTAACTCCATCCATTGTGGTAAAAAAAGAAACTTTGTATGATCTCTACCTTTTAAAATTTATTGAGACTTAATTTGTGGCCTAACGTATAGTTTATCCTTAAAAAGTCCTATGTGCACTTGAGGAGAATATGTATCCTGTTGTCCTGTTGTTCTTGGGTAAAGTGTTCCGTACATGCTTGTTAGATGTAGTTGGTTTACTGTGTTGTGTAAGTCCTCTATTTACTTACTAATCTTCTGTCTGGTTGTTCTATCCATTGAGAGGGGAGTATTGAGATTTCAACTATTTTTAAACAACTATTGATTTCTCCCTTAATTTCCATTAGTTTTTGCTTTGTGTATTTTGATGGTGTGTTGTATGTGTAAATGTTTAAAATTATTACATATTATTGTTTATAATTATTATATATAATATATTCTTTTATTAATATATAATGTTTTTCTTTATCTCTTATAAACTTTTTTGGCTTAAATATATTATGTCTGATATTAGTATAGCCACCCATGCTCTCTTTTGGTTACTATGTGCATTGAATATCTTTTTCCATCGTTTTACTTTCAACCTGTGTCTTTAGATTTAATGTGAGTCTTTCGTAGATGGCATATAGCTGGGCCATATGTTTTTATCTATTCTGCAATCTCTGTCCTTTGATTGGAAAATGTAATCCATTTACTTTTTTTTTTTCTTGAAATGGAGTTAAAGTCTCACTCATTCTGTCACCCAGGCAGGAGTGCAGTGGCACAATCTCAGCTCACTGAAACCTCTGCCCCCTGGGTTCAAGCAATTCCCCTGCCTCAGCCTCCCAAGTAGCTGGGATTACAGGCATGCACCACCACTCCTGGCTAATTTTTTTTGTATTTTTAGTAGAGACGAGGTTTCATCACATTGGCCAGGCTGGTCTTGAACCCCTGACCTCAAGTGATCTGCCCACCTTGGCATCCCAAAATCGTAGGATTACAGGCTTGAGGCAACGCGCTCAGTCCCACTTACATTTAACGTAATTATTGATAAGGAGACACCTTTGTCATTTTACTGTTTGTTTTCTATATGTCTTATAGCTTTTTAATCCCTTATATTCTTCCTTGTTGTCTTTTGTGTTTAGTCAGTTTTTTGTAGTTAAAATATTTAAATTTTTCTCTCATTTCTTTTTGTGTATATTCTGTAACTATTTTGTGGTTAACACGGGTATTACTTTTAACATTATAAAGTTATAACACTCTTGGCTGGGTCTGTAGTCCCAGCACTTTGGGAGGGCAACAAGGGCAGATCACTTGAGGTCAGGAGTTTGAGACCAGCCTGGCCAACATGGCAAAACACCATCTCTACTAAAAAAACAAAAATTATCCAGGTGCGGTGGCACATGCTGGTGGTCCCAACTACTTGGGAGGCTAAGGCACAAGAATTGTTTGAACTGGGAGGTAGAGGCTGTAGTGAGCTGAGATCGTGTCATTGCACTCCAGCCTGGGTAACAGAGTGAGACTCTATCTCAAAGAAAAAAAAAAGTTATAACACTGTAATTTGAACTTATACCAGCTTAACTTCAATAACATACGAAGACTTTGCTCCTTTACTTTACAGTCCTTTCATTTGTTGATGTCACAAAATTATATCTTTATACATTGTGTGCCCCCAAGAAATAAACTATTAGTCTCTTAAATTATGGAGAAAGCAAAATGTGAAGTTACAAATCAAAGTTATGATTATACTGGCTTTAAGACTAATCTTTTAGAAAATGTATTAGTCATAAATCAGGTAGAAAACAAAAGGTGTAGTTACACTTCTGTAGAAAATAAAAACTGTTATTACAAAATACTAGCTTTTATAATTGTCCATTTTTTTTTACCTTTATTAAGATCTTCATTTTTTCATATGGCTTCAAGTTACTGTCTACTGTCCTTTTATTTCACCTTGCAGGACTCCCTCATGATTTTCTTTTAGGGAAGTCATAGTGGTAATAAAGTCCCATAACTTCTGTTTATCTGGGAATGTGTTAATTTCTCCCTTGTTTTTGAAGAACATTTGTGCCTGATATAGAATTTTTGGTTGGCTTTTCTTTTTTCTTTTTCTTTTTTTTTTTTTTTTTTTTACTTTTAGCACTTTGAATATATTAGCCCATTACCTTTCATCCTCCAAAATTTCTAATGAGAAATTGGCTGATAATCTTACTGAGGATTTCTTGTATGTGACTAGGTGCTGCTCTCAGGAGCTCTCCTGCTGCTCTCTTTTTGTCTTTTGAAAGTTGGATCATGCCTTGGTGTTGGTCTCTGAGTTCATTTTACTTGGAGTCTATTGAGCTTCTTGGATGTTTATGTTCATGTCTTTTATCAAATTTTCAAAGTTTTCAACCATTATCTATTCAAACATTCTCTGTGTCCTTATGTCTTTCTCTTCTGCTGAGACTCCCACAGTGCATATGTTGGTCCACTTGATGGTATCCCAGAGGTCTCTTATATTCTGTTCACTTTCTTTTAATCTTTTTTCTTTCGGCTCCTCAGACTCAATAATGTCTATTGTCCTATCTTCAAGTTTTTGTGGATTCTTTCTCCTGCCTATTCAAATCTGACTTGAAATCCCTCTAGTAAATTCTTCATTTCAGTTATTGTATTTTTCAGCACCAGCATTTCTTTTTGGTTTCACTTTAGGTTTTTCTCTTTATTGATATTTCCATTTTGTTCATACATCATTTTCTTGACTTTCTTCACATTTTCCTTTAGTTCTTTGGACATCTTTAAAAGAGTGGTTTTAAAGTCTTTGATGAGAAGAGCTGCCATCAGATCTTGTTCAGGGGCAGTTCTGTTGATTTATTTTTTTTATTCCTTTGAATGGGCCTTTCTTTGCTCTTCCTTTGGGTTTTGTGAATTTTTGTTAAAAATTAGACACTTAAATCTAATAATGTGGTAACTTTGGAAATAAAATTCTCCCCTTCTCCGAGGGTTTGCTGGTTTTTGTTATTTTTAATTGTTTTGGATTTGATTGTTGTGGGTTGTCTCTGTGCCAAGGATCAGCCTGAAGTGTAAACTCAACATCTTCTCAAGCCTTTTCTGAGCCTGTGCCTTTCTCTGGGCATGTTTGGTCACTTTCTAATTCTCCCTGCATATGCAGTTATTTTTAAATATTCTAGTGTCTAATATCTGGCTCCCAAAAGGGAAAAAAAAAAAAGGGTGGAAAGTTCACTTTAAATCCCTTGGGGTCAGGTGCAGTGGCTCATGCCCTAATCCTAGCACTTTGGGAGGCCGAGGCAGGGTGATCACAAGGTCAGGAGTTTGAGACCAGACTGGCCAACATTAGTGAAATCCCATCTCTACTAAAAATACAAAAAAAAAAAAAAATTAGCTGGGCGTGGTGGCACCTGTTGTGCCTGCAATCCCAGTTATTTGGGAGGCTGAGGCAGGAGAATCGCTTGAACCCAGGAGGCAGAGGTTGCAGTGAGCTGAGATCATGCCACTGCACTCCAGCCTGGGTGACAGAATGAGACTCCATCTCCAAATAAATAAATAAATCCCTTGGACATCTTTTCAGGCAGAAGAGGAAAAGCTTGCCAACACTTTTTTGCACCTCTTTGGTCAGAAGTAGAAATTAGCAATCAAAGCACAGAGCACAGATCTCTGATATCTGGAGGACAGAATGTTTTTTGCTCACTTTGGCTCCTGCAAGCTGTGTGCAGATTGCTCTAGGAACGCATGCACAACCACCTGCCATGGGGCTGAGGGGTGAGGGACGGGTAGCTGCTGCTGGGCTAAGAGCTGAAATTGATCAAAATTAATGCAGTTTACTATTCAAAACTTCCCCTGGAAGTTGCAAAACTTAATGGACTCCAGTGTTTGAAAATAGTTAAATCAGACAGATCCTGCCAGTGCAATTTTTGTCTAGATAGGGGGACATATTACTGGTGCTTCCTACTCTGCTGTCTTCCCAGAATCCTCTCTCTACTTTTTTTTTTTTCTTACTGCAGTAGCCAAATCCCTTAACCTCCAATATGTAGTACACACCCTTTCCTTTCTAAATAGTTTGTAATTACTCTTTTAATTAACTAGTTTTTTTGAAAAGTGTTTTTGAATTCCCAAATAAATTAGGTTTTTTTTGTGGGTGGTTATATTAGTTTCCTACTGAAACTGTAATAAATTACCACAAATTCAGTGATGTAAAACAATACAGTTTTTTTCTCCTATAGTTCCAAAGGTCATAAGTATGGAATCAGTTCTCACTGGGCTAAAGTCAAAGTATTGGCAAGTCTAGTTTATTTTGAAGGCTCTGAGAGGAGACTATTTCTTTGCCTTTTTCCCCTTCTTGTGGCTGCCCGATTCCTTGGCTTGTGGACCCTTTCTTCACCTTCAAAGCATGCCGTTCCAATCTCTGCTTCTGTCACCACGTTGCCCTTTCTTCCATAGTAGTATTTTCTTCTGCTTTCCTCTTATAAGAATACTTGTGATTTCATCGTTCATCCTACCTAGATAATGCAGCGTATTCTCCCCATCACAAGATCATTAACTTAATTACATCTGCAAAGTTCTTCTAGCCATATAAAGTGACATCTTCACAGGTTGTGGTGACTAGGATGTGGACAACTTATGGGTCCATTATTCAGCCTACCTCAGAGGTACCCTTCTCTAGTTGTGAGTTTTTAATGTGTTTTATTTCTGCCTTAGTGAATTTGTTAATTTTTTTTTGTGGAAAAATTAAGATTTTTAAAGTTTTGAAGAATACTGTAATTTAAACACCTGGTGACAACATATAGTAGGAGTGTATTAAAATTGTTAGGAACAGTTATACAGAAAACAGGAGAAAAGCTGGCCTCTTGGAAAAAAATGAATCAGTAAATGATTACATAAAATCAGAAAAGAAAAGATAAAATTAGAGTTAAACTGAAATATCACATGAGTTTATAATATTAAAATAGCTTCCACTGTGTCACTGATGTAGCATAGAAAGGTTTTGGTGTAACTATCCTTATAGCCAATAATAAAACAAAATCCTGGAATAAACAGTGGTTGCTAATGGTAACCAGTGTTTTTCAGCAGCATGCCCAAGGGCTCTACAGCCCTATCTTGCAAGATCTGGGAAATGGAGAAAAAATATTTGTGAGGCCCCACTTGAGGTCTTTTGGTTGGGACTCTTGATTGCTTGCTCTTTTATTATGTGCCTTTGTATCAGAAGGAAGTTGTAATGGGATTTTGCCATGGCTGGTGTTCACAATGGATTTCGCCCTGGGTGGTGGTTTTAAGTAAATTTAGCCACAGGTCTATAATCGGCTTGCTGGAATTATAACCTGAAAGTTCCCTGTAGGGCTTGGCATCAGGTTCCTGGCGTTCTTTGTATACTCTACCCTTAAGCACTATGCAAGCAACCCTAGCTCTGGATTCTGGGACTGTTTACATAATTGGTGTTTCCAATGTTTGGGCAGAGAGCTGAAATCAATATGGGCAATGTCTAAATATTATTTAAACATTGCATATGATAGTGAATAAAGGGTGGTGAAATCCTTTGATCAGCCTGTCTCTTGGTGTTCTGAAATTCATCCCATTGTGCTTCAAAGAATCAAAGTATAATCTATCCCTGAGATAGCAAAATTCTAAAATCTGGTCAGCTGCAAAACATGCACCAACTTATTTGGATTTAACTGTAAGTGATCCTGGTTTCTTTACTTACAAGTCATGGTAGAATGACATTTTTTGTTTTGCTTTAATCATATCTGTCAGAGGTGACAACTTTCTAGAATTGTATGAGGTTAATTAAAATACTGGCACAGTTTACATCATAGACAATTCATTTAGAGAGGTGGTCTTTATGTATATTTGAAAATACTTTCTTTTTGACCTCTATTAGTCAGTTAGTTTGGATGAAAATGGGATTCTAGATTTAAAATTGTTTTATATTAGTAGATTCAATATATTTCTCCCTGGTGTTCAGGCATCCGATGAGAAATTTTATTAGGATATGCCTGAGCATGGGTCTTTTTTTAATTAATAGTCTAGGGCACTTGGAAATTCCTTTCTAGAACTTTGGAATATTTTCTTATGTTAAAAATTACTTCCCAGTCCCACATTTAAGAAATCATAGATGATATTGGGCCTCATGAAGTAATCCTCCACGTCTCTTACTTTTTCCTTCATTTTTTTTTTATCTTTTTGCCCTAGTTATGGATGATTTTCTTGACTTCATTCTTCAGAATGGTAACTTGGTCTTTAGACATATTACTCTTCTATTTCCCTCAAGGAGAGTGATTTTTATCTCAGGAGTGATATTTTGACTGCAGCTGGGAGAATGAACTGGAGGATGTACCACTGGAGAGAAGGAGACCAGTAAGGAGCTTTTGCAGTAGCATGGATGAGAGATGATGGTGACTTGTGCTGCAAAAACTGAGGGAAGTAGAAGGATTAGAGGAAATTGGAGTTGGAATAGATAGCATGTGGGGATTTGATTTAGCATCAAAGAAGAGGAAGAAGCCAGGATGAGGCTCCGGTTTAGACTTTGGCAGCTGGATAACTATTATGCCATAGAGGTCTCAGGAGTAAGAGCAGCTATAGGGGTAGATAACGAGTTCAAGTTTGGATATGTTGAGTTTTAGGTGCGTCTGAGTCATATGGATGGAAATATCTATCAGACAGCTGGATTTATTGGTTTGGAACTCAGCAAAGATATCTGACAAAGAGTTATGGCTTATGGATTTAGTAGCATATAGATAGAAATGGAAGCATAGAGCTAATAATACTACTCACGAGAATGAGTAGAACAGAAAATGATGTTTAAGGGACAGATAGAGGAAGACAGGTCCCCAAAGAGGCAGAGAGGGAGCAGATAGAAAATGTATTAGTTTTGATAGTGGCCATAACAAATGAACACAAATTCATCATTTAAAAATAATATCCATTTATTATCTCAGTTCTGTAGGTCAGGAGTCTGGGCACAGCATGACTCAGCTGGTTTTTAGTTTGTTCTTAGCTTAGAGTTTCACCAGGCTGAAATCAAAGAGTTAGCAGAGCTGCAGTCCTGGCTGGAAGCCCCAGCGGGGAGCATCCATTTCCAGGCTCTCTCAGGTTATTGGTAAAATTCCTTGCTGAATGGAAGATGTCCTCAGCTTCTAGAGGCTACTCACACTCCCTGGCTCATGGCTCCCTTCAAAGCCGGCAGTGACAGCACAGTCCTTTTCACATTTTGACTCTCTATTGCCACATCTCTCTGACTGACTCTTCTGCCTTCCTCTTCTGCTTTTCAGGGCAGATGTGGTTACATTGGTCCCACTTGAATAATCCAGGTCACTCTCCCTATTTAAAGGTCAGCTGATTAGTAACCAGAACTCCATCTGTAAAGTCTCCTCACAGCAAAAACTAGATTAGTGTTTAATTGAATAATTGGGAGATGGGAATTTTGAGAGGACATATTTAGAATTCTGCTTATCACAGAGAGACAGAAGACAAACCAGAAGAGTGTAGTGTTATGGAAACTAAAGGAGTAGTGTTTCAAAAAGGGGGGAGTAATCAACGGTGTCAAATCCTATACAGACGTCAAGAAAGACGGGGCCTGGGAGTGGAGCATATGCCAAATTATAGTGGGTGTGTGGGGGACTGGGAAGCAAGAAGCAGAGACTAGGGGCGCAGACAACTCTTTAAACGAGTTTGCCTGTGAATAGGAGAAAAATAAGACAGCAGCTTGGGAGAGTAATTATATATTTTTTTAGATGGAAAAGACCTAAGACCTTTTAAACACTGGTGGTGAAAAGACATTAGAAAGAGAAAGAAAGGGCGGCAATTCAAGATAGAGGGATAACTTAGAGAACAAGGAGTTCAAGGAGTGGGGACGCAAGGGACCTTGGAGCATCGGCCAAGGGACTGGTTGTTGACAGGAGAAACATGATTCTCTTTGTACAAAAAAGGAGGATAGAAGGAAGGTGCAACGATGTGAGTCTGGACACAGGAAGGTGGAAATAATCCTCAGATAGCTTCTGTGTCTCCTCTCTCAGAAAGGTGGTCTTCTGAGAGAGTGTTTTCCGGTAGCTTGTTAAGTCCTGTTAGAGCAGCGGCCATATCTGTCTTTTCACTGTGTTGTCCTTATGCTTAGTGCAGCATCTGACACATGGTTGACACCCAGCCAGTATTTGTTGAAAGAAACAATGAATGGATAAATAAATGCACAAGGCTGAGAGGGTAAAGAAGTCATAGGGGCTTTGGTAAGAGTGGAGAAGGTTTGATACAGCCACTGTCGAGAAAGCTAACTAGAAAAATGCGAACACTGTCTTAAGGATCCAGGTGAGGCCAGAGACCATGATTAGCTAGAGTTTTGATGGATATTTTGATTTTCTTCGCCACTGCTCAGAAGCTTAGGTAGAGATGAGGAATGCCAGAAGCCCAGGTAGAGATGAGGAAGGCCAGATGTTTGCATTGGTTTGGGTGTGGGATTTTGCCAGGCAGGTGCAACAGGAGGACAGATGGAGTAAGGGATTTGAAGATATTGGCAAAGGAGCGGCTGAACTAATGAGCTGTAGGATCTGGACCGTGTGGGCAAGGAAGTGAAGAGAGAAAGGACTGATCAGTAGACGGGATGAATGGCTTGGGGTTCTCAATGTGATAGGCAAAACCCAGATGGAGTGAGAGCAGTAAAGGCATGGGGAAAATATTGAGGATATAGCAAGGTGCTTTAAATTGGGTAGCATTCCCAAATGGCCTGGTGGAAGGTTTGGGACCAGTGGGAGTTCAGGCCTAAGGAGATAAAATCCAAGGAGGTACAGGGATGAGAATGAAGGTGAGGATAGCATCCATTAGAACTTATATTTAATAATAAAGAGAAGCCCATGATCGTGGTGGGTTTAACTAACTGGAAAGCCACAGAGAGTTATTTTTTGCAGGACTTTGGTGGATGGTGGAGTGGTCATCTTAGAAATAATCATCCTCCATCTGAACTGATAGAATGTCCAAAGAAGCATGGGTTTTTGGTGGTGGGGGATAGCCTGGTTTCCCTGGAATGCGGTAGCCAAGGTTTTGAGCATGCTTAAGACTGGAGAGGTGCTGAGTACTGTACCTAAGTTATTACTTGTCATGTGTGTCATTCGCTTCTATCCCCTTGCACTAAAGCTCTTACTAGTATATTAATTCCTGATGGCTGCTCTAACAAATTACCACAAATCAGAAATCTGAAATCAGTATCACTGGGCTGAAACCAGAGTCAGCAGGGCCACACTCCCTCCAAAGGCCCTAGAAGAGCGTAGGTTCCTTGCCTCTTCCAGCTCCTGGTGGCTCCCAGCTTTCCTTGGCTTGTGGCCACATTCCTCCAGTCTTGGTCCCTGTGGTTACATTGCCTTCTCTTCTGTGTCAGATATCCCTCTGCCTCTCCCTTACCAGGATACATATGATGGCATTTAGCCCCATCCAGATAACCCAGGAGAATTTTCTCATCTCAAAATCTTTGACTTAGTCAACATCTGCAAGGAGTTTACTACAATCATGTCACTTAGTGATGGGATACATTCTCAGAAGGCCCAGGACATTACTCTACATTACTGTATACTTTATAAACACTGTGCCCTTGAGCTACACTAACTTTATAAAAATATTTTTCTTTCTTCAATAATAAATTAACCTTAGGTTGCTATAACTTTTTAACTTTATGAACTTCTAAATTTTCTTAACTTTTTGACCCTTTTGTAATAATACTTAGCTCAAAATACAAACACACTGTACAGCTATACAAAATATTTTATTCTTTATATCCTTGTATAATAAACTGTTTTCTGTTTTCAAAATTATCAATTATTTTAAACATCCCCCCACGTCCTCAGGCATGTTCCAGCATCTGGATGGCCACCTGGACCTCTATCATCTTTCAGGAGATGTTGCCAGCACTCTGCTTATGATAGACAGTTTTCAAGGGTAGGCTGCAGTTTATTAAAAATGATCTTTTAGGAGATAGCAAGAGGTGGTGGTCTCTTCCACCGTTTTCAGTTTCCTTTCCATATTCTTTGAATGCAGTGTTGGCAAGCCAATAGGTACAAAAACTCTAGAGACAGAGACAGCACAGTGAATTGAGATTTCTTTGCAATCATTCTTCCTATAGGGTTCAACTTCACATTTATAAACATACTTTTGATATGTAGTTTCTGGCCACCAGAGACTTGAGTGAAACATATTTTCTTGTCCTCAGTTACCTCACAGAGCATTGAAGGAAAGAGGTATTAAAGTTGCTATTTAAGCCAAGGCAAAATGACTAAAAGCTAAAGTGAGGTGAAAGTAACAAGTAATGAGAAGAATAGACCCACTTGCATGGCAAAACAGAAAGAATATGGGATCTACAGTCAGACTAACCTGGGTTGGAACCATCCCTGCTGTTTGCTAACTAAGTGACGTTAGGCAAGCTACCTCACCTTTCCAAGGCTTTGTTTTTTCAGCTCCAATCTAGAGATGATAATATGTATTCACAGGGCTACTTGAAGATGTCATAAGAGAATATATATAGAGTGCAGTTTCTGTCATGGGAAGCCAAGGCATGAAGGAAACCTTAGTGCACTGGAAAGAACATAGCCACCGGGGTGTTATGAGTTCAAATTCTGCTCCTGTCAGTCACTAGGGGTATGGGTTAATTACACAATATCCAAGAGACTTTTCTTTTTCTTTTTTAAAGCAGTAATTACTCAGACTGCATCCTGTACCCTTTTACTCTCCCAGAGGAAGAGAAGAACGATCATCAATGGCAAATGGCAGTTGCAGAGAAGCAACACTGAGAGCTCACTTCATGCTCAGAAGAGAAGGCAGCTTCTCCTCACGGTTTCCAGTGCTCTACACGTTCAGAGAAATTTCTCTAGTAAAAAACTATAGAAATGATTCCTGAGAGTATAGTCTTTCTGACTAGAAAAGAGCCATTTATAGTCTTTCTGACTAGAAAAAGAGCCTTCTATAGTCTTTCTGACTAGAAAAGAGCCTTTTCTGATCTGTCAAATACTCAATAATACTTTGCAGGGATATTGGGAAGATTAGAAAATATAATTTTAGTTAATATTATGGAAGAAAGTGATTCATTCTATTTGAGAAGGGATCTAGGTTAATTACAGGGTAGAGATAGAATTTGAACTGGGTCTTGCAAGCTGAAAATTTTGATAGCTGGAGAAAGAGGGAGAGGCATTTGGGATGAAGGAATGACATGAACAAAAAAATGCAGAGTACATTGTGCATGCAGGAAATGGTGTGTATGCTGTCATGGTGGATAGTGGAGTATGGGTGGAGAGCACCAGCAGGGACAGCTGGGGAGATGGGTTGGGGTTGGATGATGAAAAGCTTGCTGGAAGTGCCAAGAGGTGGTTTAGAGAAGGCCCAGCTTCTTACATTAAGACAGTGTTCTCCAAAGAGGAGTGTGCAGGATGATACGAAGAAATGTGGGAAGAAAATAGAACTTCCAGAGAACTTCTCTCTATATTCATTTTATATTTCATTCCTCCCAATCTTTATTTTAATGGATGTTTTGTATTGCTTATAAAATACTGTACAGTAACTGATACTTATAATCTACTATATATATGTATGTGTAAAATGGTTACTGATGGAGTGTAGGATCCAAAGTTCAGTGACCACACAGTTCTTTAAGGCACAGCAGCACAGCCTGCCTCACACTCCCACTTAGAGTGTAGTCATATGGTTCAGCCCTGTGTCCCCACACAAATCTCATTTTGAATTGTATTCCCCATAATCCCCATGTGTCGAGGGAGGGACCTAGTGGGAGGTAATTGAATCATGGGGTCGTTTCCCCCATGCTATTCTCGTGATAGTGAGGGAATTCTCATGAGATCTGATGTTTTTGTGAGTGTTTGACAGTTCCTCCTTCACATGTGCTCTCTCCTGCCGCCATGTAAGACATGCTTGCTTCCCCTTCTGCCATAATTGTAAGTTTCCTGAGCCACTCCCCAGCCACGCGGAACTGTGAGTCAATTAAACCTCTTTCCTTTGTTTACAAATTACCCAGTCTCGGGTAGCATCTTTATAGCAGTGTGAAAACAGACTAATACATGTAGGCAGACTCCTGGTTGCGCCCAGGGATGATGATGTACTGTTTAGGTGGACAGATTGGTTCTGTGGCTCTAGGATGCCATGTCTGGACTCTGACAGTTGCCTTTAAAGGAGGTGGGAAGAAACAATTGTTCCAGATGCTGAGGTTGAGTCCCATTGGCCATATCAACAACATCTTCCAACGTCTAACTTGTCCTAACAACCCTCTACAAGTCCATGTATTTTGTTACTGGTTTACCTTGGAGGCTCCCACAGGATGTGATACTGCTTAGTGTTATATAGTCAAAATACACTTTAATCCATGTATTGATTGATTGACTTTTACATGACTATGCCTAGAGTTTAGTAACAGCTGACTAAACACTTTTCCAGGTTGAAATGATCATAGCCATGCTCTATGGAGTAAGGTTTTGAGAATGCATCACCCACATTACCTGATGCCACCAGAATCCTCTTCTGAGGGGATCTGAGCCCCGCCAGTGTCTGGCTCTGCATAAAGGTGGGGGTGAGGCACAGACATCAGATGCTCATCCTGTATGCGTTCCTTGCTCTTCACAGGAAGATGTCAACACCTGTACACTTTACGGAAGGACACAGGCCTGCATCTGACTGGTGCTGTGGAATTCCTGCACCCCAGACTGGTGTCAGGGAGTAAATCTCCAGGCTTGGTGTAAGAAAATGTGTTTTTGGAGCTCTGCTTCCTGGGATTCAGCCAAGCCATTGGAAAGCTGTAAAATCTGAGGTTTGCCCTTTTAACCTAGGCTTTGATGTTTCACTACACTGAGATGTGTTATAAATGGATCTGTGAAACAGTCTCACAGAATGGTTGCTGACTTTGCTGTAGGGATGCTGTAAAGTTCAACAGTCTATTATTATGTTACACAGTAATTTTTTAAGAGGCTCAAGTGAGAAGTTTTCTGTAAGTCTCAGTATCAAGATGGAGAGTTTTTTCCCCTGAGCACCTAGTTTGTTTTTGATTTTATGAATATGGTAAAACATGTAAATGAATACATTTCTCTCTTTGAGAAATATAGAATCAAATTTGCTGCGTTCTTCTACAAAGTGCACAGGACTCTGTGGGTATATATGTAGTATATTAAGTCTAACTTCATCTTACTTGTTTCTGCCTGAATTTTCCTCTTTATCTGTTTACTTCACTGATTTGCCTTCTTGTGTACTGAATGTGTTTTTGTAACCCACCTCAAATATTTCTGGAATTAAGGGAATTGAGAAGAGTGCAGTGGTTAAAAATGTGAATTCCCATGTTAGGCTGGCCTGAGGTCAAATTCCTGTCCTGCCACTTAATCCTTGTGTGACTCTTAATCCAGGGTGACTTACCTGACCTTGTCAAATCTCAGCATCCTCATTGTTATCTATGAAATGGGGATAGCAAGAGTACTAAGGTTTTTTTTAAGGCTGTGGTGGGTAATAAATGGAAACCATTTAATGTGGTGGCTAGCGTACAGTAAGTACTGAGTCAATGCTACATAATTATGACTATTATAAATACTAGAACTAATGAGAGAATAAATAAATACATGAATAAATAAATGTACCTATTTATTTGTAGGTACATTTAATAATATAATTATTTATATTGGAGGAGAAAAACTCAGGTCCATCCTGCTGGAGCATTCCTCTCCTCTCATAGACTGGAGCAGTCTGGAGTATGAACTATGCAAACTCTAACGATGATGGCTTCAAATCCTATAGAAGCTTACAACCCCCTAAGCCTTAAGAAGGATTTTTATTTTTTATTTTTTAACTAGAAAGGAATGAAGAAAGGGTCATAAAATGTTAAAGTATATTGCTGACTATATTGCTGACCCATATTGCTTTTCACCAGTAACTCCTAAAATAATTACCATCTCAAAAACAATTCCAAACAATAAAGCTGCAGCTGGTGTGTGGGCTGTCATCAATGCAGAGGAGGTCTGAGCCCTGCCACATTGCTAGCCACTGGCCCCATACCCCCAAAACTTAAAAAGTGAAACAAAAATATAACAGTGGACAGAATAGGCTGAATATGAGTAGAATAAGCTGATAATGCTACAGTGAGTAAAAATCAGACATATTTGAAAGAGGATAGTAATACCAAGATAGTGTCTTTATTAGGTACTTTTAAAGATGAACCTATTATTTCCCCAAGGAACTCTGAAATTGCGTAAGCTCCAGGCACCAGACTGAGAACTCATTTTGGACTGGACTCTTATGTTCCTTACTCATCGTCAACTCTATTCCAGCACCCAGCACATGCCTGGCACAAATGTTTGCTGACAAAACAAATGTATGAATAGGTTGCCTCAAGCAGTGGGGGGCCCCACCAATGACTGGACAATCCCCCTGGAGTCATCAGGACTAAAGGAAGCTCGGTGACCCGTGGGTGGGTGAGTAAGCACATGGAAGCCTTTAATCCCAGGAACATGGGAATGGAGATTGCTTTCATTCACTCATTCGTTCAACAAGTTTGCTAAGTTATTCCCATGGCCCTGATACTATGCTGGCCACAGTGGATATCACTGACAAGGCAAACTCAGGCTCGCTCCTTCTGGTGCTGACCATACAATAACAACACAGTGTGACAGGCACAGCAAGACATTCTATGGGATGACAAAGGAAGGATACCAAATCTAGATGAGGAATGAGTTGGAGGTCTTGATCAGGTTAAGAATAAAGGGGTTGGGAGACAGCAGGGACAGCCAGAAAATGAGGAAGAGGAGGGCGCATGGGAGACACTGGCCATGCCAGGTCAGTGTGTCTGGAGCAGAAGTGATGATGGGAGAATGATGAGAGCTAAGGCTGGCAGAGAAAGGAGAGGGCCAGATGGGCAGGGCCTTGGCACTATGATAAGGAATATCAGCCTTATGCTGGAAGCAATGCGGAACCATGGAAGGTTTTAAGTAGGAGAGTTCTAAGATCAGATCAAAGTTTGGGAAGCTCACTCTGGGTGCCATGGAGAATGGATTTCAGGGTGGAGACTAGAGGCAGGAAAACAACTCAGTAAGGAGGCTGCTGCATGAGCAGGCAGCAGAGGGTGGGTGTGAAGGGGATTTGGGAGTTCTCAGTGATTGGTTATGACTGGCAAGAGAAGAAGAAGAGTTGCCAGAGCTACCTGCAAAAGAACGAAAGTAAGATGGATGCTCTTTGAGTACTGGATGAGCCATTTTTCCACTTCTAACTCTGTAAAAGTTACCTTGTGATCCCCAAGAAGGGAAGTGAGATCTGTCTTCAACACGCAGGGGACGATCCCAAAGTTCTCAGACCTCCTCTTCTCGCTTCATTCCCAATCTTCCCGTCATGGTGGCTTTGGAGGTGCAGTCACATTGGAAAGTCGTGGGAGCCTGAGGTGCCCTCTGATGGGCTTTAGGTGGCTTTAGGATCTGACGCTGCTATCTACAGACAGGTGGGAGTTAGGAGCTGCATGGGAGGGCTTTGTGGAAAATAGGTGGAAATCAATGGAAGATACAGTTACAGCATTGAACTTCTTGGAATTTGGAGGCAGAAAACCTGCACCCAGGCTCCATCTGGTGTGAGCTTGGGCGTATCATTTAGGTTCCATCACTAAAAAGTCATTTAACTTCAACACTAAAAATTACCATGACCTACAGAAGTCCATGAGTCATTTACACTCTGTGATTTTCAGTTTTTTCCTTTATAAAATGAGAATTAAGATATCTACCCGTGTGTACCTTGAATGAAACAAATCACACATGTAATAGTGCCTTGGAAATGTAATATAATGAACTCTGCACATATTGGAGACCTGTGAGACTGTCATTTGGTGGACGTGGCACAGCTACTGTAAGTCAGACAGACTTGGATTTGGGTTTTGAATATACTACAAATTAGCTGTTGGCAAGAGTAGCAGGATGGCTTCCAGTGATCCCATCTCCTGATGTTTGCTCCCTGCATGACCCTCTCCTTCTGTGTTTATGTGGGCTGGGCCTAGTGATTCCAATTAGTAGACTATGGCAGAAGTGATGGTCTGTCATTTTGGAGATCAGCTTGTAAAAGACTACCTTGTTTGCATTCTGTCTCTGTGACTCTGATGTGATGAGCTGCCCTAAGGAGAGGCCCATGTGACAAGGGACTGAGGATGGCCTCCAGCTAAGTAGTATGGAACTGAGCTCCCAGTCCAACAGCCCCAAGGAAATGAATCCTGCCAGCTCCCACGTGAGTGAGCCTGAAAGTGGATCCTTCTGAGTTTGAGCCTTGACATGATAGTTATTACTATTATGCAAAAGGCTGCAAAGCCCAGGGACAGTTGAATGCTATAGACAATGGGTACATTCAGTTTAGGCCAGTGACTACTGTGGCTGCCCTGTCATAGTATAACCACACTCCATTATTACTGCTTGTTTCATTGTGTGTCTTGTTCAGCTAACTAAGAACTGGAGAAGGATGGGGGTACCTACATTCTGCCACCATGATATCTCCTGTGCCTAGCAACACTCAGTGAGGGCTGTTAAATGAATGAATACATATTTGAATTAATAAGAGGGTGAGGAAACTCCTTGTCCCTTTGGGAAGTCTGGTACTTAAAGCAGCTGCCACGTGTCCCAGGAGAGAACACAGGGGAGTGGAAGGACCACTCTGGGGTGAGAGTGTCAGGGCCAAGTCTGATGCTCATTACACTCTCTTGGGCAGATATTACCCAAGCCTCAGTTTTCTCATGTGTGAAATGGGTGCAAGAGTTGTCCTAACTTCTTAACAGGATTGCTGTGAACATTAATTGAGATCACAGACACAAAAGTACTTCATAAATTGCAAACACAAAATAACTATTAGCCATTAGGAATGTTGGTGGAATCTGGTCCCAAGATGGTGATTCTTCTCAAGTGGCCTATTACTCATCAGGCAGGTTTTGAATTTTATAAATTCTGATTTACAAAATGTGTTAGGATTGTACACAAAATCCATTAACTCATTTCATAGAAAAAACAATATTCTGACAAACTTTACTTTTTATTTTCTGAAGCATGTTCTCTTTTCAATGGGTACACAATGCTTTGTGTTTCTTTTTATTCATCTTTGTAATTAGCATGTTTTGGGTTTGCAAATGGTAAACACCATTTTACAGATGTGTAAATAGGGGCACTCTGGTTTTGCCTTTACAATGTGTTGTTGGTTCATTTAATTTTAGCTCTGAACATTTGTTTTGTGCCCATTGACCGGGGGTAAACACACTGAGTGACTTGAGGAAGCAAAGGCTCTGGAGAGGGTCCCTCACTATGCTAGATTCATCCCGAGGAACAAGTTCCGCCTTGAATGAAACACACCAGCATGTGAAACTGACTGGACAACCATTCTGGCCTCAGAGAAACACAAATGCAGCAAAGAAGGCTGAGCCAGTTTCCTCTGAGCAGGAAATTTCAAGGCCTCTTTCCATCACACCCCAACCTCCCTTACCAAACACATCTTCCTCTGCACAATAGATGCCTTTCTCCAGCGTTTTCCAGATTGAGTTCAGTAAGAGAGTCACCAGTTTGCCATAAATGAAGGCACCCTGTGCCATGAACATGAGTTTGGGAAACAAGGCATCCTTTATCTTCTTCTTGGAAAATCATAATGCCCCATTAGACAACTAATTTTAACATGACTGAAATCAAAATAAACATTATCTACTCAGAGCAAATTGCCTTCTTTGTTCTTTCTTATATCTCTTTCATAACAATGATAACCTTCTTTTCTGACTTTTAATTTTTTATTTACTTGTATATGTCTGTGGTTACTCTAATGTCATTGACAGTACAGAATAACTTTTTCATCTTCGTATTTCTCCTGGGCCCAGCACAGTGCTATGAATGGAATAGGTGCTCAATAAATGTTTTTGGGATAAACTGGTTGAACAATGAGTGTTGCACCATCCAGAGTGGGCCAAAAAAGCAGAACTTAGAAGACGAGGGAACAAGGAGGCAAAGCAAGTCAGGTTTGTTTTTTTTTTGAGACAGAGTCTCACTTTGTCATCCAGGCTGGAATGCAGTGGCGCTATCTCAGCTCACTGCAACCTCTACCTCCCAAGTTCAAGCTATTCTCCTGCCTCAGCCTCCCAAGTAGCTGGGATTACAGGCACCCACCCCGACACTCGGCTAATTTTTTTTGTGTTTTTAGTAGAGACAGGGTTTCACCACGTTGTCCAGGCTGGTCTTGAACTCCTGACCTCCAGTGATCCGCCCGCCTCAGCCTCCCAAAGTGCTGGGATTACAGATGTGAGCCACCACACCCGGCACCAAGTCAGCTTTTTAATGGGTTGTAATCAAACAGTTACTGGTGAAAATCCTACTTCGTTCAGCTGCTTCAGGCAGCTCTGACTATTTAGTCATTGCTCTGAACCATTTATTCTAACTATTATTCAGTGTCATATAAGCATGGTCTGTTTCTACTTTCCTGCCCAGGGGACATTTCTTCACCCACAAACATCCTCTTCCATTTTTTCTTTTTTTTTTCTGGAGACAGAGCTTTTTTTTACCAGGGAAAGCAATTTTGAAACTGCCTGTCTTGATTTGGAGTTAATGGAACCAAATACACTGCCAATTTTAAATTATCAATAAGATGATCATCTCACAATAACCTTGATAGCCTCTGGTCAGATACTAACTTAGGCCATGTTTAAACATCTGTGTCACCAGTCACCTCTCATGTGATGGGTAGAAAGTAATTATTGGAAGCTTTGAATATACTCACAGATTCTACATGACTCATCAGGCCTTCCTTTGCTTTAAGGACAAATTTAAGTGGAAGAAAGAACTTAGACTGGCTAAAGAGTCAGAAGAATGTGTGATGGTATCATGTGTTAATTCTCCCATATAAATTTTATGAATAAAGATTTTCTGTCTTTTAGTTAGCCCAGATACATGTTTCTGGGCATCTGAGTGTAAGAGAAAGAAAATAACTTTTCAGACAATAATTCTGATGCCCAACACATGACAATTGCTAAAGGAAAGGAGGCAGGACTGTGTTGGGTTGTTTTCACGGCTAGCAAGATGAAACGCCAGAGTGAGCTCAGGCAAAGGTCTGCATTCTGTAGTGCGAGCCCTAGTGAAAGTGGAAATAGTGGGGGAATCTTTCCCACTGTTTCCTACAACCTGAGCAGCTCGGGGCCACATCTGGTCTGTTTCATCATTCATGACTGAGTAAGGAAAAGAAGTCCCCAAGAGGAACAACATGGTCTTGCACACACTTATCAAGGGCCATTCAAGGAACCCAGCTGGGGGAAGCAGAGTTGGTCAACAATACCTTCACTAAAAGTAACACCTGTTAAATTTCTAGTTATTGACAGGGATTTGCAAGGCATGCCAAAGACAGAAGAATCAGACTTTCTTTGTATTATTATCAGTGTTTTTTGACTCCAGGGTGGAGGGGCAAGTGGAGCAGCAACATGGGCAGTGCTGGAGGCCGGGAGACTCAGAAACACTACCTGTCAGAGAAGAGAGGGAAACTGTAGCTAAGGGCAAAGGGAGGTTTCAGTGGGCCAAATAGATAAACCAGGCAGTGAATTCCTTTGGAAGCAAGGGAAGTGCTGAATCATTTAATGCTGAAATTGTCGTTGGAGTTACTGAAAGGAGTCTAGGAGACAAGGCAGAAAATCATTAGCAGAAATTAATTATCTACTGCTTTCAACACTAAGGATTATGCTGATCTATGCAACCCAAAAAAGCCAGAAAACCTGAGGGGTCTTGACAGGAGGCTGCTGTTCTGGCAGGTAGAAGGGGGCGGCAACTGGGGTGGGAGTTGTTCTGTGATGCTCTGGAGGAAATAGTATCACAGACCTTGGTGCAGTTGAGAGAGGGGAGGATTCCTATAGACAAATGGAAAGAGAAGGCCAACACAGATGGGGGCCTAGCAGCTGCTTGTGAAGGAAGTTAATTGCTGATGAGCTCAGCTTCTGGCTAAGAGAGCTGTTTGGTTTGGTTCTCCTGCAGAACCTTGTGGATAGAGAGAAGGCACATACTGTACAGTCTGGGGGACAGGCTGACTGCACCAGAGGGCACCATGACCCCAGAAGGTGGACAGGACATGACAACGCTATCTCAACTAGGTTGGAGCCTAAGGCTGCCTTGCTCCCTCCAGAGTATACAACCCCAGATTTCTGGATGTAAATTTTCCACTGGGTGTCTAGGCAGTACACCTGCCATAAAGAACTGTCTGATAAACCCTCTTTCTCTTCCAAGGGCTGGGGAGGTGGGGTAGGAGGCTGGTTGGGATCCTGGCTATTATTCTGGACATGGTCATGGTTGGGATTAGGGCCAGTACTAAGGTAAAGTGAGTGAGGTACTTACGGTGCAAAACGGAAGGAAGCAATACTCTCAGGGTCACCTGAGTGCACTGTCGGCGCCTCCTTCCATTCTGCACCCTAGGCATCTCACTCACCTTACGCTACTGCTGGCCCCAGTTGGAGTCAAGTATTCTTGCACTTCATTTCATAGTAACCAAGCCAGTCTGGAGCCTCTGTTTCTTTCTGGTGTCTAGAGAGCCTGTGGCCAAATCTGGAATGCATCAGGGCAGGAGAGGGGTGTTTCATTCTCTGCAGCTCTCAGATTCGTAGGAAGCATGGCTACCTTTATAGGGCTGCTGTGGGTGCTTGCAGCCTACATAACTGTTCCTTCTTTGAGCAGAGAGAGGTAAGAAATACAAAGATAGCTTTCACCAGTGTACGATAAAGGGAATCCCAAAAGGACACTGGTCAACTTTTAAAAATAACTTATCTTTTGTTTTCTGTTTAGAAAAGCAAATAAATCTTCATATTAAATAGAGTTAGAAAATAAAAATGACCTGTAATTCCAACCTCCAAAATTAGATCTGTGCTGGCGGTTCATTTAGATTTTCATCTTTAATCACATGGTCCTGGTGATGACAGTAACAAAAATGAGGGTGATGACCATACAACAAACATGTATGGAATGTTAATTTCTCCATGTCAACCACTGTGCTAATTGCGTTACTTGCATTGTTCAACATGACCTAATTTATTTCTCAACAGTACCATGAGGCCAGCAATATTATTCCTATTTTGAAGATGAAGATCTGGGGCTTAGAGAGGTAATAACTTGCCAAGGTGAAATAACTGGTATGGGGCACAGTTGGGATTCAATCCTAGGTCTACCTGACCCTGCAGCTTGAGAGCAAGAAGATGGATTAGAAAGGGTTTTCCCTTTCATTCTGTCCCAGCTCCCCACTCCAGTTCCTTCCCTGTCCTCTCACAAAGGAAGCACAGAGTGAAAGCGGAACAGCAGATCTCATTTTGAAGGTTTTCCACCCTCCTAGAAGGAATGAAACAGGAGCCCTCCAAACAAGAGGTGGAATGTTGGTCCCTTCTGCCCATCCCACTCTGATTTAGTTTTGTCCCCTCCAAATCTCATGTTGAAATGTGATCCCCAGTTTTGGAGATGGGGCCTGGTAGGAGGTGATTGGATCATGGGGGCAGATCTTTCATGAATGGCTTAGTGCCATTCCCTTGGTGATGAGTGAGTTCTCACTCTGAGTTCATGTGAGAGCTGGTGGTTTAAAAGGAGCCTGGGCCAGGTGCAGTGGCTCACGGCTGTAATCCCAGCACTTTGGGAGGCCAAGGCAGGTGGATCACCTGAGGTCAGCAGTTTGAGACCAGCCTCGCCAACTTGGCGAAACCCTGTCTCTACTAAAAATACAAAAATTAGCCTGGCGTGTTGGTGGGCGCCTGTAATCCCAGCTACTTGGGAGGCTGGGGCAGGAGATTCGCTTGAAACCAGGAGGCGAAGTTTGCAGTGAGCCAAGATCGTGCCATTGCACTCCAGCCTGGGCAACAAGTGAAACTCCATCTCAAAAAAAAAAAAAAAAAAATATACACACACACACACACACACACACACACACACACACACACACACACACGTTATGTATACAATAAATAAATAAAAGGAGCCTGGATCCTCCTCCTCCCTCTCTTGCTCCTACTCTTGCCATGTGACACCATCTGTTCCCCCTTTACCTTCCACTATGATTGTAAGCTTCCTGAGGCCTCCCCAGAAGCAGATACTGACATCATGCTTCTTGTACAGACTGCAGAACCCATGAACTAAAAGAAACTTCTCTTCCTTATAAATTACCTAGTCTCAGGTATTTCTTTATAGCAATGCAAGAATGAACTAACACATGTTCCCACTTCTGCAAATGTTTATTGAGCTTACTCACTTTATATAATTCACAGCTTTGAAAGAAAACACTTTCCTTTTTGTATTTGTACTTAGATTTTCTAGATTGTCTTGAATTTTTCTGACGCTTGTGTGAAATTTGGAGCAGCGGAAAAGGCAGGGTGCATTAGAGAGGATGTGTCCCACTCAGATCCAATGCTTCTCCATATCAGATGAAAACAGAATCCAAGATGATATTAATACCTGAATGATATTAATACCTGATTAGAAAACACAGAAGAAAAGATTAGTGAACTTGAAGCCATAGCAATAGAGAATACCCAAAATGGAACACACAAAGAGAAAAGAATTTAAAAAAAAGAATATTGCATCTGAGCTGTGGGACAACTTTAGGTGGCTGAATGTGTGCATAATTGCAGTTCCTGATGGAGGCACAGGGGAACAGAAAGATTATTTAAGAAATAATAACTTAAAAATTCCCAAATTTATTGAAAACTATAAACCCAAGGATCCAAGAATCTCAACAAACCTCAAGTACAAGAAGCATAAACGACACCAAAGGACATTATTATCAAACTTCTGAAAACCAGTGATAAAAAGAAAATTATAAAAGCAGACAGAGAAAATGACATATTTTGTACAAAAATAAGAATGACAACAAATTAATTGTCACAAGCAATGCATGTAAGTAGAGAGTTGGGTAACATTTTTAAAATATAGTACTGAAAAAACCCAGCCTGTCCACCTGGAATTCTATACCAATGAAAATTATTTTTTAGATAATGATGGTGAAATAAAGATGTTTTCAGATATACAAAAGCTAAAAGAATTCATCACTATCAATTATCTTCCACTCTGTGCAAAGCACTGTACTAGGCACACAAATAGATGTAAGTAATTTCCTTATCTCAATAACCCTGTTGTGTAAATAGGGAGTGTAAGAAAGATGTGACTGAAACCCTCGTGTCAGGAGTGGCTACCAATGAAGGCCAGCAGCACAGCTGGGTGGGCTAACCACCAAGTGTCCAATAACCTTTTTAAAAAAAGACTAACCAAAGCAAGAAAGAAAAACTGGGGGGTTAGTATCTGGGAGAAGTTTAAGGTTATTTTCTCCTCTTGGGAAGTTTGGACAAATTGGCCTCCTCTTTTTCTCTTTCTGTCTCCTTGGCAATGTCTCAAGACCAGGATATATACCCAGGAAGAGAAGTTTTGACCTGCTTTGGTGAGATTTGAGAAAAAACTAACTGAGTGAAATCTATAGGGGGTTGAGATTCTTATTTCTGCTCAATGTTTTAAAAAATGGAATTACGTCCCAACAGCCAAACATTGGAAGATTTTACATAAAGCTAAATTTTTGGCATATCTTGAAATATCAGACCCAGTAACACCGAGCCTACAACCCTTTTCCAGGAAATGGGCTGGAACTGTATGGTGGCTGCACCTGTTGAGCAGCATGCAGGCCCAGATTTGCTGCAATGTAATTGATTGAATTATACCATCCTCC
The DNA here is from genome assembly GCF_000001405.40 of Homo sapiens. Classification (NCBI taxonomy): domain Eukaryota; kingdom Metazoa; phylum Chordata; class Mammalia; order Primates; family Hominidae; genus Homo; species Homo sapiens. Next base: position 97,345,476 of record NC_000008.11, on the reverse strand, counting down.
TGGCACCCATAGGCATTCGAGTTTGTATCCTGTGCTACAAGGCCATTGCACGTGATGTGGCCCTGTTGAGATATTCTCTTGCTAGGGCTGACAGATTTAGCAAAGAAACATACAGGATGCCCAGTTACATTTGAATATCAGATAAACAGTGAGTAATTTTTTTTAGCGTAAGTATATCCTGTGCAATATTTGAGACATACTTACACTAACAAATTATTTATTGTTTATGTGAAATTCAAATTTAGTTGTGTCTCCTATAATTTATCCGGTGACTTTATCCCTTGGAGCCACAATAATCTCAGACTGCTCCCTTGGGAGAAGGCCTGTTGCCTCTTCTCTTCCCCTTTAGAAGTGCTATCCTCTACTTTGACACCAAACTGAGGTCCCTCTGGGAAGACAGCCTAGGCCAGCTTCGTTCTTGATTTTGGAAGGAATTTGCTGTCTCCCTTTCTCTTTAGTTTCTTTTCTTTGGTGGTGTAGCTTGAATCAATTTTTCCTTGCACTGCAATGGTAACATGAAGATCTCAAATATGAGCTTTGGGGAAAATAGTCAAGGACCTGCATTTGTTCAACGTAGGAACAGACTCCTCCCTATGACCTCATTTTGTTCATCTAAGTTCTTCATTCAGTTTTGGACTCAAATTTTCAGCCAAGAGTGAAGTGTTATTTAGCCTTATTTTGCTTTTTGTCATCTGGAGGCTTAGATTTCCCCTGGGGACCTTGAGTGGAGTGTTAAGAAAATTATGCAAAACTTGGAAATAAAGCAAAAGGATTACTGTATGACTTTGCAATGTCATCTAAGGCTATGTTACTGCAAGTGTGGCTTGCTGACTAATGATGTCACCTGGGAACTTGTTGAAATGCAAATTCCCAGGCCCTGCCCAAGACCTACTGAACCAGAATTTCTGGGGGCAGGGCCTAGGAGTCTGTATTTTCAGTTTGAGAAGCATTGATCTTGAGAAGCTTGCCTAAGTGTTTTCTTACACTCCAGGGGAATACAACATAGTTTGTACATTGATTTGGGCTCGGTTGTTTATAATAGTAGAAAGGTGGTGATAATTTTAATTTTCTGTCCTGTAGAGAAGACAATTGCAAATATTATGGCTTTACTGCTCTCTTGGACACTAACTAATTTTGTGTCTGACTTTGCAATTTTACTTTGGAATCCTTTTCTTCCCTCTGACTGCAGAAGTCCTATTTTCTCATCTCTTCTTTCGCACTGGCTTTGTCATCCTGCTTCTCTCATTAATGAGTTGAATAAAACTTTGACATGTGCTCACTTATCTATCCACATGAAAATTAGATTTTTAATATTTTGAAAATTGTACTTTGACAGAAGGATAACTGAGAGAAGACAGGATTCATCTCTTCTTTAGACTCCTGGCTAAATACTGTCATAACACTCTCTGCCTTAATCAGGGTCTATTTTGTTACAAACGACCAAAGCCAACTCAAATTAGCTCAAGGGGAAAGGGGCTTATTGGAAGCTTACAGGGAAGTCTGATGGGATTCATGTTCAGGAAGTATAGCTAAGCCTCAAAAGGAGGTAGAAAACTGTGAGGTGGTCTCTCTTGTTCTTTCTCTCCAAATGCTTACATGCTCCTGCTTTTTTCTAGACAGGAGCACTACTCTCTGGCTTCTCTTTGTAGACTGGTTTCCTTGCTTTCTTATTGGTATGAATGTGGCTTAAAATGGATATGAATAACCTTCCAGTCCCAGAAGAAAGAACCTTTTTTGTTTGGTGAACCCATAAATCACTGGCTTTTGGTTACACACCACCTGGCTGTGGGGTGGGGGAGGATCACATGATCATCTGCCCAGAAGCTAAGGATTAGAGCAGATACTCTAAAGGACCAGTAGGCAAGGGAGGCAAATTTGTCTCTGATACTCTGCCCTTTAATAAAACTGTGTAAGAGATTTAGGAAAGAAAGATGATGAAAGTGGTGTTCCTCCCAGGGTTTCTTCCCTTGGTCATGAGAATGGGGTTGGGACCAGTTTGGCTCAACTTATCCTTGAAGCCTAACAAATAGGAAAGCCTCTCAGTTTGTTGAAATGAGTAGAGTGAAAGCTGAAGAAAAAGACTGATTTTTAATTAAAACTCTTTAAAATGAAATCTAATAACAGCCTCATTTGAGGGGCTAAACAAATAATTGATCTCTGAGAAAATAATGTCATATTGGATTGCATTTTTAGCCACAACATTTGTGATTTTAATATATGTATGGAGTCTAACACCACATATAACAAATAAATCCCTAGATTTCATTGGCTTAGCACAGTTGAAGTTTATTTTCTACTCGCAGAAATACAAAGTGGTATTCTTGGTCAGTGGATGCAATCCTTTTGTTTTCTTAGGTTTTTTGAAATTTCTGTCAATAATTCTTTGTTCATCTTTTGTTAAATTTATAGCAATTGCATAATTTTAATATAAATATTACCTTAAAAATTTTTTTATTTTGTCATGATTTGTTGCTAGTATTTGGAAATACAATTTATTTTTCTATATTGCCCTGGATATGTTTATCTATCAATCTTGCTAAGTCCACTTATTTATTTTAATAATTTATAGGTACATCTTTTTGTATACAATGTGTGCATACAATCACATTGTCATAAGAATTTTATTTCTTTCCCAATCTTCCTACCTTTTACTTTTTTTTTCTGGTCTTACTGTCCTGGCTGGGTCTCTCAGAATATTGCTTCATAGAAGAGATGTCAGCAGTGTCCTTGCTAATTCTCATTTTCACTGGGAGGAGATTTCAAAATTTTACCATTATGCATTATATCAGTCAGCATCAGTTAAGACACAGAAACCATGCCAGTTATTTTAAGAGGGAGAATTTAATTTGAAGAATTGTTAACCACATTTCAGAGAAGAGAAAAGGCAGAGAGGACAGTAGGTATCACAGAGGTTGTTGTTACAACAGGAAACAGCTACTAGTCCAGTGCTGGGAAAACAAAGAGAAGAGGTTGGTAGTCATAAAACTTAAAAGCTTAGATGAGGGTCTCCATGGATTCAGATCATAGACCCCTGGGTGCAGGTCACTCACTGCCTGATTGGTGCTGGTGCTTGGGAACCTTGAAGAGGGTTCCTTGGAGCTGGGGTTCCAATCTTGAAGGAGGGAGTAACTCCAGGGCTAGTCTTAGGTCTTGGGAAGGAGCAACTCCAGAGTTGGTCTTGGGATCCCTGGAGGGGCATGGTGAGACAGATTCTAAAGTAGGAAAAAACTGCAGAGTGGCACCAACAGCCACTATTAGGAACAACTGTTGCTGTCAGGATGAAGAACTTCTGGTGCATTAATACAAACATAAATGGAAAGCAAACAGGAGGGAGAAAACCTTTTTCCTCCTCCAGCCTTGGAGCCTCCCTCTTATGCCCCTTATTGGCACAGCTGAACATGGATTCTGCTGGCAAAGTGAAAATGTGATTTGCAGAGTCCTGGCCCCCAATAACAAAGAAAAGTAAACAAGGATGGGCTTCAAACCTAACAATTATCCAATGGCTTAATAACTCAAAACAATAATGGTGCTGGCTGTCGGCATTTTGTATACACCTTCATAAGATAAATTTACTTAATCAGGAAATTTACTTTATCACGAAATTCACCTCTGTGCCTAGTTGTTGAATTTTTATAGTAAATGTATGTTGACTTTTATTAAATACTTTATCTGTATCTATTGAGATTAAAATTAGAAAGATGATTTGGAATGTTAAACCAACCTTCCATTCCTGAAATAAATCCAACTTGATTGTGTTGTATGATATGTTTACCTACTGTTGAATTGGATTTGCTAACATTGTATTTATTTCATGAGAGGGATTTTGTTGTTAATTGTTTTCTGTGAGGTTTAGTATCAAGTTTATCCTGGCTTCATGATACAAATGGGGACATACAGACTATTTTATTTCTTTATCTGGAAGAATATGTATAAATTTAACATTATTTTTTAAATGTTTAGAAAAATTGGTGAAGCCATCCAGATTTGCATTTTAAAATGAGCTTGTTTTTTAAAGTGGGAAGCTCTATATTATTCAATTTCTTTCATAAATATAGGGCTATTCATATTTCTATTGCTATATGTCTATTTCTTTTTGAGTCAGTTTGGTAAATTAAGTTTTTCAAGGACTTTGCCCATTTCATCTAAATTTTCAATTGTATTGGCATAAAATTGTTTGTAATATACACATATTACCTTTTAAATATCTATTAGATCTGAAATGATGTCTCTGTTTTCATTTCTGATATTGGTAATTTGTGTTTTCTCTCTTTTTTTCCTTCATTCTTGCTAGGGGTTTATAGAGTTTATAAAGTTCTATTTAAAGAACCAACTTTTGTCTCTGTAAGTTTTCTCTGAATTTGTTTTCTGTTTCATTAATTTTCTGTTCTTTATGTCTTTTTTTTTCCATTTCTTTTTTTTCTTCAACTTTTATTTTAAATTCTGGTGTACGTGTATAGGATGTGAGGGCTTGTTACATAGGTAAACACGTGCACAGATCAACCCATCACCTAGGTATTAAGCCCAGCATGCATTAGCTCTTCTTCCTGATGCTCTCCCTCTCCCCACCACCACCCCCGACAGGACCCAGTGTGTGTTGTTCTCCAACATGTGTCTATGTGTTCTTATCATTCAGCTCCCACTTATAAGTGAGAACATACGGTGTTTGCTTTTCTGTTCCTGAGTTAGTTTGCCAAGAATAACGGCTTCTAGCTCCATTCATGTCCCTGAGAAAGACATGATCTTTATGTCTTTTAAAACTTTCCTGAGATGGATATTTAGATCATTAAATTTCAAGCTTAATTCCCTTCTAATACATGATTTTAAGACTATATATTTATCTGTAAACACACCTTGGGCTGCATCTCACAAGTTTCGATATGTTATAATCTTATTAATCAGTTAAAGTTATTTTCCAATGTCTGTTTTTATTTCTCTCTGATCCCATGGGTCATTTATAAATATATTTTAAAATTTCTAAATGTATATAGTCTAACTGTATTTTTATTATGTATTTATGGCTTTCTTTTAATGAAGTCAGAAAACATTTTATATAATTTTAATTTTAGAAAATTTATTAAGACTTTCTTTTCAGCCCAGTTTATAGTCAGTTTAAGTAAATGTTCTATATGCACTTGAAAAATGAGTGTATCTTTCAGTTTTTTGGGCAGAGCGTTCTGTATGTGCTATTTAGATCAGATTCATTATTTGTGTTGTTGAACTCTTTCATATCTTTGCTAATTCATTGTCTGTTCTTTCAGTTACTAAGAGAGATGTATTAAAATACCAACTGTGATCGTAAATTTTTCTATTTCTCCCTTAGGTTTTAAGTTTCGTTTTATATGTTTTAAGGCAATGCTATTAGATGCAAACAAATTTGAGATTGTTTTGTCTTTTTTAGTGGATTGATGCTTTTTCATTATAAAATGTCTCTATTTCTGATAATCTTCTTGCATTAAAGTTTACATTGTTTGACATTACTAAAGCTACATCAACTTTGTTCCCCCATTTAATGTCATCAGCATGTAATTGGTTATCTACAATACAATCTAACAAGCTTTGTTTTTAAAGTACATTTCATATATTAACAATGTAATTATTGTTGTATTTGTAATATTTGTCCTGTCCTTTTTTTCTACTTATCGCTTTTTTTTTTTTTTTTTTTTTGAGACAGAGTCTCACTCTGTCACCCAGGCTGGAGTGCAGTGGCACAGTCTTGGTTCACTGCAACCTCTGCCTCCTTGACTCAAGGGATTCCCCGGCCTCAGTCTCCTGAGTAGCTGGGACTACAGGCATGCGCCACCAAGCCCAGCTAATTTTTGTATTTTTAGTAGAGACAGGATTTCGTCATGTTGGCCAGGCTGGTCTTGAACTCCTGACGTCAAGTGATCCACCCACCTCTGCTTCCCAAAGTGCTGGGATTACAAGCATGAGCCGGTGTGCTTGGCCTTCTCATACATTCTTGTTTCCTGTTTTTCTCCTTTTTAAAATTTACCTATGGCCTAACCAAATTTTAAAATTTCATCTATTCTCCATTAGGTTGTTAGTCATAGCTATTTTTTTTTTACTGTTCTATTAAATTATTCAATAGACTATGATATACAACCTTGAATTATTAGAGCACATTATAAATTAGTACTGCTACCATTTATCAAATAATGCAAGAATGTTAGTATTCTTCAATTGTTTTTATTGCTTTCTGAATTTGCTATTTTTGTCACGTATTTTTGTTATACATATATTTAAAATCAAAGTATCTTTATCATTTTTTTTGCAGTCAATTTTTATTTAGGTGTATCAATAAAGTTATTCTTCCCATTGATCTTCATTCTTTCCTGTATTTCCATGTTCCATGTAGGATCATTTTTCTCTGCCTAAAGAATTCGCTTTAGTATTTCCTTTAGGTGGTCTGATGACAATTTCAATCTCTTTTTCTGCCTGAAAATGTTTTATTTTGCTTTTATTTTATTTTGAGACAGAGTGTTACTCTCTTGCCCAGGCTGGAGTGCAGTGGTGTGATCTCAGCCCACTGCAACCTCCACCTCCTGGGTTCAAGCGATTCTCATGTCTCAGCCTCCCCAATAGCAGGAATTACGGGTATGTGCTACCATGCCCAGCTAATTTTTTTATTTTCAGTAGAGACAGGGTTTCACCACGTTGGCCAGGCTAGTCTTGAACTCCTGACCTCAAGTTATCCACCCACCTCAGCCTCCCAAAGTGCTGGGATTACAGGTGTGAGCCACTGCACTCAGCCTATTTTGTTTTTATTTTTGAAGGACATTTTCACTGGATATTGGCAGTTATTTTCATTTAACAACTTAAAGACAACATTGCTTCCATAATTTCTGTTGGTAGTCAACTGCAAAGATTACCTTATCTTTGAAAGTAATGCATATTTTATCCTAAGTGGGTTTAAGATATCCTTTTGGTTTTGTTTATCACAATTTTTCTATGATGTGGTTAGGTATGGCTTTCTTTGTATTTATTCTACTTAAAATTTGTAGAATTTTAAAAATTTGTGGTTTGATGCCTTTATTTTAGGTAGCTCTCAGCCTAAATATCTCTTCAAATATTGCTTTTACCCTATTCTCTCTATCTTCTCCTTCTGGGAGGTGAATTACAATATGTTAGACCTTCTACCACTTTCCATGTTTCTTATCCTTTGTTCAGTATTTTTCCATTCTTTTCCCTTGCTGTTCTGCAGACCGGCCTATCAGTTTCTATGGACCTATCATTTATTTACTAATCCTGTATTTTGCTGTATCTAGTTTCCTGATAATTTCACTATGGGGATTTTATTTTTAGTAATTGCATTTTTTCGTTTTATAATTCTCATTTCATGCTTTTATAGATTCTAGTTCTCTAGTGAAATTTTTATATTTTCATCTATTTTGTTGAAGATATCAAAGATAGTGATTTAAAAGTCTGTATCTGACGGTGATTATCTGTAGCATTTGTAGGTCTATTCCTATTATCTAATTTTCCCTTTGGTTTTTAGTCATACAGTCCTTTCTCTTGGCATATCTGTAAATTTTCTTTTTATTCAAGGCCAGAATATCTCTATGAGAAATTGTAGAGGCTTTTTTTTTTTTTTTTCAGAGAGGGTTAACTTTTCTTGTAGCAGTTAGAGAAGTCACAGATGACCTTGATCCTGTTGCAAATCATACCATTCCAAGCTGGATTTCAGTCTTTTTAAAGGCTAATATATTTCCAGTTTTTGTCTTCTAGAGAGTAACCCTTCAGGACTGTCATTGGAAAGTCTTCTGTGCTTACTAGGGCCCCTTCTCTTGTCAGGCCCTAACCTCTACTTTTGTTTCCTAGCACCGTGAGAATCCTAAGAGTTCTGCTTAGCTTTTTCCTCTTAGCTGTTGTTTTGTTTATTGTGCAACTTGAGAATCAGCAAATTCTTCATTGAGAAAAGTCACACAGACAGAATATGGGGCCCTCTTACCTGTAGTTTCCTTTTCTGTAGTATCTTAGGACTTTAGGTACTGACTTATTTGTCACCTAAAACTTCAATTTTTGTTTCTGTAGCTCCATGAAACTGCAAAAAGCTCTGAGAAGTTACGTTTTGGTTGGCTTCTTGACTCTACTTCATTTACAAATTGGCAGAGAAGAAAGGCTCACAGAAATGCCTTTCCCTCCTCCCTGGGGTCTTGGCCCAGCAACTTTTGGCTGCCTTAACTGATTACTGATATCTTTAAGCAGCTGTTTCTAATATTCTATTCAACATTGGGAATTGTTTTTAGTAGGAGAGGTGGTCTGATAAGAGGTAATCCATTATAGTTGGAAGTGGAAGTCCTCTCTAATTCATTTTTAAAAGATTAAAATTTTCTATTTACACAATTGAAAGTTCAAATAACTGATGAGGCAAAATTTTGATCTATGCCTCTAGGCATGCCAACTTCAAATGTAATAAAATAATATGTGCAGGAGGATTTTTTGTTTTGTTTTGTTGGGGATGTAATAACTGCAGAGTTTCATGCTACTTAGAAAGTAGCTGAGATGATTTTTCAAGGGACCATTTCCTAATTTGCTTTGGGAAACACCAGTGCCCTGTACAGTATTAGCAAGTATTCTGTAGAAAAAGATTTTTATGGTTAACTTACTTTGTGAAGTAATAGTTATGTAGAATTCTTTACTTCACAATGTTTCTGAGCCCTAGGTATGTTGTATGGCTTCTAAGTCTCTAAGAGGGAGTTATGGTGTGCAGAATTTCCTAAATTTATTTGATCAAAGAACCTTTGAGGAGTGACTCATGGGGAAGTTTTATCCTACCTACTCAAGTTTAGAAACCACAGTTTTATGAGGAAGAAAGACTAAGTTGAAAGTTAGATGATCTCTGACCATGGCTCTGACATTTATTAGCTGTGTAATATGTTATATGACATTGCATCTCTGATCTATTGTTTCCTTATTTGTAAAACGAAGAGGCTGCACTTGAGATGTCTAAGATCTAAGCTTTTTTTCTTCTATGATATTATCGAGAATGTTGCCTGTATGTATCACACAATGTTTTCCCAGCCCCTGACTCTCATTAGTGCCTTCTCCTTTGTACTGAATTATGAAGCTCTGAAGTAGTGGCTGTATTATTGAAACACACACACCATCTTTGGATTTGTGTCAAATCACTAAACTGAAAATGTAGGTCAGATAATTTTTGACATTTAGATATACAATATGGTAATTGTAAAAGCAGAGGGTGACCTGGTTTTACTTACTGAGAACCACAATTGGGCTTATGATGTTTTGTGTAGAGTTGCTGATCCTGATAAACTTAATCTTTTTTTTTTTTCATGGCCTCATAGAAAACAGGGAACAGGAGAAAACCCAGGGTGTGTACAAGGTGGGAAATTAATAATAGACCCTCTCTTTAAAAAGCGGTGACCCTAAGGGGTTGGTTTTATCCTTCCTCTCTCCCCTATCTGCAGAGGAAATTAATTGTCTCAAAACTTGGTGCTAATCAGAGGAAAAGTCCTCTCAGAATTTTTAGCCACACAGTGGGCCTCATGCTAATTTGAAGTCTGAATTTAAACGGAATTAGCAGCTCAAAAAACATTGAGCCATGAATGTGATTTAAAGTTAGACTTATAATGACAGGCCTCCAGGAGTGTGGCAGAAGCCAATGTGGGTTATCTCTGGAGGAACCCATCGTCATCCCAGGCCCTTAAGCAATTTCCAGAGATAAATTTTCAAGCAAACTGAGCAGCTCATAGTTAAAAAATCACAAGGATAGAAAGCAACAGCAGAACGAACAGACTTCAGAAACAGACCTAAAAATACTCTGGATCGCTATAGTAAACATATTTAATAAAGTAAGAGACAAGCTTGAAAATATGAGCAGTGGAAAGAATCTATAAAGAATAGGCAACATTTTTTTTCTGGGCAAGGTGGCCAAATAGGAAGAGCTCCAGTCTGCAGCTGCCAGCGAGACCAATGCAGAGGGTGGGTGATTTTTGCATTTCCAACTGAGGTATCCAGTTCATCTCACTGGGACTGGTTAGACAGTGGGTGCAGCCCACAGAGGGTGAGCAGAAGCAGGGTGGGGCGTCGCCTCACCTGGGAAGTGCAAGGGGTCGGGGAATGCCCTCCCCTAGCCAAGGGAAGTCATGGGGGACTATGCCATGATGGACGGTGCTATCCAGCCCAGATACTACACTTTTCCTGTGGTCTTCACAGCCTGCAGACCAGGAGATTCCTTTGGGAGCCTACACCACCAGGGCCCTGGGTTTCAAGCATGAAACTGGGTGGCCATTAGGGCAGACACCCAGCTAGGTGAAGGAGTTATTTTCATACCCCAGTGACACCTGGAAAGCCAGTGAGACAGAACTGTTCACTCGCCTGGAAAGGGGAATGAAACCAGGGGGCTGAGTGGTCTTGCTTAGTGGATCCCACCCCCAAGAAGCCCTACAAGCTAAGATCCACTGGCATGAAATTCTTGCTGCCAGCACAGCAGTCTGAAGTCGACCTGGGACACTTGAGCTTGGTGGGGGGAGGGGCGTCCACCATTACTGAGGCTTGAGTAGGCGGTTTTCCCCTTACAGTGTAAACAAAGCCACTGGGAGGTTTGGACTACGTGGAGCCCACCACTGCTCAGCAAAGCCACTGTAGCCAGACTGCCTCTCTAGATTCCTTCTCTCTGGGCAGGGCATCTCTGAAAGAAAGGCAGCAGCCCCAGTCAGGGGCTTATAGATAAAACTCTTCTCTCCCTGGGACAGAGCACCCAGGGGAAGGGGCGGCTCTGGGTGCAGCTTCAGCAGACTTAAATATTCCTGCCTGCTGACTCTAAAGAGAGCAGTGGATCTCCCAGCACAGCGCTTGAGCTCTCCTAAGGGACAGACTGCCTCCTCAAGTGGGTCCCTGACCCCTGAGTCTCCTGATCGGGAGACACCTCCCAGCAGGGGTCGACAGACACCTCATACAGGAGAGCTCCTGCTGGCATCTGGCAAGTGCCCCTCTGGGGCACTTCCAGAGGAAGGAGCAGGCAGCAATATTTGATGTTCTGCAGCCTCTGCTGGTGATACCCAGGTAAACAGGGTGTGGAGTGACCTCCAGCAAACTCCAGCAGACCTGCAGAAGGGGGGCCTGACTGTTAGAAGGAAAACTAACAGAAAGCGACAGCATCAACATCAACAAAAAGGATGACCGCACAAAGACCCCATCCGAAGGTCACCAACATCAAAGACCAAAGGTATATAAATCCATGAAGATGAGGAAAAACCAGAGCAAAAAGGCTGAAAATTCCAAAAACCAGAAAGCCTCTTCCCTCCGAAGAATCACAACTCTTCGCTAGCAAGGAAACAAAACAGGACAGAAAATGAGTTTGACAAATTGACAGAAGTAGGCTTCAGAATGTGGGTAATAACAAACTCCTCCAAGCTAAAGGAGCATGTTCTAACCCAATGCAAGGAAGCTAAGAACCTTGAAAAAAGGTTACAGAAAGTGCTAACTAGAATAACCAGTTTAGAGAAGAACATAAATGACCTGATGGAGCTGAAAAACACAGCATGAGAACTTTGTGAAGCATACACAAGTATCAGTAGCTGAATTGATCAAGTGGAAGAAAGGATATAAGAGATTGAAGATCAACTTAATGAAACAAAGCACGAAGACAAGATTAAAGAGAAAAGAATGAAAAGGAATGAACAAAGCCTCCAAGAAATATGGGACTGTGTGAAAAGAGAAAACCTACATTTGATTGGTGTACCTGAAAGTGATGGGGAGAATGGAACCAAGTTGGAAAACACACTTCAGGATATTATCCAAGAGAACTTCCCCAACCTAGCATGACAGGCTGACATTCAAATTCAGGAAATATGGAGAACACCACAAAGATACTCCTCGAGAAGAGCAACCTCAAGACACATAACGGTCAGATTCACCAAAGTTGAAATGAAGGAAAAAATGTTAAGGGCAGCCAGAGAGAAAGGTCTGGATACCCACAAAGGGAAGCCCATCAGACTAACAGTGGATCTCAATGCAGAAACCCTGCAAGCCAGAAGAGAGTGGGGGCCAATATTCAACATTCTTAAAGAAAAGAATTTTCAACCCAGAATTTCATATCCAATGAAACTAAGTTTCAGAAGTGAAGGAGAAATAAAATCCTTTACAGACAAGCAAATGCTGAGAGATTTTGTCACCACCAGGCCTGCCTTACAAGAGCTCCTGAAGGAAGCACTAAATATGGAAAGGAAAAACTGGTACCAGCCACTGCAAAAACATACCAAAATGTAAAGACCATTGACACTATGAAGAAACTGCATCAACTAATGGGCAAAATAACCAGCTAGCATCATAATGACAGGATCAAATTCACACATAACAATTTTAACCTTAAATGTAAACAGGCTAAATGCCCCAATATAAAGACAGACTGGCAAATTGGATAAACAGTCAAGACCCATTGGTGTGCTGTATTCAAGAGACCCATCTCACATGCAAAGACACACATAGGCTCAAAATAAAGTGATGGAGAAATATTTACCAAGCAAATGGAAAGCCAAAAAAAGCAGGAGTTGCAATCTTAGTCTCTGATAAAACAGACTTTAAAGCAACAAAGATCAAAAAAGACAAAGAAAGGCATTACATAATGGTAAAGGGATCAATTCAACAAGAAGAGCTAACTATCCTAAATATTTACAGACCTAATACAGGAGCACCCAGGTTCATAAACCACATTCTTAGAGAACTACAAAGAGACTTAGAGTCCTGCACAATAATAGTGGGAGACTTTAACACCCCACTGTCAATATTAGACAGATCAATGAGACAGAAAATTAACAAGTATATTCAGGACTTGAACTCAGCTCTGAACCAAGAGGATCTAATAGACATCTATAGAACTTTCCTGCCCAAATCAACAGAATATACATTCCTCTCAGCACCACTTCGAATTTATTCTAAAATTGACCACATAATTGGAAGTAAAACACTCCTTAGCACATGCAAAAGAACAGAAATCATAACAGTCTCTGAGACCACAGTGCAATCAAATTAGAACTCAGGATTAAGAAACTCATTCAAAACTGCACAACTACATAAAAACTGAACAACCTGCTCCTGAATGACTACAGGGTACAAAACGAAATTAAGGCAGAAATAAATAAGTTCTTTTCAACCAATGACAACAAAGACACAATGTACCAGAATCTCTGGGACATAGCTAAAGCAGCATTTAGAGGGAAATTTATAGCACTGAATGCCCACAAGAGAAAGCAGGAAAGATCTAAAATTGACACCCTAACATCACAATTGATAGAATTAGAGAAGCAAGAGCAAACAAATTCAAAAGCTAGCAGAAGGCAAGACATAGCTAAGATCAGAGCAGAACGAAAGGAGTTAGAGACATGAAAAACCCTTCAAAAAATCAATGAATCCAGGAGCTGGCTTTTTGAAAAGATTAACAAAATAGATAGACTGCTAGCTCGACTAATAAAGAAGAAAAGAGAGAAGAATCAAATAGATGCAATAAAAAATGATAAATGGGAGATCACCACTGATCCCACAGAAATACAAACTACCATCAGAGAATACTATAAACACCTCTATGCAAATAAACTAGAAAATCTAGAAGAAATTGATAAATTCCTGGACACATACACCCTCCCGAGACTGAACCAGGAAGAAGTCGAATCTGTGAATAGACCGATAACAAGTTCTGAAATAGAGGCAGTAATTAATAGCCTACCAACCAAAAAAAGCCCAGGGCCAGATGGATTCACAGCCAAATTCTACCAGAGGTACAAAGAGGAGCTGGTACCATTCTTTCTGAAACTATTCCAAACAATAGAAAAAGAGGGACTCCTCCCTAACTCATTTTATGAGGCCAGCATCATCCTGATACCAAAACCTGGCAGAGACACAATAAAATAAAAAAAGAAAGAAAATTTCAGGCCAATATCCCTGGTGAACATTGATGCGAAAATCCTTGATAAAATACTGGCAAACTGAATCCAGCAGCACATTAAAAAGTTTATCGACCACAATCAAGATGACTTCATCCCTGGGATTCAAGGCTGGTTCAACATATGCAAATCAATAAATGTAATCTATCATATAAACAGAACCAATGACAAAAACCACATGATTATCTCAATAGATGCAGAAAAGGCCTTCAACAAAATTCAACAGCCCTTCATTCTAAAAACACTCAATAAACGAGGTATTGATGGAACGTATCTCAAAAAAATAAGAGCTATTTATGACAAACCCACAGCCAATATCATACTGAATGGGGAAAAGCTGGAAGCATTCCCTTTGAAAACCGGCACAAGACAAGGATGCCCTCTCTCACCACTCCTATTCAACATGGTATTGGAAGTTCTGACCAGGGCAATCAGGCAAGAGAAAGAAATAAAGCGTATTCGAATAGGAAGAGAGGAAGTCAAATTATCTCTGTGTGTAGAAGGCATGATTGTATATTTAGAAAACCCCACCATCTCAGCCCCAAAACTACTTAAGTTGATAAGCAACTCCAGCAAAGTCTCAGGATACAAAATCAATATGCAAAAATCACAAGCATTCCTATACACCAATAATAGACAGACAGCCTAATCAACTCCCATTCACAATTTCTATGAAGAGAATAAAATACCTAGGAATATAATTTACAAGGGATGTGAAGGACCTCTTCAAGGAGAACTACAAAGCACTGCTCAGGGAATAAGAGAGGACACAGACAAATGGAAAAACATTCCATGCTCATGTATAGATTCAATGCTATCCCCATCAAGCTGTCATTGACTTTCTTCACAGAATTGGAAAAAGCTACTTTAAATTTCATATGGAACCAAAAAAGAGCCTGTATAGCCAAGAGAATCCTAAGCTGGCAGCATCATGCTACCTGACTTCAAACTATACTACAAGGCTACAATAACCAAAACAGCATGTTACTGGTCCCAAAACAGATATATAGACCAATGGAACAGAACAGAGGCCTCAGAAATAACATGACACATCTACAACTGTCTGATCTTTGACAAACCTGACAAAAACAAGCAATGGGGAAAGGATTCCGTGTTTAATAAATAGTGTTGGGAAAACTGGCTAGCCATATGCAGAAAACTGAAACTGGAACTGGACTCCTTCCTTACACCTTATACAAAAATTAACTCAAGATGGATTAAAGATTTAAATGTAAGACCTAAAACCATAAAAACCCTAGAAGAAAACCTAGGCAATACCATTCAGGACATAGACGTGGGCAAGACTTCATAACTAAAATACCAAAAGCAATGGCAACAAAAGCAAAAATTGACAAATGGGATTTACTTAAACTAAAGAGCTTCTGTACAGTAAAATAAACTATCATCAGAGTGAACAGGCAACCTACAGAATGGGAGAAAATTTTTGCAATCTATCCATCTGAGGAAGGGCTAATATCCAGAATCTACAAGGAACTTAAACAAATTTACTAGAAAGAAAACAAGCAACCCCATCAAAAAGTGGGCGAAGGATATGAACAGACACTTCTCAAAAGAAGACATTTATGTGGCCAACAGACACATGAAAAAAGCTCATCATCACTGGTCATTAGAGAAATGAAATCAAAACTACATGAAGATACCATCTCATGCCAGTTAGAATGATGATCATTAAAAAGTCAGGAAAACACAGATGCTGGAGACGATGTAGAGAAATAGGAAGTCTTTTCCACTGTTGGTGGGAGTGTACATTGGTTCAACCATTGTGGAAGACAGCATGGCGATTTCTCAAGGATCTAAAACTAGAAATACCATTTGACCCAGGAATCCCATTACTGGGTATATACCCAAAGGATTATAAAGCATTCTGTTATAAAGACACATGCACATATTCACAGTGTGCACTATTTATTGCAGCACTATTCACAATAGCAAAGACTTGGAAGCAACCCAAATGCCCATCAATGACAGACTGGATAAAGGAAATGTGGCACATATACACCATGGAATACTATGCAGCCATAAAGAGGGAGTTCATGTCCTTTGCAAGGACATGGATGAAGCTGGAAACCACCATTCTCAGCAAACTAACACAGGAACAGAAAACCAAACACCTCCTGTTCTCACTCATAAGTGGGAGTTGAACAATAAGAACATACGGGCACAGGGAGGGGAACATCACACACCAGGGCCTGTCAGGGGATGGGGAGCAAGGGGAGGAATAGCATTAGGAGAAATACCTCATGTAGATGACAGGTTGATGGGTGCAGCAAACCACCATGGCATGTGTATACCTATGTAACAAACCTGCACGTTCTGCACATGTATCCCAGAACTTAAAGTATAATAAAAAATTAAAAAGTCACTAATTAAAAAAAAAAGATGTCACTAAAACAACAATAACAAAAAAAGATCAGGCAAGCAAATCTGAAATAGAATAAAACAGAACTGCATAAAATTATAAGTATTATAATTGAATTAACATATGTATTGTTTTTAACAATTTATTAGTTACCGCTAAGCAGAATTAGTCAACTGGAAGATAAGAGAAGAAATTATTCAGAATGTAGAAACAGAAAAAGAGATGGAAAAGATAAAAGAGAGGTTAAGAGTTATGGCAGATAGAGTTAAAATGGCCAGAAATAAATCCAAATATATCAGTAGTTATAATCCATGAGAATGAACTAAACATTCCAATGAAAAGGCAAATATGACCATATCAAATAGGAAACAAAATGTAGTTTATTCATTTACTGCTTAGGCAAAAGGAACAATGAGCAAATGCTAATTAGGAGATAACTGGTTTCACTTTATTAATATCAAAATAAACCATAAGGGAAAAATATTTCTAGTGGAGGAATATCTTCATTTCGAGATGGTTAAGTTCAATAGAAAGATATAATAATAAAGTTTATACAAACCTTAAAAATGCTGCCTCGAAATAGATAAAGTAAAAATTTACAGAACTTCAATGAAAAATAGGCAAATCCAGCATCACAGTGAGAGGTTTTTTTTTTTTTATCTTTTAAAATTTTTTGTAGGGGTAGGGTTTTGTTATGTATCCCAGGTTGGTCTCAAACTCCTGGCCTTAAGCTATCCTCCACCTCAGCCTCCCAAAGTTCTGGGATTACGGGTGTGAGCCACTGTGCCCAGCTGAGATTTTAATATATCTCCTTAGTAAGAAGACAAGCAGGCTAAGAAAATAACCACTAAGGATAGATAAAATTTGCATAACACAATTAACAAGTTTCATATAATCATAGATCAGTTCCATAAATGAAATACTGCAATCAGTTTCAGGAAACCCACACTTCAGAGGCACACAAGAAACATTTATGAAAATCAACAACATATGAGTCCACAAGGCAAGGCTCAACACATTTAAAAGATTTTAATCACATAGGTCATATTCTCTAATCATAGTATAATTAAGCTAAAAATAAAAAAGAAAAATATGACAAAAATTTTATTTATTTAGACACCTGAAGACATAATTCTAAACATTCCAAGGCCAAAGGAGAAATAACAAGGAGAATTACAGCCTATTTAGAATGAAATAGAATGGAAAATATTACTTATGAAAAGTTTTAGGTTTTCACTGAAGCTATATTTGGGGAAAAATTTATAGTCTAAGGCATAGTCAGACAAGAATCGTGGAAGAAAATTAATGAACTAGGTATTCCTCTTAAGAAGTTAGAAAAAGAATAGCAAAATAAACCCAAAGGAAGTAGAAGGAATTAAATAACAAAGATAGAAGCAGAAAATGAACATGTAATAAAGATCAGCAAAGCCAAAGTGTTTTTAAAAGACTAATAAAATTGACACACTGAAAACTTAATGGCAGAGATAGGAGGTACAAATTAATATTATAAATGTAAAGATATGATTACAGATGCTGCAATTATTAAGATGGAAATAAGGTCTTTTGAATAATGCCAATCAATTTAAAAATTTAGATGAAACTGACAAATTCTAGGAAAATATAACTCAACAAACTGATTCAGGAAAAAATAGAAACTATGAATAATTTTATAATCAATAAAGATACTCAATGAGTACTATGAAGTATTCCCACCAAAAATAATCAGGCCCAGACAATTTTACTGTTAAACGCTATTAAACATTCAATGAACAAATAATCTCAATTTTATAAAATTTCTTGTAGAATATATGAGTCTAGCATACTCTTAATACCAAAACTTGACAAAGACAGTACAAAAAATACAAATGACAGTTCAGTGGCATTTACGAACATAGAGGCAATCATTCTACACAAAATATCAGCAAGCTGGATTGAGCAATGCATGAAAAGAATAATACCCCATGGATAAGTTGGATTTATCCCAAAGACTTTTAAGATTAGTTTAACATTAGAAAGTCAATTAATAAATTAAAGGGGAAAACTACAAAGTCATCTCAGTAGTAATGGAAAAATGTATTGCTAAAATTCACCATATATTCACAATATAAACACTGAGCAACTAGATATAGGAAGAAACTTTATTAACCTCAAAAATCAGGCTAAAGTATCCCAACAGCAAACATGATAAGAAATGGAGAACTATTGACTGGGTGTGGTGGCTCATGCCTGTAATCCCAGCACTTTGGGAGGCCAAGGTAGTGGATTACCTGAGGTTAGGAGTTTGAGACTGGCCTCGCCAACATGGTGAAACCCCATCTCTACAAAAAATTAGCTGGGCGTGATGGCACATGCCTATAATCCCAGCTACTCAGGAGGCGGAGACACAAAAATTGCTTGAACTGGGATGGAGAGGTTGCAGTTAGCTGAGATCGTGCCGCTACACCCCAGCCTGGGTGACAGTGGGAGACTCTGTCTCAAAAAAAATAAAATAAATAAAATAAAATAAAAAAAGGAAAACTATTGAAAATATTTTCTTTAATATCAGAATAAGACTAAAGTGCTTATCATCTCTACTTCTATTTCATGTACTTCTATTTCAGTGATGCTGACCTGTTCAGTAAGGGAAGATTGAAAAGGAAGCATCCTAAGAGTCATTAGTAACAGAATATAAAATTTTCTATATAGGAAATCTAAAAGAATCTACAGACAAATTATTAAGATTAATAAGAAAGTTTAGCAAAATGATTGGATAAACAACCAATAAAAACAAGAATAACAGCAAAACAATACATTTTTATATACCAGCAATCATTTTAATAATGAAGTAAAATATCAAAATAGTGTTCAAAAATAAGAGGTACCTAGTAAAACATTTTAAAAATACAAAAAATTAGGTGGAAAATATAATAAAAGTGTATTGAAAGAATTAAAAGACTTAAAAATGAGCACGGATATGAATACACACACATACACGCTAGCTTGGGTGTGGGTGTCATACTGGCAATGATGGGTGATAGAATCCCTAACCATTGCCACTGCATACATTAAAGGGTTGCTGTTAGGTTCAAGTTCAGGTTCCAGCCCATGCTGAGGTCTGAAGGGAGTGGGGGGACGAATGGCAGATAGCTGAAAGAACACTCGATGGGGGGCCGTAGGTAGCTGAAATACAGCTTCATTCAGCAGCTCTCTTATCAGCAGCTGTCTTACACTGTCTGCTCTGTCTTGGCTGCTTGAGCCAGCCACTCCCATGCACAGCTGTACGGCCAGCTCTCCCTCGCCTTCAGGGTCAGTAGCTTAACTCTGTCTCTCTCTGGGCATGAGCGCACCTGTACAGTGTCAGCAGGGCAATTATATATTTTACAGACAATAGTGGCTTAGAGCCAAATGATAAGCCTTCCCATGTTATGGCTACATGGCTGTGATAACAAGTGGAGTTATATGCCTGCACTCTAAACTCGCTGAGTCACTTTGGATGTTTACCTCGGCCTATCCTTGACGAAAGCACAGCCATGTTCCTTACAATTACAAGTGACTCTGAAGACTGGTAGGAAAGACCACTGGGTTCCTGACTTTCTACTAAGGAGAGACTTGCACAGCAGCGAGATTCAGTGGCTTTTGAGGGGATACCTGAAGAAGTTAAGCACTTAATGTATATTGTGTTTCAGCCTCTGAGCTATTCAAATTCCAAGGCTTTAGAGAATATTAGGCAGCATCCAGGCTTTAGATCTGGCTGCAGTAAAGTGGATCTCTTGAAGCTTGGTCTTGGACAAACAGAAAATGATTTTGCAAGAGACACTTTATGATAAAAGGAGACATCTCAGATTTATGGCTTGCTGGAACAAGGCTGAATTACATGTGGCGAGCTTCAAACCTTGAGGGTTTAGTCTGTATCTTCAATTACTGTCAGACGAGGCTTCATCAGGCTCTAGGTGCTTTGCTTTAAGGCATCCCATGGAAAGAAATCATGCTGCTGGAATGAAAAGGGGGCTTGCATAAGTACCAATTTAGTGAGATGCAACCATTGTCAGGGTAAGCACAAGCCTGGTTAAGGTGGGCATGAAAGTCCTCTTGTGCCCTTGTGTCCTCTTCCTATGTGGAAGTTATCACCATGTTATTATTACCCATTGAAAATCATCAGGAAAAAAGCCAGGAGCCCAAAGCCCATTCAGACTATTCATCTCAGTGTATTTAATCACACAACTGCCAGCCTTTGCGTAATCACAGCCAGTGCAGGCGGTAAATGGCATTTCAGCAATGTTACTGTCAGGTCCTGCCTTTTCCCAGCCTCTGTGGCTCACTTCCTCCCACAGCTGAGATGATTTGACCCCCACCAGCAGGGTCAGCCCCACAATAGTTTCTAGGAAAATAATTGCAAATATGCCTGTGACACTTCCTACTTTCCTACTCGAGGTAGGCATCATTAATGGATCACCATTCTCATTTCTGCTAAGCCCAGATAAATGCAATCTTAGAATTCCCCTCAACTCGGTGCTCCATGCAGCTGTATCCAACTGCCTAGGATTAGCAGGCAGGAGAGAACCTATTTGGCTTTTTTTGCTCTTGGATGAATTAGATGTAGGAAAACCATGAAGAGAGCCAGCCTAGGACTATAGCTCCCACATAAAGTCACCCATGCTGCCCAAAAGGTATGGTATTTACATTCTAATGAAACATATTCTAATGGAAAAGACAGGTTATAAACAAACAAACAAATAAATCGGTAGAAATAAATGCTAAGAAGAAAATTAAATCAGGGCAAGGTATGCACACATGGAAAAACTAATTAAATTCATGGTTTGAATATGTACATTTTACTGTATTCCAATTATATGTCAATAAAATTGAGGGGAAGATAAATTTAGAAGAAAAATGATGGTGGATGCTGCAAGAGAAGAGTAGTGTTTTAGAGAGAATGGCCAAGGAATTCCTTTCTCAAGTATCAGCAATATAAAAGCAGAGCCTCTGTGAAGCGATATCATGGAACAGGAAACTATCTAGGAAAGAGAATCCCAGGTTGCTGAAGAGTGATAGGAAATCATTTGATTAATATTCCTCTAAATTTTCAGATGAGCTTTAGCAAGGTTATGTAATTTGTCTAAGTTATTGTATGAGTTAAGGTAATAGTCGCTACAGTAACAGTAACCCCCTAAATCTCAGTTTCAACACAATAGAAATGCATTTATTGTTCACCTGAAATCCAGAGCAGATGTTTCTGAGTGGCCAGGGCTTTCCTCCAAGCAGTGATTATTCAGAGGCCAAGCCCCATCTATCTTATAGTTTTACCTCTCAACTCCAAGGTCAACCCAATGGTGCAGCAGCATGGAGAATTGAGTGGAGGACCAGTCCCGATTGCTTCCACTCACCATGCATTGGCTAAAATGCAGTCATGTCTAGTTAGTTGCCACAACTAACAACAAGGGATGTGTGTTCACGAAGAAGAGGATTCAGGTGTGAAATCTGCCAGTAGGGAGGCATCACGCTGACTTCAAACTATACTACCAGGCTACAGTAACCAAAACAGCATGGTACTGGTACCAAAACAGAGAAATAGACCCATGGAACAGAATAGAGCCCTCAGAAATAACACCACACATCTACAACCATCTGATCTTTGACAAACCTGACAAAAACAAGAAATGAGGAAAGGATTCCCTATTTAATAAATGGTGCTGGGAAAACTGGCTAGCCATATGTAGAAAGCTGAAACTGGATCCCTTCCTTACACCTTATACAAAAATTAATTCAAGATGGATTAAAGATTTAAACATTAGACCTACAACCGTAAAAAACCCTAGAAGAAAACCTAGGCAATACCATTTAGGACATTGGCATGGGCAAGGACTTCATGACTAAAACACCAAAAGCAATAGCAACAAAAGCCAAAATAGACAAATGGGATCTAATTAAACTAAAGAGCTTCTACACAGCAAAAGAAACTACCATCAGAGTGAACAGGCAACCTACAGAATGGGAGAAAATTTTCACAATCTATCCATCTGACAAAGGGCTAATATCCAGAATCTACAAAGAACTTAAACAAATTTACAAGAAAAAAAACAAACAACCCCATCAAAAAGTGGGCAAAAGATATGAACAGACACTTTTCAAAAGATGACATTTATGCAGCCAACAGACACATGAAAAAATGCTCATCATCACTGGTCATCAGAGAAATGCAAATCAAAACAACGAGACACCGTCTCATACCAGTTAGAATGGCAGTCAGTAAAAAGTCAGGAAACAACAGATGCTGGAGAGGCTGTGGAGAAATAGGAATACTTTTACACTGTTGGTGGGAGTATAAACTAGTTCAACCATTGTGGAAGTCAGTGTGGCGATTCCTCAAGGATCTAGAACTAGAAATACCATTTAACCCAGCCATCCCATTACTAGGTATATAACCAAAGGATTATGAATCATGCTACTATAAAGACACATGCACACATATGTTTACTGCAGCACTATTAACAATAGCAAAAACTTGGAACCAACCCAAATGTCCATCAATGATAGTCTGGATTAAGAAAATGTGGTACATATATACCATGGAATACTATGTAGCCATAAAAAGGGATGAGTTCATGTCCTTTGCAGGGACATGGATGAAGCTAGAAACCATTCTGAGCAACTATCACAAGGACAGAAAACCAAACACCACATGTTCTCACTCATAGGTTGGAATTGAACAATGAAAACACTTGGACACAGGACAGGGAACATCACCCACGGGGGCCTGTCATGAGGTCGGGGGCAGGGAGAGGGATAGCATTAGGAGAAATACCTAATGTAAATGAGGAGTTAATGGGTGCAGCAAACCAACATGGCACATGTATACATATGTAACAAAGCTGCACATTGTGCACATGTACCCTAGAACTTAAAGTATAATTAAAAAAAAAAAAAAGAAATCTACCAGTGGTTTCCTCCATAGTTACACAGTAGCTGGATCAGGATTCACACCTACCTCTGTCTGCCTCTGGAGTCAACTCTATCATTGCCCTCTTCTGTCTTCCTGAGGGAAGCTTCTTTTGCACTCATCTGATGCCTGCCCCCTGCCCCAGCAGCTTAGCCTGGTCTCTGTGTCTGCCGACAGACTTTGCTTGGCCCTGCTGCCTGCCCGTGTGTTTCTGAGTATTGTCTGTTCCTACACTCTCTTTCCCTGTATTTTGGTCATGCATCAGCATGCTGGCTCCCCTGTTGTCTGGGCTTAGTCCCTCACATGCCGAAAGTCTGCCTGCCACAATGAACTTGCGGCCAGAGCTCATCCCTCTGCCCCAGCATCAGCTCCACCTCAATAGGCAGGCTTCTCCCAGTATTGTTTGGCTTTGTGGCAACTAAGGGGAATTTACTCTCTTTGCTAAATGCAGGCACTATATTTGGAAAATCAATGGTTTTAGCACACACAACCAATGTGACCATTGTGGTTAAAGGAAAGGTAGTTTAGGTACTTTTTGTAGGATAAAAGCAGACATCCCTAACTTTTAAATGATTTGAAAATCTTCAGCACCCGTGTATGTAGAGACCCAGGTCTGGAGTGTATGAGTGAATGGAGTCTCAGAATACAAGCATTGCACATATCTAGGATCACACAGGGCCTGGGGTATGGAAGGGATGGTTTAGGGCACCCCATGCCATGACCAGAAAGTAGCTAAGGTACAAGTCCTGCTGATGGCAGGCTGTAGGGATCATCTTTGCGCATAAAAGAGAAAACACAGTTATACATAACACATTTATATAGGGCATAAACATCTCAATGAATTTTTCACTAAATTCACTTGTTTTATCATTTTATGGTATGGTTTTATCCTCATAGCATAGCACATAGTAGTTTCTTAATACACATTTGTAAAATGAAGAATGACTGATGGATGCATGCATGAATGAAAAGGTAGGGTGGAACATAAAGTTCCTCAATCCTTAACATGTATGAGTAAACGTATCAATAAGCAACAAATATAAACGATTGAGGATTTGTGAAGTTAATTTATTATCACAATTTAATAAGCCTTT
The DNA here is from genome assembly GCF_000001405.40 of Homo sapiens. Classification (NCBI taxonomy): domain Eukaryota; kingdom Metazoa; phylum Chordata; class Mammalia; order Primates; family Hominidae; genus Homo; species Homo sapiens. Next base: position 97,321,185 of record NC_000008.11, on the reverse strand, counting down.
TAATAGAGTTAATCTGATGCATGCAATGATGTGCCTATGAGAATATAAAATTAATATAGTATATATGTTAAGCAATTCACCTGCATGGCATTTCTGGAGGTGGGGTCAGGGGAAGACCCACTGCACTCCCTGAGGGCTTCTCTATCCTATGAGGCCTGGGGAGCCTGACTTTTCATGCTCAAGCTCTGGTGTCTGGGAAGATAATCACAAGTAATACAAATGATCTCATAAAGATAAATTTATGCTAACAATTTCTTTAGTCCTCCAACTCACATTTGTTTTTACTTTAAAATACCAAACATGATCTGTGGGATCACGCCTGTAATCCCAGCACTTTGGGAAGCTAAGGTGGGAGGATGTCTCAAGGCTAGGAGTTCAAAACCAGCCTGGGCAACATAGCAAGACTTCATCTCTATAAAAAAATTTAAAAATTAGCCAAGCATGAGTGGGCACACCTGTAGGCCCAGCTACTCATGAGACTGAGTTGGGAGGATTGCTTGAGCCCAGGAGGTTGAGGCTGCAGTGAGTTGTGATTACACCACTGCACTCCAATGTAGGTGGCAGAGAGAGACTCTGTCTCCATAAAAACAAAACAAACAAAAAATAAGTACCAAACATAAGCTGAGTGAGCCTATAAATGTCTAAATATTAAGCAGGTTAATATTTATACTGGATTAGATTTAAAAAGGAACTCAAAATCAGCCACCACTACACTTAAACTCCAAATATAGAGAGAGCTAGGAAATAGAAGTAGGGAAGAATTTAACAACAAAACAAAACAAAAGAAAACAAAACACCACCTCTGCCATCTTGCCCTTATATAAGCTAAATGACATCAAAGTGGCAGAGATAAGACTACCAAAGTTAAAGCAAGCATTGTAGTTATTTTTAAGGTGGTGGGATAAATTTGAAGAGCAATATCTCAACCAAATAAGAGATTTCATGGAATAATTGTGTTTGTTTTTTGCAGGGGGTTCGGGGTCTTTTAGAGATACCCCAGAAAGGAATAGATCCAAGAAAGGAAAAGAGAAGAGAGGAAAAGAAAATGAAGACAAGGAAAAGACAAGGAAAGAAAGAGAGAGAAAGGCAGGGGAAAATAAAAACACAAGAAAAAGACAAAGAAGAAGCCTTGGCTCTACCCCTGGCTCACATGTGGATACACACACACACACACACACACACACACACTCTCTCTCTCTCTCTCTCACACACACACACTCTCACACACACACTCTCTCACACTCTCACACACACATATACACTCTCTCTCTCACACACACACACACCCTCCACACACTTTCCTGTGTCTGAGGCACTAGATCAATTCCTGCCCTTATTCTCCCTCCCTGAAATTTTCCTTTTCCCTGGATAATCCCTGGGATGATTTTAGCTTTATTACAGTGTGAATACTCCAGAAAAAGAGGCCAAAGTGACAAAAACAAAGCTCTCCTCTGTGGCAATGCTCAGGTGACCCTGTGCGTTTCATCTCCTCAAGGTGTTCTGTTATAGTGGTCATCACTCGACCTGAGGCTGTGGGAATATTAGTAAGGCCTGTTTTCCCCACATGACAGATGAAGAAACAGGCCCAGTGAGGCCATCTGTCTTGCCCTCCATGCCTCCATGGATGGGAATTTAGTCTGAGCATTCTTTGCCTCCATCTTCTCCTCCTTATCACGCTGCTTCTTGCCTTAGGTCAGGCTCCGATGGCCTCTTCCATGGACTACTGCCATGCCTTGAGCCAATGGACCGAGTAGCCAATAGCTGGCTGATTATGAACTGTGGGTATTTTCCTCTGCTGCGTGCCCCAGTTCCCACACCTTTCAAGTGTATCTGAAAGGGTGGTTGAAGAGGTTAAAGAAGATAGCCTGTGTGAACCTGCCTAGCCAAACGAGGGTGTCAGAGAGAGAGACCATTTTGCTCTCCTTTTCCTTCTCATCCACCTTTCACGCTGATGCCCCAGCAATCTTTCTGAAATGCAAACCCAGTCAAGTTATTTTCCTTTTGGTACCCATCCCCCTTATTAGATAAAGACCAGACTTCTAACCATGGTTGGCTCTACCCCTGGCTCACATGTGGATACACACACACACACACTCTCTCTCTCTCTGTCTCACACACACACACTCTCTCTCTCTCACACACACACACACACACACACCCTCCACACACTTTCCTGTGTCTTCATCACCTGAGTCCCCCTATTTTTCTGGCCTAATCTGCCATGTCAAAGGACACTTTCCTTCCAGTCGCACAAAATAACACAAAATTTCCTCAAATGAACAATTTTCCATTAATCCAAGCCTTTTCATGCATTATTACTCCCACTTGGAATTTTCTGCCTTCCATTGTCTATTTGGTGAGCATCTAGTCATTCTTAAAGACTCTGTTCAAACAGGCCACGTTTTGTAGAGCCCCTCAAACCCTCATGCTCTCAGGCTCTGTCCTTAGTGGGCCTATCTCACTGTGTGCACATGCCTCCAGTTTAGCAACCACCACTCTGCATTGCACTGCTAGTTTCCTTATCTCTCTCCCAGACTGGGAGCTCTCTAAGAGTGGCTGCCTGATCATACTCTTCTCAGTATCCCCAGCACACACTTAGTGCTAACTGATGTTTGTTGAATGACAAATTTGAGCTGCTTAGGATCATACAGATAACCAATACATAGTGAAGACAGCATTGTTTCCTTTCTGTTATGAGATGAATTGTGTCACTCAAAAAAGATATGTTGATGTCCTAACTCCAGTATCTCAGAATGTCACCTTATTTGAAAATAGAGTTTTTGTAGATGTAATTAGTTAAGATGAGGTCATATTGGATTAGAGTGGGCCCCCAATCCAGTATTACTAGTGTCCTTATGGGAAGAGGAGAAGGGACACAGACTCACTCAGACAGGACCATGTAATGATGGAGGCAAAGATTGGAGACAAGGAATTGCATCTACAAGACAAGGAATGCCAGGGATTGTTAGGAACCACCAGAAGGTGGAAGAGGCAAGGAAGCATTCTTCCCTAGAGCCTTCGGAGAGAACATGGCTCTGCCAACACCTTGATTTCAGACTTCTAGCCTCCAGAGCTAAGAGCCAACCAGTTGCCATTGCCTTAAGCCAGTTAGTTCATGGTACTTTGTAATGGCAGCCCTACAAAAGGAATACATGTTCCAGCAGTCCATATGCTCAATCCTTGTCCTTCACATTTAAATATGATACTGCTGATTGTTTTCCTGTCTTTGCGCAGCAGTCATAGAAAGGCCATTACATAGGAAAAGAATGACCACAAACCTCATGAAGCAAAAGCTTCAGGGCCCCTCACTGAGGAAGCCCATTCCAAGGACATGGGTGGGTTTCCAGCTTTATGTCCACATGATGATACATTTTTGTAAAATTTGCAAAGTGGTATTTTAACCATGATCAATTAAGAGCACTGTCTTTCTCTTGGGTCAGGTGACTAACATGACTATGAACTTTCTGGGATCCTGCCAAGGTAATGTAAAGCTGGAGAGACATTTAATTTAACTTAGTGGGATATATTTACATAGTTTGCAGTTACTTGCATGTATTGTTCCATTACTGCTGGCTCTCCGGTGCAGATGACTTTCTGAAATCCTTCTCTCACTCACTGTGCTCACTCACTGGGTGAAGTGACACAACAGTGCAAGGCTGGAGACCACACCACAGTATGACCATAGTGTGCTTGTGTCCTTCAGTGCCTAGTCCCAAAATAGCGGGGGAGAAACAAGGTTTGAAGTGTATTCGCACTAACCTGTGAAAATTTCTTTTATTACCAGATGTGTAAAATTATAATTAGGAAACTAGATGCGCATCAACTCTTAGTCGAAATGAAGTTCTCTTCTGTTAGAAATATACTTTAGGCCAGGTACTGTGACTCACATCTATAATCCCAGCACTTTGAGAGGCTGAGGTGGGAGGATTGCTTGAGGCCAGGGGTTTTAGACCAGCCTGGGCAACATAGCAAGACCCCATTTCTACAAAAAAATATATATTTTTTAATTAGCCAACCAAGGGTGGTACATGCATGTAGTCCCAGCTACTTGGGAGGCCGAGGTGGGAGGATTGCTTGAGCCCAGAAGGTTGAGGCTGCAGTGAGCTATGATTGTGCCACTGCACTCTAGTCTGGGAGACAGAGCAAGACTCTGTTTCCTCAAAAAAAAAAAAAAATAAATAAATAAACTTTAGTAATGTAGTGTGTGCGCTGATCATACATCTTACAGTTTTTCCTATTATAATGGGAGTCTCATAAGATAGAATTTATCTGAATTCTTGTATTTGTAGGATACCAACCTGTGACAGTACTTTAAGCAGTGACTCCATTCAAAATGTAAAGTTGCATATTTTTGCATGCATATCACATTATAGTTTTGTGAATCTAATGTATCTTGTCCTGATGAAATCTGGTGGTTCGAGATGAAACAGCATGCAAGAAACAGCCTGAAAAAACAAATGTTCTACTGAACAAAACTCCTACACGTACTCATCTTTGAATCATTGTGTATCGTAAGAGTAATTTGTTGTACAAATTATGTAGCACATTATAATATAGTGGACTTTTAAAGTACATTTTCTCTAGTGAATGTGTGTCATGAATTCTAAAAACTCTTAAAATTAGCCAAGAAATGCCCTGAAATCCTACAGCTGATTAAAAAAGCAACCAGATACAAGTTTCCCCAAATTTGATAACCACCCAAAAAATTTATGTAAGATAATCAATAACAAATTGTGAAGTAGAAAGTAACTTTTCTGTGCGATTAATAATACAAAACAACCTTTTTTTTTTTGCTAGAAGACTGAACTGTTTTCTCTCCAGAAAAGATTATACAGTTTTTCTGATATGAAGAGTGAAAATCATAGTATGAAGCCAAGAACTGAAAGAAGGAAGCATTGTAGAAGCATATCAGCAGTTATTCAATAGAAATATTAGGTTTCTGGATTTTGTGATACTTAATAGTCAACTTTGTTATATTTCTAATTTGTTATGCTTTCTTCTCACAGTCTAAATAAATATTCACTTTTCTACCTACTTTTATTTTATTTATTTATTTACTTTATTTTGAGACAGGGTCTCACTCTGCCACCCAGGCTAGACTGCAGTGGCATGATCTCTGCTCACTGCAACTTCTGTCTCCCAGGTTCAAGCAATTCTCCCACCTCAGCCTCCCACCTCAGCAGGTGCGTGCCACCATGCCTGGCTAAGTTTTGTATTTGTAGTAGAGACGGGTTTCACCATGTTGGCCAGGCCGGTCTTGAACTCCTGACCTGAAGTGATCCACCCGCCTCAGCCTCCCAGAGTGCTGGGATTACAGGCATGAGCCACTGCGCTCAGTCTGCATCCTTTTTCTTAAAGAAGGCCCTCCCCCTGAATTATAGGTCCCACATAACCGGGATCTGACCATGCTCATACATAATGAAGATTGACATGATTTATTCATCAAGTTGTATTGAAAGCCAGCCGCAGGCAGGGCAATGTGGTAGGGACTTTATGGTATAAAGTGGGAAGAGCCCTGGGTAGGAGTCAGGGGCCCAGGGGTCCAGTCTTAACTTCCCCAGAGAGGGCCACATGAGATTGGCCATGTCCCTTTCCCTCGTTAAAACTTGGTTTTTTCTTCAGTTAGAAGAGGAATTTGGATTAACTATGTTCTAAAGCTCATCTTCACTCAGCAATTTTATGAACGTGCATTTCAGAGTCAGCTCAAGCCTTATTATTTACAAATAATATCATCATCTAGCTGTTTCTGTCCTCTAGGAGTTTATGACTGGGTGAGCCAAGATTGGCCTTTGGTTCGTAGTGGTGGGCAATGCTTGCTGGCAGTTCTGTTCCCTTGTTTCATGGATTGGTTTACATCTTGGGGGAGCTGCATCAAGAGGTATTCCTGTCTGGCTGTCTGGGGCACGATTCTATGACTTTGTTTTCACAGACCTTAATTTCTAATAGAACATTCTATTTGATGTTTCTTCTGTGCTGAGGGGATTCTCGAGGAACCTGACTATGATTTCTGCCATGGGACAGTCCTCATTGTCACACGGGATATTGCCATGACAGTATTCTGTAGTGCTTTGGTTTGCTAAGGAGCCATCTTCTGTATAAATGTCAAAAACAAATTTTCATCAACCAGCTAATGTTTATCTTATAATAGAAAATTAGCAGAGGGTGCTTCAGTTGACACTTCTATTTTTATTTTCATGACTAAGTTAATCATCGACTGTTTTATTTATTATTCGTTTATTGATTCAATTTACATTCGTCTTTTCCAACAAAGATTTGCATTGGATTTCTGAATTCAATAGGGAATTCTGGTCACATCAAAATGGCAGTCTTTGAAACTGGCAAGATCATAAATTGTCTTTGGGTTTGATTTTGGTGTCCAAAGATAACTTAAGAAGGTGGCAACAGCCCTTAATAAGGTCAGTTATATAAGCAGATAATTAGTTTGAGGAAAGAATGCCAACATTGATAAAAGCTGCTGGTTTGGTTATTTTAAAAGGTGTTTTAGCTGAGGCACATACCTTTTAAATGAGAACTCTTGTCTGCTTATGCCTGTTTTTGCAGATTACACACAAGTCAGTCAAATGATCCATTCATTAATTCCCTCAATAAATATTTGTTAAGGCACTGACTGGATGAGAAGCTTGTGACCACTTTGCAGAGCTTATGCAGTTCTACAAACTGAGAGTTAGTATGAGGAAGATGGAAGTTACAGGTCAACTTGACCTAGGAAAAGAAACCCTGCCTTTGAAGTTCTACCCTAAAGATGGGAGGATGGTAGATGATGTTGATCCAGGCTGGCTTGGCAGAGCACTGATGGACCAAGAGAAAAAAAAGATGTCTCAATAACCCCAGGATGGCCGCTTGAAGGACCAGAAAACATTGACTCTATTTAAAAAAGAACATGGTCCTTTGGTTGCTGCTGCAGTGGGTAACAAATCACAGGGCTGAGTCATAAAAACAGTAAGACAATAGAAATTGCATGGAGCAAATAGCACAAATCGGCCATATATCAATTGGGTCAAATTACTAGCATTAATGCACTACAATTCTAGACTATGTGGAAAGTGTCCTGGACAATTTACTAATTAATTAGTTCAATGATACAATCATTCAATCAATGCTTTTTATGGATTTATTTTTATTGAGCACCTGCTATGCACTAGGCCTTAGGCCTTAGCTAGGTCTCAAGTCTTAGGTCCTCCAAGGAATTGTGATGTATAAAACAGTCCCCAACTTTGAGGAGGTTAGTGTAAGGAAATAGGTAAGTAAATCAACAACTAAACTGTACTTTGGAAAGACAATAACAGAGTACTTGAAAAGCATCTAACTCACTCTGGTAAGAGAGCCATGAGCAAGGGACTCTGGGTGAAGAAGCCATGGCCAAAACTGTTGGTAGCCTCCCCCAGTCACTGTCTCTGCCTCTGTCTTTGCCAAGAGAACACTAATTTTATTCTATATGAGGCAGAGTGTACTCAAAGAAGATACCTTTCTTCCCGCAGTCACAGATAAGCCACAACAACTCTTCTCCCTTTGTCAGTCGTCTGAATACAGTAAACGGGAGACCCAGATCTTAAGGGAACCAGATGCAAAGTCTGCTGGGAAAGTTTTTCTCTCTGATAAAAAGGAGAGGTGTCTAAGGGGAATTCCTCACTTCTTTTCTTGTTTTGACTATGGCTTTGTGTGGATCTGATGTTTAGAGTTAAGGCATGTATTTTGAGTCCGTACCGGGAAAGCCAAGACAAAAAAAAGGCAGCCCAGAGTTCAGACATCCTCCAGCTGCTAAATTAACCAGCTGTGAAACTGCTGCTGCAGACATCTTACTGGGGAGATAAACCTCTTTATTATACTATTAAATATCTAGTTGGATATTTTGTTAGTTGAGCTGAAAACATCCAAACTGATACAGAAGTCTCCCTGAAGGAAGTTCTGAGCTGAGGCTTGAAGAGTACGTAAGACTTAGCCAGACAAAGATATGGATAAGGGACCTTCCTGGAAGACAGGTATAAAGGCACTGAGCCTAGAGAGAGGAGCACCTTTGGGAACCACAAGTACTTCATTGTGGTTATAGCAAGAGGTGGGGTTTGAGAGAAATGCAGGACCTTGTGTGCTTAGAAGAAGCTTAGAGTTTATCCTAAAATAATCTGGAGTCATCAAAGGCTTCTCCTGGATTTGCACTTTTTAGAGATGACTCTGGTGGCCATAGAGAGGACAGATCAGGGGGTCTGGGATGAAAACAGAGAGCATAGGTAGGAGAATCCCAATATGAAAAGACAAGGGTGGTGGTGAAGGGGATGCAGAGGACGCAGGTTTGGGAGATGTTCAGGAGGCAGAATGCACAGTACTTGAAGTCCTATTGAATATCACAGGGAAGACATAGGGAGGTGGAAGAGCCAACTCTAGAATTTCTGGTTGGGTATCTAGGGGGACAGAAGTTCTCTCACTGAGACAGAAAATTAACAAGGAAGGGCAGGTTGAGGTGGTTTGAAGTGGGAGACACTGCTGGTAAGCATATGATGGGTCGGGAGACAAGGGGATGATAAACTCAACTTGAACATATTGTTTAGGAATCCTGAGGGACAAATTGAGGGTTTCCAGGAAGAGTTAGATAAGTAGGATTGAAACCAAGTGCTGCAAAGGGGCCTCATCAGGAGAGACGAAGGGTCCAGGGATGCTGTTGAACTCTTGCGATTGGGTACATACTAGAGACTGAGATGAGAAGCCTGCCTCTGGAAATACACAAACTTTAGAGGCAAAAGGGAGGAGAAAGTAAAAAGGAGAAGGTGTTTCAGAGGAGGTTCTTCTTGAGTAGGGAGAAGAGAGGACATATAGGTTGGCAGGCATGGATGAGCAAGGAAAGAGATAAGCATGGTGCTGGTGTGAGGGGAGGGAGGCATATAGGCACAAAGAAAATCATGAACCTTGTAAACTGTGGGTGCATTCAGGGCCGGAATGTCTGTACAGCATGGTAAATAAGTCAGTGATTGATTATAACCAGAACCTGGCACTCAGACTTAACTATGGCAGCTGAAGGTAGACAGAGTAGAGTGTTTTTTTTCTCCTGCCTGGAGGGATCTCAGTCCCAGGGCACAGGGACTGAGGTCCCAATAAATAAGATCTCCACAGTTAAGCTTGGGCTCTATTTTCTCCATTCTTTGCAATTAATTACTGTGGTCATTACAATCTCATCTTTCTCCACTCTAAATCCTGCATTTGGTGTCTGATACTGATCTATGTGATTACACTCTTCTCTTAATATTGACCTGGTTTTATGGCATGAGATACACTTCCAAATGATAAAGCTTGTTTTCTTTGAGATAAAAAGGGTTGGAAAAGAAATTGACTACAGTGTCTGCAGAAGGAGAAAGGAAATAAACATGTTGGGATAAACATGGACATTTTAAGCCTCAAACTGTGATCTATTAGGAACATTTATATCTAAAAGGCAGCCCTGTAGACAGCCATGAGCAGAAAATGTTTGGGTTGCAAATACTAAATACTTCAGGGAAAACATCCCTCTTTTAAAATAATCCAATTCAAAAGAAAGAGAACTGAAACTGGATCCCATCTTTAATTTGTGCTAAAAACCATGAGGTCAAAGTATACAATTTATGAACAAAATTATCCTTGGCTTCTTGAACTGGCGCCATTACCTTCCTCAATGAAAAGAGAAAAGAGACAAAATAACCATTCTCTCAGAACTTATTTCCTCTCTGAGTGGGGCTCTTGTTTAATTGGTTTTGCTTTGAGCAGAAATGGGAAGAAAATGTTGTAGGGTGAACCCATCAAGGCACAGCTCCCAGACACCTGGCTCTTCAAATGGATGAGACAGAATAGAAGATATTTTGACATTTTGTTTTATTTCTCTAACTTGGCTCAAGTCATTTACTTTTCTTCTCTGTCTGCACCAGAGAAAGAGATACCTCGTAATTCTTGTCAGGGACAAAAACCCTCGAAAAACCAAAAGCCTGCAACTGCTTGACAATGCAGTGGGCTGGAAGCATGTAGACACACGTGGTATGAATTGAAGGGCTCCATGAAACTTTCTTTATAACCCATAATACAAATAGTTTTCCTAATTCCTCCATGGTGCCTAGAATTCCTGTTTGATTCATTCCTTTATGGGAGGATATGTCAGTGTTTCGGATTACTCTAATTAAATGAGGACACCCTGCCAGCTTATTAGCTTCTGGATGGCAGGGGCTGTCCTATCTTCCTTGGTATGCCTCGTTGACAGCAAGTACAATCCATAAACATGGTAGGTGTTCAAAAGTACAAGTGGAGAGACAAAAGTAAGCATAGTCAACCATTATGATCATGGTGTGATGGTTCATTTATTAAATAATTCTCCAACTAAGAACACCAAAATCTTATGCTCATACAGAAGAAGGAAAGTTAGGTTGGTTTGGGTGCCTCAGCAGACCAGGAGTAGGGGAGGATGGAGTGAGATGGCTGGGGCCTGGGGCACCAGACTTATAATAGAAATATAATGTGAACCGTCTGGGCGTGGAGGCTCACGCTTGTAATCCCAGCACTTGGAGGCTGAGGTGAGTGGATCACTTGAGGTCAGGAGTTCGAGACCAGCCTGGCCAACATGGCGAAACCCTGTCTCTAATAAAAATATAAAAATTAGCTCAGCATGGTGGCACACGCCTGTAATCCCAGCTACTTAGGAGAGTGAGGCATGAGCATCGCTTGAACCCAGGAAGCGGAGGTTGCAGTGAGCTGAGATAGTGCCACTGCACTCCAGCTTGGGCAACAGAGTAAAACTGTGTCCAAAAAATAAAAAAAAAAAAAAAAAAAGGAAAGGAAGGAAGGAAGGAAGGAAATGTGAACCACATAGGTAATTTTAAATCTTTTAATTTAGAAAAGGTATTATGTTGGTGCAAAAGTTATTACTGCCTTTGGCATTACTTTCAATGGCAAAAACTGCAATTATTTTTGCACCAACTTAATAAAAGAGAAAAAAATGGCAAAAGAAATAAATAAAATTAATTTTAGTATGTTATGTTTAACCCCCCAAATTATCATTTGAACATCTAATTACTACAAAAACTACTGAGATATTTTATTTCTTTTCATACCAAGTCCTCAAAATCCAGCATGTATTTTAATCTTACAGCACATTTGAATTTTGAAGAGCTGCATTTCAAGAGCTTAATAGCCATGTGTGGCTATCACAGTGGACAGCATGGCTCTAGAAGGCTCATTGTCAGAGAGGGAACAAGAGGGAGGGAGTGGGGCATGGCAGTTGGGGAGATGGGAGTCAGGAGCAGGAGAAGGAGATGCTGGAGGACAGCTGGGGTGAGAAAGGCATCAAGGATGTGATTTGTAAGTTTACTGGGACATCTTTGGTCTGATGGCCGGAACCATTCTCAGGCATGTTTGGCTCAGGCTGGACCAGGAGGATTCTCAGGGCCTGAGTGTACAGTTCCTTTGAGTGGAAGATGTGTGTTTCCTTTGGTGCCTTTGAAGTGAATTAATTCAACACAAAGTCTCTTAGTTTAATAAGTCCCAATAATTAATAGGATACCCAAAATTATCAATTATTTTCTTCTGGAACAAATTACCACCTCCTAGAGGACCATAAGCAAATTATCATCTTCTAGAGCAGCAGTCCCCAACCTTTTTTGGCACCAGGGACTGGTTTCATGGAAGACAATTTTTCCATGGATAGTGGTGGTGGGGGATGGTTTTGAGGTGAAACTGTTCACCTTAGGTCAGGCATTAGATTATCATAAGGAGTGTGCAACTTAGATCCCTCACATGCACAGTTCACAATAGAGTTTACACTTCTGTGACAATCTAATGCCACCACTGATCTGACAGGAGGCGGAGTTCAGTCAGTAATGCTCGCCCAACCTTCATGCCACTCACTTTCTGCTGTGCAACCAGGTTACTCACGGGCCATGGACCAGTACCGTGGGGGTTGGGGACCCATGTTCTAGAGCAGGTATATCTGGCCAAACTATATCCCCATAAGTCTAGATTTAATGCCATGGAGACTGTAGCAGAGGCAATGAGAAAGAGGAATTTTCAGTTTCATCTTTATCAAAATGCCAACCATTCTATCTAAGATACTTGTCCATAGCCTATAACCTTTTAATTTAAACTCAGCTGGGAGACATCTTCCATAAAGAGGTGACATCGCACTGGTTAACCATATTGGAGGCGAGTGTAGAAGCCACACCTGAAAACCATTTTCTTCGTTAGGGACTGAATGTTGATGTGTTCCTGCTTTCTTGCCAAATTTAGAAATTCACAGCCGGGTGTGGTGGCTCACGCCTGTAATCCCAGCACTTTGGGAGACCGAGGTGGGCAGATCACCTGAGGTTGGGAGTTAGAGACCAGCCTGACCAACATGGAAAAACCCTGTCTCTATTAAAAATACAAAAATTAGCTGGGCATGGTGGCACATGTCTGTAATCCCAGCTACCCGAGAGGCTGAGGCAGGAGAATTGCTTGAACCCAGGAGGAAGATGTTTCGGTGAGCCAAGATCACGCCACTGCACTCCAGCCTGGTCAATAAGAGCGAAACTCCATCTCAAAGGAAAAAAAAAAAGAAAGAAAGAAATTCACAGCAGTGGCAGCCCTAGTCACCAAGCCTAATTCAGGGTCTTATTTCTCTCCTGTAAAGCAAACTAAAGCTTTAAAATGTTATGTTATTTTATTTTTTTAGGCAGGGTTTTGCTCTGTAGCCCAGGCTGGAGTGCAGTGGTGCAATCACAGCTCATTATAGCCTTGACCTCCCAGGCTCAAGCGATCCTGTCACCTCAGCCTCCCAGTTAGCTGGGACTACAGGCATGCACCACCACACCCAGCTAATTTTTTTTTTGCCTCATAGAGACAGGGTCTCTCTATGTTGCCCATGCTGGTCTCAAACTCCTAGGCTCAAGTGATCCTCCTGCCTTGCCCTCCCAAAGTGCTGGGATTATAGGCTTGAGCCACCATTCCCTGACCATAACTTTGAAATTTTAGGATTGTGTTTGTCTTTTTTATACCCCTCTAGATTTTGTCTCTGGGGTTCTTCATGCTGAGAGCTAAGGAGTCAAAGATTTCTGGATCTTCCCAGCATTCATTGTTCAAACACAAGTTTTCCACCTTCACTTCCATATATGGGATACTCCAGCCTAGGAGGTATAGTCCCATCAGACCAATATGTAACCTGAGGCCTGCAACTATTTTCTTCCTGCTTTGCTTCCTTTCAGAAGGTCTCATCTTCACTGGGGCTTTCTTTGTCCAAATTCCATGGATTTCTCGGCATCTTCTTTTAGATCAGAGGTAATACTTCACCTTTACTTACAATAATGGTTCTACCTTGAAACTCACCCAGTAATTCTTTTGAATATTTTAGTTGGATCTTTCCCTCTTCAATCTGTCTAAAATTTCTGTGATCACCTGGCAGAGCAGTGCAGTCTCCCGTGTGTGATTTCTGCAGTTGCTCTCATGATGAACTCTCTTCCTATAGCTGCAAGAGCATGCCTCCCAGTGGGGTCCCGAACTAGGGATTCCCTTGAGGGTGAGGGCAGAGGAGGGGTTGTTGCAGCTGGCTGTGTTAGATTGGTGGATCTTCTTCTTAATCTTCTCTTTATGAGCAGTTAGAGCTGGGTGTGCCTCTTTATCTCCTCTATACCCATTTATCTTGTCTTTTAAAGTCCAATCTTTCTTTTAAGGAAATTTTTCTCTTCCCTAGGCTTACTCAGCCCATCTGCTTTTATTTGTCTTTAATTTTCTTTCTGCCCTTGTTTAGATAGTGAGACAGAAGCATATTTGGACAATCATTCCAGTTCCTCCCTGAATTTCTGAACAAATCTGCTTTCAGAAACACTCTTTCAGGCTCAGACTGCCTAAATTGCTCTCTTAGCTTTGAGTTTGTAATAATTTCACTGAGCTTTTTGAGGGTATTTTTTTTTTGGTCTGTTTTTCTTTATTTAAACCCAAAGAGTTGGAATATTCTCTATAAATTGATGGCTCCTATTCCTATTGGTACATTTGTTGGTGAAATCTATTACCCTTTTGGAGTGTCACCAAAGTTAAGGACCCTGGAATGTAAAGTGAGGGCCAGAATGTATGTAGTTAGCAAGTTCAGAACGAACTGGAGACTGAAGCTTGTGGGTGAGTTGAGTCTGTGGATTTGCCACCTATTTCCACATTTCCCCCCCTTGTGCCTGAATACAGTTCTAAACAACATACGGAGAACTGCATGTTGTGTAGCTGACTTAGCACTGTCTATGCATGACTGGCATAAAATGAACGTTGGTGCTCTGCATCCAGGAATAATATAGCTGCCTTTGTAGTTTAAAGGCCTCGCCTCTAGAAATGTCTAAGAAACGTAACATAAGCAGAAAAGCAATTGTTTCATACCCTAGTGTCCAAACAGCTTGTGTACTATAGCTCTGTTGATTTTAGGATTTCTTGAGTAAGTCCAAAAGTTTCTATTTTCCCTAAAATCAAATTCTTGCTGCAGCCATGCCTGCTCAGGCATAAAGTGCTCCTGCAAGGTCACACCAAAGACAACCTCAAAGGACATCACAGTCATTGTTTATTGTGGTAGGTAGAATTCTAAGGTTCTGCCCCCCAAATTCCTGCCCCCTAGTATACATGAGCTGTATAATCCTCACCCCTGAAGTGTGGGAGGTACCTGTGAATATGATGTCATGTCACATCTGTGACTGGGTTCTCAATCAGTTGACTTCGAACTAAACAAAAAGGAGATGATCCTGGGTGGGCTTGACTTAATCAAGTGAAAGCCTTAAAAGCAAGAGTCTCCTGCTAGTCTAGGAAAAGCAAACAGCCCTGCTATGAATGGCCTATAGAAAGGGGCAGCCTCTAGGAGCATGGGCCTCAGTCATATGCCCACGAGGAACTGAATATTGCCAGCAACCATGTGAGCATGGAAGAGGACTCTAAGCCTCTGATGAGACCACAGCCCTGGCCAATGCTTTGATTGTGGCTCTGTGAGGCCTTGAACAAAGGACCAAGTATAGCTATGCCAGGACTTCTGAACCACGGGAATGGTGAGATAATAAATGTTTGGTGTTTTAAGCCACTAAGTTTGTGTTAATTTTTTATGCCGCAATAGAAAGCGAATACTACATGAGGCAGTCCCCTAGCTACAGCAAAGGCTGCTGTTAACTTCCAAGTTAAAAAACTTGCATGTTCTCTTTTTACTTGAACACTTACAAAGCTGCTATGATCTGAATGTTTGTGTCCCCTCCAAATTCATTGGTTGAAATCCTAATCCCAAGGTGACAGTTTTAGAAGGTGGAGCCACCATGAATGGGATCAGTGCCCTTGTAAAATAGGCCCTAGAGAGCTCCCTCATCCTTCATGATGTGAAGACACAGCAAGAAGATGGCTATCTGTGAACAATACACTGAGCTCTCACCAGACACTGAATCTGCCAGCACCTTGATCTAGGACTTCCCATCTCTAGAACTGTGAGAAATAAATTTCTGTTGTTTATAAGCCACCCAGTTTATGGTATCTTATTATAGCAGCCTGAATGGACTAAGTCAAAAAGCCCAAAGCTTCCAGCCTTGAATCAAGACTTCTTGGCTTCAGTCACTTACGTGAGATATTTTCTCCCCAAGAAGCAATTCTTTTCAACCAAAGTAGCAATCCTCATCAATATAGCAGGGAGGACCCTGGGACCAGACTGTCTGGGGTTAAGTCACAGTTCTCACAGGTCTAGACTACAAAACCTCAGACAAGTTTTTAAATCTTTCCCTGCCAAAGTTTCCTCATCTGTAAAATGTCATGATAATAACAGGGTGTTTCTCAGAGAATTGTGGGGACACAAGTGAATTACTACATGGAGAAGGCTTAGAAAATAGGCACATAGTAAATCGTGTTAACTGTTATTATTTCTCGTGGGTTTTTTTATTCAGACAACAATATGTTGGAGTTTTAGAGGTTCAATAAAGAGCATCCTTTTTCACCTTCCAAATTTGGGATCCTTTGAGAAATAACACACAGGAAGCAAAGAGATGGAGATCACATATCAGCTTTATCATGGATAATGTTCCCTGGAGAAGTGAACATTATCCACAGTGGGTCTCCTGACACTTTTCTTAGAATTAAACTTCTGCACCCTGTCTCAGGCACAGTTGGACAGACACAGGCCTCCCCTAGTGGGGCAGACCACCTCCAGTATGGCTGGAAGCAGGCAGAGTGGATCCTCCCCGGGGAAAGGAAGATCAGAATCAGAGATCCCAGGAGGTGCCAAGCTTAGAATGTCTAATCTCTTCTTGCGCACTCAGCAATTATACATAGATCTTCTCTTTATGGTGGGGAAAAATTATCAGGTGGGTTGCTTAGCTGAAGTTCCTCCACCAGGAAACCCAAGTTGAGGGCAATAGTTCTCTAACTTGATCAGCTGGAGGGCTTGTTAAAACACAGAGTGCTGGGCCTATCCCGGAATCACTGATCCAATAGGGCTGAAGTCCAGGCTGAGAATTTGCATTTCTCCCAAGTCCCCAGGTAATGCTAATGTTGCTGGTGCAGGACCTCACTTTGAGAACCTCTGATCTGGGAAAATGAGGGTCCCTGAGGTAGATCGTTCACTCTTTGCCGGAACAAGCAAACCGTTTGTGATTTGAGTGGCTTAGAGAAGTGTGAGTGACAGAACGGGCAATGCAGCCCCAGTGACTTTGTCTCCACATCAGACCAGGGAAAGGAAGAAGAGTTGACTGAGAAAAGGACTTTAGGCATTCGGACACTCAGTCCTTCTCTACAAGGGGCATTAAGTTAACCTGTCAGTGCTACCAGAGAACCATAGTGACAGATTTTTTTTTTTTTTTCTGAATTGACCCATTATTTTATTGAACTGAAAAATTCATCTGAAATTGTTGAATTGTTTGGCAAAACCTAAACTAAGGTAGGTAAACTCAGGGTTATTTTTCTCTACCCTCAAACAAAAACCAAGCATTTAGAAATCTTCCGGGCACATTTTCAATAATTTAATTTCTCTTCATTTTTTGACTGTCAGCAATCGACATCAGCATTGTCAGAAAGCAATTATTAAACATGTTAACTATAATGAACACTATACTAGGAGTTATATGGGGCAAGATATGGGCAATGGTCCTAAATCAGAACTTGGACTATCAGAGCTTGTATTATTAGGTGGTTTGGCTCCTTGGAACGCAAGTACACCCCATGGACCAGCAGTATTGATTAGAAGTGCAGAATTCCAGGCTCTACCCCAAGCCTACTGCAAATGAGGACTTGCATTTTTACAGTGATTAGATGCATGTTAATGTTCCATCAGCACTGAGATAGATGAGCCCTCCCTCCCTATTCTTTATACACCCCCAGAAGGATCTTTTGAGGATCTAAGTCTAAATCTCTTTGCTTAAAATTCTTCAGTGATATCTATTCACCGGAGGAATTAAATTTGAATTTCATAGATTTAGGAAAGGAAGGAGTAGAAAATAAAAACAATTCCAATAGAGGAGTTGTAAGCAGATAGGAAAATCGGAAGGGTTAGCTGCTAGGTCGTTTTATGGGCTAAATGGTGTTTTTCTGGCCTTTTATTATTCGGAGAGAGGCATCAGAGAAGTACAGCTCAGCCTAACCCTTCACCCCAAAAACAATGACTTAAAAGAGGTTAAAAGGGGAAAACCTTATGTGCCTATGACGCTGCCCTTTTTCATAATCGTGGGTTTGTAGAGCTGAGGTCTGTATGGGACAGGAAAATGTGACTAAAAGTGATTAGCAAATCTAAACATAGCAATAAAAGGAAAATTCTCTCTGTTCCTATGTGTCGTAACCATGCAATGGAAGGTAGAGGGTGTGCTTAATCTGAAAGAATTAAGAGGGAGGGAAGCTGGCCTGGCGCGGTGGCTCATGCCTGTAATCCCAGCACTTTGGGAGGCCGAGGCGGGGGGATCACGAGGTCAGGAGATCGAGACCATCCTGGCTAACACGATGAAACCCCATCTCTACTTAAAAAATACAAAAAAAAAATTAGCCGGGCGTGGTGGTGGGCACCAGTAGTCCCAGCTACTCGGGAGGCTGAGGCAGGAGAATGGCGGGAACCCGGGAGGCGGAGCTTGCAGTGAGCCGAGATAGTGTGACTGCACTCCAGCCTGGGTGACAGAGTGAGACTCCGTCTAAAAAGAAAAAGAGGGTGGGAAGCCACCAAGGGGCTCACTGTTTGAGACTAGCTACCATTTATTGAAGGCCCACTGTGTCACCCACTGTGCTAAGAGCTTTATGCTATTACTTCATTTACTTTCCACAATGGCCATTGAGGTAGGTATTAATAGAGAAGAAGGTTAAGCAACTGGCCCATGTTACATAGCTAATACAAAGCAGAAGATCCAGATTTGATTCTAAAGTCAATGCTGTCAGCCAGTATGCTGATCATCTGCCCATCCGAAGGTGGGTCACTGTCCATCCTTGCCTTTTCATTTAAATGTATGTTCCTTGGACATGCATCTCAGGAAGTTATTGCCTGCCCGTTCCCACTATGCTTCCAGAATGCATTTCCTTGCAAATGATGAAGTGGAAATGGCATCAGTGAAAAAGAATGAATGGATGGATGGGGAGTTCCAGATGGAGGTGGGAAATGCTGAAATGATGGGTTATGCCCATAAATTAGCAGATGTACCACAGCTTTTGGTAACAGACACCCATTTGCCCCATGGCCAAACTGTGTGCCTTGGCTTTGCTGAGCTGTAGTGGAAGCCAAACCATATACTGCTGAATCAGTGACCCAGCAAGAAGGGCTGCAATGATGAAATCAAGCAAAACAAAAATTAAACCCTGTGCTGCAGTGGAAGGAGAGATGTCACATGCTTGTTCTAAATATTTCAGAGCTTACGTTGCCTGAGAATGGATTTCCAATGACTAGAAAGGCAGAGGGATGATTGCCTTAATGTGTCCACTGTAAACTCTGTTTGTCCTTTTGCCAAGGAATGAATGAAGCCAGGGTGGAGGGAATAGTTATTGGACAACCTTACATCTACTATTTAAGCTAAATTAAGTAAAGTGGAAAAGGAAAGCCCAAAGTCATAAATGAGAATAGTTTAAGCCAGAAAGGAAAATCTAAGGCAGGTTATTGTAAACAATTTTCTACCGTTACTGATACAGATGGGCATGGGGATCTGTTGAAATTAATGCTTTTTCATGCAAATTTTACTATGGAAATTTGAAACCCTGTAATATGAAAATAATAATAAAGCCTTCCTTTAGGTACAACACTTGAAATAATGTGAAATCCCCTGTATCTGTCATGGTTCCAGCAGGAAATATATGGCACACTTTAATTGGACAAAATGACTGTTTATAAAGGTGTGAGGAGGATGTAGGGAAACTACACGGAATAGTACTTGTACCCCCTTCAGTTCTGAAAGGACAAGGCAATGAGTCATTAATGAGCCCCTGGGAGAGTGGTTGTGAAGAGGGCCACCTGACAGAAGCTGGGGACTTCTGGACAAGACGCAACTGACCCACAGTGACTTGGCAGAGAGGGAGCCCTGGGCATAGACAGCCTGACCTCTCTCCTCCATCTCCCTGATTTCTTTTCTTTTTTTTATTTTATTTTATTATTATTATTATTTTTATTATACTTTAAGTTTTAGGGTACATGTGCACATTGTGCAGGTTAGTTACATATGTATACATGTGCCATGCTGGTGCGCTGCACCCACTAACTCGTCATCTAGCATTAGGTATATCTCCCAATGCTATCCCTCCCCCCTCCCCCCACCCCACCACAGTCCCCAGAGTGTGATATTCCCCTTCCTGTGTCCATGTGATCTCATTGTTCAATTCCCACCTATGAGTGAGAATATGCGGTGTTTGGTTTTTTGTTCTTGCGATAGTTTACTGACAATGATGGTTTCCAATTTCATCCATGTCCCTACAAAGGACATGAACTCATCATTTTTTATGGCTGCATAGTATTCCATGGTGTATATGTGCCACATTTTCTTAATCCAGTCTATCATTGTTGGACATTTGGGTTGGTTCCAAGTCTTTGCTATTGTGAATAATGCCGCAATAAACGTACGTGTGCATGTGTCTTTATAGCAGCATGATTTATAGTCCTTTGGGTATATACTCAGTAATGGGATGGCTGGGTCAAATGGTATTTCTAGTTCTAGATCCCTGAGGAATCGCCACACTGACTTCCACAATGGTTGAACTAGTTTACAGTCCCACCAACAGTGTAAAAGTGTTCCTGTTTCTCCACATCCTCTCCAGCACCTGTTGTTTCCTGACTTTTTAATGATTGCCATTCTAACTGGTGTGAGATGATATCTCATAGTGGTTTTGATTTGCATTTCTCTGATGGCCAGTGATGATGAGCATTTTTTCATGTGTTTTTTGGCTGCATAAATGTCTTCTTTTGAGAAGCATCTGTTCATGTCCTTCGCCCACTTTTTGATGGGGTTGTTTGTTTTTTTCTTGTAAATTTGTTTGAGTTCATTTTAGATTCTGGATATTAGCCCTTTGTCAGATGAGTAGGTTGCGAAAATTTTCTCCCATGTTGTAGGTTGCCTGTTCACTCTGATGGTAGTTTCTTTTGCTGTGCAGAAGCTCTTTAGTTTAATTAGATCTCATTTGTCAATTTTGGCTTTTGTTGCCATTGCTTTTGGTGTTTTGGACATGAAGTCCTTGCCCACGCCTATGTCCTGAATGGTAATGCCTAGGTTTTCTTCTAGGGTTTTTATGGTTTTAGGTCTAACGTTTAAATCTTTAATCCATCTTGAATTAATTTTTGTATAAGGTGTAAGGAAGGGATCCAGTTTCATCTTTCTACATATGGCTAGCCAGTTTTCCCAGCACCATTTATTAAATAGGGAATCCTTTCCCCATTGCTTGTTTTTCTCAGGTTTGTCAAAGATCAGATAGTTGTAGATATGCGGCGTTATTTCTGAGGGCTCTGTTCTGTTCCATTGATCTATATCTCTGTTTTGGTACCAGTACCATGCTGTTTTGGTTACTGTAGCCTTGTAGTATAGTTTGAAGTCAGGTAGTGTGATGCCTCCAGCTTTGTTCTTTTGGCTCAGGATTGACTTGGCGATGCGGGCTCTTTTTTGGTTCCATATGAACTTTAAAGTAGTTTTTTCCAATTCTGTGAAGAAAGTCATTGGTAGCTTGATGGGGATGGCATTGAATCTATAAATTACCTTGGGCAGTATGGCCATTTTCACGATATTGATTCTTCCTACCCATGAGCATGGAATGTTCTTCCATTTGTTTGTATCCTCTTTTATTTCCTTGAGCAGTGGTTTGTAGTTCTCCTTGAAGAGGTCCTTCACATCCCTTGTAAGTTGGATTCCTAGGTATTTTATTCTCTTTGAAGCAATTGTGAATGGGAGTTCACTCATGATTTGGCTCTCTGTTTGTCTGTTGTTGGTGTATAAGAATGCTTGTGATTTTTGTACATTGATTTTGTATCCTGAGACTTTGCTGAATTTGCTTATCAGCTTAAGGAGATTTTGGGCTGAGACGATGGGGTTTTCTAGATAAACAATCATGTCATCTGCAAACAGGGACAATTTGACTTCCTCTTTTCCTAATTGAATACCCTTTATTTCCTTCTCCTGCCTGATTGCCCTGGCCAGAACTTCCAACACTATGTTGAATAGGAGTGGTGAGAGAGGGCATCCCTGTCTTGTGCCAGTTTTCAAAGGGAATGCTTCCAGTTTTTGCCCATTCAGTATGATATTGGCTGTGGGTTTGTCATAGATAGCTCTTATTATTTTGAAATACGTCCCATCAATACCTAATTTATTGAGAGTTTTTAGCATGAAGGGTTGTTGAATTTTGTCAAAGGCTTTTTCTGCATCTATTGAGATAATCATGTGGTTTTTGTCTTTGGCTCTGTTTATATGCTGGATTACATTTATTGATTTGCATATATTGAACCAGCCTTGCATCCCAGGGATGAAGCCCACTTGATCATGGTGGATAAGCTTTTTGATATGCTGCTGGATTCGGTTTGCCAGTATTTTATTGAGGATTTTTGCATCAATGTTCATCAAGGATATTGGTCTAAAATTCTCTTTTTTGGTTGTGTCTCTGCCCGGCTTTGGTATCAGAATGATGCTGGCCTCATAAAAAGAGTTAGAGAGGATTCCCTCTTTTTCTATTGATTGGAATAGTTTCAGAAGGAATGGTACCAGTTCCTCCTTGTACCTCTGGTAGAATTCGGCTGTGAATCCATCTGGTCCTGGACTCTTTTTGGTTGGTAAACTATTGATTATTGCCACAATTTCAGCTCCTGTTATTGGTCTATTCAGAGATTCAACTTCTTCCTGGTTTAGTCTTGGGAGGGTGTATGTGTCGAGGAATTTATCCATTTCTTCTAGATTTTCTAGTTTATTTGCGTAGTGGTGTTTGTAGTATTCTCTGATGGTAGTTTGTATTTCTGTGGGATCGGTGGTGATATCCCCTTTATCATTTTTTATTGTGTCTATTTGATTCTTCTCTCTTTTTTTCTTTATTAGTCTTGCTAGCGGTCTATCAATTTTGCTGATCCTTTCAAAAAACCAGCTCCTGGATTCATTGATTTTTTGAAGGGTTTTTTGTGTCTGTATTTCCTTCAGTTCTGCTCTGATTTTAGTTATTTCTTGCCTTCTGCTAGCTTTTGAATGTGTTTGCTCTTGCTTTTCTAGTTCTTTTAATTGTGATGTTAGGGTGTCAATTTTGGATCTTTCCTGCTTTCTCTTGTGGGCATTTAGTGCTATAAATTTCCCTCTACACACTGCTTTGGATGTGTCCCAGAGATTCTGGTATGTTGTGTCTTTGTTCTCGTTGGTTTCAAAGAACATCTTTATTTCTGCCTTCATTTCGTTATGTACCCAGTAGTCATTCAGGAGCAGGTTGTTCAGTTTCCATGTAGTTGAGCGGCTTTGAGTGAGATTCTTAATCCTGAGTTCTAGTTTGATTGCACTGTGGTCTGAGAGATAGTTTGTTATAATTTCTGTTCTTTTACATTTGCT
Organism: Homo sapiens; assembly: GCF_000001405.40. Lineage (NCBI taxonomy): Eukaryota > Metazoa > Chordata > Mammalia > Primates > Hominidae > Homo > Homo sapiens. The sequence goes on along the minus strand of NC_000008.11, from coordinate 97,298,227 downwards.
GAGGAGAGCTTTACTTCCAACTATGTGGTCAATTTTGGAATAGGTGTGGTGTGGTGCTGAAAAAAATGTATATTCTGTTGATTTGGGGTGGAGAGTTCTGTAGATGTCTATTAGGTCCGCTTGGTGCAGAGCTGAGTTCAATTCCTGGGTATCCTTGTTGACTTTCTGTCTCGTTGATCTGTCTAATGTTGACAGTGGGGTGTTAAAGTCTCCCATTATTAATGTGTGGGAGTCTAAGTCTCTTTGTAGGTCACTCAGGACTTGCTTTATGAATCTGGGTGCTCCTGTATTGGGTGCATATATATTTAGGATAGTTAGCTCTTCTTGTTGAATTGATCCCTTTACCATTATGTAATGGCCTTCTTTTTCTCTTTTGATCTTTGTTGGTTTAAAGTCTGTTTTATCAGAGACTAGGATTGCAACCCCTGCCTTTTTTTGTTTTCCATTTGCTTGGTAGATCTTCCTCCATCCTTTTATTTTGAGCCTATGTATGTCTCTGCACGTGAGATGGGTTTCCTGAATACAGCACACTGATGGGTCTTGACTCTTTATCCAACTTGCCAGTCTGTGTCTTTTAATTGGAGAATTTAGTCCATTTACATTTAAAGTTAATATTGTTATGTGTGAATTTGATCCTGTCATTATGATGTTAGCTGGTTATTTTGCTCGTTAGTTGATGCAGTTTCTTCCTAGTCTCGATGGTCTTTACATTTTGGCATGATTTTGCAGCGGCTGGTACCGGTTGTTCCTTTCCATGTTTAGCGCTTCCTTCAGGAGCTCTTTTAGGGCAGGCCTGGTGGTGACAAAATCTCTCAGCATTTGCTTGTCTGTAAAGTATTTTATTTCTCCTTCACTTATGAAGCTTAGTTTGGCTGGATATGAAATTCTGGGTTGAAAATTCTTTTCTTTAAGAATGTTGAATATTGGCCCCCACTCTCTTCTGGCTTGTAGGGTTTCTGCCGAGAGATCTGCTGTTAGTCTGATGGGCTTCCCTTTGAGGGTAACCCGACCTTTCTCTCTGGCTGCCCTTAACATTTTTTCCTTCATTTCAACTTTGGTGAATCTGACAATTATGTGTCTTGGAGTTGCTCTTCTTGAGGAGTATCTTTGTGGCGTTCTCTGTATTTCCTGAATCTGAACGTTGGCCTGCCTTGCTAGGTTGGGGAAGTTCTCCTGGATAATATCCTGCAGAGTGTTTTCCAACTTGGTTCCATTCTCCGCATCACTTTCAGGTACACCAATCAGACGTAGATTTGGTCTTTTCACATAGTCCCATATTTCTTGGAGGCTTTGCTCATTTCTTTTTATTCTTTTTTCTCTAACCTTCCCTTCTCGCTTCATTTCATTCATTTCATCTTCCATTGCTGATACCCTTTCTTCCAGTTGATCGCATCGGCTCCTGCGGCTTCTGCATTCTTCACGTAGTTCTCGAGCCTTGGTTTTCAGCTCCATCAGCTCCTTTAAGCACTTCTCTGTATTGGTTATTCTAGTTATACATTCTTCTAAATTTTTTTCAAAGTTTTCAACTTCTTTGCCTTTGGTTTGAATGTCCTCCCGTAGCTCAGAGTAATTTGATCGTCTGAAACCTTCTTCTCTCAGCTCGTCAAAGTCATTCTCCATCCAGCTTTGTTCCGTTGCTGGTGAGGAACTGCGTTCCTTTGGAGGAGGAGAGGCGCTCTGCGTTTTAGAGTTTCCAGTTTTTCTGTTCTGTTTTTTCCCCATCTTTGTGGTTTTATCTACTTTTGGTCTTTGATGATGGTGACGTACAGATGGGTTTTTGGTGTAGATGTCCTTTCTGGTTGTTAGTTTTCCTTCTAACAGACAGGACCCTCAGCTGCAGGTCTGTTGGAATACCCTGCCGTGTGAGGTGTCAGTGTGCCCCTGCTGGGGGGTGCCTCCCAGTTAGGCTGCTCGGGGGTCAGGGGTCAGGGACCCACTTGAGGAGGCAGTCTGCCCGTTCTCAGATCTCCAGCTGCGTGCTGGGAGAACCACTGCTCTCTTCAAAGCTGTCAGACAGGGACATTTAAGTCTGCAGAGGTTACTGCTGTCTTTTTGTTTGTCTGTGCCCTGCCCCCAGAGGTGGAGCCTACAGAGGCAGGCAGGCCTCCTTGAGCTGTGGTGGGCTCCACCCAGTTCGAGCTTCCAGGCTGCTTTGTTTACCTAAGCAAGCCTGGGCAATGGCGGGCGCCCCTCCCCCAGCCTCGCTGCCGCCTTGCAGTTTGATCTCAGACTGCTGTGCTAGCAATCAGCGAGATTCCGTGGGCGTAGGACCCTCTGAGCCAGGTGTGGGATATAGTCTCGTGGTGCGCCGTTTTTTAAGCCGGTCTGAAAAGGTCAGTATTCGGGTGGGAGTGACCCGATTTTCCAGGTGCGTCCGTCACCCCTTTCTTTGACTCGGAAAGGGAACTCCCTGACCCCTTGCACTTCCCAGGTGAGGCAATGCCTCACCCTGCTTCGGCTCGCGCACGGTGCGCGCACCCACCGGCCTGCGCCCACTGTCTGGCACTCCCTGGTGAGATGAACCCGGTACCTCAGATGGAAATGCAGAAATCACCCGTCTTCTGCGTCGCTCACGCTGGGAGCTGTAGACCCGACCTGTTCCTATTCGGCCATCTTGGCTCCTCCTCCGACCCCATCTCCCTGATTTCTTGCAAGTGCCAGCCATCGGTGAAACATTCCTGGAAGCCAGAAGGCTAGAGAACCTGTTGATGCAGTCCATATAGATGGACTTCCTGGGAATACAGAGCAGAGTAGAGAAGGATCTGGAGGAACAAACAGAAAAAATCCAGCTTACCCCGAAACTAACCAAACAATGAGCCCCAAATCATATAATTTCAAACAGACAGGCAGGATATATTATAAATGGTGTTTATGCTATGGCCACATGGCAGTGCCATTTTAGCTGGTAAACAGCACCTAAACTATCTCACATTGGTCAGAATTGCTCCTGAATTGTGTGGATTTTGAATAAGGAGATACTTTTAGGAGACGTTATATTCAACCATTATTTTCAACCTCCCCAGTTCTTCCACAAAATATCACTTTGGTTTGGAGTCTCCTGCAGCAGATTTTAAGCCGCAAATTAATAACCAGGCTACAGAAAGAATTTTGGCTTATCTCTCTTTATGTAGTTTCTGTGCTCTTGAAATGCCACAAAATTAAGATTTTCTAAATATAGTTCTATTTTTATTTTGAGGATGGAATACTTGTAGAGCTATGCAGCCTTCTTTTGCCCTCAAATTCACTGGTGCTCTGGAAAATTAACTTGAACAGAATTAACAGCTGTGTTTTTACTGTTACGATGGTTGCAGAAACTCTGGTGGCCAGATTATAAGCTCCTTGAGAGCAGGGGCTCTGTCTCATTCAGCAATGTACCCATCAGCTCCCAGCATAATGCCAGGCTCTTAGAAGACTCAGTAAATATTTCTTGAATGAACAAAGCTTTTAATATTACGCACAGATCTAAAACTGAATCATACCAAGTTCTAATCATATTCCCTAATTATGTTTTATTAAAAGATTTCAGAATCACAAGGCATATGATATTGGAAGATGGACTGGTTTCTCCCCTCCACTAGAATACTGAGAACCTACAAACTAAGGATTAGTATTTGAGAGTAGCATTATGGTTTGATCATTTTGAGGGTTCTCTAAAGTACAATTATCGCCAATTGGAAACTGTTTCTAACCAAGACCCGAAGAAAGCCATTTATTCTTTCAGATTCCCTGCACATGTAGAAAACCTGGAATCTCAACCAAACCAGGTGTAAAAGTTGCCATGGTGGTAGGTCCATTTTGCTGAGTCATCTGCTTTTATTTAAACAATGACAAGCCTACATTTTACCACCATCAAAGTTCAGCCCCAAGTCAGCTGGAGCCTCTCTTAGGATCCAGCCTGTATTACCTGTCATAAAACAGAGACTCAGTGAAAGGGGGCTGGAAGAAATGAGAAAAGCCTTGCCCTGTGCTTCTGTGTTTTGCTTGGAATGCCTGCATTCTGTCTTCTCTTAATGATGGATTAATTTGGAATATTTTTATGCCAGGAGATTAAATCAGGCCATCCATTAAGAAGGTAATCCATACACTTGAATTCCATTGAGAGGGAGAGAAAAGGATATTTTTTTCTCTCTTCTTTTTGTCCTAAGTTCCCCGTTACTTAGACTTCTGTCCTCTGTGTAGTGATGTCACTGTAGCTTTCGGTTGCTGGCTGGGGGCATGGGTGTGAGCAGTTCCCTCTGCAGCCATTCCTGATTCATCTAGGTGAATCATCTGCTTGGGTCTCTGGCTGGGAGGAAGCGGTGTCACTGCACGTCCCCCTCTTCCCAGGCCTCCTCTTTAATGCTCTGTATATTCACAACAGGCATGTTAAGCGGAGGCTGCCCAGGAACCTGGGAACTCACTAAGCCTCCCAAGTGCCTGGTGATCCTGGGCAGGGAGCCCTGGGGTTCTCATCTGCGCAGGGTTGAACTCCTTCACCCTGCTCACTGCGAAGCCATTTATAGATTCAAATAGCTAGGAGGGAACCACCCCTCCTAGCTACATCCAAAGCAATCAGACGTCCAGGATTCCAGCTGCTCGGTCCTGCTCAGCCTCTCTGCATTGAGGTCAATTATTATAAACTATCATTTTTATAGGAATGCTCTTAATTCAGCTGTTATATAAACCATGGTTCTGTTTCTTAGCAATTTTAATTCAGATCCTTCCAGACAACAGTAATTCCTAGTTTGATCTTTCCCCTCAACCTTTCTTCTCTCTTTTTCTACTACATCCTCCTCCCCACTTACTCCTGACTTAACTGTTTCCAGATGTGTATCCTTTGGCTCTGTTTCCACCCCAGCTTCTTCTATAATATGCAGTTGGACCCCTTCCACATCCCAGATGTGTTATTTATTTATGCTGAGGCATCTGGGCCTCAACACAGTCCTGTCACTGCAACGTGGCAAACTTGTGAAAAATCCAACTGGTAGCCAGCTAACAGGATGCCCCAACCTGGCAAGCAGGAGAGGTCTTTCCAGGGTCCATAAGAGGAGGCCAAGAGAACAGATGTGACAAGACAGTGGGAACCCGGGTGAAGCCAGGTCACATTCTCCTATGCTGTGGCTCTTATGGGTACAGATGAGCCTAGTAACTCAGGAAGATGAGGGTTTGGTTGCTTTCAAAGCCGGGTGGTGCTGCTGCAGAATCCAAGTAAATAACTTACCCTGCCTCAACAAGTTACCCAGGGAAAGCAAAGGGTTGCCTCCCCTCACTTAGGAGGCTGTGGGCACCAACAATGGGAACCCAGGAGCTGAGGGATATATGGCTGTAGGGGAGGGAGCACTGGACTGGGAGCCCCAAGTCTTGGTTGTGGCTTCAACTTTCTACCTGTTTTTCTCCTGACCTTAGACTAGTCTTTTAATCTGTGCTCCCATTTCCTTTTTCATGAGATAAGAACACTGGATTAAATTGTGGCATTTCACTCTTTGTTTTTAAACATTCAAACAAAATCTTAAGTGGAAGCCTTTTATGTTTGTGCACTCAATGCTTTTGTGACAGAAAAAAGTAAAAATATAATAAGTGTTTTTAAGCAGCCTTGCTGGTGGCCATTTCAGCTCACATGTCCATCCCAAGGAATTCAAAAGGAGGTAGGGGCATCAGAGGCGTGACTTTCCTCCATGCAACCTTCTGCACCCCAGGAGTTATGGAGCTCACCCACATAGCCCTTCTCGGAGTCACAGAGAACAAACCTCCCCTTTTGACCCTCTCTCTTCCTTGTTCCTCCCCTGGAACCAGCCCTTGAGCTTCCTTCACCACCCTGCCTCCCCGTCCCTGCCATCCCCCTGCCCTTTATGATCACCCTCTTCTTCTTTGCTTCCTGCTTGATATGGTTTGGCTGTGTCCTCACCCAAAACTCATCTTGAATTGTAGCTCCCATAATCCCCATGTGCCATGGGAGGGACCGAGTGGGAGGTAATTGAATCATGGGGGTGGGTTTTTCCCCATGCTGTTCTTATGATAGTGAATAAGTCTCACGAGATCTGATGTTTTTATAAAGGGCAGTTCCCCTGCACATGGTCTCTTGCCTGCCACCATGTAAGATGAGCCTTTGTTCCTCCTTTACCTTCTGCCATGATTGTGAGGCTTCCCCAGCCACATGGAACTGTGAGTCCCTTAAACTGCTTTTTCTTTATAAACTACCCAGTCTGGGGTGTGTCTTTATTAGCAGCGGGAGGACAGACTAATACACTGCCAGATGGTCATTCAGCTCCATCCTCTATGGATGGGCCATGCAGAGCCATTCAGAACCACAGGTATACCTGACAGACAGAACTTCTAGCCCCCTAAGATGGAGCCACTCTTAGCAGACAGTCTTGTATTTTTATATCAAAAAGAACACTTCTCTCTGTTAATCTACTTTAAGTCTCAGTCCTGAAAGCACCATTTCTTGTTTTAAAAAAATAAATATTATTGTGTATATTTGAGGTTTACAACATGATGATATGAGATACGTGTAGATAGTAAAATGGTTACAATAGTGAAGCAGATTAATATCTGTCCTCTCACATGTTACTTTTTTGGTGATAAGAGCAGCTAAAATCTACTTGTTTCACAAAAATTGCTAATACAATACAATTTTATTAATTTCAGTCCTCATGTTGTACATCAGATCTCTAGACTTGTCCATCGTACATGTCTGCCATATTGTATCCTTTGACCTACATCACCCCATTTCCTCTCCCCACTCCCACCTGTGATAACTACTGTTTCATTTTCTCTGTGTATTTGAGGTTTTAAAAAGTAGATTCCACAATATGTAAAACCATGCAATATTTCTTTTTCTATGTCTGGCTAATTTCACTTAGCAAGCATAATGTCCTCCAAGTCCATCCATGTTGTGGCAAATGGCAGGGTCTCTTTTTTCAAGGCTGAATAATATTTCATTGTGTACATATACCACATTTTCTTTATCCATTTGTTTGCTGATGGACTGAAAGCCCCATTTCTTATCCTAGCCTTAGCTTCTGTGTATGTCAAGCCCCCAGGGCATAAGGGCATGTAGGGGTTATGTGTATCTCTCTTGCTATTTCTGAGACACCTTTATAGCACACCAAGGGCTCCTTGTTTCAGAAATACTGGACAAGATGTAATCATCATTCCCAATCTTTGAGTCCTAAGAACTGTCCTCAGAGAAGAGTGTTCTTCATCTGGATTAGAATTCTACAAAGCCTTCAGACTAGGAGACCCTTACTCTTTCTCATCTGCTGCTTTGAGGGAGCTCCATACCAAGAGTCCTACCAGCTGGGAGAAAGCCTCCTTGAAGAACACGTCATAACTCCTAGTAGCACATAGCTATCCTCAGGCAGCACAACTTTATCTCTACTGGTGGAGTGTCAGATACTTTGGGCATCTGGATGAAGGAAAATTTCAGGTTCTCAGAATCTCCCTTTATACAGGTGGCCTCTTCTACATAGATCCAGGAGTCCATCTGGCCTGGAGGTGAGTGCTGTGCCACTAAGGAAAGTCCAAAGTCATCTTGACTCTCTGTGATAATAATAGTTTATTGTTTTTCCTCTCATCTCAGTGAGCACAGAAGCTAAGAGCCATAGCAGAGTGTGGTATCATTTCCAAATATTTGCTGCCCTGCATGGTGACAGAATGATTCGTCCCAGCTACATGGATATCAGGCTTGGTCATTGAGTTTGTTTTGGCCAATGAGATGTGAACAGAAGTGGGGCACATCACTTCCAAATTAACACCCTAAAAGCCGCCAAGAAGATCCCCCCCATCCCTGTCTTTCCCCACTGCTGACGAAGAGCAACATCTGAGAAGGGCAATCTCCCAGGCAGGGGCTGCCTCTTCAGCCAGGGTCTCAGAATGATGATGATGTGCAGGCTGCAGCAGGCCCCAGATGAATACGTGGTGTCCAATATGGAGCATAAGGAAGAATACACCTTTGTTTGTTGTAAGCCTCAATATATTCTGTTTTTTTTTTCTTATTGGTTAGGAGCCCTAGCTCAATTCAAACAGACGTAGGTTTGAATTTCAGCTGTAAAAGCTCAGACAAATGACTTACCTTCTGTAAGCCTCAGTTTTCCCATTCACAACATGGGGATGAGGATGGCACTTACCTCACTGGATTGTTGAGACAATTAAATATGAAAATGCAAGTAAGTTGCCTAGCACAGTACCTGATACTTACAAACACCCAGCAAATTCTAGCCATTTCTAATATAAAATAGATATAGGGCACAGGAATAAAAAGGTTTGAGTGTGTATGAGAGGGGGACGAATAATTATAAAACATGACAATTGATCATTCATTTTCTTCTGACACTTCTCTGTTAGCAATAAAGCTCAATAATTTATGGCATTGTGTTAGGCAGAATAATGGTCTCCAAACATGTCCAAATCCGAATCCCCAGAAACCTGTCAATGTGTTACCTTATATAGAGAAAGGAACTTTCCAAATGTGAGTTAAAGTTCTTGCGATGGGGAGATGATACTGGGTTACCCGAGTGGGCCCAGTGTTATCATGAGGGTCCTTATTAGTGAAAATGGGAGGCAGGGGGGGTCTGAGTGAAAGAAGGGGTTGTGATGATGGAAGCAGAAGTAGGAGCGATGTAACTGCTGACTGGAAGAGCCAAGGAAGGCAGACAGACTCTAGAAGAGAGAGGAGCCAAGGGAACGGATTCTCCTCTAGAGCCTCCAACAGGAACAGAGCTGCCGACAACTTGATTTTAGTCCAGTGTGACCGTTTTGGACTTCTTACCTCCAGAACTGTGAAATAATAAGTTTATGTTGTTTTAAGCTACAGAATTTGTAGTGATTTGTTAAACCAGCAATAGGAAACAAATTCAGGTCCCAATTCCCTTTTCTCTTATTTCAGCATTGCTGCTTCTTGTCAGCAGGTAACTGCGTTTTTCTGAGTTAAAAATCATAAAAACCTGGATTAGATTTCTTTAGATCCTCATGCATACTGACTCATAAATTAGCACCCTGCCTGTGGCCACTCTTTCCTGCCAGCCCCCTCCTCCATCCCACATGGTCCCACCTATCCCGTTCAGCAAACATCATCCTAAAAACATCAACATATTTTCTATTTTAATTTTAAAATGACATTTTACTTTGTTAATTGTGTGTAATTTTGGGGGTGGTTTGTCATGCATGATATTTTCCAGTTACTCTTGAATGGTAAAATCGAGGCCAGAAGGCCAGACTGAATTATGCCTGAGGGATTCTTTTTTTTTTTTTTTTTGAGACGGAGTCTCGCTCTGTCGCCCAGGCTGGAGTGCAGTGGCGCGATCTCGGCTCACTGCAAGCTCCGCCTCCCGGGTTCACGCCATTCTCCTGCCTCAGCCTCCCGAGTAGCTGGGACTACAGGCGCCCGCCACCACGCCCGGCTAATTTTTTGTATTTTTAGTAGAGACGGGGTTTCACCGTGTTAGCCAGGATGGTCTCGATCTCCTGACCTCGTGATCCGCCCGCCTCGGCCTCCCAAAGTGCTGGGATTACAGGCGTGAGCCACCGCGCCCAGCCAGGGATTCTTTTTTTTAATTTTTAATTTTTTAAAATTTCTAACTTTTATTTTAACTTCAGGGGTACATGTGCCAGATATGCAGGTTTGTTACATAGATAATCTTTGTGTGCCATGGTGGTTTGCTGCACAGATCAACACATTATCTAGGTATTGAGCCCAGCATCCATTAGCTATTCTCCACCTGCAGGATTCTTAACATGACTTTTTCCAGAATTCTCTTCTCATAAGTGAATTAATTCATCATCAAGAGAATATCATATAAGCGCTCTTGATGATTAATGAATTTATTTACTATAGAAATATGCAGGGCCTATGGTAATAATTTTTTTTGCAACATTCTTGGTTGCTGAAATCTTGTTTGATTATAAACTGGGAAAATTGATTGTTGTCACTGGCGATGTTCGTTTTACTTTTTAATTGGTATGAGTGATGGAAGGCAAGAGACAGGAGGAATATTTGTCATTTCCTTCCCAGAGGCACTTCTGTTATTTTTCAGTTCTCCTTCGTGTGGCGGGTAGGGTGCCCAGGTACTTTGGAGTGGCTCTTATGTTTATAAATCTTCTGCAGGGGCCTGCTTGGTGTTCAGTGTCATTTCTAGGATGATCCCTGCTACAGTGGGGTCCCTCCACTACAGCTGAGTCCCTCTGCTACTCTTGCAATGGAACACTGGGGCTTGGAGTTAAGAGAACATGTCATAGAGGGAAGCATAAATCCCCTGGCCTCTTGAAATGCAAGTCCTATGTTTAGCTACAGAATGGTAAACATTCTTCTCGTTCTAAATAAAGTAACCATTCCATGTTCAAACTGCGACTTGTTTTGCATTTTTTCTCCCATTGAAATAGCATGTGGCATGGGAAGAGTACCCTCTGTAAGTCTAGGTTCCAGAAATAGATCTTTAATCTTTCCTTATAACTCGCCTTGTGTTTCTAGGTCTTTTTGTTCCCCCCAGTCATTTCAGAGCTCAGAGCTGTGAGGCTCCCCCGGTCTCAGAGCTCTTCGTCTCTCTGAGATTTGGTCCTAGAGAAGGGAGTCTAGTTGCTTTCTAGAACCAGCCTCTTTCTCTTAAGAGTGTCTGTAAAATGTTGGTACACACAGTGTTCTCAGTATTCTATTAGGTTTTTACTATGATATTTCAATCCAGATTCTGTGGTGGGAGCTCTTACAAACTTACTGACACATAATTCCCTTTTATACCGTATTTTGTCTAAATATGGTTGTACCCATTTTTAGCTAGATAGCGTATGAATTAGTACTGATTCATGCCCAGGACCAGATGGAGCTTGCCTTTTTCCAAGGAAGATAAAGTGTTAGGTTTTCTTGTCTTAGTTATGAAAAATGCCAGCTTGAACACCTGTCTGGTGTCCTAATTGTCTTAATCTGTGAAGCGGAAGGGCCATCTGGCTCACCTGATCAATTATGTAGATATTGATTAAGATGGGGAGGAAAAAATCATCCAAAGAGGCAGAGTTAGTCACTCAGTCTGCCGTTCCTGTCAGGAGCGTGTTAGTTGCTCAATAAAGATCTGTGGATCCCACTGCTAAGGGCTGCAAGCAGCATGAATGTGTCTGAGATGGTCTGGTAAAGCCTTCATATTGTAGGGAGAAGAACATGTTTGGGGAATCTAAACTACATATTTAAGAAAACAGGCCGGGCATGGTGGCTCACGCCTGTAATCCCAGCACTTTGGGAGGCCAAGGCAGGCGGATCACCTGAGGTCAGGTGTTTAAGATCAGCCTGGCCAACGTGGTGAAACCCTGTCTCTACAAAAAAATACAAAAAATTAGCTGGGCATGGTGGTGGGCGCATGTAATCCCATTTACTCAGGAGGCTGAGACACAAAGATTGCTTGAACTTGGGAGGTGGAGGTTGCAGCGAGCCAAGATCGCACCACCACACTCCAGCCTGGGCAACAGCGAGACTCTGTCGCAAAAAAAAAAAAAAAAAAAAAGCAAGCAAGAAAAAGAAAACAGAGGTAGCACAGAACCCTATGTATGAAAAAGTAAAACCAATTAAAAATAATCACGGGTAAGCATGGGCTCATTTCTGCAATCTCAGCAGTTTGGGAGGATGATGCAGAAGGATCACTTGAACCTGGGAGTTAGAGACAAGCCTGGGCAACAAAGCAAGACTCTGTCTCTACAAAAGTAAAAAATAAGGCCAGACACAGTGGCTCATGCCTGTAATCCCAGCACTTTGAGAGGTCAAGGTAGGTGGATCACTTGAGGTCAGGTGTTCAAGACCAGCCTGGCCAACATAGTGAAACTCTATCTCTACTGAAAACACACACACACAAAATTAGCCAGGCGTGGTGGTGGGAGCCTGTAAACCCAGCTACTCGGGAGGTTGAGGCAGGAGAATCGCTTGAGCCTGGGAGGCAGAGGTTGCAGTTAACTGACATCATACCACTGCACTCCAGCCTGGGCAGCAGAGCGAAACTTCATCTCAAAAAAAAAAAAAAAAAGGAAAAAATTAAAAAAACCCACACAATCATCATCTTTGATGTTTAAAATGAAAAAGAATAAAAATCTTGCTTAACAAAAATATCCCTTACTTGTAAAAGCTGTCTTCCAGTTGCCATCAATTCCTTCCTCTTTAACCACACAAGGTGGAGTCCTACCTTGAATCATATTACTGCTATTTATTTTCAAAAGTGTCTCTGGAGTGACAGGAATAAAAATCTCTGTTCTTTAGGGGAATTCAAATAATTTCCAGACATTTGTTCATGCTTTCACTGAAAAACATAGTTTTTAAAGAACATGGGCATGGAACAGGGGTTGCACCGTGGAGCCCACAAGCAGAATGGTTTCATTTGGTTCTCATGGGATTTTAAAAAGTAAGAAATTTCACATAAAAATGCAGAGTTCTTCACGGCAGCGCGCAGTTGGAGTTGAGTGGCAACTGTCAGCCTGAGATGAGGCATAACCCGCACTCCCTCCCAGCCCCTGTGACTTCCTGAGGACTGCACTGGGTCACTATTCATTCCACCACCTGCATGACCCTGTACCTGAACCCTGACCTGAACAACCATCTCTGACACTATGGAGAAACCAAGGTGCAGAGTCACTCTGAGAAGAAAAATGTTTAACTCCACTGGGACCTAACTTAGTCTGAATGTGAGGTGGGGAGGACTTGAAGTGGGAAAACATTTTTGAAAGCAACAGAAGGCATGGCTCTCAGGAAAGTTCTGTACCCATTTGGTGCAGGAAACAGAATGAAATTCAACACAGTCCATTCCTCATGTGATGTTGTCTACCACAGACAATACCCAGGCTCCAGGCTCTTGTCAGGGAGAATAATGTCAATTGAAGAAGGCGGTGTTTGCAGAGGCTGACTTTGAGATACATGTCCACTGTCTCCTCTAAATTCTATGAACTGTTTCCTTGGATTGAGTCATTCTAGTTTTGGACCTAAACCACCATGGAACTGCTTTTATGAAGTGTCTCTCTGTTCTGCTCACCAGCCTAAGGCGAGTGCCACAGGACGGGCCCACAGTGCTGGATTCAGTGTCAGGATTCTCCTGGGACTTTCAATCTTGACATTCTTCTCTGGGTTAAGTATTGTAAATAAATGTGTTTTCCCTGAGAATCTGTTTTTTTCTTTCTTTCTTAATATTACAAACATTATAAATGTTATACCACATCTGATTTCTCTCTTTGCACTGATGGATAAAAGGTCAGAGTCCAATCTGTGGCCTGCCTTTAGCAAGTATATCAAACACAATAAAATTGAATGCACTTGGGTAATTTACTCTGTTTTGTTCTTTTCTTCCCAGCCCTTAATTTTCCTTTGTCCTTCTTCTTGAATATTCATTTTTAAGTGCTTTTAAAAATGTCTTATTGCTACCAAGTGTTATACAAATACAAAATAAATAACTAAAGTGGGCATTCCAGAAGCCAAGGAGTATCTTCAATTAAATTAGCCCAGGTAAAATAAATTGGAACAATGAAACCCCATACTTATGGACTCTAATTGATTACAACATATGATTGAACACAATGCTTCCCCATTCATTTAAAATTTAACTTAATTTTATCTTTGTTCATATCTCTTATGTCCTAGGTACAAACTCCTAGCTCCATGAAAACGATGACTTGTTTGATAAAGTGGGGGAGGGTCTTCTAGTTGGTTTCTCTCACCACCAAAGCTGCTTGGCTGGTGTCTGAGGTGTGCCAGGTTATCTGAGACAACTCCCCCACCTTACCCCAGGACCCTAACTCCGTGCTGGTCCTGGCCATTCTCTGAAGCAGTATGCTTTCTTCACTCTCAAAACCATCCAGGACCTTAAGAGTACATGAGGTGGATATGATTCCAGTTTCTGTTTTCCATCTTGCTGTTTCTCAACAACATCTGGCATATCCAGGTTCTGTTGGGATCTTTTCCTCTTAATTAATCTTCCAAGTGAAAAATTTGCAACTTTACTTTTTTCTTTAGTATATTTCTACACCAGTAATTGATGTGTTGTATTTGGAGAAAAAAAAAGAGGGGTAAGGAAGTTAAGAGTGTGTCTGTATGTATGTATAACCGTAAAGATATAAACAAGTATGATATCAGCATTATTGAGTGGCATAAAAAGAGATGGTAGGGAAGAGAAAGACCTTGCATCCTTGCTGTTTTCTGCACTAGAAAACACGTGGTGGTGTTGACTGAGAACAACTTATTTTTGGTTTGGAAATTGATGAGGTTTGTTTGGTGCAGGAATGGCTTTGGAGTAATTCAGGGAGAAGGCACCATGCAGCTTACATAAAGCAAGTTCAGTTTCTGCAACTTGAAGCTTCTGGTCTGGTTGGAGGCAAAAGGCTTGCATATGTAACCCAACTGGAGAAGAATTCAAGTGTATGATAAATTACTAAATTATGTATTAAAAGCAATAACTGCAATAAATGGAGTGTACCCACCATTCTAAATTTAACTCATAAGCAATGAATGAAAGACTTTCTTGGAGAGCACTCAGTTTTGCTTTAGAAGTTACTCTTAACTGTTGTAAAAAATGCTCATATTTCGAGTTTCATGGATTTCTTGATTTTTGCGATCATAACATATTTTATGAAGTCTTTTTTTAATACCTTTTGCTATTTTCTAAAATTATTAATGTGACTTATATTCCAGGGAGTTTTAAAGTCACTTGTTTCTTGAGTTTCTTCTGCCTTAGTGTTATATGGCTACATCTGTTAGATACTGGGTCTGGTCCAGAAAATACTATTGTAGTGAATATAATTTTTTATAGTTATAACAATTTATAAAATCCAGATGAATGTAACCATGGCAATTCAGGCAACTTGGTAACGTACTACTTGAAATTCAAGTTTCTTTGAGGTAAATATGTACTCATTTAGGGTGTTCCCTGTTTCTTTTCTCCATCTTCTCAGGAGCCAAGGGTTATCCATCCCATAACTGGTGAAAAGGTTTCTGGTGTGCATCTCATCTTCTGTCTTTGCTGGCCTCTGCTGAAGCTTAGCTGGCCCTGCCTAATCTTTGGGATCTTCCTCTACTTTTATTGTGTACGTTGATGCGGCACATCCTCATGGTATCTGATGACCAAGCCCTTTACTCTGCAACTTCTGGGCCTAGCTTGCAAGACCCAGTTGAACTCCATCTGCTCTTAGCCAACCTCTGGACCTCTCTTAGCAAGCCTGAGGAACATATGGCTGCCCTTCCACTTCATTCTAGGGCTGCCAGAGATTGGGAGTGGGGGGCATACAGGGTGAGAGAAGCCATTTCAGAACTTTCTTTGTTACCCTATACATACTTTTATACTGTCTTGGCTGCCCTTTGATGGTATGGAGCCCTCTGAGAAAAGCCCTTTCTTGTGTGAGTTTCAATTGTCAAGTTAGGAACTAATTCTCCCTATTCCCATACCTCTGTCTTGTCCAGAGAAGGTTGTCTTTACCAATGCTCCAAGGGTATTGACCCATGTGGTGGTCACTGTGTGGTCACCGTGAGAAGCATTTCTCAAGACCCTACACCAACTATTCACTCTCTGAATCTTTTCCAAGTTCCTCGACTCCAGACCAGAAAAGGTTCTTAGCTCCTCTTTGTGTAGCAGAGAAATGGCTTGTATATCATCATGTTTTTCCTCTTCTACGGTTAATGTTATAAACTCTATGCTATTAGTGCTCCAGGACTTATCTTTGGAGAGCTAAATACACACACACACACACACACACACACACACACACACACACACGTCTCTCTCTCTCTCTCACACACAGTGAGAGTAGAGGCAGTGTGTGCGTGCGCACATTTAGCTCTTCAAATATATATCAAATATATATATCTTTCTCTTTCCATGATATTGTGTCTTACCCTCTTAAGAGCCAATTTTGAAATTCAAAGTGAAGAATTTGACTGGCTGAAATTCTGCTTGCTGGGTTCTTTGCTTTTTTTTTCCCTTTTCTAGAACAAAAGCCTTAGCCTAAGATCTTTTTTAATGGTTAAGATGCTGCAGGATAAAAAGGAAATGCCAAGAAGAAAGAATACGTCAGGCAATACTTTAAAATATTTTATAGCTACTTATAGGATATGATCTGAAATAAGTGACGTGGTCTACCATAAAATTTTCCTCTTTGGCGAGGAACTGGCAAGAAGCTAGGCAAATTTCTCAAGATGTTAAGCTCAAATAGTCTTGAAATTTATCATAAGAGGCAGATTTTTCTCTCCCTCCCTCCTTGACTATGAAAATATTTCTTAGGACACTGCCTTCTTTTCCATACCCTTTGGTAACCTGGGAGGGTTGGTTGGCAAAATTCCACACAGTAAGCAATACTCACTGCTATCTAACAGACTTAAACTTTCTCCTTGGGGAAGAATAGAAAAGTGCTGTGGCTAAAAATGTCAAGTCTGGGATCCTAAAGCTCTACGAGAGAAATGATGGGGAATATTGTTCCCTTGGCTGAGGAATAGGCTGGATGACAAATGTCTTTTTCCCAGCTTGTAAATTTCTGTGATTCAAAGAAAACATATCAAAAGGAACGGAGAAAGCACAATATGCAGAAAACAAAAGTGAAGATTTTTTATTCTAATATTTTGAATTACATACACACAAGTACATATGCATATACATACATATAGACATAATACACATAAACATTTGAAAAATATTTTATGAATTTCTAATAAATATTTGCTAATAAATATTACATTAGAAATAATCAATTAAATGCTTATATTACCATCAACTTAAGCCTGCAGATATTGCAAGAAGTTCACAACACTCCAGGATCTCTGAGTTCATGACAGTAAACTTGCATTTCTTTCATAATATTAACAGGATGCTTATGATAAATGCAGTGCAAATAGAGATGCTTCGTTCTCATCATGGGCTGTTGAAACTAAATTTATGTTGAGTATTGCTATGCCAGGTATATTGTATACCCCATAAATAAATGACTCATAACTAAATGATGTATGTATTATGTGTATATGTATGCATCTGCATATGTGTGTGTATATATATTTTTAATATATATAATTTTTTTAACATTAAAAGGTATTTTTACCCACTGGAGAGAGTTTTAATCTCTTAAGCCATAATTTTACATTATGTATTTTTAATTAAGAGCACGGTGCTGGAGTCGCATCGCTTGGGCAAAAAACATTTATTAACTGTGTGACCTTGGGCAAGTTATGGAACCATTTTGTGTGGCAGTAACCTCCTCCAAGACGAGAACAATAATTGCACCTGCCCCATGGGGTGATTGCAGAGATTAAATGAGTTAAGGCATAGCACTATATAAAAGTATGAAATAAATGTAAACTTTCATTATAATTACTGGTATGTGCAAGGCCCCATGCTAGGTACTCTGAGAGATAAAAGTAAAAAGAGACACAGTCTCCACACTTACACAGTTTACTATCCAATTAGGAACACAAACTACAGTTCCACATAAAGTTAAATATTAAGACCCAAGAAGAAAACACAGTCCAGTTCAGCAGCACAGACCAAACTCTTAAATACAAAAGCCATGGGGAACTGGGTGGCTTAGAGCAGAGGGGTATTTTTTTAAATTATTTCCCTTCATCTGATGCTTATCTCTTTGACATGATGAAAAAAGGCTCAAGGCAGATTGTATAATAAACACATTGCAATGGCCCAGCCCTGTGTTAATCCTACAGTGGTTTAGCCATTGGTGACTGCTACATGACGCAGATGCTGACGCTGGATTAAGACTCTTGACAACAGAGATGGGTTGATCTGTGAGTGTTCTAAGAAGTGGGCCAACCCATCAATGTCTAAAGTCTATAGAGGGTTGGCAAATGCGTCAGATGATTTTTTAATTTTTTTTCTGAGGTTTACGGAGAGTTTCAGGCTGTGATTATCTAGCTTAAGAGGTAATTTTGTAAAAGAACTGGTACAAAACAGGGTGTGCCCCACTGCCAAATGAATACTATAGTTAACAAGTACTCTGTGAGATCAAGGACAAGGCTGCTTATTGTGGTCTGGGGTGATCACAGAAGGCCTTGGGAAGAAATTATTATGAAAGGGCCTTCAACAAGAATTTAAGATAATCCTTGCACTAATTAATCCCTTTTAAGTCAAATATTAAATCTCCCAACTTAATTTTTAAATTTGTCACTCTAAATTCTTACTTACAGACTGTCCCTGAATGGTGCTCTGTAACAAAAGATAATTTTTTGGCTAAATTATGAGTTTAGTAGGTTTCCATGAGTTGATCTGAGAATACAGCATCCATAGCATTGCTTCTGTGGGAAAAGGGGAGCTATTCTGAACTTCAGACAATCATTTACAAACCCATTTTTGAAAACTCTGCTTTGATTGGTTCTTTCTTTCAACAAGTATTTATTAAGTGCTCTTGATATGTCAGACACTGTTGCAGGCACTGAGGATACATCAGTGAACAAAACAAAAATCTCTTCCCTCATGGAGCTGACATTCTAGAGAGAAGAGATAGTTAATAAGCATAATAAATAATTGGTATAGTGTGTTGGAATAAAGAAAAAGTACCATAGGATAAAGGGATGGGGTGGGTGGCAATTCTAAATAGGATGGTCATTGAGAAGGTGACATTTAAGCAAAGTGTGAAGGCAGCTGGCCAAGGCCACCAACCACATTGGGAAAGAGCATTTAAGGTAGAAGGAAGAGCCAGTGCAAAGGCTCTGAGGCAGGAGTTTACCTAGTGAGTTTAAGAACAGCAAGGAAGCCAGTGTAGCTAGAGGTGGGAGAGAGGAGAGAGAAGATGAGGTCAGAGAGGTAACTCATGTAGTGGCAGATAGAAGACTTGCCAGATCATACAGGGCCTTGCAGGCTATTCTAGAGCTTTTGAGAAAATGAGGAATCACTTGTATTAGGCCGGCTTAAAATAGGGCCATCTGTATAAAAATAATTCCTCTTTAAATTGTTTCCTTAAACTTAGGGGTGTATACAAATCACCCAGGATCTTGTTAAAATTCAAATTCTGACTTAGTAGGTCTGGGGAAAGGCCTGAGATTCTGCATCTTTAACAAGCTTTCAGGTGATATCAGGCTGCTGGTCCACAACCACACTTTGAGTAATGAGGTCCCGGGGCTTTTGGGCTTATCTCTCCACTAGCTGGTTACAAGGGCCTTTTTGTTCCCTTTGAGCCTGAAAAGACCACCTCAAAAGGTTTTTCTTTATATTTTTACATTAGCCACAGGTCCCCTCACTGTTCATGGTCCTATTACCTCACTAGTAAGAGCGTGGTCCAGGGCTGCCTCCGGGACTGTGGGGGAGGTTGTCCGGCTGTTTCCATGCACAGTGTAAGAAGTTTCTAGGGCTTCTGCAGTGCCACGTGGAGGCTCTGCTTCTGAACCTCAATCTGCTCCCTGAATAATAATTTCACCTCTCACCACATTCTTGTCTTACTCCAATTACAGGAGCTCTAATACAGGTCTTCACTTCTGGTCCTATACCTAGAGTGATAGTCCAGATCTGTAAACTGAGGCAGCTGGGGGACTCGGGTGATGTTCCCAGGCAGAAGAGGTGGTCAGGTGGTCCACGGAAGCCTGTTTGTTAAGGAGCAAGGCTGATTTCTTAAGAGCCAGCCCAGTAATTGACAGTGGAACAAGTCTGGAAGGACTTGCCATTTCCAAATATAAGGCATAGGATACGGAGTCCCATGGGCTTGAGTTTGAATTGTGCTTCCATCCCTTACTGTGTAACCTGGGGAATGTGCCCGGGTGTCTCTGAGATGCAGTTTTCTTATCTCGAAAATGGGAATGATATCAACACCTCCTTTGTAAATTGAGATAATGCATTTAAAGCACCTAGTAAAGTGCCTGGCACAAATGATACAAAATACTAGTTGCCATTATTTTTATAATTTCTACTATCATCTTACTGCGTACCAAATCGCTTTGACGCCCGGCATTATAGCATCCACCTTTACGTTCTCTGGAGTTAAGGTACCAGAGCAAATCCCTCAGCAAAGGTGTTCAAAGAGAGACACACACGCCCGAGCACTTTCTTCATGACAGATGCCACAAGAGATAACTGGAGGAGCTGAAGATGTTTAGTTTAGAAAACAGGTGATGGGGGACAGGTGGTGATGGCTCTTAGCGTTGCCTTGTTCAACGAGACCCTGAGAGCACGATGAGCCCGCGCGGAAGAGATGAAATGGCAGCACCCCCGCGAGCGCATATCAGAGAAACTCGCCGAGACCTAAAGCGAGTCCGCGCGAGATGGGGGTGGGAGCGCCCGCGGGGGTCGTCTCCTGCGCAGCCGCAGCGGCGGCGCCAATCACCGGGCGCATCACGTCCTCTCGCGACGGTACAGTTGTACGTTCGTGACGTCGGCGGTTGCCGTGGAGAGACCCGCTCGGTCCCGACCGAGAGCTGGCGTCAGGAGCCGCAGGGTCACAGCGTGTCTTTGAAGCTGCCTCCGCCGCCACCATGAGCGGCCGAAGTCGGGGTCGAAAGTCCTCCCGCGCCAAAAACCGGGGCAAAGGCCGCGCCAAAGCCCGAGTCCGCCCTGCTCCGGACGACGCCCCGCGCGACCCGGACCCTTCACAGTACCAGAGTCTCGGGGAAGACACCCAGGCGGCACAGGTGCAGGCTGGCGCGGGGTGGGGTGGCCTGGAAGCCGCTGCGTCCGCGCAGCTCCTCCGGCTCGGGGAGGAGGCCGCCTGCCGGCTCCCCCTGGACTGTGGCCTCGCGCTGCGGGCCCGAGCTGCGGGGGACCACGGGCAGGCCGCGGCCAGGCCCGGCCCGGGGAAGGCCGCATCTCTCTCGGAGCGCCTGGCCGCAGACACTGTCTTCGTGGGAACAGCGGGAACCGTGGGAAGGCCGAAAAATGCCCCCCGCGTTGGAAACCGGCGTGGCCCTGCCGGGAAGAAGGCCCCAGAAACCTGTAGCACCGCGGGGAGGGGGCCTCAGGTCATAGCTGGTGGGAGGCAGAAGAAAGGGGCGGCAGGGGAGAATACCTCGGTGTCAGCTGGGGAGGAAAAGAAGGAAGAGAGGGATGCAGGGTCGGGGCCCCCAGCGACGGAAGGCAGCATGGATACGCTGGAGAACGTGCAGCTGAAGCTGGAGAACATGAACGCCCAGGCGGACAGGGCCTACCTTCGGCTCTCCAGGAAGTTTGGGCAGTTGCGACTGCAGCACTTGGAGCGCAGGAACCACCTCATCCAAAATATCCCGGGCTTCTGGGGGCAAGCATTTCAGAACCATCCCCAGCTAGCATCCTTTCTGAATAGCCAAGAGAAAGAGGTACTGAGCTACTTAAACAGCTTGGAAGTGGAAGAGCTCGGCCTTGCCAGATTGGGCTACAAAATCAAGTTCTACTTCGATCGCAACCCGTATTTCCAAAATAAGGTGCTCATCAAGGAATATGGGTGTGGTCCTTCTGGCCAGGTGGTGTCTCGTTCTACTCCAATCCAGTGGCTCCCAGGGCATGATCTCCAGTCCCTAAGCCAGGGAAACCCAGAAAACAACCGTAGTTTCTTTGGGTGGTTTTCAAACCACAGCTCCATTGAGTCTGACAAGATTGTGGAGATAATCAACGAAGAATTGTGGCCCAATCCCTTGCAGTTCTACCTTTTGAGTGAAGGGGCTCGTGTAGAGAAAGGAAAGGAAAAAGAAGGCAGGCAAGGTCCAGGAAAGCAGCCAATGGAGACTACTCAGCCTGGGGTGAGCCAATCCAACTGATCCTGCACAAGTCTCCCTGCTACCTCCTGCTGGGCTGCTCCTGGTTGACTACATATTTGGCTCTCTGCCTTCTCTTCATGTTGGCCTCTGTGTACTATAGACCCTTTGGACTTTAGTTACAAGAATATGGCATTTATGATCATGTTCTTTTGCCTCCCATAGCCTCTTGCTTTTCTACGTTAGTGTCACATGTTATGTGATCGCACCCGGACTGTTCATATGTTAAGCACACATACTTTAGATGTGTGCTCCCTGTTATCTACATTGCCTGGACCTTGTTCTTGGCTCTGGCCTTTCCTACTTGTCTTTAACATGGACACTCATGAGTCATCCTCCAGGACGACCAGTGCATCCTCAAGCTCTGCTCCTTCAGGGCCAGTGACTTGCTGGGCTTCGTGTTCATGCTGGCCATGCATGTCATCTATGCAAGCGTTTCCATTGCCACTGCAGAATGAAGCCAGTGCACATGGTATTAGTCATCAGCCAGAACTTCCTGTTCTGTGGGTCTGGGGTCACCAGCTGAGATGTCACCTGCTTTATTTCTGGCTTTGGCCTGTGGTCTGTGATACCCATCCTGCTTGATGTTCTGCAGAATGGCACTTGACTGCTGGGCATGCATGAAGTTAAGGGCAAGAAACAGTATGCCATGTGTTCTGTACCATCATGTGTCTCTTCTTGCTTCTGGGCCCTTCTACTGGTGAACTTTCATCAAGATCTGCGCCATGCCGTGTCACTATCAAGCCATTAAGTTTTGTCTGGGTTGCTGTCAGCCCCAGTTGGCTTCCTGGTCAACAAGGACCTCAAGAACTGCCTGTGGACCGAGGCCCCCTACCAGTGCATGAGACACACACCTACCCTCCCCAGCTTTCCAGGAACCCTACTGGCTGCCAGACTGATGGGCGGGCTGGTATGTGTGGACATGTGTTCACTGTCATTATGCTGTGGCTCCAGGTGAGGGTGAGGACTGGGCCTATATAGAATCCAGATACCATTGTCAACTTCCCTTATTCCCGTCTAAGATGTGAGCAGAGTGCCATAGTAGGGGTTCTGGGAAGAGGTATTTCTGATTTGTGGGCCTCTGCTTGCTTGACTTCAGGTCACTTATACTTCTTATTTTGCTTGCCTGCCTTCATCCCTCATTTCCTCCCTCTCATTCTTCTTTCCTCCCTCCCTTTCCTGGTAGCCTCCTTTCCTCCCCTTCTGCCTTCCCCTTCCTTCTTTCCTTATTCTTTTTTATTTTGTTTAAATAGTACCACAGAGAAAACAACTGAAAAACCACATTTTTCTACATACAGCTGGGGAGGTAGCTGAGAACTTGGCACTGCGCACACATACTAGGTTGAAAGAGAGTTGAGGAAACCAGAAGGCCAAGTGGATCTGCTGGCAAACCCTGAACCTGTCTCCTGCGCTTGCTCTACAGTTCTGAAGTTGAAAATCCTTTTCATGCCTAGCATCTGCTTGAGTTATAAACCCCAAGGCAGCCATGTCATAGACTAGTGTTTACTCTTGTTTTGACTTTGTTTTAATGCTTCCTAAGACCCAAGTGCCTCCTGCTGTTTCCTCCTTTGTGGTAGCCTCTGGCCATCTGGACCTCAATCCCCAGCTTTCCCACTTTCAGCAGTCCTTTGCTCTCTTTGCTTCTACCTCAAATAGCCCCAGGAGTGGGCTTTAGTCTCCAATATGGAGCATCTCAAGCTTCTCCTGGGGGATGGGGATTGGGATGGGCAGAATCTGTTTTGGATCTCCGGGTTATTTCCAGTGGGTGTAAAAGCAGAGCTGGGCCTTTCCCTCTCTTATCCCTGAGGGTGGGTAAGAAGGACTGTATCTACACCTGTTCTTCCCTACCTTCTCTTTTGTTAGGGAGGCCTCATTCTAAGTTCCTCAAGAGAGTCCTTGGCTTAAAGCTGTAGCAAGGGTGTGCTAGGTGGGGGATTTGGAGCAAAACCGTCGAGTAGGCATGATACTGGTATGGAGTGGGCCTGCAAAATCAGACAGAAATGGCTTGAGAAGCCGCAGGGGGAGCATGCCTGTCTCTCAGTGATAGAGTATGGGAGGGACCTCCCTAGCTTGGAAAATGAGAATTGAAGGGGTTATGAACAAATAGGATGCCTAGTTGAGGATGTTCCCAAAGTTTTGTCCAATCTTATCATTAGTAGATTTTATAAGCCACAGAGACAAACCAGAAACGGAATAATGTTACTTTGGATGCTTTATTTTTTTGTTCTAGGTGTGGCTTTGTACATGCAGAAGAATGCTATATGCTGCACATTTTGCCTTTAAAGTCTTACGACTTTCCCCATTTTAGTCTAATGGGAAGATACAGATGTGCAAGTCTGCTTTTTTGTTTTTTGTTATTATTTTTTTTTTTTTGCTCTGTGTTATGGACATTTTCAGACATGCACAGAAGTGGAGAGGATGGTCCTTGGACCCCATGTGTCCATCACCTAGCTGCATCACTTATCAGCTATGGTCAACCTGGTTTCATCTGTATCTCTCTCTTTTCACCTGTATTGTTTATTGAAAATCCAAGACACTATGCCAATGCAACCGTGACTACTTTGGGAGATTGGTAGTCTCTTTTGATGGTGATAGTGATGGGGTGCACTATCATAATCACATCAGGTCTGCTTTTTGCTTTTAATGTTAACTAATGAAGTTCCAGAGATGGGCCTTAGAAATGTGTTTTAAGAATTAACAAGGAGTCTCAAAAAGAAATGAGAGGGATGCTTCCTTTCCCTTGCATCTACAAAACAAGAGAGAGACTGTTCTGTTGTAAAACTCTTTCAAAAATTCTGATATGGTAAGGTACTTGAGACCCTTCACCAGAATGTCAATCTTTTTTTCTGTGTAACATGGAAACTTGTGTGACCATTAGCATTGTTATCAGCTTGTACTGGTCTCATAACTCTGGTTTTGGAAGAATAATTTGGAAATTGTTGCTGTGTTCTGTGAAAATAACCTCCCCAAAATAATTAGTAACTGGTTGTTCTACTTGGTAATTTGACACCCTGTTAATAACGCAATTATTTCTGTGTTCTTAAACAGTATAAATAGTTGTAAGTTTGCATGCATGATGGAAAAATAAAAACCTGTATCTCTGTTATATTTCTGATTTTCAAAAAAGAATTGGAAGGTTTTTAAACAGAGGCTGGGCAGCTGAGAGAATATATACATTGCCCTAGATAAGTGATTCCCAAACCGCAGACCCTGACTAGCTACACAAAAATACATAAAATTTTGATTTCTAGGCCTTTTACCCAAAGATTGAGATTCTATGAATCTGAGAGGAAGCCAGGTAGCTTAGTTTTTAACATGCTTTCTAGTTGATTCAGAAGCGGTGAACTCCCATTAGAATAATCTAGATTCTATGAATCATCTAGATTCTAGTAGGAATACAGTGCTTCTTAAATTTTAGAGTACATCTGAATTGTGTGGTGAATCGTGTTAAAATATGCATTCTGATTTAGTAGTTTGGGATGGAACCTGAGATTCTGCATTTCTAACGAGTTTCCAGATGATGACAGTGCTGGTGATCTGTGAACTGTACTTTGAGTGGAAAGGGGGGGTGACCTTGAAGTCCCTTTTAAACTTAAGTAGTGGTTCTCAACTTTGGTTGCACACTAGAATTGTCTGGGAAGCTTACAGAAACACTGCCAGAGCTCCACACGAAGACCAACTAAATCAGAATGGGGTAAGGGATAGGTCTGGGTGTAGGTATTTTTAAAACTTCCCAGGTGATTCTAGTGTTTAGCCAGAGCTGAGAACTACATACTCTGATGCTGTTCATTTCAGATCCATAACAAGGATCATTTCCCATTAATCAGGAGAAGCAGTGGCAGACAACCAAGTGGCACACTAAGCTGCCCAGCAGAAAATGGACAAAATTAGAAGTGGGTGGTTACTGACAAGAAAATAAAATTGGCTTATATGACGAAGGGTTTTAATAAACATGCAGTGTTCAGGGCATAGTAGGTGCTACAGTGTTGAATGAATGAATGAATTTAAAGCAGTTTATATTCAGATGCCTGAGGGCATTTGAATTTGGTAATTTGTGAAGTGGGCCACATTTGTTTCATAAGAAGATCTTATCAGTTTTCTGGGGCTGCCATAACAAAGTACCACAGACTGAGTAGCTTAAACAACAAATTTATTTTCTCAGTTCTGGAGGCTAGAAATTCAAGATCAAGGTATCAGCAGGGTTGGTTTCTTCTGAGGGCCTCACTCAGCTTATAGATAGCTTTCTTCTCTCTCTGTCTTTACATGGTCTCTGTGTGTGTGTGTGTGTGTGTGTGTGTGTGTGTGTGTGTGTGTGTGTCTCTGTGTGTATATATATCCTAATCTCTTATAAGGATACTAGTCATCTTGAATTGGGGCCCCTCTAATGACCTCATTTAACTTTAATTACCCTTTAAAGACCCTGTCTCTAAATTCAGCTACATTATGAAGTATTAGGGATTATGACTTCCACATATGAATTTGGTGTGAGGGCAGGAGCAATTTAACCCCTCACAACATCTTAACTTGTATTCTTTTGACACATATGTGCCTCACATGTTATGGTAGTTAATTGTATTGAGGCATATCATGTGCCAGGCACTGTTGCAGGCGTTATACAAGGATTAATATATTAAGTCCTTATAACAAGTGATAATTATCTCTTAATGAGGGGATGGGTTGAAGAAATGGGGTAAAAAGAGGTTGAGTAAATTGTTCAGGATCATGCTGGTAATGAATGAGCCAGGCTTTAAATTCAGGCAGTCTGGTTCAAGAATGCACCAGCTCACATATAGCTCTTGACTTGAGTAGGAATAATCTTCAGTTTATCAACAGTATCTTTATGTAGAATCTCCTAATTTTGCATGTTAAACATAATTTAAACCCTTGGAGTTTTTCTGATATGTGGAATGCAGAAGGGATGGAGAGCAGCATCTCCAGGCCTGATCTTCCTCTCAGGATTCACTCAGAGTCTGCTTGGATTATGAATTGGGAGGGGCTCTCTGCCCAGTTCAATTTCATTTATGCACTTGCTTCTCTGTGGGTGCAGAGCCTCTGTTGTCCAGGCCCTCTTTCAAATACCTCTCTTCAGTTCCTTGGACAACCCATTCAATCTGGGATTTACTACTTCTCCATGGGCTCATTCACTCATTGCCTCTTATATGAACCAGTCCTTGGTGTAGACATTGGAGATACAGCTATGGACAAATACAACTTTGAATTTTTCTTCCCCCACCTGCACTCCACCCCGCCACCCACCTGCCATAGGCTTCAGTCTCTTCTTAGCTTTCACCTGGGGTTGACAGTCAATCTTTTTTTCCATTTTCCTGCATGGGGCTGGTGAATGCTTTAGGTGTCCATGTGGGTTGAAGAGGGGGCTAAAGGAAGCCTCCCTCACCTTTGGCCTTTAGGTCAGACTTCACAAGGGACTCAGGCCTTCCATAACCTGGAGAGGGAGGGCCTCTTGGGTCATTCTAGTCAAGAGTCCTTGGCCCCCCTTTTAGCTTTGACTTTTATTATAAAAAGCCCTCTTCTGATTTTTTCACTGTTACCTCCTGGGCTTTTTGGAAATGTGGTAGGTTTGTGCTAGGCCATAGGTGAGGGAGGAGAGAAAAATAAAATGGTCCTGCCACCCTGAGCTTACCAAAGATCTCTACCAGCTTTGGACTGTCTATTTCTTCTTGCACTTTGGGCTTCTTCATTCTAGTCTACTTTAGTGGTTTGCAACAGAGGAAAGAGAAACACTGCCCTAAGGAGGCACGTTAGAACCACCTAGGGAGGGAAATTTGGCAAATTCGCTTGCTCCTCTGAAGATTCAGAAAAGTCCCCAGCCATGGGGAGCCACTATAACTGATGGGTAGGGTCATATCCCTCAGGTGTTAGAACAATAAAAAAGTACAGCGTAGGCTATCCAGTCCATGATTTCTATCTTTATTTGCCCTTAGTGTCTTCACTCCTGCTTTTGGAATCTTCTCCAACTATATTTCACTGTTCAGGGCCACAACTCACTACTACTCATTCACTTTCACCTGAAACTCTGGCCTTAGAACCTCCTGTCAGGTGTCCAGCTACTGGCCATCCAGCGCTCGAGTCTTGAATTCCTCCTCTTCCTCCATCCTGTCAACCTGGTCCTCAGCTGAGGTTTGACAAATATAAGACAGTAGCTATCATCTGTGTGACCAACACTTCATGGTTTACAAAGCACATTCACTTATATTATCTTGATTATAACTACTATGCCATAAGAAGGCTCAAAGAGGTTAAATGACCAAAATCACAAAAGTAGTAGAGCCAGGACTCAAACTTGGGTCTTCTGATTCCAAGTTCCATCCATCCATGGGACGGTAAGCATGTGGCCCAGGGCAGATGTCTGGCACTATGAATCTAGACACTTCTTTGCACAGAACCTGTATTTAACTTTCTGCACAGCGGATTATCCAGTTGCTGCCCATCAATCTGAGTTGGCATATGAATGTGAAACTTCTTTACCATCCTGAACTACAGCATGCATGTGGTCATAACAACTAGGAGCAGGACCGACTTGACTCATTGGTGGGTGAGGCTTCCTTCAACTGCGTTGTTCAAAGGTTAGGATTGGCTCTAGACACAGTATGCTTGCAGATGAGGGCTGAGTGCGGTTTTGGGCCATATATATCAACAACTGCTGATAAATTCGTTGGAAAGGGGGAAATTTTGCTTCTATAAGAAGAAGTCTGGTAATGGGAGGTTGTCAGGTTGTAGGCTTCAGCGGCTCAATGATATTAGGGATCTGAGTCTGCCATCTTTTCTTTCTTTCCCTTGGCTTTCCCCTCACAATTCCCCAGCTCCAAGCATCACAACCTCACCCACATGCACTCAGAGGCAGGAAGAAAGGGGGAGGAGGGGTCCTTCTTACATGTCTCTGTTTTTATCAGGAAAGAAGATCTTTGTCAGTAGTCCCTGGTGGATTTCAGGAGACCTAAGTCAGGTCCCTTGGGCCAGAAATGAGTCACGTTCCTACACCCTACCTCAAGGAAATCTTGCATTTTCCAGTATCTCTCGGGGTTATGGTTCTGCCATCTAGAAATAAGGAAAGTTCAAGGGGCTAGAGCTGACAGGTGATTTTCAGTCACCTGTAGTTTTATGCTTTCTGAGATAATTTTGTGGGCGTGGAACACCAGCTAACACCTGGAGGCACCGTGCATCTGCCTTTTCCCCCCAGGTCTCCCAGTTACCCCTTGTGACAAGAAAGCTTTACCTTGTGCTCAGTGTTTTGTGTCTCATCTCCTCTATTGCATGGTAAGTGCTTTTCTGGCCAGACGATGCCTTTTTGGTTTTCATGTCTCCCACAGCACCTACCTCAGGGTTCACTCAACATTGGATGTGGGTGATCAATAAATGCTAGTTGAGTAAATGCAATACATCAATGAGCTTTCTAAAATGTCAATTTGATCATGTCAAGCACTGGTTAAAACCTTCAGCAGTAGGATCCAGAATCCCAAGGAGCTCATAACAAGCCCTCCATTATGTGCCCTTTCCTTTTGTTTCTTCCAGACTTCCTTATTATGAAAACTTACAAATATTCAGAAAAGTACAATCCACCTGTATACCTACAACTTAAGTTCAGTGATTGTGAACTTTCAGACATATTTAGTTTG
This sequence comes from Homo sapiens, assembly GCF_000001405.40. Lineage (NCBI taxonomy): Eukaryota > Metazoa > Chordata > Mammalia > Primates > Hominidae > Homo > Homo sapiens. The sequence goes on along the minus strand of NC_000008.11, from coordinate 97,268,959 downwards.
TCTATGTGTGTGTATATATGTTTATTTTGCTGAACCATTTGAATTAGTTGCGTGATGCTTCATCCCTAAATACTCAGTGTGCATCTCATTAAAAATAAGGATACTAGCGGGGCGTGGTGGTGGACGCCTGTAATCCCAGCTACTTGGGAGGCTGAGGCAGGACAATCACTTGAACCCGAGAGGCAGGGGTTGCAGTATGCTGAGATCATGCTGCTGCACTCCAGCCTGGGTGACAGAGCGAGACTCTGTCTCAAAAAAAAAAAAAAAGATATTTTCCCACATAATCACAAGATCATTATAAGACTAGAAATTGGTTCCCAAATACCATCTAGTATCCAGTCCATATTTAAATGTCTTTAAATGTCTCTATTGTTTCCAAGTTTATCTTACCATGTTAGTTTTACAATCAGGATTTAATAATATTCAGGCATTCCATTTGACTGTTATATCTCTTTAGTCTTTTTAAATTTTCCCACTCGTGACATTAACTTTCTGAAGAAGTTAGGGCAGTTGTCTTGTAGGATGCCCCATACTCTAGATTTGTCCAATTGCTTCTTCTTGGTTTTAACTTTTTCCTCTATCCCCTTTTTTTTTTGTAACTAAAGATGCAGTTGAAACACCGAAGATACTACCTAAGTGAAGCTGTGTACTTTATATATGTCACATCAGAAGGTGCACAATGAGAGGTTGTCCTACGGTTGTGCCAAAAGTTTGATCTTTTGGTTAAGATGGTGATCACCATGTCTCTCTTTTGTAAAGATGCATTTTCCCTTTCCAGTTAGCTGGTAATTTCTAGATGGTACTCTGTTACTGAGAGAATATTATGTTCCCCAAAACTTCATCCCAAGGTTTTAGCAGCCATTGATGGTTTTTGCCCAAGTCAGGTATTTCACCGTTGGTTGCAAAATGGTGATTTTATAATCCTGTCATTCTTTTTACGTACTTTAGTTGGCATTCTGGTATAAGGGAGGTCTTTCCCTCATCTTCTGGCAAAGAACTACGTTTTCTCCTAAAAAGGCAGTGTAAAGACTTAATACGTTCCCTTTAATCACCAATTTTCAGCATCAGAAGTCGGTATAATAACCTCCACTGGTCTCAAATAAGGGCATGATTTCTTTACTGTCACTACAAGTGTGTGGATTTTTATTTATTTAATATTTACAGTAAGTTACAGTCAACTGTTCAGTTGACCTGTATTTTGGCCCTAACCAACCTATACCAAACTCCTCTCATCTTTGTCTCTAACTATCTCCCCTTGCCACCCTGTACTGTGCTCCAGCCAGTGTGAACCATATCTGGTTCTCTGAACACTCATATTTACACAAGCTGTTTACTCAGCAAGAAAGCCCTTTCACATACAGCTCAGATATACTTGTTCTGTGCTGTTATTTTTAATCTTTCAAGGCTGAATTAATCCTTCCCTTTTTCTTTATTTCTGCAATATTTTGTCCACACTTCAATCTACAGTAACTGATGTAATGACTTGTACTTACCTGTTTACCTGCCTGCTCCCACCAGAGATTATGTGATCCTTAGATCACAGAAGAATAAAACAGTATGTGTTAATCATTTTTGTATTCCCACAGCCCAGTGGCCTACACATAGTAGGTGCTCATTAAGCACTGAATGAATGCAAATGAATGGTCCTTAGAAATTGATGAAGGTATCAGTGACAAACTACAGAGAGGTTAGAAGAGCTCAGGAGCAGAGATTGGGAATAACTTCAAGTGAAGGAGAAGCATGAACCTAATAGAAATGGATTAAAAGGGGTGGGAGAGGGAAGCTATTACCTGCAGAAAGCTTTGGGCAAAAAACAGTGGCACCAAATCACTCTCACATTGGAAATCAAGTAGGGAAATGGAAGAGAGCAGGAAAGCAAATGAAAAATGTTGGAAATGTACCATGTACACTGTGCTTTAGTAATGTTCCACAGCACCTGAGTCTGTAATTGAAAGCAAGGAAAAGCAAAGCCAGTGTGATTCTGGACAATGACTTTCCCAGGGATCTTTCTCTGTCTTTATACGTAGACATGTATATATAATCTGCAATCTCCTAAGAGGTCCCTTGAATTTAAATGACTCCAGAAAATTGGGGTAGAACAAAAACAATCTCTAAAAGTGGTTTCGCTGAAAAGCAACCTGGACAGGAGGTTAAACCTGCAGAGTGGAACAGAGTGAATAAATCTAGGGGAAAATTACTTTGAGCTTCAATACTAAATAGCCTGAATTCCAAGACTATGTGGAAAATATGGTCATCAAAGCCTGGTGCTGCTTTGCCAAGTGCTGTGGGACTAGATGATTTATGAGATAATTCAGGGCATTAAGAGGGGGACGAGGGTGCAAGGTGAGGCATTTGAACCCAGGCACATTCTGGAGGAGGTTATGATTACAGGGCAGATTGTCCCTAAGGAAGCAAGGTTGTGGGGCCCCACCATATCAGGAGATCTCTTCATCTTGTGCTTTGAGAACCTGTCTTGCTACTAGTGCCACCTCTGGCCTGAGGACAATTTATTATCCTTCTAGCATTTATGTGAGGGACACTGAGTCCCTATAAGCTTACATGCCATTCTCTCAGCAAGAGGTCTTATCTGACTTTCAGTAAAATGATACTCCCACTCCTGCTGCTCGCTTTGTACTCCTTCTCACAGCTCCCTCTTTTCCTTGATAGGATTTATGATTCATGACTATGACTTTGTCTCTGAGTTTGTTTCTTCCCTTAGACTGTAACCTCTGAAAGATCCTTGCTGCTGGATCCCAAATGCTCACACATAGGAGGTATCTGACAAATATTTTGGACTAGTGCAAATGTTGATCTTATGAGCCAATTAAGATGGCAGGTTGGGTGGGCCATGCCTTGGGGTTGTCCTTTGGCAGGAGGAGATGATCCCTTCCTAATATACAAGGGGACTGGGAGAGTCCATTTTATTGAGTGGGTACCACATGCTAAGGACAGTGCTAAGCACGTTATACACATTATCAAAACAAATATATTTTCATACTCATTTTCCAGATGAGATAAAAGAGCCCAAGAGGGTTTAGGTGACTTGCCCAAGGTTATGTAAGTTGTAATTCCTGGAACTAGGGGTAGAGGCTCTTAACCATTATTGTGCACTGCCTCTCTGGTGGAGGTTTGCAGTATGAGTTTGTGAGTTAGGCTAACATCGTCCTCATGCCTTCAGGAAGGAGGAAGGACAGTGTGTGACTATAGATAGGTTCTCAGCTCTCCAGGGGGTGACGATCACTGTGCCTAATCACCAGGGAGGAAAGTGTGGAAAGGGTGTGTGTGTGCATGGGCCATATCTAGGTGTGTGTCCAGGAAGGCCATGAGAGTGGCCAGCAAGCCAGCTTTGACTGCCTGCTGCTTGTCCTCAGACCCACACCATCCTGAGGCTGCCGGGGTATGATGCACACTCACTTGGGGATCACTGCCCACTGAGGTAATTGGGTCCACATTTTAAAGGCTCCCAGCTGCGGGCAGCCTGTGGGAAACAGAGACCCTCCTGGCCCAAAGCAGCCCAGCAGGTGGAGGCCTTTCTGAATAGAGGCATTAAGTAGATGGTTTGATCAGGCTGAGTCACAGATAGCATCAGGCTCAACAAAAGGCAAGAACAGCTCCTAAATGAGGGATTTGTTTGTGTACAGGCCACGTAGGCAGGCCTGCTGATTAGAAGCTGTTCTTTGAACTCCAGCCTCCCACATGGACAGCAGTCCCTATCATTTGTCTTGTCTTGGAATAAGAAAGATGATGAAAAATAAAATCAAGGTTTCTTGATATTACCATGGGAGTGTGCTTTCCCCTTCACAAAAAATTGACCCTTCTACTCCACACAGGGATTATATGGAAAGTAAAAAAGTAAGGAGTTAACACTGAGCAGCTACTGCATGCCTAAGTGACTTATATACAGTTGTTATTTTATTTTTTTACAATAGCAAGCTTATGAAGTCTTCATTGTTACCTACATTTTATAGTTAATTACACTGAAGCTTTGAAGATTAAGGAACTTGCTCAGGGTTACTCAGCCAGAATTCTGTCTGACTGGAGTCTGTTTGGCTCCCAAACCTCTGTTCTCTCAATTATAACATACCTAGAAGAGGGGAGACACAATTACTCCTGTTTTTAACAAGGGTGTATGATTCAGTTAGAATGCTTTCAGTTGCAAGTAACAGAAACCCTGACTTAGGCCCAGAAATAAGGACAGACACTATTTTTGTAATAAGGAATCTGGAGGTAGGTGATCCCATGCTTTGTTTTAGCTGCTCACTTATCAAGCTTCCAGATTCTTTCCATCCTTCCAGTCCTTCCCCTCCAACATCTTTGGATTTGGCAAAGACTTTTTGTCCTCAAACTTGTCTCATGTCCCTGAGATGACTGCTTCTGTTCCAGGCATCATATCCCCAAATACAGTGTTTAAAACAGGAAAGTTAGGAAAGGGAGCAAACAAGGACTTCTCCCCTAGAACCCTATCTCTTTTACTGGGGAGGAAAATATTTCCTGAAGCCTCCCAATGGACTTTGCTTTCTATCTTTTTGGCCAGAAATGAGTCTTCACCCTTAGACAAATTGCTGGCAAAGGGGACTGTTATTGCCATGACTGGCTTGGGCTGACCAGGACTGTTTCCCTGGGAACTGCAAGGAAGAAGGAACATTGCTGTTAGATAAGCACTCACCACACAATTCTAAGGCCAGGGGTTCATCAGACTCCATGACCACCATTGCTAGAATACCTTGGAGAAGGGAGAAGTCAACATTTATTCATCGATTCAGACAGCTTGCTTGTTTAGTACCTTCTGTGATCTCAGGCATGCGTTAGGCACCATAGGGTCAAAGGACCTGTAGAATACAGGCTTGCACTTACTATTTCATCTAAATGGGAAGAGTAGATAGATAGAATAGGTAGATAGATAGATAGATAGATAGATTAATATATAGATATGTGTAAGTATATATATATGTATATACATATATGTATATACGAACAGTTCAATGAAAACATGAAATAAAAATTTAACAAAAACCAGCATATGACCAAGAGGTCATAGGGCAATACAGTAGATTCTTCTTGGAAGATTTTGTGAGTTTCTTTGTCTTACTCATGATTCAGTGGAAGCACTTTAAATTCTTTTTGATCAATGGGATTAATTTTATATTTTCTGTTATTTCTTTCCAAATAAAATACATCTATTAATATTTCGCAATGATTTGGAGGCTGTTTTTGGCCAAGAAAATTATTTTTAGGTGTTAAATCTATATTGTTGGCTTCCTAGAAAAAGTATTTGGTGCTTCGGCAAGAGATGTGAACCAGCTATGAATTTAAGTATCAGCGCTGGTAGTTTTACCATGTATGATTGACTTTTTTGATGGATTCCCTGTGGATCTAAGCAGCATGAAAATCAAGTGGTGTCACCTTGCATTCAAATTAAGCATGAACATTTATTTCAACAGTTACATTTGAGGCATCTGAATAATGCAAAATGCTACAGCAGCAGCCAAAACTTTAGTTTGGCCTCTGATTAAAGACAGTCTTCTCAATCTAGCCCCAGTTTCTAGAATAATCCTGTGAGAGGATTAAACACAAGCACGTACTTTGCTGATAATTGTGTGTTGATTCTATAACAATTTGGCTAGGAGTAGTTGTCCTCATTTGAAACCAAAAATCCCCCCAAATAGTGATTGCTCTAGACCTCCAGATGGAGAACTTTCCCCATAGCCCAGTAACTTTGCTAAAGATCACCATTTGGAAGGCTGTTCTTTTTGTTATTGGACTTCTGTTATATTATCCTCCCAGAAAAGCTTACCTTATTTATCTCAGCCTCTTCTTGGTTGCGGGCTAGGGGAAAACAGGGAGAGTCATTCCCAACATGGTATGGCCTGTGCATTTCTCAGGTTCTCTTTTCATGGGATTGTTCTAATTGGAGTTGGATGTAAGGGTTTTGATGTCTCACCTCAACTTGTTTGGTATTTTTAAATGCTCCTCGGCCCTAGTTGAGCTGGAACCATGGTGACCCAAGCCAGCTTAAAAAGAGACAGTTCTGCCAAACAGTCATCCATAGGTAGTCCACATTCCCTGAGTGCTCCAGTAGCTTCTGGGTCAACATGCAATTGGTGGAAAATGATGTGGATCTCTTGGCTAAGGAAAAATGGTAAAATGCAGATTGCAGAACATGCTCACCTTATAGCTGGCTTGAAGTCTGTGTTTGAAAGCCCTGGCCTTCACAACCCAAACTGAAACTCCAGTTGGAACCAAGAAAGCACAGTGGATATGGACAGTGGTACAAGTAAGCCTGGCTGGAGTCACTGGCTTTGGGTACCTGATGGTGACACCACATGTTCCAGAATGGTTGTCTGTTAAATGTTTACTAGAGTTGGGTCTGGAGCATAGAGTGAAGGGAAGGAATATAATGGAAGGTTGTAGAGTATGACAGCTAAGACTTGGAATCAGGCCGGGTGCGGTGGTTCACACCTGTAATCCCAGCACTTTGGGAGACCGAGGTGGGTGAATCATGAGGTCAGAAGTTTGAGACCAGCCTGGCTAACACAGTGAAACCCTGTCTGTACTAAAAATACAAAAATTTAGCTGGGTGTAGTGGCAGGTGCCTGTAATCCCAGCTACTTGGGAGGCTGAGTCAGGAGAATTGCTTGAACCCAGGAGGCAGAGGTTACAGTGAGCCGAGATTGCGCCACTGCACTCCAGCCCAGGTGACAGAGTGAGACTCCATCTCAAAAAAAAAAAAAAAAAAAAAAAAGTTTGGATTGTGTTCATATCAAAACTCAGAGCTACTAGCTAGCGTGTGGAACCTGGAAGGTTACTTAGCTTCTCTAAGTTTTTTTTTTTTAATCTGTAAAAGAGGAATAAAAGTTTGGAGTTAGATGGAAGTTATAAAAAAAAAAAAAAAACAAGGCTCAAATTATGTATAGAATTGAAAAGTCCAGGAGCAGTCTGGGTTTCAGATACGACTTGATCCAGGGGCAGACCCTTTCCTCCCTGTGGCAAGATGGCGTCTTGGTGCTCTAGGCCTGCAAATCTTACCCTTTCAGTAACCCTAATAAAGCATGAAAGTATTTCTTCCTTGCCAGTACCAGCGAAAAAAAAAAAAAGTCCTGAGGTTGACTCTTGGCTTATTAGTTGATTATAAACACTTGAGTCAATTGCTAAGAACTGGGTCACTGCCCAGCCCTGGAGCCAGGAAAGGGGTCAGCCCCACCCGAGCTACAGGAACAGGCAATAGGAAAGGGATGATTTTTTTCCAAATGAAAATAAATCATGGTGCTAGTACCAGAGGAAGGGGGGATGGATGCTGGGCAGGCCAAAACAATAGATGCCCACTGAAGAAGCACTCCATTCCCAGGTCATCCTTGTTAATAAGGAAGTGGGAGGGACAGGAACCAAAAACACTTATTTATGAGGATCCGGGCCAGGGTCAGGCATCGAGCATCAGCAACTCCCTACCCTGCCTTTCTACACAGTAGCACAGTCTTTATATGATAGAAATTTGGTTGCAGCTTCAATGTGACATACACATGCTTTCAACTCTCAAGGCATCAAACCTTGTTTAATTACTATTATTCTTTTCTTAAGGTTTTGGTATTTTCCCTCTGTATTTCTGATGTGCCTCTTGGCTACAGATAATCCAGATAGTGGTTGCTGTCTGTGGGCATGTGAGGCAGGGAAGTCCAAAAAGTGAGGCTAACGGCCACTACTGACAGATGAAGGGGCTTCCTCAGGGGCAGAGGCACAGTGTCCGGTGATACAGGCTGGCACCTCGAGAATCAGGGATGGGATTTTCCTGGGAGCCACAGGGTTCATACTTGAGGGAGGCTTGGGAGTTTTTCACTCTCTGCATAATGGGTCTGTTCCCCTGGGGATAACCCACGACAAGATATGCCTTGTGAATGTGGGTGGCAGAGGGACACACAGGTGCAGGGGCATCTTCCAGCCCTGGACGGTGCCACATGAGGGATGGATGTAAGACTGGCCATATAGGTGAAGTGTCCGAGGCTCAGAGAGATGGCAGGGTTCACCTCTGGACAGAGCAGGACAGAACTAGAATGAATGTATAACACCGGGGAAAAGATTGTTAGTGAGAAATGCTCCACACAAACACATTCCAAGAACATGAGTGAGAGAAAGAGATGGACTGTGCTTGGTGGTGGTGGTTCGGTGCACTTCCCTCCGGGTTGGGCTGGGCTGTGGTGACAGAGGAGATGGGTACAAGGGAATTATGAGAATTTTAGATGCATTGCTCAAAATTTAGGGGCTTGGTGTGTCCAGACTTTGATGTGGGATAAGAGAAAAGGAGAGCCCTCACGGCGGGACATAAATGGGTTAATCAGGTTGGGAGAAGTGGGTGTCCAGATAATTCCACCCACAAGTCCAAGTGGGGAGCCTGGGTCCAAGCAGAAAAGACAGTTTCCTCCTTTAGCAATCAAAGGAGTCCAGAGGGGGTGCCCAGCCTTGGGCCAGAGGGAGAAAGGAAGAGGGAAAGCTTTGCTCTGAGGATGAGGTTTAGAGCAGAAGGAAACAGAGACCACCCAGAAAAGGGAGACTTTTCCTGTGCCAAGGCGGAGACCCAGGGGACTGTGCACAGTTATCTCGGCCCTTTGAGCGCCTCCGTTTCCCTTGTCTGTGGTCAAGCCTAGCTCTGTATTCCAGCCAGCTGTGGGAGGATGGGGTGACAAAGTGATGCTCAAAGAGAATGTGGGGCCAGCAGGGGCAGCCCAGGACTCTGGACTGAGGCCTTCAACAGAGAAGTCTCCCCCTCCCCCTCCCCTCCCCCTCCCCTCTCCCTCCCCCTCCCCTCCCCTTCCCCCTCCCCCTCCTCCTTCTCCTGCTGGGAGTTAGCTGGAGAACCAACAGGCAGCATTACAGAAAGCTATAGGCCCCTTCAGCTGGTTGAGGGGGCTCAGCTGGCCCCATGGCTAGGGCATTTGTGTCCTGTTTCCTGCCGTGCAGGAGGGGCACTGTGAGGTCCTCCCGCGTCTCACCCCAACCACATACACACCTGTAAACAATGGAGCAGTCCAGTCTCCAGCCCTACCTAGAGGAGCGATTTGTTCTCTGATTTCCATAACACAGAAAAAATAAAAAAAGAAAAAAAAATCCAAAACGAAAAGTAAAACCACTTTAAACAATTAGGAGTTTTGTTCGGTTATTTGGCGAAGGCTGTGTGCTGGGGGAGTGGGTAGTGAGGGAGTTCTTTATCCCTGGAGAATCTAAATGAAGGAAAAGTCAGTTTGAAACCGGCTCCCAAGATGACGCAGGGGTCTGAACCCAGAATAAACTCTGAAAGCTATATTTTCAGCACAGAAAAGAGGGGCTTCCTAATGGAAGCTTTGGCAGCCCTTGTGCTGTAGCCCCGGCCCTGGGCAGTGCTGCGCTGCTGTTTATTTGAGAGGAAGTGGTGGAGAGTGGTCCCTCTTGTGGCGTGTGGTTTTGGCAGTGCCTGGGCTCTCCGTCTTCTGTTTGGGAGTCTGGCCCACCATGGAGCCCTTGCTCTTGGTTCCATTGTTAAAGGATTCCTGCTGCAGTGCATCCGGGGTGCCCACCATGAGATTCCTTTGTCGTGGAAGAAGGTGCCACCCTTTCCACCTGCCTCTTTTCTGGGGGGATTTTCTGCCTGCTTGCATGGGAGGCATGTGGCTGTAGGTGGGGAGGGCAAGGGGCTGACTAGAAGTGGAGGTGAAGGGTGAAGCCACAGGAGGTGCCGTGGCACTTGTCTTCTTGGCCCTCCTGCCTCTGAACCCCAGTGACGGTCTCTTGCGGGCTGGTGGCTCCACCTTTTGGTCTGTGCTGGGACCTGGCAGGAAAACCATGCTTGGCTGTGTGAGAATGGCAGAGTATGGTGGGCCTGGGGCAGAGTGGTGGTGGTGGCAGAGGAACGAAAAGGATGGTGTTGGGGTAGCCATGGGAACGCCAGCTTTGTAACAAGACAGATACGGGTTTGAATCTTGGCCCCAGCACTGATTGCTGATGACTTTGGGTAAATAGCTTGACCTTTCTGAGGGCCAGTTTCTTGATCTTTAATACGGCCATAATCATACCTACCCCAGATAAAGGCTCAGGACCTCTTGTGTCACACAAAATATCGTGTGATTTTGAAAGCAATGCCTCGGACTCAGACCTATAGGCCATAGTTTAGGGGAACCCAAATCCTTCTCCAGCAATAGGGCTTATGCTCATGTGGAGTCCTCTGTCCCAGCTACCAATTGGTGCTGTAGCCTGTTTTGCCTCCATCAGCCCACACTCAAAACTCAGCTCCTGCCCCGATTTCCACAAAACCCACTCATAGCAAGCACTTTGCAAGCTTAATATACCTTACAGACAATCTGGGGATACTGAACAAGCAGCTTATTATCTCATTCACTGTTCTTTTTCCTCATCTTTCTTTACTCCTGTCCTCCTAGATTTCTCAGACTGCCAAATTCTTTCCCCTCTATGCACAGGGCAATTCAGCTCTCCCCATGTCCTACTCCCAATATTGCACACCAACACTTCTAGAATTGCTTAACAGATTTCACCAGATCTAAATGTCTCTAAAAACAGTGGAATAGAAAATAACAAATCTACTACTGATAGTGCCTACTTCATAGCATTTTTATGAGTAATACTATCACCACAGTGACTAGCACATGGTAATACTATCACCACAGTGACTAGCGCATAGTGATCAATAGCTATAACCATTTGAAGAAACCAGGGGTGAGTGTATCTGAGAATCCAAGAAAAGATATTGGCACGTTGGTGGATCAAAAAGCAGATATTGGGGTCAGCATATTTTGCCTTAATCTCACCAGCATTTCTACATCTTGTTGACACTTTGTGAAGTGGGCAGGACAGCCTCCACCACACCCTTTATACAGGAAGACAAAGCGACTTGCCCAGATTCACCAACTGGGAAGTGGCGAGTGTTTATTATGGATCAACATGTGTAAACTGTAGGGGGAGGGGGTAGAATGGGACAGAGGGAGAAGTTGATCAGCAAACCCTATTGGGAGCTGTGGAGCATACGCAGCCCTCAGAGGTGTCCTGTCATGGGTCTTTGTACCCCTGCCACTGTTAGCTGTTGCATTTGGGCTACCCGGAAAGGAAAGAGATGCCCTTGGGCAAAGCAGCTGTCTATGGCAAGCACACTCTGAAGGAGCTGACAGCTGGAGGCAAGTCCTTCCCTCCAGAAAGGGCATTTGGGCAGTGCATCTCCTGTCCTACCACTTTCTTCATCTGCAAAATGGGGATCATGATAGTACCAGCTTGCAGGGTTAAAGTAAGGTAGTGGGTGCAGGTGTCTTCCATAAACAACAGTTGTCTTTAAGGGCACTGTGGGTACTCTGTCTACCAGGCAGCTCTGGCTGTGGGAGCCCCTCCCAATAGAGCTGCCACCAGCCCTTTCTGATAGGACTAACTCCCCAGGAATGTCAGGGTGGTGACTCCGGAGCACTTACAATTGGACACTGTGAAGATGATCATTGTGTTGCATCACCACTGCCCTTCATTCAGTTGTTTCAGATTAAATTCATCATAACAAGAGGTCTCTGATCAAAAACATTGAACTTAAATACGGGGGGAACTCTGGAAAAAAAGGAATGCTGAAAGAAGCTGAGTTTCCTTTCATTCTGAGGACTCTGAATACATTTGAGACTTGCATCTTACTCTTCTAAAGCCATGCAGCCCAAGCTTTCTATTCCATGTTAGTCAGGATGTAGGAGTCATTTCAGACCAAGTCAGGTTGGGGTAGATGATTAGAATGATGCTTGTAGAGATTATCACAATAATGGCCCCCAATGAATCATACTTTCTGATACCATGCCCTTGTGTAGTGTTCTTCCACACTGACTCTGGGCCTAGCCATGTGTCCTGTTTTGGTCCATGTGACATCAGCTAACATAACCCAAGCAGAGACTTGGTAAGTGCTTGCTCACAGGGATTTGCTTGAAGCTCCAACTGGCCTTCTTGAGGATGAGAGACCAGGTGAAAGAGAGGACCTGCCCTCCCAGCCAATTCTCCTGCTGAATGGAGCCTAGGTGAAGCCAGCAGAGCCTCCCAGCTGTCCTACAGAGTCACGAGAAATAATAAATTGCTGTTATGATGATTTTTAAAATTGAGGTGAAATACACCATAACAGAAAATTCACTATTTTAAGGTATGCAATTCATGGCATTTAGTATCTTTATAATGTTGTGCAACCACCACCTCTTTCTAGTTCTAAAACGTTTTCATCACTCCAAAAGCAAACCCTGTATCCAGTAAGCAGTCACTTCTCATTCCCTGCCCCCTCTAACTCCTGGCAACCACCCATCTGCTTCCTGTCTCTATGGAGACACTTTTGTGACTGGCTTCCTTCACTTAGCATAATGTCTTCAGTGTTCATCCATGTTGTAGCATATATCGCTACTTCATTTCTTTTTGCACTCAAATACATGTATGCAATGTTCATAGAAGCACTATTCACTATAGCCAAAAGGTGAAAACAATCTAAATGTCCATTAACTGATGAACAGATAAGCAAAATGTGTTGTACCCATACAATTAAATATTATTGAGTGATAAATTGCTGTTATTTTAAGCCATCAGGTTTTGGGCTGGTTTGTTAACTGTAGTAATAGATAACAGAGAATTTTTAAGGTGGTTGGAGTAATAACAAGAGCTATCACATCTTACACTGCATGCAATGTACTATGTGAAGCACTTTGTGTGAATTCTGCTTTAATCCTCACAAGAACCCTGTGGTTTAGGTACTAATATTGACCCCAGTTCACAAATGGGAAAACTGAGAAATTAAATATTTGCCCAAGTTAACCCAGACAGTTCAATTCCAGAGCTCATGCCTTATTCACTCGCTGTACTACAATCCAGCCATAAATGAAAGGCCTACTCTGGAAGATCTAACTAAGGACATGAGTGTGTAGCTTTGCTGTGAAAGAGACACCATTCTCAGCTTTTTTATATAGTGAATATCACTGGTAGAAATGATCAACAGAATTTAAAGCCTTTAGTAGTTAAAATCTAATCTGTGCAGTCTGACTTGGGAATATTGAACTTTGTAGAACAATGTCTATATAGTAAGTTTTCAAGGGCAAAAGTTACAACCATAATATTTGATATAAATAAACCAATTGAGTAATGCATCAAAGCTTTATATAAAACTGACACAGGAAAAAATTAATCCCAATCAAATAACTTCTGTGAAATAAAATATGAATGAAAATGGGAAAAATTAAAGAGGATTTAACTAGGCTATTTTAAGAAGGTTGATCAAGGAGTCAAATGGACTTAATGGAGTTTTTTCCAGAAAATCCTTTCAGTACAAAAATGTATTCATTATGACATAATTTTGGTTTTAATGGTATTATTCTTAGGAGTCAAAATATCCTTAGGAGAGAACATCTTTCTGAGTCAAACATCTTTTATCTTGCATAAAGATTCTTTGGAGGGTGTAAAGTGTTATCAGAAGGTGAGTATGGGGTCACTCTGGGATGCCAAGACAGATTTGTAAGATTCCAGACTCTTTGGAGAATAAGTGCATTGGTATTTGGAGTCAGACCACGAGATGCTGGGCTTGACTTATGATGCAAGGTAAGGAGGTGAAGGCTGTCCTGTGGGGGTCAGGAATTCATCCCAGTGTAGGGGAGAGTTAGGTCCTGGTGTCCCTTTTGAGACACATGTTCTATGGCAGGGGGTAAAATGGCACATGGAGAAGCCACAAGAGTAATCTTGTGGCCTAATGGTTAGGAAACTTGATAGAAACTCCGTAAGAGGGAGCCTTACTCCTTAAGAGAATAAAGAGCTCACTGGGGGTGTGGTCATCTCAAGTAACCACTGAACCCAGTGCAACAGAAATAGGAACCCAGGAGCAATATCTAGCTAGTTGCAAGGATATGGGAGCAGGAAGTTTTTGGGATCCATTACAAAGGGAATTTGGGATTGACTGAGGTAATGCTGGGAGTAGAGGGAGAAGAACAGAGTTGTTTATTCGTAGGTCAACATATCAGATGCCTATAAATTTTTCAGGTATTGTAAAAATATTTATTAACTATTAATACATAAAGAAAATTTCAAAGCCAAAATTAATAAATGAATAATTAGGTGTTTTCAAAATGTAACATTAGGCCATTCATGTAATAATGGATTATGTATAGGTCTCATATAGCTATAGGTAAATATGAAATGCTTGGATCATAAAAATAAAATAATTTATTCTTCACAAACTCAATTGTATGAAAATTGAACATCCTTTCAAAAAATTTATAGCAAAACAATGTAGAATAATATATAATATAGATAAGTATGTATAGAACTCTGTAACTCTCTTCTTCTGCCTATGTGTCTCTAAATGAAGGCTATGGGCATATTTAAATATGGTTGACATGATATAGGAGTGGTTTAGGGCCTACAGAGGTGTCCGTGTGACACAAAGTAGATGTGGGGCATGTGACATGAATGTGAGGTAAGGGGTAGTTAGCCTGTTAACAAAATTGGGTGGAGTCCAGAGTCAGCAACCTTATTAATTAGTCCCAGAGCTTTATTTTTCTTGAGGCTTGTGTGGCCTCGGAAACAAGACTGTATAAGATATAAGAATTAGAGCAGAAAAAATGTTAAGGAGTACACAGAGATAAAAGAGATATAGGCTTTAAAATTAAGAATGCAGATTGTGGCTCCATGATATGCTAGGTGCCAAATTAGATTAAAAATAAAATCCCCAAACCACACCCTGGGACCTTTGTGTGAATGGATGTTGTTAGGGGCCCTGTTGTCCCTAGGGTCCCACCACTCAAGGACAGGGACTGGTCACTGAGCCCTCTATTTCCCAGACAAAATACAGCACCTGGTACACAATACACTTGGTACGCAAATTCAATGCAATTGGAACATCACATGCAATTGGAACATCCATGGTGGCCAGGCCACATCCCTTGTAATCATAGAAACACAGAAAACCGGGCAGAATCATAGGGATGGTCCATCCAACATTCCATTCAGTGGGATCCAACTCAAGATAGAATAAGTGTGGTAAGAGAGATGTGGGAGACAGTTGTAGAAATACACTGTGACTTGAAGCTGGAATTCTTTGATGCTCAAGTCAAGAGCCTTCTTGGCAAGAGATCTGATCAAGTTTTCACTCTGCAAGGAAATGTCTTCCCAGCATTCTGCCAGCACTTTTTCTGAAGGTGAGCTCAGGCCTTTATATCCCTCCCTTTGGCTCCCACAATGCCAGTAACCATGACAGGTGGCACCTGGCCATGGCAATGGTCTAATTTTCTAGAAAAGCCAATCTGGAAAGCTTACCATGCTTAAAGGAGCACTGACAGATAAGCAGCCTTCAGGATGCCACTTCCTAAAATCCATCTCTAACGAGGCATAGCTAACAAAATGTGTATGGTGATTATTTATTCCGCCAGAGTCCCAGGGTGATGGAATCAGTTGCATGTGAAATTTGCTTTGACAAACCATCCCTGGCTATGTAAGTCCTCTGCTGTGCTCCAGACTGGGAGATTCTGCTATCGATTGAAGCTTCTCATCAACTCTTCCTGCAAGTGGCAAGAAATAGATTGAAGTCCTTGTCAGGCTTTCAGTCATGCACTGTTTCCTGGGACTGCAGTTAGAAAAACAAGTCACCGAATAGTGGGACACTTAAAGGGCTACAAGATACAGGGCAAAATGCCATTGCTTCCCAGATGAGAAGGCAGGCGCAGCTCCTTTGAGGAATGTGTGGGGAGGCATGGATGTCAAAGTGCCAGTCGTAGTGATTCCGGGGTCTCAGAGAACACTGTCAGATCAGGGCTTTGTCTCTCAGCATGTGTCCCAGTTTCTTCAGTTTCAAAAGGTAAGAAATCATACCTGCCCTGGAAATTCTGAAAGCCCAGACCACTCATAGTTTATTATTGTTATTATCTGTTGATGTTTATAAAGCAACACGTTGGGACGTTATGGGTTCAATTTTGTAGCATGGAGATACATCAACATGTTTCCAGGACAGAGGGCCAGGGGCAAGTGGATAATTTACTTTGATTCAAGATAGTAAAGTCCTTAAAGGAGATCATAAATATCATGTGATCTGTGTCTGTTAGGATTAGGTCTAGCTGCTAGAAGCAGAAACCAGAAATAATAGGCTTAAGTAATAGTAATATAAAGGTTTGTTTTCTCTCATATAAATAAGTCTTAGATAAATTCAGACCTCATCCATAGGTTTCTAGCTTCCATGGCCCATGATGGCTTTTGGTGCACCAGCCATCACATCTGTCTTCTAAGCAGGAGAAGGATGGGGAAGAACAAAAAGAATGCCTCCTGATGGAATCCATTTTATTTAAAGGAGCCCCACCAGATGACTTTACTTTCTTTTATTGGCCATCCTTAATTGCAAGGGAAGCTGATGTATGTATTATTTGAGCTAGGCACATTGCTGTGCAGAATATGCTGGGCAGGCAACAGGCAGGCTCTGCCACATCATCTTTTAGAGGCAGCCTCTGAAGCTTATGCAGAAGGAATATTGCTTTAGAACCTAGACATGACTGCAGTTGAATCCTGGCTCTATTGCTTTTTAGCTGTGTTTGGGCAATTTATTTTGATTTTCTGGATGAGTTTCTTTAGCTATAACAATAAAAATAATAATTCCATCTTATGGGGCTGTTATAAGGATTAGATAAGACAGCTCTTGTAAAGTGCTCAGCACAGTGCCTGACATTTGAACAGTAAGTGTTCAATAAATGTTAGTGCCCCTTCTTTGCTGTCCGTTAAAGTGTGCGATCTACCCACGTGGAGGCTTCGACTGCCAGCTCCTTGGCTGTGGCCCATAGTACAGATTCCCTGATGCAGAGGGCCTAGAAGGATGACAATCGTATTATTAATAATTCCAGCAGCAATAAGAGCTGGCATGGCACACATGCCATGCCTCCTCTGCACTAGGCACTGTGCTGAGTGGTTTACCATTATGTCATTTAACCAGTGCTGTAGCAGACACCATTCCTGCTCTGCCCAGATCCTTGGGTCTTTTTTACCATAATAATGCTCCTAATGGTTCACACCTGTGATTTTGTTTGAGCGCTTCTTGGGCCTCTTTGCCCACCATGCAGCCAGCCAGCCAGAGTATCTGGGTCATCCTAGCCGTCAGCCAATAAACGACCAGTGCAGGAGTTTGGAAGCCAAGCTCGCTTGTGTGAGTCAGGACAAACTCTGAGGAATAACATTCTCCAGAGTGCCCCGTGGCCTCAGGCTGGGAAGCTGTATCGTGCTTGGTTTCATTCGGTCCCTGCCCACTTCCCCAACTCCCTTAGCAGGAGCATGTCCTAAATAAACCCCATGCATTTGAATCCTCATCTCAGGATCTTCTTCTGAGGAATCTGACCTAGGACACACCCCAAGCTCCATGAGGTAGACCTATAGGGAACCCTTTTCCATTTTACAGAAGGGAAAACAAGCTTAGACGGTTTGGGTAACTTACCTGAGGTTGCATAACAAGTAAGGTGGCAGAATTATGATTTGAACCCAGGTCTGCCTAGCAGCACCCTGCAATCTTATCTTCCAGCTGCCCATTTTCTCTGAATGGTGGCCCAGCACCTGGAGGGACAGAGTACAAAGGACTCTGGCATGTTGAATTCCTCAAGCAACCTGCTGGTAAGGTGGGCCCTATTGTTTCTAAGGGCACTGACAACAGCATCTGTGTTCTCTGTGAAGGTTCTATCAAGGGTGTTCTGAAACTTCAACTCTTTTGATTAAGGTTTGGTCCCCCTCAGTTTTGGGGAGGGAGAAATGGAGCCATTGGAGAGGACGGGGATGTGCGTTGTGCCTGGCAAGTCGGAGTGGCCTAGTCCAGCCTGTGGTCGGTGAGGTACAGAGGCCCTGCAGTCCAGTCTCTGCCATGCTCCTCTCCCACAACACACTGCACCGGCCTGGCATGCCAAGAAAATTGGGCTGCCTAGAAAATTCAGACCTGCCTAGAAAATTGGGCTCATTTCTCACTGTATGGTTTCCAAGCCATGTTGGCTTTCTCTCTGAAAGAGCAGCTCTTGTACCTTCCCATTTCCAAAAGGCTTGGGAGTTCACTCCTTTCCCTCTCTTGGGCTTGAGGAGACTGTCAACACCATTTCCATTGAAGGGTACTGGGAAATAATAAAATCAGCAATAATAATTAAATAACTATAAAAGTTCCTCATTATCTGAGACTGCTTCACATCGGAAGTGATTCCACCTAAAACATTGACCAAAAAGACTGTGGTAAATAGCGAAAACAACGACAAAACCCAAAAGCAAAAAATAAACAAACAAGCACAACAAATGTTTTGTTTATGATTTTGCCTAGAAAATAAAACTAAAAACTATAAAATAAGCTTATTTTATGTTGAACAAAATTTAAGTTGTAATATCAACTATCAGCTAATTCTTAAAGAATGAATACAATAAACTTTATATGTGAAAATTTTCCAACAAAATTATGATTGTCTATACCAAATTCTTCGCATTTAACTTTTGTAGCACAATCCCTGAAAGAATAATTTTTATAAAATTCAAGTATTTTTGAATTTTTATCATTTTCTGCAAGAGCTTCTTTTAAGTCTTTGACATTAAAATCATTTTTTTTTGAAGCATCACTAACCTTACTTTTTTTCTTTCATTATTTGGGAATTGGCTACCTCTGCCCATACTTCTTGGTCAGTGGCTTAGCTGCCTGAATTAATGCAGCCTCCAACATCACTTTCACTGACCTCATGAAATCCCTCATTAATTACCAGATTTGCAATTTCATTTTGCCATATATTTGCACAGCATTTGCAAATAAGGTCAGATATTGTGGGTATCAGACCATCAGGAAGGTACAGACCTGTGCTTCTGGCAAGAAGGAGTGCTTGTGTTAATTGAAAGGAGGTTTGGAGTAGGGACCAATGTGTGAGTATTTTTGCGATATGAAACCTTCACCATCTTGTGCCATACCATATTTCAGGCCCTTGCATAATGAATGCTCCAGTGACAGGGCCTTCCTTTTATATTTGTACAGTGTTTCTAAGTTTACAAAGCACTTTGACATTTCATTTGATTCTTACTGCTGCCTATTGAGGAACCACCATTTTCCAAATGACTTTTCTGAGAGCCAGAAAGGTTAAGTGACTTGCCCAAGGTTCCAGAGCTGCTTGAGACGCAGAGCCAGGGTTGGAACTCAGGTGTGTTGGTTGTCGGTCCTGCCTCTTTCTCTGACTCATCACAGTTTACCCAAGAGGAGCCCTGAAATATGCTTAAGATGTGCCCCAGACCTTTAAAAGAATTAGATATTTCTAAAAGATACGTCAAAGTCCTCATGGTGGAAAAAAATCAGTACATCTTAGCATTCCTTGAATTTTAAGATTTGCTACTATATTTTAAATTACTTATTGTGGGCAGGTTATTTATTTTTTTTTTTTTTTTTGAGACGGAGTCTCGCTCTGTGGCCCAGGCTGGAGTGCAGTGGCGGGATCTCGGCTCACTGCAAGCTCCGCCTCCCGGGTTCACGCCATTCTCCTGCCTCAGCCTCCCAAGTAGCTGGGACTTCAGGCGCCCGCCACTACGCCCGGCTAATTTTTTGTATTTTTAGTAGAGACGGGGTTTCACCGTTTTAGCCGGGATGGTCTCGATCTCCTGACCTCGTGATCCGCCCGCCTCGGCCTCCCAAAGTGCTGGGATTACAGGTGTGAGCCACCGCGCCTGGCCCAAAGCTCATTTCTTAACGTTACCAGAATCAAAGTTAGCTGCTCTGCTTGTAGGAGAGTCTGTCCTGGGCAGAAAACTCCCTCTCTGGTCCAGAAGTGCTATTTGGCTTACCTTGGCAACATCATTTCAATTAGGGTCAACAATCCTCTTAATTATGCACTATTCCTTAAGCAACAAGGTATTGCTTCATTCATCAGAATTTTATCTCCTAGTTATACTGATGAGAGTCCCTTTGGCCTACTCCACTGAAATTATTAACAAGAATAAATCTGAGCGTTCACTATTACTGCAGTGCCATCCATTCGTTAGGTCTTGTTTTATTAGTCTCCTGCAGTTTGGAGCTGCCAGGAAGTGGGCAGTCAGCTGCCAGTGAGACTGAAATGTTACTACCAGCTAGGCAGGCTCAGTGGCTGGGCCTGCTCTGAGGCAGGCCAGGGAGGGAGGAGGTAGGCCTTTGGGAGGGCCCTGGGAGAGGCCAGGGAGGAAATCTGTTGCCCTTCATCCAATCACTTCTAGCAGGTGAAGCATTATCTGCCCCATTTCTTTCCAAGGATGTAACCAGAGAGGTCAAGGACTCCTAAGAATCACCTGGTTTATTCCTGTTCCTCTAACACGCTGGCTCCCACGTGCTGGCCTTGGACCCTGGGAGGGCTGAAGGGTTACTGCAGTAGGTCTAGGAAGCCACGAGCACATCCAGCACCACAATTTTTCAAATGTTTCCAGATGCTTCTGGGATGAATAAAATAAAAATCCAAGAGCTATTGATTCACTCTCATTGTATCAATAGCCTTGTGGGAGGCTTCTCTTCAGCTTTCAAAGACTTCTTTTCTGTGAGAACTAAGCTCGTCCCCCCAATAGAAACTGGCCCCTGGTTCCTGGCCCATGTTTTTGCCACATGAGCCCCTTCTCCCCAGTCTCAGTGAATTGGATCCAAGGCAGACGCCTTGCCTAATCTCAGCCAACTACAGCCTCCCTTTTAGAAACTTGAAATTGGAATTCAAAGATAGCTTTTGGGTGCAGGTGAGTGGCCCTGTGATAATATGTAACTGGGAACTGCGGGATGGCACCACCTCCTGCTCACCCCAATTTCAGCATGGGAAGTGGGGATGCAGGGGGAAAAGAGTGTTGCAAGTACATGAAGTAGAAACTGAGGCAATGCACAGTCAGACTCTAACTGCTCTCCAGCTCTGGCTTTTTACCTCCCAGAATTGCCTCTGAGTATCCTAGAAGTCTTTCCAATACATTAAAAATTGATCATGGTAGCTCATGCTGGTTTCCATAATTTCAACAAAAGAAAACTTTGACAAAAGTCACTTCTTGATATTATATATTTTCTCAATAATGGATATGTAAATGGTTATTGTGGGAGATTTTGATTTTTATACATGATAAGGGTGTCAGTGCTTAATAAGAATGTTTTAGAAGGTTGAGAGTCCCTGCTTTACCTAAAAATCCTCCAGAAAAGGAAATGCATCAGTTACAGAAGATAATTCATGCAAAGCACTCAGCTCAGCATCCTTCACAGATTAAGTACTCAATAAGGATTAGCAATTGTTTTCTTCACCACTTACAGACTCAGACCAATACTCACAATGACCAAGTCTGAAAAGACCTTCCTAAAGTCTTTTTTAGACTGAACTGTCATGATTTGAGCATGCCCCTCCTCATCCCAAAGATCTTTGCAGCCACAGTGTACCTGCCTGCTTTTAGGAGTAGAAAGAGCATGCACTGGAGTTGGTTGTGTATGGGACGTTGTCTCATAAGCATCACTTGGAGAATGTTTCCAATTAAAAATTCCCAGGCCCTATCCAAGACCCATCGAATAGAAGCTCCAAGGGAGGAACCTAAGAAGCTATGGCTTTAACAAATGCTCCAAGTGATTCTCATCATCAGGGAAGGGTAGGAAACACTGATACATGAGGATTATAAAACCCATCTCTAAGTGGACAAGCCACAGGTCTGGGGAGATGTCTTATATGCAAAACAAATCATACCATGCTTTTTAACCTTAGGTGCATTTCTGTTTGCACAATTACCGAGTATTCAATTGTCCATCTTACCCATCCCCTTTGCAACAGTACCAAGATTTCAATTCCATTTTCGTCTTCTTTCCCACTAAGCCCAAGTGCTGCTGGAAAGCTGACCCCCTATTACCAGGTCCAGGGTGAGCCCTGATTAAATCAAACCAATCGGGTATATTACATTTCCTGGGTCAAGTGTGGGTACATAACCCAAGCAAGTCTCATCGGGGGAGTTTTAGCACCTGTTGCTTAGAAGGTGTCTTAGTCCATTTGTGTTGTGATAACAGAGTATTTGAGGCTAGGTAATTTATATAGAAAAAAAGGTTTATTTGGTTTATGATTCTGATGGCTGGAAAATTAAAGATTGGGCATGGGCATATGACGAGGGCCTCAGGCAGCTTCTACTCATGTTGGAAGGTAAAGGGGACCTGGCCTGTGCAGAGATCTCATAATGAGAGAGGAAATAAGAGAGAATATGGGGAGGTGCTGGGTCCTTTTTAAACAACCAGCTCTTGAGGGAACTAATAGAGTAAGAATACACTTGCCCTTGAGGGAGGGCATTAATCTATTCATAAGGGATCTGCCCCCATGATTGCAGCACCTCCTATTAGCCCCCACCTCTAGCATTGTGGATCAAATTTCAACATGAGGCTTGGAGGGGACAAACATCCACACTATCGCAGAAGGGATGGTGTGGTATAAGCCTGTGAGGTGTGGAACTGCTGCAGCTATTTTGCCACTATGAGGGAAATAGCTTCAGGATGACTCTGACACTATGGTAAGCAGAGCAGATAATAGGAAATAAGACAGGCCCTTATTGACATTATTAAGATGCCAAGGCTCAGCTTACTTCTGTATTTTTCACTTATGGGTATCAAAGAGTTTCTTTTATGGTTTTAGTTACTGTGAGTTGGGTATTTATTTGCAACAAGGAGTGCTAACAGGTGTACTTTACACGTCTTAAAAAACCAATAAGTTTATTGCATGTTTTGATGCAAATTGATCAAGGCATTAAATCCTTGGCTGATCCTCAAACAAGAGGGAATGGATTTGAATTTCAGCAAGAAGGATTTGGGTTAGAAAGAAGGAAAACTTTTCTTCCCATAAAGTTTGTGAGGTATTTAAAAGGCTCATCCAGGAAAGTTTTAAGAAATTCCTATTCTAGAGATTTTTAAAGTGAGTAAATTTTCTAGGATAATTTCAGTCTTGTCCTAAAGAGCAGGGGAGGGATAGAATAATTGTCCTCATGTAGGATCTCGTCTACTCCACAATTTTATAAAATTGTCCAAACTTTATTCTGGACCTGATTCCTGATTTCAGTTATGAAATTCATCATCCTTGCTCTGCTAGAGTTTCTCAAATGACACTTCACAAACATTCTCATGGGCAGACCCACCCAGATGCCTTCTCCTGAGCTGCTGAGGAATGAAAGAGTTTGTTCTCTTCCTTGTCCTTGACTAACCAGATGTGTCACTTGGCTAGCCAGGAATATTTTTACTACAAACTATGCTGTTTCCACTGACCACAATTCCAAAGCCGTTAAGACAAAAACAGAAAAAAGACCATATTCTGGTTTGTCTGATTTTCTGATGTGAACTTGATGAGGCAGATATTATTCCAGGGCATTAAATCTTTCCCACTAAAATGTCCTACAACACCTAAAGCCTGCTTCTTTTTTCATTGAACACAGCAAGTGTGCAGTGGGGATAATGTGTCAAGAAAATGATGTTGTTGTTTTTTTTCTATACGGAGTGCCACAAGGACTAGAGTACTCTCCTTATGCTGGTATGACAGCAGTAAGGGTCTAGCCCCGAGTTCATTCCTTCATTTGACATTTATGGTGGTAGGCATGTGGTAGTTGGAGTTGAATCAGACATTGTCCCTGCCATTGACAGACTCACAGCCTAGGAACAGAGTCACATCAACAGCCGCCTAGAGCGTGAGAGGTGTGAGCAAAGCGCTGGGGGAATGAAGGGAAGGGGGCCGAGCATCTGCTAGCAGGAGGCTTCCGAGAGGAGGCCAACCTGCTTGGCTCTCAGCAGACACATTCGCTGAAGAGAACTGAAAATAACTCTTGTCTTGGAGTGAGAGCTATGACCTCTTAGTCCCAGCTCTGCTTTCTCATTTTTTGTAAATCTTATACAAGCCACTAAATTTTCCTGAGCTTGTTTCCTCAGCAGGAATGCAGAGGTCATAAACCTACCTCACAGAGCATGTGAAAGGGGTTTGTGAACCATAATGTCTGTGAATCACTGCACATGATTTCCCTCTGTGAGGCCGGAGAGGACTGCATCAGGAGCCTCCTCCAAGAACAGACTGTGGGCAGAGGGGGAAACCCCAGGTGTGAGGGAGGGGAATGTCATGGAGGAGCCAAACAGATTCTTTAGGTATATGGGCCGTTGCTGGTCTCTCTTTTCAGCTTGAAAGGGCAGAAAGCTCAGGCTATCCTAGATGATGGGGTCAACCATTTCTAACGGTGGGCGGGGGGCAAGAAAATCAAAATTCCAATTCAGCCTCCCTGGTCTAGCAGAAAGGCTCAAATTTTCTGCTTAGCTGGTTTTTCCACCCTTTGAAAGCTCAGTAATATTTGACAGAACGGGCTGCATCACCATGGAGACATGCACCTGCCAGGTGCTTTGCTGGGCAAGACAAGCAGGCATATGGATGCTGACTGCACGGCCACTTCAGAGACACCAGGAAGGCCCCAGCTTCTTACTGTCTCCAAGGCCCTCAGGTCTTGCTTTTCACCCTCCCTCCCCATTTTTTTTTTGTTTGTTTTTTGTTTGAGGTGGAGTCTCACTCTGTCGCCCAGGCTGGAGTGCAGTGGCGCGATCTCAGCTCACCGCAACCTCTGCCTCCTGGGTTCAAGCAATTCTCCTACCTCAGCCTCCTGAGTAGCTGAGACTACAGGCACCTGCCACCACACCAGGCTAATTTTTTGTATTTTTAGTAGAGATGGGCTTTCACCATGTTGGCCAGGATGGTCTCGATCTCTTGACCTTGTGATCTGCCCATCTCAGCCTCCCAAAGCGCTGGGATTACAGGCGTGAGCCACCGCGCCTGGCTCCTCCCCCTTCTTAAAACCTATTCAACAGCGTATACGTTTCCTCTAACGGGGATGAAGCCCTTCATTTCCTAATTTGCTATAAGGGCGAAGATGCCATTCCCCCTGGGGGAGAAAAGAGTGGCATCCACACAAAGCTATAATGATGTCTGTGATATCCTTTGAGAAGAGGGTTGGTAGCTAGAAGTGGGTGAAAAGAGGGCCCAGAAGTACTCAGTGTTCGGGAACCCAGAGCAAAGCCCCAATTGCAAAAGAGATGGCAGCAGAAATGCTGCTGTCAAAACGCTACTCCCTCCACAATTTTCTCTAGGTTTGGTCCTATTAATAGCACCTGAAATTTGTGACTGCTACGTGCTTTCTGTCAGAAGGCTAGAATGGTGGGGCTAATATTTTGGTTTTTAAAACAGAAGAAAGAATGTAAATTTTGGAAAATATTGGGTTTACTGTTGATCTTCATCTAATTCTGGAATAAGTTATTTGGTAGAGATTTGTAGGGCCATTTTGAAAGAAAATAGTATTCATGAGTTACAAGCAAAGGCTCAGTTAGGAATTTATAGCTTGCAGCTTACCTTCTTTCAGGCAAGTATGGTATGCAAAGGAGGCAATGAATAAGCATTTGTGAAATAAATGAAGGCAAATTTGAGGTAGTCAATAATAATAAAAATGTATCCTAAAATGGAAATGTAGAGACAAGAAAAAGAAAAAAACTGTTGGAGAAAAAGAAAAAATGGATTTTAAAAAAGAAAAAATCAGAAATAAATATTTTAGTATCTGGAATGATTGAATGACCACAAATAAACATGAGATTTAACTCCAAGATTCCTAGAAACCAAAGCAAAAAAGTAACTGTTAAGGTCTCCTATTCTCTTGATATTTGACAAAAATATAAACAAACAAACAAAAAAACATAGAATTATGCCTGAATAGATATTGAAAATATTTTTTTCTGGCATTAAATTCAGTGTGAAATTTATTGCATGAAAATTCTATTTTACAAGGAACAACAAACAACCCAGTAAGTTTCAAAAGATATAGACAAATAGACCTTTTAATACCGATTCTCTATAAAAGCGAGCACTTCATATTGAATCATAACTCACTTAAGACATTTTTGCAGGGAACTATTATAATACAGACTAGAAACATTTCTTTAGCAACCCCAAAGGAAACAAGTAAATAAATAATGTGTCGTTTGGTGCAGATCTCTCAAATATCAGATCTAGGGATGGAGTTTTAGATCCTATAACATTGACAGCAGAAATGTCTTGTTCTGTATTTTTGGTGAGGGAGAAAGCTAAATGCTTTAGAGAGCAGACATGCAGAAGCAAATTTAATATTATACTACAAAACCTTAGGAATTTGATAAAAATTATTACCCAGAGAAGGAATGTATTGTAGAAAAATAAGAGCCCAGGATACCTTTCGCATAGACTGGGTTTCAAAATCTGACTCAATGATTACTATGTGACCACCTTGGCCAAGTTACTTCTCTCAGCCTCAGGATTCTATTTGCCAAAATGTGAATAATGTGCCTTTCAAGGTTAACTGAGAATTAGAAGACATAGTGTAGTAGGTACTATTAGCTTCAGCTGCAAGTAGCAGGAAAAAACAAAATAACAGTGACTTCAATAAGGTAGAAGTATATTTTTCACTCATCTTCTAGACCAGGGACCAGACTCCTTCTAGCTTCTTGTTGTACCACGAATGGCTTCCATTCCCAAGATCACTTCATGGTCCAAAATGGCTGCTGGAGTTCCCGGATTACCTTCACATCCCAGCACACAGGCAGGAAGAAGAAAGGGAGAGGGCACGTTATTTTCTTTTAAGAACACTTTTATTTACATCCCTTTGGCCAGAATTTTGTCACAAGGTCTCACTTAGCCTCAGGGAAAGGTGAGAAACATCATCTTTGTTCAGTACAACCCAGTTAAATATGGGACACCCAGTTAAATCAGAATTTTAAGATAAATAATGAATAATTTTTTGAGCATAAGTATGTCTCATGCAATATTTGAAACATACATTTTTTTTTCATTGTTCATTTGGGATTCAAATTTAACTGGATGTCCTATATTTTATCTGGCAACACTAACTAGTTAACAGTCAAGGATCCTATTACTAATCGAGGGTGAAGGGGCACAGGGAGGAAGGGTGACCACTGAAGGACAATCAGAAGTCTCTGCCACAAAGTGAGACCCCTCAAAGTGGGTGGCAATAAATGTTGGTCCTCTCTTCCCTTTCCCTGTAAGGCAAGGCAAAACCAGAGGGTGGCTGCAGGGATAACTGCTGGTAGAGCCAACATCTGTTTTTGAAATAGAACCAATGTTCTATTTTAATGGCTAGTTTAATCACATGAGATGCATGTACTTGGTTAAGACCTCAGAGATCTCTGCTGTATGCATGAAAGAGACAACTGTGGCCTGAAAAGCAACATTAATAAAAGCACTGCTTCTTTTTAATCACAAAAATGCTTAGTCTCATCTCTGCAGAAAGTCTGTTTCTGAACACATCCTGTAAGCTAATGGACCCATCAACTGAGTTGGTTGTAAGGAAATCTTCATGTCGTGAAAGAAAGGCCTGCGGGGCATGGCCGGGGTGCAATGGACTGACTATTTGTGTTCCCCCAAAATTCATATATTGAAACCCCTAATCCAAATATGATTATATTAGGAGGTGGAACCTTTGGGAGGTAATTAAGTCTTGAGGATGGAGCCCTCAGGAATGAGATTAATGCCCTTATAAGAAGAGTCCAGGGAACTAGCTTGCTCTCTTTCCTCCATGTGAGAATACAAAAAGAAGACAGCCATCTGCAACCCAGAAGAAGGCCCTCATCAGAGCCCAACCATGTTGGCACCCTGATCTATCTCAGACCTCCAGCCTCTAAAACTGTAAAAAATACATTTATGTTGTTGATAAGTCACCCAGTCTACAGTACTTTGTTATGGCACCTGATCAGCCTAAGACAGGAAGTATTCAGTCTATTACTTACCCACTTGCTCCCCACTGCAAATATTTTCACTTTTGTATGGCAGACCTGACATTGTTCTTTCTGATTGTTGTTACCAAATGTTTTAGCTTCTTCTCAAGGCTGCTCTGAGTTCCTCACTCTAAAACCATGTCATTGGTATAATGGAGGAAGTCCCCAAATGCTGTGGAAAACAGAGCATGAGTTCATTTTAGTTAATAGCAGAAGTAAATTATTTGGGTTAAAGGTAAAATAAAGTGGGGCCAGGACATAGTCCTATTTTGTAGGATTTAGAATGAGAAGTTGCCTTATCAAAAAAATTGTTCTTATGAGCAATATTGTGTTACAGGCTTTGATGAAGGATTATTTGCCTGTAATCTACATGGATAATATCAGATCTGCCCCCTACTCAAGTTTTCAGATTGGCAATGGCCTCTGAACTGGTCTTTCTACTTCTACTCTCCCTCCAAATCCATTCTTCACAAAGCAGCAAGAGTGATCAGTGATCATCATAAGACATATCTCAGTATAGGATGGGCACAGTGGTTCACGCCTGTTATCCCAGGACTTTGAGACACCAAGGCAGGAGGATCACTTGAGGCCAGCAGTTTGAGACCAGCCAGGACAACATATCAAGACCCCGACTCTATTAAAAATGTAAAAATTAGCTATCAGTGGTGTGTGCTTGTAGTTTCAGGTACAGGAGGATTGCTTGAACCCAGGGGTTCAAGGTTACAGTGAGCTAGGATTGCACCACTGTGCTCCAGCCTGGGTTACAGAGCAAGATACTGCCTCTAAAAAAAAAAAAAAAAACCACACACACACACATACATACACACACACAAACACACACACACACATCTCAGTATAAACTCTGCCTGAGATCTCTAATGGCTTCTCATTGCTAGTAAAACTAAACCCCTTACTAGGCTGAAAAGTCCCCATCCAGTCTGATTTTCTTTTTATTTTTTGACCACACTGCAGCGGGTTGAATGGTGGCCCCAAAAATATATGTCCACCTACAAATCCCTGGAACCTGTGAATATTACCCTACATAGCAAAAATATGTGATTAAAATAAGAATCTTGACAAGAGGCACTTATCCTGGATTATTCAGGTAGCTCTAAATGCAATCACAAGCAACCTTGTAGGACAGACACACAGAGAAGAAGACACACAGAGAAGAGGAGGAGGCAATGTGACCACAGAGGTAGAGACTGGAGAGATGTGGTCACAGTCAAAGAATTTCTGAGCCACCAGCAGAGGCAAGGAACGGGTTCTCCCCTGGAGCCTTTGGAGGGAGGGCAGCCTTGTCACCTTGATTTCAGATTTCTGGCTTCCAGATCTAGGAGAGAATACATTTCTGTTGTTTTAAGCTGCCCAATTTGTGGTAATTTGTTACAGCAGCTGCAGGAAACTAATACACCTGCCATGACTGTTACAAGCCTGCTGGGTTCTTCTTGT
Source organism: Homo sapiens (assembly GCF_000001405.40). Taxonomy (NCBI): domain Eukaryota; kingdom Metazoa; phylum Chordata; class Mammalia; order Primates; family Hominidae; genus Homo; species Homo sapiens. The sequence continues at coordinate 97,239,780 of NC_000008.11, read as the reverse complement.
CATTCAAGGCTCAGGTTAAATGCCACCTCCTCAGATGTGCTCACCTGATTGCCCAGTGTTAAGTCAGCTCTCCCTGACCCTTCGGTCACTCTGGGTGTTTTCAAAAGGAGGGAGTGATCAGGTAATTACATGTGACTAACAGGAGAAGCAGGACGAGTATTGAGAACTGAGGAAATAAGGCACAAAGAGGGTTAATAACTTGTCCATTGTTGCACATTAAATGGAAGGGCCAGGAACCAGATACGAGCTCCCTGACTCCAGAGCTTGTGCCCATTCTCTCCAAGCTATACTGGCTCTCGGCAAGGTGAGAGATACTGCCAAATGGTCATTTGAGCAAGAGAGCGTATATTCTTTGTCATAGTTATAAAATTGCAGAGGCCCTTGCTGCATTCCATTCCTCCTCCCCTCTTGCCTAACAGCCTCCTCCCCGTGTCATGCTTGTTGACAGAGGTAGAGGAAGCACAAGTGGAGAATGACCACTCACTTTTACCCACATCAGATAGCCATTCTGAAGGATGAAGATAGCAAAAGGGGGCTGAAGGCTTATTACACCAACAAAAGCAATGGCCCATAAGGTGTGTAATTGGACATAGACTTACACTTTGGTCTGCCACTTAGCAGTGGTAATTAATTGAAGGTTATAAGGATGTTTGATTCGGGTGTTTTCTTCTTTGTTTCAGGCAGCTAATTGCTCATGAATAAATTGCCTAAAGAGAGGCAATATTTCTTTCTTTTTTTTTTTTTTTTGGTTTTCAGCCAAGCTTTTAATAAAAAGATTATAAAATAACAGTTTCTCATCATTGTATGTGAAGACTGCATCCTTCCGAATGGAGAGATCAGTCATCCATGAATTGCTTTTCTATGACACTGGATGGCTGTGTAGCTGCAGCTCTGACTTGAATTTATACAGACTCTTGAGGGACGTACACTCAAAGTGATGAGTGACAGTGGTGGTGGCCAGTGCATAAGTGAGATCCTGATATCTTTCCCCCTTTCTGTCCTAAAATAGGACATGATCCCTGTTCTAGTTCCAGTTAAACAAAACAGCTATGACCCCCTCCCTTTCCACTCCCCCTTAAAATATTTGTGAGAATGAGCCAGTGCCCAGTTTAGGGCTCCCCCAGGGCACAGGGGGAAACTAGTGTTGGGTGGGATACAGAGAGGGGAGTCCCCTCAGTACCTGGCCCCGTGGGGCCCCATCAAGTGGAGTGAGAGAGCTCTGGGGATTGAGAGGCAATATTCTTGATCTAGGTTCTCCATGGATGGCTGTTTGACAGAGCCATTGTCAATTTTAGCTTTCATATGTCCTAAAGTTACTAAAAGTTAACATATTTTACAAATATAAAGCTCAGAAGAATGTCAAATTGAGTCTATATATTAGTAGGATATGTGTATTTTTTTATGGTAAGAGACAAGATGGCCTTGGGAGCAGAATCAGCATCAATATTTAAAGGAATGAGTTACCAGATATGCAGAGCTGACCCATAATTTGTATAGAATAGTATGAAAGGAGAGGACACAGGCTTGCTTCTCATTAAGAGATGGATTCTTAATGAGAGACAAGTCTCTATGTCTTCTTCTTTCCTTAATTCCTCCCTTTTTGAATCTAAGCTGGCCATAGTGACTTGCTTGACTAATAAAATACAGTGAAAATGATGTTCTGGGACTTCTGTGTTTAGGTCAGAGGAAGTGTTGTAGTTTCTGCCTGGGTCTCCTGGAACGTTCACTCTCAGAATGGTCCATCTTGGAACCAGGTGGCATACTGTAAGAAGCCCAGGCCACATGGAGAGGCCATAAGTAGGTGCTCCAACTGAGCTTCCCTCCCACAGCCAGTATCAGCTGCCAGCTATCTGAGTGTGCCATATAGACACGGATCCCAATCAAGCCTTCAGCTGAGTGCAGCCCCAGCTAACATCTGACTGCAACTGTAGGAGAAAGCCCAGATAAGAATCACCCAGCTGAATGAAGTCAACCCATAAAACCATGATAAATAATAAATTGCAGTTTTAAACAATTATGTTTTGGGTGGCATTCTGTGGAACTGTGGATACTTAGAACAGAATTTGGTACCTGGAGTGCTGCCATAATGAAAACTTAAAATGTGGGATGTTGGCTTTGGGGACCAAGCAGCAGGAAGAAGCTGTGAGGTCCCTGAGGAAACTATTACTGAGAACTAGAGGGAAAATGAGGACATTGTTATTGGAAGTTGGAAAAAGGCATCCTTTGTTTTGTAATGATGGATAATTTGGTATACTGTTGCTTTTGGTAATGTGAAAAACAGAAAATATATCTAGGAAATGGCAGATTTGGCTAAGGAGACTTCCAGGCAGAATGCTAAACATGCCTAATGGTTTCTCTTAGGCAAGTATGGTAAAGTATGAATATAGGGAAGTGAACTCCCCTCTTCCATAATGAACTATTCGGTTTCAAGCAAAACTTAGATGGAATATAAGAAGCCAGACTTGCTGGGTTTAGAAATAAAGCTGTTTTCCATTCCAAGCCTCTCCAGTTGGAAAAAAAGTTCTCAAAGTAAGACATGGTATAAGGTAATGATCATCTCAGAGATATGGCTCTAAGACGCTTGCTAAGATTTTAGAAACCTTTAAGGTGACATACTGTAAGAAGCCCAGGCCACACGGAGAGGCGAAAGTCTACTTCACAGACTTTGAAGAATTCTGAAGGGCATTGTTCCATAGCACCTAACTGTCAGCCCAAGGCAGAAAGTGGCATACCTTAAAGAGATTTGTAGGTATGTATTTGACTAATGGAGTGAACCTGAAACAGTCTTTAGGAAACTTACAAAAAATTTAAGAGAATTGTACATGCGAAAGCACCATCAGCCTGAACTAAACAGGAAAGAGACAGTTCAAACTGCAGAGAGCCTTATATGGGTAGGAAGTAGGACAAGAAGGCTACTAAGCTGCAAACATGGCCATTTCTTATGGAAAAGGAAGAATGATTCAGAGAGCAGAATCAAAATCCCACTAGGAGTGGGGAGCCAAGAGCTACAATCATTCCCAGGGAGGCACAACTGGGAACTCACTAATCAAGGATCTGGCAACATGCACCTGGCAGCAGTTTAGAATTGCTATGGATCAGTGACTGCGATGTGCCTCCAGTTTCTTTCCCTTTCGAATGAAAGCTTTAGTGAAGTTATCCTATCTCTGTATCACCACTGTATTTATGTGTGTGGGACAGATAACTTGTCTCTTCATCTAACAGGTCTTCAGATTGACAGAGCTGTACTCAGGGAACTATACCCCAAGGAGGCTCATCTGCATCAAGATCTGACTTAGATGATAAAATCCTGGACCTCAAGCTTGAGTGGATGCCATAATGGGATGAGACTTTTGGGTCTTAGGAGGAGACACGTGTATTTACCATGTGGGAGGAATGTAAATAATATGCAATCAGAGAGCAGACAGTGACAAAGATGACTGCAAATTCTTTGACCCTCTTCCTATTAAGAGTTATTGTCTTATCTCCCTCCTCTTGAATCCAAGCTGGCCCTGCGGAATTGCTTGACCAATAGAATACACAGGAAGTGAAGTTTGGGACTTGTGAGACTAGGGCATTAGAAGCCTTGCAGTTCCTGCCTGGATCTCTTGAAAAGTTTTCTCTTAGAATACTCCTTTTTAGAATCCCACTATCCTGTGGATTCTAAATTCTGTGAGAAGCACAAACCACACAGACTACATATAAATGCTCAATCAGTAGCCCCAGAAGAACTCCCAGTCCTCAGTGAACATTGACTGGTGGCCATATGATTTGTCATCTCGGACATCCAGCCCAGTTCAGCTTTCAGGTGACTGCAGCCCCAGCTGCCATCTGACTGCATCTGCGTGAGAGACTATAGGTGAAAACTTCCCACCTGACCCAGTCAATCCACAGAACCATGAGAGATCATAGTAAATTGTTTTAAGCCATTAAATTTTGATGATGGTTTGTTATGTAACAAGAGATAACCAGATAAGGTTAAATCTTAGAGGTCAACAGTCATGGTTTCAAATCTCAAGTTCATCATTTATCAACTATGTGATTGTGGGCAAGTCACCTAAAATATCTGAGCTTCATTTTCCTCATCTATAAAATGGGAATCAAAACAGAACCCACCTAATGGGTTTGTTATGGGAATTAAAAGAGAGAATGTATGAAAAGCGACAATATAGTGACAGAAAGTGGGTCAGTAGGTAGTTACTATGGTTAGTAAACCAGTGTGAGTCATCTGCTTTTGTTGAAAGGTAGATGAGATGCTTGTGGCCATGTGGGAAGAATTAATTTAAGAATCTGGTCATTTTACTAAGGACCTGAGAGTAAGGTTAGGTCATTAGCATCTTTGTATTTGCTGTCCATTTTTCTATAATGGACTATAGGGGATTTTGATTCATGGGGGAAATGTTCTGAAAAAATCCTGGGCTCAAAAGAAATAGAAACACTTGGCCTTTTAAAATGGGGCTGTTATGGTTCCATAGACGGCACGTACCACCTCCACATGCGCTGAGCAGGCCTAGCTCACTAAGGTCATAGTGAGCAGGTGAGCAGACCCAGCCCTTGTTACAGTGAGACCAGAGGCACTAGCCTAGAGAGAAGGAGCAGGGGCTCTGAAGCCCCCTGGAGGCCTAAGATGCTGCTGCTGTCCACTGTATGTGCATGTGGATTGGTGAGTGGGTGCTGGAATTCCACATGGGGTGAGGGCAAACTTAAAGAGGCTAGACCCCAGCTGAGAGGTTTAAAGGAATGTCTTGATGTTCAGCACATCACCATACTGATGTGCTCAGTGAGCTTTGTCACCCATTCATTTATTTATATAGGCATTCACTCATTCAACAACCATTTATTGCATGCCTCTATGCACCAGGCCCTGTGCTATGCTCTGGGGACGCACGACACTTAAGAGACGGTTCCTCCCCTGTGATCATGAGGGGCTCATGAACCAGCAGGGGAGACAGACAGGTAAACAGGAAGTATGGCTAGGGGGTAAGTACCATAGTAGAGGGCGACATGGGAGTGCAGAGGAGGGGCTCCAACTCTGGCATCAACCTACTCCACCTTGGGAAAAAGTTCTAAACAGGGAAGCGAGTGAGTCATGAGCTGCATCTGGAAAAAGGGATAGGCTTGGGATTGACCTAGTGAACTGTAGGCAAAAGCCACCGACCAGAGGCACCGAAGGACAGGGCCACACTGGCATCTAGGGGCCATAGACTGGCACACTCTCAGGCAGCCCTGGAATCTGGTGAGTCTGTTCCACAACTCCCATGGGGCCTGCAGAGCAAGTGTCTCTCACAGGCACAGATTAAAGCAAAACATCTCAACTATGTCTTGGTTTTGGCTCCACAGATGACTTCTGTGTGGGCGAATCTTCTTAATGTGTTCTCTTACTTTTTATTGTCCATGCTGTAAAACGTTAAAAAAAAAAAAAAAAAAGCTAAAATAAACTTCCAGAGTTCAAAATGGCAGACTGTGACTAGGGCCAATGTCCTTTTCCTTCCAATGTTGGTTTGTCTGCCAAGTGATCTCATACTTGCTTGGTGAGGCTCTGCCTCCTCGACTCCTATCTTCTCTTTCCTCCACCTCCCCATTCCCGGCCACATGAGGTTCTCATCAGCATCATTGTGGTCAAAGGACTAGGCCCTGGGGTGCAGTCTGCCCTGACTCTCTTTGGGGCTTGGCTGAGGGAATTTACTTGTATCCTGCTTTAGAAGCTGAATTGCCTACAGAGGATTGGGACCCAACATGACATTTTCTGTCAGTGACAGTATAGAGCTCTCTATTTCCTTATCCAACTGATTGTTTAGGACTAAGTTAGGAACTGCTTTCTCCCTGGAGTAATCGCACAACATGGGCCAGCCATGGTCAAGTACAATCTGAGTGTAATGTTCATCAGCATCAGTTGGTGAGGGTCCTAGTTCTAGACTGAGAGCTCCTTCAGGGGAGGAAGCAGACTTTTGCCAATTTCCCAACACTAGCCAGCTCTGTGACATCTGGAAGGGGCTCAGTGGCAGTTGTTGAATTTAATCTGGATACCACCCAGGCAGGCAACAACCCTCTGGTTCACCTTATTATGAGAGAGGCAGTCTCTTCTACAACCAAATACTAATAATGATAATGGTAACAAAACACTATTACTATTTATTGAGCCCTGATGCTTTGTCAGATACTAGGATAGGCACTTTATATCCTTTACCTGATTTGAGAGCCAGAATCTCTGGGTGTATAGGTTTCACCGTCCTCGTTTTACTGATGAAGAAATGAAATCTCAGAGAGGGTAGGCAGTTTGCAACAGCCTGGTTGTTGGGGCTCAGAATCTTGGACAGTCCATTATGAAGACCCTGACTCTTTTTTATTTTTGCTTTTTTTGAGACGGAGTTTTACTCTTGTGGCCCAGGCTGGAGTGCAATGGCATGATCTTGGCTCACTGCAACCTCCACCTCCCGGGTTCAAGCGATTCTCCTGCTTCAGCCTCCCGAGTAGCTGGGATTACAGGCATGCGCCACCACACCTGGCTAATTTTGTATTTTTACTAGAGATGGGGTTTCTCCAGGTTGGTCAGGCTGGTCTTGAACTCCCGACCTCAGGTGATCCACCCGCCTCAGCCTCCCAAAGTGCTGGGATTACAGGACCTTGACTGTTATGCGTGATGTTTTGTTGTAAATGACTGCGCTAACACTGGTGGAAAGACCTAACCCTGCAGAATTCCCCAGGTACCAGGCAGCTGGGGGACAAATTTATACTCAAGGTTCCTCTCAGGCATCGCCTTTGTCTAGGGCAGACGTCTAACTCTGTCTCCTTATGGAGGACTGAGGGAGAAGCAGGAATCAGGCTTATGCAGTCGAAGGCTCAGTTTTAGTGCCCAAGCAGCAAAGAGATAAATGCCATCCTAATTCCCACTTAAAGTAAGCAGACAAGCCCTGGGGCTCACATGGACAGGAGGAAGCTGAGGGATTCAGTAAGTCTGTTTATTTTGGTTTGTATTTGACCTTGCATTACATTCACCAAGCAACTCCCAGTGAATGCAGAAACCTTTCCTCTGCCTCGGGAACATTTCCGTACAAACAGGAACACAGCACAGATGACAAAAATTAAGATGTACTCTCCAGCTTGCCTTGCTGTATTATTTAAAACAATTACTGTATGATTTTCCTTTCACATAGCCATGGAAACCCTGCTGAAAGGATTTAATACAATTTATTGTGTGAAGCTTAAGAAGAAATCTGTTTCCCCGGTGCTGGAAAACAAAGCAAGTCAGTTTCTCCTCACTTCCTACAAGGTGTGATGGACGCAAATTGTGGACCGGTGACCTCACCCAGCAGGGACTGAGCTTTCTGGGAAAGCATTCTGGAGATAAGTGGACCTGTTTCTTTTAGAGGCAGCGAAAAACAAAGCCGGTGCCAGAGGAATGATAATCTCCTTTGATGTGCCCGGAACTGCTTGACTGTTTCAGAAAGGGAAGCACAGCTCTGAGTGGCAGTACTACAATGCCTTTCAGTAAACACAATAGACAAATTTCCCTGCCAGGTTACCCCAGGAGCCTCTCCACTCACAGGATCCTCTTATAGGTATCTTGGTGTCAGCGATGGGATCTTAGGAAGGAGAGTCGCTTGACACCATGCTCTGATGAGAGGGTGGGCTCACTTTAGAGCCTATTAGTACCAATGGCACAGCTCAACCCTATCTGCCTGTTAGAAACTCCTAAGGAGCTTCAGAAAACATGGAAGCCTAATTCCCAGAACTAATTGATTATATTGGAACCTGTATTTTAAACAGCTCTCCAGATAATGATTATGTGCAGCTAGGGTTGAGATCCACTGCTCTGGGACTTGAACTTCTTTAGGCTGAACTCTTTGTCTGTTTACTTTCTGATTCTCAGCTAGAGACCCAGGGCCTGATGATCTGTAAACCTAAAAAGGCTGCTGTAGCACAAAACTCATCTTTGCAGCTCAGCTCTTCATCCCTAAATTCAGTGGGTGAAGGGAAGAATATTAAATTGCAGAAGAATTCCCCAAAATTGGGGAAGCTGGATAAAGCGTTCACTGGACCTCTCTGCACTGTTTTTGCAACTTCCTGTAAGTCTATAAAAATTTCTAAACAAAACATTTTTAAAAATTGCAGCTGAAGACTTGAATTCAAATTCTGGATTGTTACTTATTAGGTATGGGACTTAGGGAAATAAAAGACCCTCTGGGCCTTTTCCTTTGGAAGATAGGACAATTATTTCTATTTATTACATGATCAAATGAGAAAATAAAATTCTAGACCTAGATTTAGCTGGGGTCTCTTTGCCCCTTAAGGGGTAAAAGGAGATTGTTCAAACTCTCTGAGTCCATTTTCTGCTGCTATAACAGAATTCCTGAGAATAGGTAATTTGTAAAGAAAAGAAATTCAGTTCTCACAGTTCTGGAAGCTGAGAAGTCCAAAATCAAGGAACCAGTAGGGTTGGTATCTGCTAAGGACCTGGTCTCCATTTCCAACATGGTACCTTGAATTCTGCATCCTTCAGGAGGGATAAACGCTGTTCCTCACCTGGTAGAAGAGTGGAAGAGAGCCAACACACTTTCTCAACTCCCTCAAGACTCCCCAGCCACTGTCTTTTTAAAATGGTAGCTATGATTTATTGAGTGCTGATTACATGGCAACAGCTGTGTTAGGTTCCTTACATATATCACATTAATCTTGCAAGGAAGAAAGTGTTAGATCTGTGATGGAAACTGAGGCTCAGAGAGGTTGAGGAATTTGCCCAAATTAACACAGAAAGTGTCAGAGGTAGGCTCCAAAACCTATGTTTTTTCCATACTTCAGGCTACAGATGGCAGAACTAATAAACAGTTTTTGCTATCAAAAGAACAGACCAAACAAAAGTTAAGTTTATGAGAATTGTTGAGTGACCTCTATATATGGTTATGTCTGCTCTCTAAGCACCCCTGTGCTCATGTAAGAATAACTACCTCAAAGTAGTGGATATCTGCATATTGCCTGGAATGGTGCTGGGTACACAACACAGTTGGTGCTTGACGAATGCAGGTGTTGGTTGTAGTGCTGGCAGTCTTTGTTTGGTATGGTGGGGGGGGTGGTAAGCTAGTCCCATTACGTGATGTGGATATATTGTGCAAACCCTTTTTATGGTGGGATTAATCCATTCACAAAGACAGAGCTTTCATGGCCTAAACGTCTCCCAAAAGGCCCCACCTCCCAATGCTGTTCCATTGGGGATTAAGTTTCAACATGAGTTTTGGAGGGGATAAAAACATTCAAACTATTGCACCCTTGAACTACAGGTTATGGAACTTCCAACTACTTCCTCCAGAGTCACAGGAATTTTGGGGTAAATTACATGCTTGTGGTCGGTCACCTTGGGTTTTGAGCTCCTTCTTCCACTAAATTAATCAATTTACGTATTGTCTCACCCAAATATGGTGCCCAAGCAGCAAAGAGATAAATGCCACAAGGACAGAGGAGGAGGCTGAGGGATTCGGTAGGTCTGTTTATTTCAGTCTATGTTTGACCTTGCACTACATTTGCCAAGTAACTCAGTTGCTAACTTTCCTGAAACAAACCTCTCCCACAGGCATTTTTTGTGTGTAGGTGACATTACTGAAGGCTTGGAAAGATGAAAGGAATTGTACCATAGCATCAGAAACTGACTCAAACACAGTGTCATCCAATTCTGCTTCGAAAGGTTCCTTGGACCCCTTCATGTTGCTTGGTCCTCAACTCTTCTGTTCCCATCTTCCCTCCTGTCTTTTTCATTCACTCCCCCGCCCCCTGGTTTCTGCCCATTTCTTTCTTTCTCTTTTTTTAATGTTGACTTTTATTTTAGATACAGGGGGTACATGTGCAGGTTTGTTATATAGGTATAATGCACCCAGGTAGGGAGCATAGTACTCAATAAGTAGTTTTTCAACCCATACCCCCTCCCTCCCTCCCATCTGTAGTAGTCTGCAGTGTCTATTGTTCCCACGTTTGTGTCCATGTGTGCTCAATGTTTAGCTCCCACTTATAAGTGAGAACATGCAGTATTTTGTTTTCTGCTCCTGCATTAATTAGTTAGGATTATGGCCTCCAGCTCCATCCATGTTGCTGAAAGGACATGATTTCATCCTTTTTTGTGGCTGCATAGTATTTCATGGTATATATGTACTACATTTTCTTTATCCAATCCACCACTGATGGGCACCTAGGTTGATTCCATGTCTTTGCTATTGTGAATAGCTAGGTGATAGACATAGGAGTGCATGTGTCTTTTGGCAGAATTATCTATTCTGGAGGGGTGTATACCCAGAAATGTGATTGCTGAATCAAATGGTAGCTCTAAGTTTTTTGAGAAATCTCTAAACTGCTTTCCATAGCGACTGAACTAGTTTACATTTCCACCAACAGTGTGTAAGTGTTCCTTCTTCTCCATAGCTTTGCCAGCATCTGTTGTTTTTTGACTTCTTAGTGATAGCCATTCTAACTGGTATGAGATGGTATCTCATTGTGGTTTTGATTTGCATTTCTCTGATTAGTGATGATGAGCATTTTTAAATATGTTTGTTGGTCACTTATGTTTCTAGTGTGGACCACTTTAGCTATTTCCTTTGTTTCCTTGGCTCTCATCTTTCCTCCAGGAAATTTATCAAAATATTTTCTGATCTATCCAGCCCTTCTAAAGCTCCATGGAACTTTAGTTGGTCAACAAAAGCCAGCCCCCAACTCCAATCTAGATGCGATGGTCACAGCCAGCTCAAGCTTGCTGTCCACTGCACGGCCTTATACCATGTCACCACCAGCCCTGTGGAAGTCCCAGAGAGTCAGAGATGAGAGCACTTGTAACTCAAACTTTCACTGATTTTCCAGGCTTAAATCTGGAGCCTACATTCTGGACTTTGGGAATTTAAAAATCTAACATTTTTGGAAAGAAAGGGTGTATAGAGGCTTCTTATACCTTGAATAAAAAATGGCATTTTGGAATGTAAGCAAGTGAGACTCCTAAGAATTAAATTTCGTCAGAAATACACAAATTTACAAAAAAAAAAAAAAAAAAAAGAAGAAGAAGAAGAAGAAAAATGCACTAGGCAGAGTGCCCCCTGCCAAACCTCACTCATTCAAGAGGAATTTGGAGTGATGTTGCTGCCCATAAACCTCCTGTCTACCTGGAGAGGGCCTGGGCTGGTATTCTGCAAACAGTTCCTTGTTTGTTCTCCTTCCTGTGGGTCTGTGTGCACTCAGATGATGGGAATCAGATTTAAATGGATAACTAGAAGTTGGAAGGAATCTGATTGGTTCTCACTGCCCAGGAGTAGCTCCATGATATGGTTTGGCTGTGCCCCTACCCAAATCTCATTTTGAATTTTAGCTCCCATAATTCCCACATGTTCTGGGAAAGACCTGGTGGGAGATAATTGAATCATGGGGGTGGTTTCCCCCATACTGTTCTCATGGTAGTGAATAAGTCTCAGGAGATAGGGTGGTTTTATAAGGGGTTTCCCCTTTCAGTTGGCTCTCATTCTGTCTTGACTGCTGCCATGTAAGACATGCCTTTTGCCTTCTGCCATGATTGTGAGGCCTCCCTAGCCACAAGGAACTGTGAATTCATTAAACCTCTTTTTCTTTATAAACTATCCAGTCTCAGGTATGTCTTTATTAGCAGCCTGAAAACGGACTAATACATTCCAGAAAGCCTTCCCACCTTCTTCTCCCTTGAGTGTCTACATGAGATGCAGAGTAGCTTTGTCTAAGATGGTATCCCTGAGAATTGTCTTCTCACTCAGGCAGAGTTGATTGGCTTCCCCGCTGTGCTGCCGTGGGATGCTGTGCATACCTCCATCAGAACAGACTTGACCTTCTGCTTGCAATTGTTTGCTTGCACGTTGGTTCGCTCTTTCCCCCCACCCCCTGCACTAGCTGGTGAGGTTCTTAAAGGCAGGAAACGCATCTTTCCCAACACATAACACAATCCCTGGTGCAGAGAAGACATTTGATAAATGTTTGCTCTAAGAATCAATGAATGAGGTCTCACCAAAAAAGAGCACTGAGTTTGCTAGGGTTATTTATTTTAATATTATGCAAAACACAGAGCAGACATCACCTTCTGTTTCTAAATCCTTTGTGATTGATTAATCAACAAGTTATTACTGAAGCTAGCTACAGCTAAGACCCAGGTGAGAGGGAAGCAATGGCAACCACATACTTTGAGAGGTTTATTAATCGACTGTATAACAACACTGCTGCATCACATTATTAGAGTCATTCTGCCTTAGAGCTCAGGGTTCTACTTATAAAGTGACTTGTTTAATTAAAAAAATCCTAGCAAGGATAAAGGATAGAACATTTTATAATTACTTGCCAATAATCATCAGCTCACCCATTATAGGGCAAGATTAAAATTCAGCTCTTCAGAACTTGAGAGTCTGTTCTCATATACTTTTCCTTGGAATAGTTCATTTCTGGAGAGAGACACTAAATACTTCTAGTGGGCAGTGATGTGTCTCTTAGCAGCAGAAGGCAGGACTCAGTTCCCAGTGGCCCTTTGCCCTTCTTCCTCTGAGGTCCTCTACACCTGGTCTGTGGTATAGGAGGACTTCTTAGCTTCCAGGTCAATGCTGGCACTGGGGATGGAGATGGATGATGGGAAGCTGCTGAGATACTTGCCAAGCCTCAATGCTCATGCCTATTTAGTGACCTTGTGTTGAGACAGCATGATATGTACTCATCTGTACTTCATGGAAAGTCAGTCCATACACATTTACTGAGTACCTTCTGTTGTAGGTGCTGAGGATTCTAGGTGAACAGGGAAGTCATGGTCCCTACCCTGATGGACTAGTGGAGAAAATAGACATTTAACAAATAAATGATTCTGAATGTGTAAATTGCTGTGAAGGAGAAGTGTAGTGCAAGTCAAGGGTATAACAGGAGTGGTGCTGGAGGCTGAGAACAGGGCCACCATGTGCTGTCGTGCAGACTGTAGTCTATGTGAATGGCACCCCCTGGAGATGTATATTACTTAACAGGTCTGGTCAATATGGCAGTTCTAGCTGAGAGGAAGCAAATGACATGCAAATTGCAAAGGAGGAAGAGGATTGGCGAGGTTAAGACATGTGCAAAGGCCCCAAAACAGAAAGAAGCTGAACATGGTCCAGTAATGGGAAGAACCAGTATGACCAAGTAGAGAAGTAGGCACTGGGGAGAGAGGAGGCAGTCAGGTAGAGCCTCATAAAGCCATGGCAAGGAGCTTGGATACTATTATAATTGCAATGGGAGACAGGAGGATTTTAGAGCTGGAAATGACATGATCTGATTTCTGTCATTTTGGATGCCATTCGGGTTGGATTGGGGCGAGCATGGTAAGATTGGAGATGTAGAGAGGGCTTAGGAGGCTATTGCGAGAGTCAGTTTGCAGAAGACTTGGTACGCATTGGGTGCCCAATAAACCATGACTCCCTTTTCCTTCCCTCTCTTCTAATCGTGACATGCTTTGTACTTCCCAAAGCACTTTCAATTTGTTATTTTATTTGATCTGCATTATAGCACTTTCAATTCATTATTTCATTTGATCTTCATAACAGCTGAAGGGGGTGAGGTGGGTATTATCACCCCCCTTCATGCCTGTGGTAACTGAGGCTTTGAAGGGAAAAATGGCTTTCAGGAGGTCCATCAGCCAGTAACTCCTGGAACTGGTTCTCAAATCAAATCAAGGAACTTGACCAATCCCCAACTCTACCATATTATGCAATGTCCAAATGAAATCATCTAATTAGTTAATTTGTTAAGCACGAAGAAGTAATTTAAAATTTCTAGGGGTTACGATTTGCAGGCAGAAAAAGAAAAAAAGAAAAAGAAAAATACCGGTGAAGGAGCTGGTATTTCCCTAGGAACAGCCTGGATCCAAACTTCAGAATAATTGCGTAAAGAACACTGTATTCCACTGGAGTCACAATAACGCTTTTCTTTTCATCTTTATTCACCCCAGTGTGGCCCACTAAAAAGGATCCAGTGTGCTCCATGTCTGAAAAGATATATTTTTGCTCATTAAACACCAAACAGAGGTTAAGACATTGACAGATCAACATTATTTATACTGAAGGAGGCAAACGTTCCTTTCAAAGACTTTCATTTCCTCTGGAAACGTGTGCTACCTGAGCCGTAGCCACCAAAATATGTATTTTCTTTTCCTTTTAAGGAAATGCCACTTCATTGCCAAACCTCAAACATAGCACCCCAAATGGAAAGAGAGGGTTCTCAGGTACGGCAGGGAGAAAACTCAGATTCAAAAGCCGCTCTGTTCTCATCAACTAGGGACTGCATCTGAGACCGTCTGTGGATTTAATGTTCTGCAAATCTACTGAAAAGAGATTTTCGTCACAATTGCATTATAATGTTTTTCCCCAAGAACACTCCTTGTTTAGGAGCCAACAGCTCAAACCTTGAACAAATTGTTCCCAGACCTTCCTTATTTCCAATCTCCTTGTGAAGAAAGAGGCAGGCATAAGGGAGGATCAGTCTTATCTCACCTTTGTCCTTGACACTGGGGAACACAAGATAAGTTGCCGTAACCCCTCGTTTTGACTTTGAGGACTATAATAAGCAATTGGCCCTTTTTCCTTTTTTTTTTCTTTGCCAGAGTTTTGTCAGAATTAATTCACTTGGATTTGCTGTTTTGCTTGAATCTCTGTGGAAATGACTAATGCAGAGCATTATAAGCATAGTCTCCATGCTTATGGAGCATGGGCCATTATGGCCCAGTGGGAAATGGAGAATTGTAAACATGAAGAGGGAACTTTTCCAGTAAGCTCGGGGAGGGAGCGGCAGAGAGGGGGAGAAGTTACTAGAACCCAATGCTGCAATGGCCCCCAGGTACGCTCAGAGGAAGCTCTGGGCTTGGGCATTCAGGAAAGACCCTTATGAGGATGCAAGGTTGCCACATATGCCTCCTTGGCTTGGCTTTGTTGTCACCACTGAGAAACCCCAGCCCCTTTCCCCTTGGCCCCTGCCCAGAGGTGGAAGGAAGGGGTGGGTGCCAGCTTTTTTGTGGCTGCATTTGCATCTCAGTTCTGGGGAGAAGGTGCAGTGGGGGGACCCAGCTGTGGCTGTCCTGCAGAAGCAGCGGCAGAGGGGGCGCCTGGGACACACTCTGCTTTCTCCCCTCCCTGCAGCTGCTCCACCTGTGCACAAGCGTCCCTGTCTGCACTTGCTTAAGTGTTTAGGCCATTCCTGACCCTGTAGGGGATCTTTCCAATCCCTAGACATCTCCTCCTTTTCAAAGACTTCCTGGATTTCTTCCCCTGCCATTCCCACTTCTCCCCAAACATTTTCCTCTTTCTGGGACTTGGTGAGAGTTTAAGTATTTACTACATCTGCTGAGGATTATTGGTGCACAAATTTGTATCCTTAGGGGTCTTTGATTGCAAGCAACATAAAGTGACTCTGGTTGGCCAGGGGAATGGGGTTATGGGGAGGTAGATCAGGTGCCTGTAGAATCAGAGGGAATGTTGGAAAACTAGGCTAGGAGACAAGCAAAAGGTGAGAAAGCCCTAGAGGATGAGGAAGCAAAGCCCCAGGAGTAGAATTCTAGCAGGACTGCATGCCCAGGGTGCCACCACAGGGGAGTAGGACTCTGGACATATCACCATTCCTAGGGACACGGACTCAAGATGCAGAGATGAGAAAGCCCCTGCTACTGAGTGTGGTCCCATGCCTGTCCCCTGTAACACTGGGATACTGAGGGAGGCTCTGGGGGAAGGAGATTTTGATTGCTTTATTTGGAGGGCAGGTGCCTGGGCTTACCATCCCACTACAACTCAAACCAGGAGGAAATCAGGGATCAGGGTGCTCTTAGAGAAGGTGAATGGATGCTGAGTGGGGTGTGAAGGGGACAACAAAGCCACCACACTTTCTCCCTTCCCCTTCTGTCCCTGATGCAGAGTCCCCTGGAGGGTCAGGGGGTGTGGGAGGTGCTCAGCTGGGCTTGCTGCTGCAGGTTTAACACAGGGAAGAGGGATGCCCTTAGAGAGAAGGCCGGGTGCCTCTTTCTCCTTGGAATTGTTAGCCGTGAATGCTCAGGAAACTGGGGCAGAATCTCCTGGGGAACCTGAGGAGGATTCCTTCCCAGATCCCCTGTGGTTGCCTGGGAGTGAGCAAAAGGTGGGAATAAGTGCAGCTGAGAACTGGAGGAGACAAATCACACCTGCATCACCTCTACCTAGGAATCCCTTGCTATCCTAATGGCTGATGATGGCTGCCTTTGTCTTCTGGCCTTCCTACTACGCCCACGCTAGGACCCCAGACTGCATATATTTATTTCTGAAGCAAGTTTTAAAAATACAGCACCTTATAATGGTTGGTGGTTGAGTTACAGTTTTAACCAGGTTGAGAGTTACATTTGACGAGACAAGCATTGGCTCCGTGATGCTGTGGAAGCTATGTCACTTCTCTGGGCTCCACTTTCTTCCTCTCTAACATAGTGGAGGCTCAAAGTGTTTCCATTCGCAACAGTCCCCCATGCTCAAGGAGCGATCTGCTCAGCTCGCACACATCAGAGCCTCATTTATTTGGGGCTGCACTCAGAATTGAGAGGCACAGCTGGTCTCCTAGGTGACTGCCACGCAACACTGCGGTCATCTATTTCCTCTGCCTATTTTCCCCCGTAAAGCACTCTGGCAAAAGAGCCCAGAGGCACTGTGGAGTGGGGAGAAGCCAAAGATTTTAATATCCATGTGGTGACATTTAGGGCCATGTCAGCATCTTCAAACCGAGCGGGCAGACTTACAGCTCACAAGAGGATTCCTTTGGCTCATGTTCCGCCTTTGGCTCATGTTCCTCTTAAAAACAAAACAGAAATTCACTAGAAATCCAAATATTCTTCAGCAGAAAAGAAGGGACGCGGGGTGCAAGTCAGGTGTTGTGTGGAGAAGAGTGATTCCTATTGATACTCATCTTGGAGAGCTGCATATTAGCATATTCAAGATCCCTCCAGGTCCTATAGTAAAGACAGAGGTTTAACTCTTTATGACATAGCCTTCCCCAAACTTATTTGCACATGCAATATTCTTTTTTTGTGGAATACTTGTTAACTGCTGGTAACTCTGCCTGATCTCTTTGCACATATTCTTTTTCATGGGGTGGGAACTTCCCATGTGAACTGACCCTGGGGCCCCTCCAATCTCTCTCCATAGGGCTGAGGCATGTTAGACAGCTTGTAAAGAAATGACTCAATTAACAACATCATTCAGTATTCTTGAGAGCTCACCATGGATCAGGTATTGTGCTGGGTATAAAAAAGAAAGATTTGTAAAAGTAAATGGTCTCTTTCCTCAAGGAGCTTATAGTCTAGTGGGAAAGAGACTCATGAAAATGATGTGGCCTTGCCTTTAGTGTAATAAATGTTTGGGTCTAGGAGCTGGAGAGATCCCTCAGGGTCAGCTCACGAGATGACTTGGAGACCCCAGTGGCTGCACTTGGCAGCAGGGATGGGTCAGGCTCAGACAGGTGTTGAGTCAGATCCCCAGAGCTGACTCCAGCTAGGTCCTGGGTGGGCAGACAGTTTGCAAACTGGATGATCAGGGAGAGAGGACTGAGGGAGGCTTGGGTAGGGGATGAGAAGAAGGGTCTGGTTAGGCAAAGAGCTGAGGGTCTGAAGTCAAATGCGGGCAGCCAAAGAAGTGTCAGAAACTACCACCAGGGTAAACGGTCCCTGCTTCCCCAAGTATACCTTCCTTATCTACGGGACTTGCCGTGAATCCTCTGGGGACTTCGGGAATCCACGTCACATCTCTGGGCCTGAGCTTTCTCATCTGATCATGGAGATGGTTCTAATGTTCTGTAATTATTTGGCCCTGTGTTCGTTTCCTAGGGATGCTATAATAAATTACCACAAACTTGGTGACTTAAAAAAAAACAGTAATGTTCTCATCATTGTGGAAATCAAAGTATCAGCAGGGCCACACTGCCTCTGAGACTCTAGAAAGAATCCTTCCTTGTCTTTCCTGGCTTTTGGTGGTTGCCAGCAGTCCTTGGAATTCTTTGACTTATAGCTGCATCTTTCCAATGTCTGCTTCTCTCCTCACACAGCCTTCTTCATTGTGTGTCTTCAAACCTCCCCTGTCCTTAAAAGGACACCAGTCACTGGATTTAGAGCCCACCCTAATCCATCATGACCTTAATTTCATTACATCTGCAAATATCTTATTTTCAACTATGGCCACAGGCACAGGTACCAGGGGTTAGGATTTCAGTATACCTTTGAGGGGGATGTAATTCAACCCACTACAGCCTTCCATAGACAGAAAGGACCGACTCACCCAAGGCATGTTGAATCACCTTCTAGATTACGTCATAAGCAAAAAGGGTGATCAAGATTGGCCATGTTTGCAGACAATATGCAAGTGGAAAAGCATGGCATTTGGCTCTATTAGTCTCCCTGCTGCTAGTCTGACACTCTCCTGTCCATTCTCTGCTGTGTTCTAAGAAGGATTGTAATAAATCTAATCATATCACTCCCCTGTTCAAAATTCTTTGGTGGCTCCACCTGGCCTAAAGCATAAACGCTTTACTCCATTACCAGCCCTTCGTGGCCTGGTCCCTGTCCAATCCAGCTGGGGCTCATGATTTGCTCCTCCAACTCATCAGAGGACTGGGAAGAGAAGTCAGAGGGCACAGTCATGTCGAAAGGGAAACCCCAGTCATCCTGCAGAGGATTGATGGGATGAGGCTGCTGCACTGTGGAGGCTGCTCCAGAATGGGACAAAAAGTTTCATGCACCAGAGGAAGGCAGTGAGAGTTCTGCCAAAAAAAAAACAAAAACAAAAACAAAAAAAGGAAAGTGACCATTGATGCCTAAGGAGTCACATGAGATGAAGGCCTGTCAGTAGAGTGTGTGAGACCACCATATTACTTCCCAAGGCTGGAGACCATGAGCTGGATTGGAGTTGGATGAACATTAAAATAGGACAACAACCTCAGCATGAGCACTCACATAAGGAGGTGCCTTGCCCCTTTCTTCTTCCTGCCCAACACCAGAAGGTGAATCCCTGAAAGAGACAGCAGAGGGGAGGTGGTAAAAATGCAGATCCTAACCCACCCCTGCCCATGATCCGGGACTAGAGGAGCTATAAATCCAGTCAGTGCGGGATGGTCAGGGGGAGAACCTTGAAGCAAATAGAAGCTTGCAGTTTTAAAATAAATGGCACAGAGTCCTGAGTGAGAAGACAAACACTCTCTAATAGCTAAAATGACAGAGTATATATAGCTGCTTTCAGGTCCTAAAAAAATAAAATTATGTTAGGTTCGTGCCTGTCAACTTGAGACTCTTCCACAATCTTTGAGAAGAGAAACTAAGGCAAAAAGATGTTAAATAGCTATTCCATTCAGTTGAGGAAAAATAAATTGTACATGGTTCTTGACATATTACTAAGTGCTCTTTAGACCTTAGCTATTATTATTTCAAACAAGGAGAAAAACATGTACGAAAACACTGGCATGAAAGAGAAGATACTCTACTTAACCTTGTATTGCCTCCATTCCAGCAGTTTTTCAGTTGCTTTACATCTCTGCTTCCCTGTTTGACCATGTGTACTGAGCTTTGTACAGAAATGAATGAGTGAATGAATAATGAAGAATGGAGTTAATACCTTGAATGGTATCTCTTTTTTTTTTCAAATTGCAGAATTTAAGAGAAGGCTTGGTGGGTAGCTTTAGCTAAAATTGTTGGGAGGCTGAATAAAGATAGTGATAAACTCAAGATATGGAATATTTCCTCTGAGATGTGGGCTGTAATAAACTCAGGCTTGTGAGAGAATGAATGAGAATGGTCTGACAGCATGAACTCAAGTTTTGACCAGTGATGGGGGCTGTGATGGGGTGATGTCTCTCTGTTTTCCAAGGAGGCTTAGGCAGCCTGGATGATGATGACCAGTGACAGCAGGAATGCAAAGCTCTCCATTTGCTTTCTGTGCTTCTCCTGTGGTCATTATGTCAAGTGGTTGCACATTAGATTCGGTCTTTAAGAGATCAATGTTACATGGAAGAAAGTCCTCCATGTGAACCAGTTCTGCTGCAATAATGAAAAAGAACCAGCAGGAATCCAGCTTAGTAAGGCAAAATCCTCACTAAAAAGGCAGTACAGGCTCCATTTGCTGAAATTCAGCAAAGCATGGTGCTTACTTGGAATTTTAGAGAGACATTCTCCCAATCCCAAAACAACAACGTATTCCCAAGAAATTATTCTTGGGAGAAAAACACTGTTCTTACTGCTAGACTGCTGGAGACTGCTGATCCATGGACCTGGCCAAGAGTATTTAAAGCACTGACACTGACTGAAATTATCCAGGGGGTGACTATAGTATAGAGAAGAGTTCTGAGAACTAAACCCTAACAGAATTCAGGGAGACAAAGAGGAACCAGCAAAGGAGACCAAGAATGAGTAGCTCATGAAGGAAGGAAAATCCGAGAGTGGGACATTCTGGAAGTCCCACTCTTGGGTTTTCC
Source organism: Homo sapiens (assembly GCF_000001405.40). NCBI lineage: Eukaryota > Metazoa > Chordata > Mammalia > Primates > Hominidae > Homo > Homo sapiens. The sequence goes on along the minus strand of NC_000008.11, from coordinate 97,219,323 downwards.
TTCCCAAGAAAGGGAAGAAAATGAAAGTGCTTCAGAGGAGACCATGATCAACTGGGTGAGGTGCTGTTGAAAGAGTCAAGCAGGATGAGGACTTAAATTGACCTTGGATTTAGTGACTTGGGTGTCATTGGGAAACAGTTTCAATGGGATGGTGGGAGAGAAATTATGACTGGAATGGGTTCAGGAATGGATGAGAATAGAGGAATTGGAGAGAGCTAGTAAAGACAATCCTTTTAAAGAATTTTGCTTTAAAAGAGAGAATACAGACTTGGGGCAATAGAGAGGGATGTGGGGTAAAGATTTTTTTTTCTTTTTTTTAGTGGAAGTAATATTGTATTATTTTGCCAATAGGAAATTTCTGGTAAAGAGTGAAACATGAATGATGCAGGAGAGAGTGAAGGGGCAAGTGGAGAATGTAGGAGCCAGTGGGATGCCCAGCAGGGAGGGTGGCAGGAGCAGGAGAGTTCATTCTTGGTAACAGAGTGGTGGGGGAGGGAAGCCAGAACGTCTGAGAGTAGATGCACTAGGGTAGACGGGGTGAGGAGTGAGGTGCATGTTCTTCTTGGATTTTTTCCATTTTCCCCATGGATTAGGAAGCTGTGAGTAAGGACAGGGAAGAGGTTTTTGAGGAGGAGAGTGTGAAGAATTCATCTATGAGATGAATGGTGTGAGTATATCAGGGGAATCATTTTGAACTCTGGCTCTGGGAAGCTTCTAACAACACATCAATGCCTGAGCAGGAAAGAGGGAGAGGGACTGGAGGAGGCAGTGGGAACATGAAGAACCCTTTCCCCAACGCCAGGGCTGGTTGTGCTGTGAGGGGCATGGGAGGGAAACTGCCATCATGTGAGAGGCCCTCTGATATAGTTTGGATTTGTGTCCCCGTCCAAATCTCATGTCAAATTGTAGTCCCCAGTGTTGCAGGAGGGGCTTGGTGGGAGGTGATTCGATCATGAGCGTGGACTTCCCCCTTGCTTCTCGTGATAGTGAGTTTTCATGAGTTCTGGTTGCTTAAAAGTGTGTGGCATCTCCCCCTTTGTTCTTCCTCCTTCTCCAGCCATGTAGGACATGCCTGCTTCCTCTTCACCTTCCACCATGATTGTAAGTCTCCTGAGGCCTCCCCAGCCATGCTTCCTGTACGCCTGCGGAACTGTGAGCCAATTAAACCTCTTTTTAAAATAAATTACCCAGTCTAAGGTAGTTCTTTATAGCAGTGTGAAAATGGACTAATATGCCCTCAGAGGATGGATGCCCCTGGGGACTGTGGCATTCAGTGAGAGCAAGAGAAGAGGGTGGGACCAGGGCTTTGCTGCCAGCAAACAAAGACAGCAAGGCGAGCCTGGCTCACTGCTCTTCACCCATTACCCAGCTCTTTGCTGTTCACTGTTTATTTATGGACCTCCACTAACTAGAATGACAGCCCCTACAGGGCAGGAACTGACTGAGGCCTGTTCACTGCTTTACTCCTAGTGTCCTAGACAGTACCCCGTATGTACTATACCCGTGGCTCTCAAACATTTTGTTTCAGAAACCCTTTTTACACTCTCAAAATTTTTTTTTGGTGGATTATATCTATCAAGATTTTCATATTAGAAATTAAAGCATAACGTCTAAAAATACTTATTTAAAATATATAAATATTTATTATACTCTTAAATCAATAGTTCATTTAAAAATCACACCCATTACATGCTAACATAAAGAACCTATTTTTATGAAAAAATGACTATATTTTTGAAAACGAAAACATGTATTAAGAAGAGTGGCCTTGTTTTACATTTTTGCAAATCTCTTTAACTGTTTGACTTAATAAAAGGCTAGGGATTCTTCTATCTGCTCCTGCCTTCAATATGTTCTTTTATCTGTGGTTGTGCAGCCTCTGGGAATCTCCACAGGACACTTGTGAGATAATGAGAGTAAAAGAGACAGATACTGTCTTAGTAGTATTAGAACATAGTTTTGACCTCTTTGATACCCCTGAAAGGGTCTTCAGGACTCCCAAGGGTCCCCATATCATAATTTGAGAATTGCTGTAAGACAATCTTCAAATATTTGCCTACTACCTGGCTAATAGATTGAATGAATGAATGAAGCTCTCATTGAATTATGTCAATACTTCTTTAACTGGGCTTCTGGCTGCCACCCAGGTCTCCCCCTGTGATCACTTTCCACCTTGTTGCATGTTGTTGCAGAGTGACCTTTCCACTGCCCCGCTGTCACCTTTGGTCAGGTGTAACCTGGTAGCACAACACCCATGGTCTCCTGACCTGTGGCCTGTCTGCCTCTTTGGCCTCTTCTTTTTATGCCCCCAGCCCAGCCCTGAGATAGGCTCCAGCCATATCTAATTGCTTCTACTCATGTCATTTCCATGCCTAGAGTATCCTTTCTTGTGTCCTCTCTTCTCTGTTCCCCACAACACATTGTCTGGCAAACTCGTACAGCTCCTTCAAAATCCTGTTTAAGGTCACCTCCCTGATGCTTTCCTTGCCTGTCTGCCTATCACCAGAACTACAGCTAGATGAAGAGGCATGTAGTCCAGACCTCTACAGAAAACACAAAGACCTTCAAGTTCATGGCTAGATGACTAGAGTGGGTGACAACACCTCACATGCATTTTGCCTTTAGTCCTCACTGCAACCTGTGTTATGGCTGCTAAGTGACCAGGCTAGGATCAAACCCAGGCCCCTTTAGATCATAGCTCTGGAGCTAAACAGCTCTAAACCAAAGCCTGAGGAGCTTGGTTTTAAATGCCCCAGCTATAGATGCTAGGCAAGTTATTTAATATTGCTAAGGCTTGATACCCTCATCTGTAAAATGGGATGCTAATTGGATCTATCCTAAAGGGTCTGTAAATTTTCAACACATTAGTACACAGCAATGGTTTAGTAAGCCTCTGATGTATAGTAGGTGCTCAATTACTACTGGCTCTTGTTATTTATTGCCATGCAACCATTAGTTCTTATATTCCTCATTCTAAGTGTAGACAGATATTTATGTCTTTTTTTATTTGACTTTGAAATCATAAAAGGCATATCTATCTATGTATGCACAGCATCTACCATAGTGCATGGCATCTACCTAGCAGGTGCTCAATAAATATCCCATGGGTGAAAGAATGAATGAAGGGCAAGATACAGTCTAAATCAAGGAGGCATAGTCCCTGTTTACTGCAATCTATTTTGGCTAACTTGCATTTTTCATGTTGTCAGCTGAGCTACACATTCAAGTCAGCATTTTGTGAAGGGCCTTTATGGAACTTCCCTTTTCAGGGTGACCAGAGGCTTTTTCTCAGACATTATCTCCTCAGACAGAACCTGCAAGGAAATATAATTTGAAGAAAAATGTTTGGTGACGGCAGGCACTGAAACCTCCTTTGAGATGTGCCCTTTGAAAGCATACACATTTTCAGATGCAAAATCAAACCCTTGAAACCTGGTAGCTTCCAGGCGTAGACCCTTCTAGACCACATCTGTGTGTAGCCCTCCCATCGTGGATTCCCCTGCCAGCCCCCTCTGTCAGTGCCCTGTAGGAAGAGAGGCTGGGGCGTAGGGGACTTTTATAAGCCTCCTTCCATGTCTCTTGAATAGCATCTCACACTGAACCTCTCACACCTTCCCTGTAAAGAATGGTAGAGAACTGAGTTCTAGTCCTTCCACACACTCACTTAGTGGCCTTGCACATACCATTGTTTGTTATTGCTGTTATAATTGTTCCTTTGAGGAGGAGGAGTGTTATTAAAAGTCCATCCTCAACTGGGGAAGAAAATAGCCTCTGGTCTAGGATTGTGCATCTTATACCAGAAGACTGCCAATCACAATGATTAAAGGTGCCAGTTTGGGGTTCAAACAAACCTAGACACAAATCCCAGCTCTGCTTCTTTCTGGCTGGGTGAGATTTCACATAATCTCCCCAAGCCTCTGCTTCCTCATTGGCAAAATACAGATAATGCTATTTTCCTCATAGTGCAATCGTGAGAGTTAAATGAGCTAGGACAGGTAAAGCTCTTAGGATGTTCCCAAGTGTTTAATAAGTGCTCCAGAAATTCTAGCTATTACTAGTACATAAGACCACAGGATAAATAGGTTACATTTTGGGAGATCAGTTTGAGTTGGGGAAGAGTTTTGAATTTTGATTATCTTAATAGAGCAAGAACATTATGCATTTAAGAAAATACATTTAAAAATAAAACAAGAGCTTTCAGAGAAAATAAAATTGTGCTTTTAATGTCTGCTTTGCCCTTTCTGAACATAGCTGGAAGCCCACTGTCCTCCAACTGGGGGGGTCTTTACATCTGCACACCGGGCCCCAGTGCCATGGAGCTTTAACACATACAGATTCCTAGGCCCCTAATCTCAAGTTACCAGAGGAAGGTAGGCACTCAGAAGGCTGTCCTCAAGGAAGGCTTAGAAAAAGGAGGGGGCAGGGGCTTGTCCTCCCTGGAACTCCTAAACCTGTACAGATGAGTCAGCAATTAATCTGCTGCCTCAGGCCAGGCCAGGGTTGATAGGGCAGGGGAGGATGTGGGCAGTTACCGACATTTCTCTGCTCTGAAGTCTGTTAGTGCTCTGAAGTATTTCCACCCCAGAGTCCATGCTCTTACCATTTCCTCCACATTGAACTCACTTCAAGGCTCTGCCCTGGCTGTCGGAAGGGTGGACAGAACCCCTGAGAATGTGACCATGACCTCACCTACCCCATGGCTTTTTTGCTTGCATTTGTGGCAAGGCCTGAACATATGGTTTTTGATAGATTTTTCGGGCTAATTAGGTACTAAAAGGCAGTAAAATATGGGGTGCTGGGTGGATAGCTGCTCCATCACACCCTCTGCAGGGCCCTGTGGGCAGCATGTCGCTTTAATATGTAGGGCACATGATGGCTCGTGGTCTCTAGTCACCTGGGTCATCATAGGTCTATTTAAGGTCAATTAGGACAAGGTCTGAACAAAGGATTAATATAAATCTGACAAATCAGGTTAGAAAACATATTTATTTTGTCAGATTTCTTGATTAGTAGCCTTTCTCAGTTCAGGCTGAATGATGGCATTCAACGTGCATACTTACTCATTTTGACAGCTAACAAGATAAATGTGTCAGCATGTGATTTGCTAAATACTTTCCCATGAATTTCACTTAGAAGTTGCCAGTGAGGTGCACACTTTGGAAAAGGGATGTGTGTCAGATTCAAGGTAGTGGCTGTAAAGCAATTTGTTTCTGCCTGCTCTGCCCAGGCACTTGCCTCTGATGGCCGGGGGATAATGTCTGTGCCCGCTGGTGAACTCACGATGAAGCATTGTGGTGTTAGAGGGCCACTGGCAGGGTCTGGACCTGGTCAAAGGTGCTCTGTGGGTACAGGCACAAGGCACAGCTTATCTGCACCTTGGGCTTTGCTTTGGGTATGGCATTTATGCAGCCGCAGAAGCGCCAGGAGCCATAGCACAGGCAGGGGACTGGCACTGTCAGACTGCTTGAAGAGTGTCAGAATGACACTCTCAGAATGACATGAGAGAGAACCTCATGACATGTCTCTCTCAGAATGACATGAGAGAGAACCTCATGCACCTCAGAGGAACCTAGAGGATGGCTAGGGGCTGGCGATATGGCAGATGGGGTCGCATGGTGGGTGGCTCCCTGTGATTCCTTGCCTTGTCTGCCACACATTGGCTTATCGAGGGCCCCTGCATGAACCTTCTCCATGTCTTTGGGGGCCACATTGGTAATAGAGGACACTTCAGGGTTAATTTTCTCCTTTTGCCTGGGCTGTAGCCCCTGTTGACAAGTATCTAAGGACATGGGGTGCTTCCACGTTCAAGACACAGTGGACCTGCATTTGGAGAATGTGCTTTCACAAATGGGTCATGCCAGTTCTACAGGGGATTCCCCCTCCCCACCCCACACTGTGTCCTGTTCTCTGATCCTTTCCCATCACTGTGTCCTGTCTCCCCAGCAAGAGGGCAAACTCTTGGACAGGGAGACCTCTGTTTTCCCTTTAGTAGCCCCCATAATACTCAGGTAGGCACTCAACACATTCTTGTTGGTTGACCAAGTGACTGAAGAGAACTCTCATCTTGCCCAAATAGGAGACAAGCTAGAAGTTAAGACAGTCTTCATTTCCTCAATAAGATTTTTCCCAAAGTGTTTTTTTTCCCTTGTCAATCTGATTGTACAAAGTCTAGGATATGCAAGTGGCTTTCAAAAAGTTCATGGAAAATGTATCTTATGAAAAAACTAGGCATGGATTTCAAAAATTTTTTTGCACCGAGATAAACTTGTACTACCATGTTATAACATGTCTGAGGAGGATCTAGTTTGAGGCACTAAGAAGGATAAGATATCACTTTAAAAAGAGATCCTATCAAAGCAACATGAATTCTACTAAAATTGAAACAAGAACAAACATTAAATTTATGGTGAAGTTTGATGGAATCACTGATGCTTTATGAAAAGTTTATGGGGACAAGGGCCCCAAAGAAATCAGCAGTTTACAAGCGGATAACTTGTTTTAAGAGGAGAAGATGATATTGAAGATAAAGCCTGCAGCAGCAGATCATCCTGTTCATGTCCTAATTGAAGAGGACTGACAATTAACAGTAGGAACAATAGCCAACACCACAGACACCTCAATTGATTCAGCTTACACAATTCTGACTGAAAAGTTAAAATTGAGCAAACTTTCCACTTGATGGGTGCCAAACCACTGCACCCAGATCAGCTACAGACCAGAAGAAAGATTTCAATGGAAATTTTAAACAAGTGGGATCAAGAGTCTGAAGCATTTCTTTGAAGAATTGTAATAGGAGATAAAACATGGGTTTACCGATACAATCCTGAAGACAAAGTACGATCAAAGCAATGACTACCAAGAGGTTGAAGGAGTCCAGTCAATGCAAAAGCATACGGGTCAAGAGCAAAGTGATGGCAATAGTTTTGTGGGATGCTCAAGGCATTTTGTTTATTGACCTTCTGGAGGGCCAAAGAACAGTAACATCTACCTATTATTAGAGTGTCTTAAGAAAGCTAGCCAAAGCTTTAACAGAAAAACACCCAGGAAATCTTCAACAGAGGGTTCTTCTTCACCATGACAATGTTTGTGCTCATTACTCTCATCAAACAAGGGCAACTTTGTGAGAGTTTAGATGAGAAGTCATTGGGCATCCACTTTACAGTCCTGAGTTGGTTCCTCTGACTTATTTTTGTTTCCTAATCTTAAAAACATCTGTAAAGGGCATCCATTTTTCTTCAGTTAAAAATGTAAGAAAGTCTGCATGGACATGGTTAAATTCCAGGACCCTAAGTTCTTTAGGGATGGAATAAATGACTGGTATCATTGCTTACAAAAGTGTCTTAAACTTGATGGAGATTATGTTGAGAAATAAAGTTTATGTTTTTTATTTTTATCTTTTAATTCCATTTTCCCATGAACTTTTTGAAGTCTCTTCATAGGTCAACTAGTCAAATGTCTACTTAAGTACTTAATCTATTAATTTAGGAATACAGATGTATTTAAAAATCACATAGTACATAAAGCATTTTATTTTGGAGTACACTTTACTAAAATACTTCATTACACTGCAGGTGTCTTTGACATCACTGTCTTTTTCTTACCAGAGCTGCATTTGCAGTGGTTTTTCAGAGCACTGTTGAGCTAGAGCCTTTTTGAATCCATATATGACACTGATAGCAAACTACCATTGCATATGCTATGGTCTGAATGTTTGTGTTCACCCTCAAATTCACAGGTTGAAATTGTAGCCCCCAAGGTGATGGTATTAGGAGGTGGGGTCTTTGGGAGGTGATTAGGTCATGAGGATGGAGCCCGCATGAGTGGGATTAGTGCCATTATAAAAGAGGACTGAAAGAGCTTGTTTGCCTCTTCCACCATGTGAGGACAAGCAAGAAGGTATCATTTATGAACCAGAAAGCCCTTAACAGACACTGAATCTGCCAGTACCTTGATTTTGGACTTCCAAGCCTTTAAAACTAGGAGGAACAAATTTCTGCTCTCTATAAGCTATTCAGCCTATGATATTTTGTTATAGCAGCCCCAAAAGACTAAGACAGCATACATGGAAATATTTCAAGGAAATAACTTATCACTGTATCATAAGTGTCTTTGGCATGCTTGCTTACAATATCTAACACAACAGTGAGGACACAGCTGCAGGAATAATCACTACATTTGTTTTATGCTCTTTTGCCTTCTTTATTTGCAGCCAAATTTATATGGTCATCTGTTTAAACAATCCCAAACTAGTATTGACTGAGGTCATGTAGCCTAACATACTTCCTCCTACTAGAACTTTGTTACTCTAGGTAAAATCTTACAGAGAGATTCATTGCTATGAAAAATGTGACTGTAAAAACTCAGAAAAAGGCAACTCCTCTCTCCTTTTTCTTTAAAAAGATAATTTTTTTGGGAAAAAGAGCTCACTTTATTTGGGGGTATATATAGTATTTCATATTTAAGAATGAGGGAATATTATTAATAATCACTAACCATAATGGAAGTGCCTCTTCCTCCAGGAAGCCTCTCTGGCTCAGCCTAGGTAAGCTGCCCTGCTATGTTCCCATGGCACCTGCTTTTGCTCCATTAATCATGTTTTGCTGTAATTGTTCATTTAGTTGGGCCTCTCCTAACAGATTGTAAATTCCAAGGGGCTTTTTATTTTCACTGTCTCTGGTACAGGAGCTGGAATAGGTAGTAATTTAGTAATTATTTTTGGATGGACAGATAAAGGCATGAGTAAGAAATAAGTGACTTAGATGGTCTGACAATTTTCCCTGCTTCCATCCCTCAGCAGATGGGAGTGACTGATTCCTTCAGCCATGTGATCAGGGCTATGGCAAAAGTCCCCAGAACCCCCTGGGGTCAGGACCCCAGAGTAGCCCAGAATCTCAGCTAAAGCAGCGATGTCTCCCATGGCAGCTTAGTCCAGTTCACTTCCTGAGCCAGCCTGACCCATCCTGGGTGTAGGGCCCTGCTGAGCCTCATGGTGCACGGTGCACCAGCAGGGGTCTGGAATGAGTCTGGTGTTGAGGAATGAGGACCAGGAGGCACATCAACCAACAACAAGTTTCCCTGTTTCCCCATTCGGACTGAAGCCCTGCCATGCATATCAAAGGACAGGGCCTGGCTCACTAACTTCCATCCCCTCACTGAGAGGGAGTTGGGGGCAACTGGATCTTCTCCTGCTCACTAGACCATAACCTGGGCACCTAACAGGAATGTAATGGCCCAGAACTATAGCAGGCCACTTCTGAGTCTCACCCACCATTCGAATTCATGCCTTTTGACCCCTTATATGATTCAGATCTCCAGGGTCAGGGGCAAGTCACACCTTTGGACAGTATAATGGTTATCTATTGAGTACTTACTAGGAGTCAAACACTGCCTTTATATATATCACATATAAATCACACACACACACACACACACACACACACATATATCCTCCACAACAATCCTATGAAGAATATGAAGAAGGTCATTTTATTATTGCCATTTGTCCATCAATTTATAGAGTGCCTCCTATGTGCTGGCCCCTCCCCACAGATAAGGAAGCTGAAGCTCAGAGCAGTTAAGTAATGTGTACAGGGCGAACGAGCTAGTTAATGGCAGAGCATGTTATGAACTGGGCCGCCTGACTCAGGCATCTGATGCTTAGCCACTGTGCCTAGTGACTTTTTACGCTGAGCCTAGGAATCAGCTCCGGAACCCCTGAAATGGATATAACTCAAAGGCCTATGGCCAGGGGAGCTCTGGTCTGAACCCCCCGGAATCGCTGGGTATAGCTGGATTATTCATGGCGTCTCAAGAACCATATGGAGGAGAGGAAAGAAAGCACACATAGCCCTTTGGCCTCGAATTTATTTATTTATTTATTTATTTTTGAGACGGAGTTTTGCTCTTGTTGCCCAGGCTGAAGTGCAATGGCGTGATCTCGGTTCACCGCAACCTCTGCCTTCCGGGTTCAAGCAATTCTTCTGCTTCAGCCTCCGGAGTAGCTGGGATTACAGGCATGTGCCACAATGGCTGGCTAATTTGTTTATATTTTTACTAGAGACAGGGTTTCTCCATGTTGGTCAGGCTGGTCTCAAACTCCCGACCTCAGGTGATCTGCCCACCTCAGCCTCCCAAAGTGCTGGGATTACAGGCATGAGCCACCATGGCCAACCCAAGGCCTGGATTATTTTAGACACAGCTTGGAGGTCCCCTTCTCTAGGCCATACTGGGTACTTTTCAGAACCATCACAATTCATTATTTGGAGTTAAGTTTTGAATGCATGAGTAACCCTGAGTGAGGTGGGCAGCAGTCATCATCAACCTCGGTTGGTTGAGTTGATGTGTTTCATTCATCAGTGTTCTTTGTTCCAGATGGAAGCTAAGGCAGAAACACGAAGAGCATGTGGATTGGACAATGGAGGTGGGAAGAAGACAAAGGGGAATACACGTGTTTGGGCAAGGGGGTCACCCAACAAAGAGAGGTGCTCTGTTAATTTTGGGGGAGAAACACTGAATGCCAAGCAGGAGACAACCAAAAATAAACTTCGCTGCCTCTCAGTTTTACCAAAGACTAATAAGGCTTCTGGGGATCTTCAGACATAGCATGTGTAAGACACCTCTGGGTTATATTCAACACCCCAAGTATGAATCCCCACTCATACTTCCTTGCTGGGCTGCTTTGTGCTAGTTACTTAATCTCTCTGAACCTTAATTCTCATTTGTAGGTGGAGATTGTCTTATCTCACAGGATCCCCATGTGGATCAAGGGGTGTGGTCCTGGATAAGCTCTCAGTGAACAGCAGTTCTTATTTCACATGGTGGGAGAAGAGGGTCTGTATGCTGCACCCTCCTGAAGTGACCTGGGCTTGGCTGCTGCTTTTGAAAGACACAAATTGTTACTTGTCATTTGATAGCCAAAAGGTGCTCCCCGCAACTGTGCTTAAACATTGTCTTATGTTAGTTAGGACACAAGGCTGGCCTGCTAGGCCTTGGAAATGGGTATGTCAGTGAGTTTATGCCACCTTCCCATAGTGGCAGAGGTGGGAAGGAAGTTGGCAGGTGAAGGGTTACATAAGCAAAAGTGGGCAGTACCCACCTACGTGTGTTGGCACCAGCATTGGTTCCCTTGGAGGTGGTTCCCTCTGCCCTAGAATGACCCTGTTGGAGTCAGATCAACTGATAATCAAAGCCCTTTACAAAAACAAGGTCAGCCCCCTGCAAAGAAAGCTCCATTTCCAGTGGGGCCAAGGTCCTGTTTATTTCATCTGTGGCTTTCTCAGTTTAGTAGGATGCCTTTGATAAGCTGCAGTCAGCACCCCCAGTGACCCTTAATGACAGCCTGACTCAGCCAAACGCTTCTGGTCTCAGGTTATGGATGAATACCCACTGAACTCTGGATACAGATCTCTGAGGCTGTGCAGATTTCACATCCCTCTTGAAAAATGAAGTGACAAAGTCCCTGTTTAATTCAGGCCCTTGCCACTTCCCCATGTCATACATTCTAGCCTTCAATTATGGCTTTTGGAGAAATGCTTCCACAATGATGGTTCTGGTGCTTGCTAATAAATTTCCATGATCTATTCATCTTCTTAAGGAGGCTCAGTTGAGTCAGGCTCAGCTAACCAGGGGAGCTGGGATAAGCCCTCTCTACATTCTCAGACATGATAGAGGAAAGTTGTGCCCTCCAAGAAGGTTGTTAATTGATGGTCATCCTCTTAGCTTCTTTCAGACTTCTTTCATCACATGTGGTCCACATGAAAAGTATTATTTCTCTATCTCAAACTGGAGGGAGGAGAATAGCTTTGGCTAATGTTTGAGTGTTTGTTCAAAGTCAGGTGCTGGTCTAAGTGCTTCTCATGAATGAACTCACTAATCCTCATCTGCCCAGAGGTAGCTGATATAATTATATTTGCTTTGCAGATGGAGGAATGAGGCACAGAGCAGTTGAGTAACATGACTTGTAAATGGTGCTACCAGGTCCCAAAGCCAGGTGCTCAAACACGAGAACTCATGCTTTTACCTAGAGCACTGAGCTGCCAATCATTATTGCTTGGGATTTAACGATGACCAAGTAATATAAAGCCCCTCCCTGTCAGGAGTAGGGCCAGAATTTCCACTTAGGCAGAGCTAGAGGCAACTGTGGGGTAAAGGGGATGACTAAGAGGCTTGCCCTAAAGCTGCTTTTTCACAATTTACATAAAACTGAGAACATGTTCATGACCCACATTGCTATGGTTTGAATGTGTTCCCCAAAGTTCATGTGTTGGAAACTTAATCCCTAGTGCAAAAGTGTTTAGAGGTGGGACCTTTAAAAGGAAGGTGATTAGGTCATAAGGGTTCTGCCTCCATGAATGAATTAATGCTGTTGTTACATGAGTGGGTTAGCTGTTGTGAGAGATAAAAGGATGAGATTGACCTCATTTTCTCTCATGTGGACACATGCTCTCTAGCCCTTCTGCCTTTGCCGTGGGCTGACACAGCAAGAAGGCCCTCACCAAATGCAGCCCCTCTATCTTGGACTTCCCAGCCTCCAGAACCATGAGCCAAATAAATTTCTTTTCTTCAACATATTATCCAGTCTCAGGTATTCCGTTATAGCAGCAGAAAACAGACGAACATACATGTCAATGAATGGGGGTAGTTGTCTGATGTGCTAAAGCCCTTCCTTTCATGCACGTCCCTGTGAAGAGACCACCAAACAGGCTTTGTGTGAGCAACATGGCTGTTTATTTCACCTGGGTGCAGGCAGGCTGAGTCCGAAAAGAGAGTCAGCGAAGGGAGATAAGGGTGGGGCCGTTTTATAGGATTTGGGTAGGTAAAGGAAAGTTACAGTCAAAGGGGGTTTGTTCTCTGGCGGGCAGGAGTGGGGGTCACAAGGTGCTCAGTGGGGGTGCTTTTTGAGCCAGGATGAGCCAGGAAAAGGACTTTCACAAGGGAATGTCATCACTTAAGGCAAGGACTGGCCATTTTCACTTCTTTTGTGGTGGAATGTCATCAGTTAAGGTGGGGCAGGGCATATTCACTTCTTTTGTGATTCTTCAGTTACTTCAGGCCATCTGGGTGTATACGTGCAAGTCACAGGGGATGCGATGGCTTGGCTTGGGCTCAGAGGCCTGACATTCCTGCCTTCTTATATTAATAAGAAAAATAAAACAAAACGATGTTGAAGTGTTGGCGCGGCAAAAATTTTTGGGGGGTGGTATGGAGAGAGAATGGGCGATGTTTCTCAGGGCTGCTTCAAGCGGGATTAGGGGCGGTGTGGGAACCTAGAGTGGGAGAGATTAAGCTGAAGGGAGGTCTTGTGGTAAGGGGTGATATTGTGGGGTTGTTAGAAGAAACATTTGGTGATGGCCTGGATACGGTTTTGGATGAATTGAGAAACTAAATGGAATAACGGAAGGAGAAAAACAGGTATAAAACGTCTAAGAATTGGGATGACTCAGGATATCTGATTAGAGAGTGCCTAAGGAGATTCAGCATAGTCCTGCCAGCAAAGATTATTTATTTACTTCAAGAGTTAAGTGTGGCAGTTTGGGGATAGCATCAGGAGATATCAGCTGTGATGGCTTGGAAAAACAGTGTAAACTGGCAGTGTAATCAAGAGCAGGGCATGTATGAGTAGTTGAGAACGGTGAATAGGAGTATGTATGACTAGACAGAAGATAGTAGGGATGCCAAGTTTTTTTGGGGGCACAGTCTAAGTTGGTCTGGTGTCTGGAATGAGACTGGGGCCTAATAAAAAGAGCATCTATACAGGAGCTCAAATGGGCTGTACCCTGTAGCATTCCGAGGACAGGCCTGAATTCTGAGAAGGGAAAGTGGTAAAAGTATTGTCCGGTCCTTTTTAAGTTGGTGGCTGGCTTGGTGAGGTGTGTTTTTAAAAGACCTTTAGTCCATTCTACTTTTCTTGAAGACGGAGGACCGTAAGGGATATAAAGGTTTCACTGAATACTAAGAGCCTGAAAAACTGCTTGGCTGATTTGACTAATAAAGGCTCGTCTGTTATCAGACTGTATAGAGGTGGGAAGCCTAAACTGAGGAATTATGTCCGACAGAAGGGAAGAAATGACTGCGGTGGCCTTCTCAGACCCTGTAGGAAAGGCCTCTACCTATCCAGTGAAAGTATCTACCTAGACTAAGAGGTATTTTAGTTATCTGACTCAGGGCATGTTGAGTAAAGCTAATTTGCCAGTCCTGGGCGGGGGCAAATCCTCGAGCTTGATGTGTAGGGAAGGGAGGGGGCCTGAATAATCCCTGAGGAGTAGTAGAATAGCAGATGGAACACTGAGAAGTTATTTCCTTGAGGATAGATTTCCACGATGGAAAGGAAATGAGAGGTTCTAAGAGGCGGGCTAGTGGCTTGTACTATAGCATAACCTGCCTTTGCTGGTGTGTGGCGATTAGGCCTGGTGGAACTGCCATCAATAAATCAAGTGTGAGCAGGGTGAGGAACAGGAAAGAAGGAAATTTGGGGAAATGGGGTGAATGTCAGGTGGATCAGAGAGATACAGTCATGGGGGTCAGGTGTGGTATCAGGAATAATGTGGGAGGCCAGATTGAAGTCCGGGCCAGGAACAACGGTAATTGTGGGAGACTCAACAAAGAGTGAGTATAGCTGAAGGAGCCAGGAAGCAGAAAGTATATGCGTCAGGTATGAGGAAGAAAATAGATTTTGGAAGTTATGAGAACTATAGAGAGTGAGTTGAGCACAGTTTGCGATTTTGAGGGCCTCTAAAAGTATTAATGCAGCGGCAGCCGCTGCACGCAGACATGAGGGCTAGGCTAAAACAGTAATGTCAAGTTATTTGGACAGAAAAGCTACAGGGTGCGGTCCTGGCTCTTGTGTAAGAATTCTGACCGCGCTAACCATGCCTAGGAAGGAAAGGAGTTGTTGTTTTGTAGAAGGTGCTGGGGTTTGAGTGATCAGTCAGACACGATTGGCAGGGAGAGCACGTGTGTTTTTATGAGAATTATGCCAAGATAGGTAACAGATGAGGAGGAAATTTGGGCTTGATTGAAGTAATGGGGGCTGTCTGTGAAGCTTTGCGGCAGTACAGCCTAGGTAATTTGCTGAGCTTGATGGGTGTCAGGGTCAGTCCAAGTGAAAGCGAAGAGAGGCTGGGATTAAGGGTGCAAAGGAATAGTAAAGAAAGCATGTTTGAGATCTAGAACAGAATAATGGGTTGTAGAGGCAGGTATTGAGGATAGGAGAGTATATGGGTTTGGCA
Source organism: Homo sapiens (assembly GCF_000001405.40). Classification (NCBI taxonomy): domain Eukaryota; kingdom Metazoa; phylum Chordata; class Mammalia; order Primates; family Hominidae; genus Homo; species Homo sapiens. The sequence goes on along the minus strand of NC_000008.11, from coordinate 97,204,096 downwards.
CCACGGGGTGGATAGGCAAAACAATTTGGTTGATAAAGCACAGATTCTGAACTAAGTTGTAAGGCTCTTCTGGTTTTAGGACAGGTAAAATGGGGAAATTGTAAGGAGAGTTTATAGGTTTTAAAAGGCCATGCTGTAGCAGGCGAGTGATAACAGGCTTTAATCTTTTTCAAGCGTGCTGCGGGATTGGATATTGGCGCTGAGTGGGGTAATGGTGATTAGGTTTTAATGAGATGGTAAGGGGTGCATGATCGGTCGCCAAGGAGGGAGTAGAGGTATCTCATATTTGTGGGTTAAGGTGGGGGGATACAAGAGGAGGACGCAAAGGAGGCTTTGGATTGGGAAGAAGGGTGGCAATGAGATATAGCTGTAGTCCAGGGATAGTCAGGGAAGCAGATAATTTAGTTAAAGTGTCTCAGCCTAATAAGGGAACTGGGCAGGTGGGGATAACTGAAAAGGAGTGCTTAAAAGAGTATTGTCTAAGTTGGCACCAGAGTTGGGGAGTTTTAAGAGGTTTAGAAGCCTGGCCGTCAATACCCACAACAGTTATGGAGGCAAGGGAAACAAGCCCTTGAAAAGAAGGTAATGTGGAGTGGGTAGCCTCCGTATTGATTAAGAAGGGGACGGGCCTACCTTCCACTGTGAGAGTTACCTGAAGCTCAGCGTCCTTGATGGTCTAGGGGGCTTCCGAGGCAATCGGGCAGTGTCAGTCTTCAGCCGCTAAGCCGAGAAGATCTGGGAAGGAGTCAGAGAGCCTTGGGCCAGAGTTCCAGGGGCTCTGGGAGTGGCTGCCAGGTGAGTTGAACAGTCCGATTTTCAGTGGGGTCCCACACAGATGGGACGCGGCTTAGGAGGAATCCCAGGCTGCGGGCATTCCTTGGCCCAGTGGCCAGATTTCCGGCATGTGTAGCAAGCTCCTGGGGGAGGAGGTTCTGGAGGAACGCCTGGCTGCTGCGGTTCAGGCGTTTGGAAGTTCTCTTGTGCTGGAGATGTGGCTGGGGTTTGTCTCACAGTGGAGGCAAGGAATTGCAACTTTTTTCTATTATTGTACACCTTAAAGGCGAGGTTAATTAAATACTGTTGTGGGGTTTGAGGGCTGGAATTTAATTTTTGGAGTTTTATTTCGGAGCAGAATGGGTAATACAATGTATTTTGAGAATAAGACGGCCTTTTGGCTTTTTAGGGTCTAGGGCTGTAAAGCGTCTCAGGGTTGCTGCCAAACAAATCATGAACTGGGCTGCATTTTTATATTTGATGAAAAAGAGCCTAAACGCTATCTGATTTGGGATAAAGAAAAAGGAGCATTAACCTTGACTATGCCTTTGGCTCCAGCCACCTTTTTAAGAGTAAATTGCTGGGCAGGTGGGGGAGGGCTAGTCACGGAACGAAACTGTAAGCCGGACCAGGTGTGAGGAGGGGAGGTGATAAAAAGATTATAGGGTGGAGGAGCGGAGGCTGAGGAAGAATTGGGACCTAGCTCGGCCTGGCGAGGAGGGGAGAGGTCAGATGGGTCTGTAGAAAAGGAAGATTAGAAAGACTCAGCGACGCTTGGTGTTGGTACTGAGGGGACAGGCAGGAGGGAAAGAAGGAAGATTTGGGACGGGTTGCACTGGGCACAGAGACTAGGAAGGGACTGATGTGTAAAGGATGCCTGGACGTCAGGCACCTCAGACCGTTTGCCTATTTTACGACAAGAATTATTTAGATCTTGTAGGATGGAAAAATTCAAAGTGCCGTTTTCTGGCTATTTGGAACTACTGTTGAGTTTGTATTGGGGTCAAGTGGCATTGCAGAAGAAAATAAGGCATTTAGGTTTTAGGTCAGGTGTGAGTTGAAGAGGTTTTAAGTTTTTGAGAACACAGGCCAAGGGAGTAGAAAGAGGAATGGAGGGTGGAAAGTTGCCTATAGTGAAGGAAGCAAGCCTAGAGAAAAGAGAGAGTAGAGAAACGGAGGGAAGGGGTTCGGGGGTTCTTACCTTCCAGAAAAGTGGGAAAAGGGGTTGGGGCGCAGAGATAAGAGGTCAGGGCATGGAAATAAGGGATGGGGCACAGAAATAAGGGGTTGGGGCATGGAAATAAGAGGTCGGGGCACAGAAATAAGGTATTGGGGCACAGAGATACGAGGTTGGGGTGCGGAAATAAGGGATTGGGGGTTCTTGCCCCCTAGAAAAGCGGGACTTGCCACTAAGGGTGAAAGAGAAGGGTTTGAGGGGTACTTGCCCCTGCCCCAGGAAAGCAGGACTTGCCGCTAAGGGTGAAGGAGAAGGGGTTGAGGGGTACTTGCCCCTGCCCCAGGAAAGCAGAGAAGGGGTAGAGACAAGGAGAGAAGGGGTTGAGGGGTACTTGCCCCTCTCCCAGAAAAGCAGAGAAGGGGTAGAGACAAGGAGAAAAGGGGTTGAGGTACTTGCCCCTTCCCCAGAAAAGTGGGACTTGCCGCTAAGGGTGAAGGACCAAGGCAGGCATCCCTGCGTGGTCTGACACCCTTGAAACGTGGGTGTATAATCAGAGAGGCGTCCCTGCAATGATTAAACACCAAGGGAAGGCTGCCTTCCCAGTCCGTGACCGGCGCCGGAGTTTTGGGTCCACGGATAAAACGTGTCTCCTTTGTCTCTCCCTGAAAATGAAAGGAATTGAAATTAAGAGAAGGGAGAGATTGAAGAATGGAAAGAAGAAAGTGGTTGAGGGACAGTGAGAGAGGTTGGAGAAGAGAGTAAGAAGAGGCCACTTACCGGATTTGAAATTGGTGAGATGTTTCTTGGGCTGGTCGGTCGGAGGACCTGAGGTCGTAGGTGGATCTTTCTCACGGAGCAAAGAACAGGAGGACAGGGGATTGATCTCCCAAGGGAGGTCCCCCGATCCGAGTCACAGCACCAAATTTCATGCACGTCCATGTGAAGAGACCACCAAACAGGCTTTGTGTGAGCAACATGGCTGTTTATTTCACCTGGTTGCAGGCAGGCTGAGTCCGAAAAGATAGTCAGCGAAGGGAGATAAGGGTGGGGCCGTTTTATAGGATTTGGGTAGGTAAAGGAAAATTACAGTCAAAGGGGGTTTGTTCTCTGGCGGGCTGGAGTGGGGGTCGCAAGGTGCTCAGTGGGGGAGCTTTTTGAGCCAGGATGAGCCAGGAAAAGGACTTTCACAAGGGAATGTCATCACTTAAGGCAAGGACTGGCCATTTTCACTTCTTTTGTGGTGGAATGTCATCAGTTAAGGTGGGGCAGGGCATATTCACTTCTTTGGTGATTCTTCAGTTACTTCAGGCCATCTGGGTGTATACGTGCAAGTCACAGGGGATGCGATGACTTGGCTTGGGCTCAGAGGCCTGACACTTCCAATCCATGTTTTTATAATACCAACATTTTCCTGCCTAATGTGAAAGAAAATGAAGCATGGGGTCAGGAGGCTTTGAGGGTAAGAGTGAAGTTAGTGTTAAGGGTCTGGAGGTCTCAGTATATCAGTGAGATATTACTAAGGTGACATGAAAAGAAATTCTAGTTCACATCCTTGGCAGAGGAAGCCCATGTTGGGAAATTGTCCGGCAAGGATGAAGTCAGGCATGACTAGGTGGTAGGGAAGGTGCAGAGATGCTTGAGAGGACACACCCTGCATTGCTTTTCTCTTCTGGGAGTGGCTGTGAGGGAAATATACAGTTGTGTGGTAGGAATTTCCAATGCTTTAGGCATTGACCTCTGCTTTCCAAGGGATATATTCATTAGGCAACCAACTGGGAGAAGGTAAGGGTATGGATGTGGGTTAAGGACACTAACTAGAAGTAATAAACTGACCACTGAGTAAATTAATTCTCACTCTTAACAGCCAGCCCTCCCTGTATATACTCCCACTCTCACATGAATATTTTTGTTGGTTAGCCTGCTCATTGCAAATGCATTGCAAGTTCACTGCAAAGAGAAATCTCAAATCTTGCAAAAGATGCATTGTTTTGTGAAGCTGATTCAAGTGAGTTGGAGAACTGCAGAAAACACATACCAAGTCATCAACAAACATTGTTTGGCAGGGATGGGACAGTTAACAATTAAAGAAGAGAAACAGCACAGCATGGAAGGTGGTTTAAAAGAGTTGAATATTAAAGGATACAAAAGGCCTTTGGGAAAACTGATGAAGACTTCTATGCAACGCTTTTGCAGAGGTCCTCAGTATGATCATGTTGTGATTCAAATGAGAATGCTATGATGTGTGCTATCGTGTCAGTCACCCACCTCTGATGGCCAGATTCATGTGCTCATGCTCTTTCCTCTCATCACAGCCAAGGCTGCAGGATGGAAGGCAGTTCCCTGTGGGCTTCCACACTCAGGACTCCTGCTTTTCACTTCCCTCCTGGGTTTCTCTATGCTGTAGACACCAGCACTGCTTCCCAAACAGACACAAGTAGCCCAGAAGTGCTGGGAGCAATAATGGCCCCAGGAACAACCCATAAGCAATGTGGGCAAGGAGCTGATGGAGAAATAGTCCTCCAGTCAGTCCCCAGGTGGATAACTCTGAGATGCATTCTATGCCCTCCTCAGAGGTTACTGGTGAGGCTACATCCTAGCTGTCAACAGGAGTGACCTTGATAATAATGCACCCTGCATTGCATTTCTTCCTCTCCTCCCTCTCCTTGGTTCCTCAGCCATGCTACTTGGATCTCCTGCTGAGTCAACCAGCAGCACACAAGTCCTTGACTCGGGATTCACTTTAGGGGGTACTCAAGTCATCATATAGTTTCTCAGAAAGCTCATATCTAAGCCTCCTTTCAGTCTGGGTTCCAAGAATTAGCTCAAAGTTTTAATAGTAATCTATATAGTGTTAAATGTAAGATAAAATAAAAATTTTCATAATTTTTAGCTTAATTTTTAAAGACACAACCCTAATCAAATCTTTTCTTGCTTATTCATTATAACACTTTTTTAATATTTTAAGTGGATTTACTTTAAATGATCTTTTCCTGTCAGAAAATGGGAGCCATATATATATATATGGAATACTCCCATCTGGAATTTTTTTTTTTTGAGTTGGAGTTTTGCTCTCATTGCCCAGGCTGGAGTGCAATGGCAAGATCTTGGCTCAACACAACCTCTGCCTCCCAGGTTCAAGCGATTCTCCTGCCTCAGCCTTCTGAGTAGCTGAAATTACAGGCATGTGCCACCATGCCTGGCTAATTTTGTATTTTTAGTAGAGATGGGGTTTCTCCATGTTGGTCAGGCTGGTCTTGAACTCCCGACCTCAGGTGATCCTCCTACCCCGGCCTCCCAAAGTGCTGGGAGTACAGGCATGAGCCACCGCGCCTGGCCCAATTTTTTTTTTGAGATGGAGTCTTGCAGTGTCGCTGGGGCTGGAGTGCAGTGGTGCAATCTCGGCTCACTGTAACGTCTGCCTCTCAGGTTCAAGTGATTCTCCTTGCCTCAGCCTCCCAAGTAGCTGGGATTACAGGCACCCACCACCATGCACGGCTAATTTTTTTGTATTTAGTAGAGATGGGGTTTCACTATGTTGGCCAGGCTGGTCTTGAACTTCTGACCTCGTGATCTGCCTGCCTTGGCCTCCCAAAGTGCTGGGATTACAGGTGTGAGCCATTGCAACCAGCCACCCCCACCTGGAATTCTATAACTCACTTTTTAACTTATGTTCTATGTCTTTTTCCATTCATTAAATATTCTTCTAAAACATGAACTCCATCATGTGACTGGGCCATAATTTATATAATCAATATACTATTGTGATATTTTGAAGTTGTTTCCATTTTTAACAATACCATAAACAAAGGTGAAGGAAGAGAATAATGCCAATGTATGAACGTTGGGCAAGTTTTCAATTCTTGTGCCTCAGTTTCCTTATCTGATCAGGTGGGGACAAGAATGGACAAACCTCATAGGGCTACTGTGAGGATTGAGCACATTAATACTTTTATTTATTTATTTATTTTTATTTTACTTTAAGTTTTGGGATACATTTGCAGAATGTGCAGGTTTGTTACATAGGTATACACGTGCCATGGTGGTTTGTTGCACCCATCAACCCGTCATCTAGGTTTTAAGCTCTCATGCATTAGGTATTTTCCTTACACATTAATACTTTTAAAGTGTTCAAAACAGTGCTTCACCCTACTCAGCGGTCTATAAAAGTTTGCACTGATGGTGATGGTGATGATGATGTCTCCTCTTTCAATGAATGGCCATTGTCCACCCAGGTACTCAATCCAATCAATTCTCAAGACTTGTGAGTTATACTTCTTGATTTTGTTCACTTCCTGCACCCCTCTGCCACTGCCCTATTCAGGCTACTCTCCCCTCTGCTTTTGTCCTATCTCCTAAGTGGTCTCCTTGCCTTAAATTTTGAGCCCTTCCAATCCATTCTCCACCCCTTAGTCAAAGTGCTTTTTCTAAAACAAAACTCTAAATAGCTCAACTAATTTATATTCTTATTAGCATTGTAAGAGAATACCTATTTCCCAAAACTTTACTATCTATAATTATTTTTAAAACATTTTTGAAAAATGGTATTTTATATTTTGTTTCTTGGCAAAGATTGAGCTTTAAAAAACATACGTTTGACACTTTTATCATTCCCTTTGTATGATGTCTGTTTGCGTCTTTTGCCCTAAAAGGCCTTCAATATTATGACATAGTAAATGCTATCTATGTTGTGGAGCATAAATTTGAAGTTGGCTGAAATTTGCCTTGGCCAGCCTTGGCTCTGGGCCTAGGACCCTCCAGATAAGCCCTTTTTATGGTTGCTTCTAAATGTCATGTGCCCATCTGTTTTAATTTGGCCCAGTCCATGAGGACTTGAGAACAGGACTCCTTGAAGCACATAATAATCATTGCCTCAAAGTGGCCTGTTCTTCATCTCTGGATGGCTTCCCATAATCCAGCTCCTTCCGGATGGCCATTTTTAGTTGAGACAACCATGCCATTTTGAAGCCTGCTGCTTTTGGAGGCTAAATATAATTTCTCTGGGAAAGGGGCCAACTGCGACAGTTTATTTCCATTTGTCCTATGTCTTGAGGCAAGACTGAATGTGAGAGGAAACCTGGAGCCAGTGCGAAGAACAGCATGGCAGCATCAGGCACCAGCCACCACTGTCCACACACTGCCCGGCGTGCGGGGTCCAGAGTCTACGCACACCCCCACGTTGGAACCCCCAGAGGGGATAGGCACCTTAGTCACAGCACGCTGCAGGACAGGTTCTTTCAGGCTGAAATGATAGGGCTGGCTGAGTGTGTGCCTACCCAAACCTGACAGGAAGATTTTGCCTAAATTCAATTTCTCCTCATCCAATGAATAACCGTAGTCCACCCAATCCAATCAATTGAATTACTAGTTCTTGAAAAATGAAATCATTCATAAAAAAATGAGCAGCATATTTTAAGGTTATAAAACTCATAAAACATTAAAAGGTGAAGTATATATTCGGATATTAACAATGGGCTTAATCTTTTATTTATTTATTTATTTATTTTGAGACAGAGTTTTGCTCTTGTTGCCCAGGCTGAAGTGCAATGGCGTGATCTCAGCTCACTGCAACCTCCGCCTCCTGGGTTCAACTTATTCTCCTGCTTCAACCTCCTGAGTATCTGGGATTACAGGCATGTGCCACCATGCCCAGATAATTTTGTATTTTTAGTACAGACAGGGTTTCTCCATGTTGGTCAGGCTGGTCTTGAACTCCCGACCTCAGGTCATCTGCCCACCTCGGACTCCCAAAGTGTTGGGATTACAGGTGTGAGCCACAGCACCCGGCCAATCTTTTTTTAAAGAAGTAGCATAAAATATATGTTAAACACAAATACTAAAAAATATGCCAAAAACCCTGTAAAACAAATAACTAACTAAAGTGAATGGTTACAGGATGCTGATATATCCATCCCATACAGGATGGTATTTCATACTTCTTGGGAAAACACGTCAAGCCTTCTATGATTCAATTCTTGACCTTTTCAGTCGTGATCCTCCCCTCATCCCGAGTACTATACTTACCTCTCCAGCCATATTGAACAGCTCCAGCTCCCCAACTATGTCATACTTTTGCATATTCTATTTTATACTTTTGCATATACTAGCCTCTGTACTTTTGCATATGGTATTTTCTCTGCCTGGGTTGCAACTGAAAAACTTCTACTCTTCTTTCAAAACCCAGACTCAATCCTCTTTGACCCACCCAAATAGAAGTAATTAGTCACCCCTGTGTTCTGGTATGGTTTCCAGTTCACACCTTTGTTTTAGCACTACATTTTCCATGCTTGCGTCTCCTCTATTGGAGTGTGAAAACTTTGAGAGCAGAGACTGTCTTTAGTTATTCATTCATATCCATTCAACAAATATTTGCTAAGTGCCTATTATGTGCTGCGTGACTTGTCTTTGCATTCGTTATATGTACTCTGCTGAGCATGGTGCTGGGAAATGGCAAGTGCTAAAGCATGGGGGATGGGTGGGATGGAGTTATTGAAGATGGCCACATAGCCTGTCCTTAGCATGGGAGACTCGCCCTCTGCTACAGTGTTATTGAATCATCCTGGGCTTTTTCTCACTACTCGCAGGTGGTATTTCTTCATGTGATGTCACTGCTTGGAAGAGAGGTAATATTCCCCCATTCCACCCCACCTCAGAACTCCTCATCACTTCCTGACCTCCCAGCCTCACTCTGTGTCCAGAGATTCAGATGCAATCAGAACAATTACCTGAATAGTCAACTTCTTCCCCCACAACTGGCTTGCTTTCCCGGTAAAGACGGTGTCTTGTCACATCCAGAAAGGCCAAAGTGTGCCCACTTCCTGGCACCACTATGGACAGAATCCTGGGAGCTGTGCTAGGAGAGCATGTCACCAAGAAACGGCAGGTCATAGGAAGTGGGGGCAATATCTCTTTTTAAATCAAAGAGAGAGGACTGTAAGTACAAGATCCACAAAGATGGTTTTGATGACTCAAGTCCTGATACTGTTTGGAGAGGTTGTTACTGGGGACAGGGGAGGGAGACAGGGAGGGAATGGGAGGGGAGAACAGAGAAATGCATGACCCAGTCTGCCATCTACCATTGACAGGAGGATGGGAGGTGCTTTTTCTTTTCTGTCATTTATGCTTTCATTCTTGATTTTCCTGACTCTAGATCCCCAGGGCCTTCCTTCCATAGAGTCCTCTGCCCTCTGTCAGCTTGGTCTATTTCCCAGACACCCAAAGCAGCCTCACTGACATAAACTGTTTATCCCCAACCTGATCTGTGATTGCACCTCACATTGGCCACTGGGCATAGATCAGCATCCTGTAACCATTTGTGCTAGTTAGTTATTTTACAGGGTTTTGGGGGGTCTATTTTTGATATTTGTGTTAGACATATATTGTATTCTCCTTCTTTAAAAAATAGATTAGGCCCATTGCTAATACTGGTCATATACTTCATCTTTTTATGTTTGATGAGTTTTATAACATTAATATAAATGAGCATACATATGCCACTCATATTTTACACTTGAAACTTAAAAAAATATTGCTTGGAGCATTTCTGCCAAAAGACAGCTTTTAGGATTTTAAGACAGAATCCTTATCAGGATCTCCTGGGGACGCAAAATTTAGCTTTTAGTTGCTACCTGAAGACAATCATTCTTTATAAAACTCAATGTCTCCTTTCAGATCTTTTGAGGGATGTTGGGAAGATCCCTCTGCCCTCTCCCTGGGGCCCATCATATGTTCTGCAACAGGCTAAGTTCCTGAGTTCTCAGGGGGACTGCACAGGAGTCTGCACCAAATGGACATCCAGGACACCCCTGCATCCTAGACTGTGTGTTTCTTATGCAATCCAAATGGACTATATTCCTACATGGAGATTGAGTCTTAGTGATGCTTTTCACAATAGTGGTGGCACCTCCAGGGGAAAAGTCACATCATAGTCCAGTTTGGAGGGTTGCCGAGCCACTCACTTTCACGTTTAAGTTTCCAAATCCCGAGTGTGTGAGAAATTAATCACTGGACATCTCGGGAGATAGAGTGAACACTGGTGGTTATGAATGAAGCTTCATTTAAGCAAGTTATTACACCTTTCAGGTATAATCAACTAACTGCATCTGGGATCCCACAGTGATGGATTTGTACCCAACTCCATAGCCTTAATAAAGTGAAAAACAGACAAGAGCTCAGACTTTATTTTAAAATGTACATGCTTTTGCTTTCCATTTCTTAGAAAAAAAATGCATAGATGAGATAGTAGAGTATAATGAGTAGAACCAGGGGCTCTTGAAGTCAGAAAAATTGAGTTTAAAACCTCAAATCCACACTTTGTAGGTGGGTGGCCTTGGACATTGTCTTACTTTGTTTGGTGTTGCTATAACAGAATACTTGAGACTGGGTAGTTTATACAGAAAAGATTTATTTGGCTTATAATTTTGGTGGCTGGAAGGTTCAAGATTGGGCAGCTGCATCTGCTGAGGGCATCAGGCTGCTTCAACTCATGGTGGAAAGTAGAAGGGCAGTGGGTCTGTGCAGAGATCACATGGAGAGATAGGAAGCAAGAGCGCTGACTGAAGAAGCCAGATTCTTCTTAGCAACCTGCTCTCTCCAGAACTAATCCATTCCTGAGAGCGAGAACTCAGCCCAGAAGAAGGGCCCTAATCTATTCATGAGAAATCTGCCCCCATGATCCAAACATCTCCACTAGCCCCCACCTCCCAATACTGCCACACTGAGAATCAAACTTCAACATGAGTTTTGGAGGGGACAAACGAAAGCAGACATATTGTTTAATTTCTCTCAGTCTCAGATTATTCAGCCGTCAAATGGAGATAATCACACTGACCTCACAGAACTCTTAAGAAGAGTCAAGGACACAATGGATCTAAGTGTTCAGCACAGCACCTCGTAGCTAGAACTCAGTCAACAGTAGGAAGATAAGGAAATGAAAACCAACCTGGCTTTTGAAAGGTTTGAAATATTGAAGAGAGATTTTCCTGGTCTCATTGAGATCTCCAGATTTCTTCTTTTGCTTGGTGCCTGTACAGGTTGCTGTCTCTAAGTCAGTGGCTGGAGCAAGTGCAGCATGGCTGGAACTCCGTCGCTGTCAGTGAGGCATCCGCTCAAGGACGGCAGCCTACTGCACGCCAGCACCTTGCTCTAGGATTGCCCCAGCTCTTTCTGTGGAAACCTGGAGCCTGATGATAAATCCCTCTTACTTGAGGTAACTTGGAGGCAGTTTTTTAGAGTTAACATAGTTTAAATAAACCATCGATCTCGAATCTAGATCAGAAGATGGAAAACTTTTTATATAAAGGGCCAGGTAGAAAATATTTTAGGCTTTGTGGCCCATATGGTCTCTGCTGCAACTATTCGATTCTCGTAGCATGAAGGCAGTCAAAGATAATACATAAATGAATAGGTGTGGCTGAGTTCCAATAAAATTTTATTTATGGGCACAGAAATGTGAATTTCACATCATTTTCTTGTGTTGTAAAATATTCTTCTTCTTTTAATTTTTCTAAAAGGACATTTTAAAATGTAAAAAATACAAAAATAGGCAGTGTACTAGATTTAGCCCACGGGCCATATAGTTTGCTGACCCTGATCTAGAAAGATGTTTTGTTAAAAATGAAATTTATTTTTCACAGCTCTAATGATTTACTGAGAATTGTGACAAAGTAGTGATATGTTGCCATTTTATTTCAGAGAAATTCTGACCTAAGCCTGAAGGAAATTGCTTTCTAACAAAATAAAATACATTTATTGAATCTTAGGAGATAAGGTTCACACTTTTATATGTGGCTTAATCCCCACCTGGGGCATACAGGACAGTAAGACCTTTAGATTTTACCTTTTTGTTAACTAAGCGTGGTCTCAGGCTTTGCCATATTTTGTTTAATTGGAAAGTTTAACATTAGAAGACATGGGGCAAAATAATAACAAAGCAACAACAAATGACAAACACATTTCGCCCTAATCGATTATACTGAGTCCACACTATTGACTACCTCAACTTTGAAGTAGTTGAAAAGAAATACAGGAAAAATAGGAAATGCTGAATGCCCACCATATATCTAGAATTGTTACCACCATTCTACAAATGAAGAACTAGTACTCATTTAAGTGTTTTTTTTTTTTTTTTCAAAGCTCACACAGCTAATAGATGCATAAGCTGGAATTCAAACATAGCACATATGACTTTTTTTCAACTTTTATTTTAGATTCACGAGGTACACGTGCTGGTTTGTTACATGGGTGTATTGCATGATGCCGAGGTTTGAAGTACGAATGATCTATCATCCTGGTACTGAGCATAGTACCCTGCAGTTAGTTTTTCTGCCTTTCCCTCCTTCCGCCTCTTCCCTTTAGTAGTCCCCACTGTCTATTGTTGCCAACTTTATGTCCACGAGTACCCAGTGTTTAGCTCCCGCTTGTAAGTCAGAATATGCAATATTTGGTTTTCTGTTCCTGTGTTAATTCGCTTAGGATAATGGCCTCCAGCTGCATCCATGTTGCTGCAAAGGACATGATTTCTTTCTTTTTTATGGCTGTGAAAAATAAAATGTTGTATCTATCACCCTACGTTAGCTTTCCGCCGGTTAAATGTGTGTGTTTATTTAGTGCCGACCATGCCTGCCCTGTGCTAAGTTCTCCGTATACATTATCAGAACTTCAAGAAGAAATCAACCAATCCACCATCATAGTGAAATATTTCAACACACTCCTCTCCATAATTGACCCATGAATTAGATACACTGTGTCACTTTTAATGTGCAGGTAGATTTTATCTTTCCTATTTTACACTTGAGGAAACTGAGGCTCAGAGTGGTGGTTAACTTGTTTAGGGGCCACATGCCGAGCAAATGATAGAACTGAGATATAACCCGGATGTCAGGATTTCAAAGCCCAGGAGATTTGCATTGACCTTCATGGCTTCCCCGCACCCACCAACCTCAAAGTCATTTAGAAACTTATGGGATAGGCAAAAAGGAAGACCTGGAGAGGTAGGGACAGAGTTGAACACTGACCTTTCAATCTTCCAAATCCCAATCAAGGGTTTCTCCAGAGAGTTGGGTTCTGTTAGGGATAACATTGAGGAAGTTTGATCCAATTACCAGCAACAGGAATAGTTATTTGTATTAGGTTTTGTTTTTTAAATCACACTGAACAAGCATTACTATCAGCCAGGAATTAATGGCCACACACAGCGAGAGACACCCAGGAGTGAAGCAATAATTACTGAGGTCATCGACCTCACTTCGGGGCAAAGCTGACTTAGGGGTCCTGTCACTGCTGGAAATGACAGGATGCAAGTCAATGGATGCCGAGCCACCCTGGGTATAGTTCAAGCCTGTCTGCATTAAAATGATGTCAACTAGATTGAGGGCATTTGGAGACCAGAAAGATAAATAATAATAGCTTTGAAAGGGGCTGACTCAGGAAGGTCAGTTTCTGATTTGACAGAGTTGCAATGGGGGCAAGTGATGACTGAAGATTCCTTAGGAGAGCCATTTGCCTGCACTTGGCTTGGGAGTAGAAGAAGGAGGTCACGTGATGGGTTTGAATTGTTCCAGAGGTCGTGAACCAATCTCTTTTAAACAGAGAGAGAGAGAGATGGGTTAAAAAATGAGAAAGAAGCAAAATAGCAAGAAAAACTTGAAGCTTACCATAGACCAACATTGGGATAGCTTCTAGAAGGAAGCCTGTGTGTGTTTATTGTGGGAGAAGCTAAAGTAGGGTGTAAAAATGAGATAATAAGCAAACAGGAGCGAACAATCTTGGCTGACAACGAACAGCAAGGAAATGCTGGGCCCTATCTGCTTTCTCCCATTATTACCAAAGTGAGCAGATTTCAAGGTATGAAGCCATAATAGTAGATAGGAAAGTTTGCTCCAAGGCTCATGCCCATGGGCATGTGGGGAACACAGGGAGTGCCAGAGATGACAGGAGGATGTTCCAGCTCACATTTCTCCCAGAAGCAGACCCTGAGGCAAGAATCCAAGTGCAAATATGGCAGCCCCCTTATCTATGGGTGATACGTTCCCTGGTGAATGCCTGAAACCTGCAGAGAGTACAGAATCCTATACATATATATATATATATATATATATATATATATATATATATATATATATATATAAAATGTTTTTTTCTATAGATACCTATACATGATAAAGGTTAATTTATAAATTAGGCACAGTAAGAGATTAACAATAATAACTAATAATAAAATAGAACAAGTATAAAAATATACTATAATAAAAGTTATGTGAATGTAGTCTTTCTCTCAAAATATCTTATTGTACAGTATTCGCCCTTCTTATGATGATGTGAGATGATAAAATGCCTACGTGATGAGATGAAGTGAGGTGAATGATGTAGGCATTGTGATGTAAATGTAAAATTCCGGAAATAGACAATGCATAAGTTTTGAATAGGGCTCAGTTCTGAGTACTATGACAAAATATCGCACCATCCCACCCAGGACATGAGTCTTCCCTGTGTCCAGCATCTCCACATTGTGGCACTGCTCACCTTGAGTCACCTAGTAGCCCTCTGATATGATTGGGCTTTGTGTCCCCACCCAAATCTCATCTTGAATTGTAATCCCCATAACCCCCCATGTGTCAAGGGAGAGACCAGGCAGAGGTAATTGGATCATGGGGGCAGTCTCCCCCATGCTGTTCTCCTCATAGTGAGTGAGTTCTCACAAGATCTGATGGTTTTATAAGGGGGCTCTTATCCCTTCCTTGGTGCGTCTCCTCCCTGCAGCCTTATGAAGGTGCCTTGCTTCCCCTTGGCCTTCTGCCATGATTGCATGATTGTAAGTTTCCTGAGGCCTCCCCAGGCATGCTGAACTGTGAGTCAATTAAACCTCTTTCCTTTATAAATTACCCAGTCACGAGCAGTTCTTTATAGCAGAGTGAAAACAGACTAATACACCCTCTCAGTTATCAAATTGTCATGGTATTGCTTGTGTCCAAGTCCCCTTTATTTTACTTAAGACTGGCCCCAAAGCACAAGAATAGTGATGTGATAGTTTTGGACTGGATTGACTGCGGGTAACTGAAACTTTGGTAAGCAAAACTGTAGATACGAGGGGACTACTGTAGTTTTTGGGAGGTGATTGCAGGAAGCACTGGTGAGGAGTGGGGCAGTAAGACTGAGATGGGAAGGCAGCCAAGTAAAGCCCCTCATCAGGCAAGTTGTTGCTGTGGACACTGAGGAATGCTGGGAGCCAGCATAGAGCACAGGCCTTGGAGTCATCCTATCTGAGGGCAGAGGGAGCTGGGTGGGCCCCAGAGGGCACAGTGGGTAGAGGGAGCTGTAACAGTTAGAGCGAGGCTGTGGGAAAAGCATCATGGGTGCTGATTGGCAGGTGAGAGTTGGGCTACATTTACAGTGATGGTAAATGCAGAGGGGATAGAGTTGGGCATTGCCAACATCTGTGCAGGGCACCTCTCAGAAGAATCACCAGGGAAGTAAAGATTGAAGAGTAATGGTTTTACATCTGCGCACACTCCGGGCTAAACAAGCAGGGGCTGTGGGAGAAAAGGAGAGACTAAAGCTGTAGACCAAGAATACAGCAGCTACAGAGAAGAAAGCAGATTCAGTGAGGGGCCAATGATGTCAGAGTGAGGACCAGAGAGCAAGAGAGCTAAAGTTGAGAATTTTCCTGCCTGCTGCTCCCGTTCCCTGTGCAAAAAGAAAACTGTACTTGCCTGTCAGGCTTAATCATTTCAGTCCTCCATGTTCTCATACTGAGCAGCCTGCTAGCACAGATGAAGATAGATGGTTTTCTCCTCCTTGAGATTGGAGCTGGACATGGGAGAAAAAGTTTGCTATGTCAAAAAAATTAAGCTGCTTTTCTTGGCACAGAAAGTTCCACAGATTAGGGAAAAAAGGATTTGTGAGTCCTCCTTTTTTTTTTTTTTTTTTTTTTTGAGACGGAGTCTCGCTCTGTCACCCAGGCCGGACTGTGGACTGCAGTGGCGCAATCTCGGCTCACTGCAAGCTCCGCTTCCCGGGTTCACGCCATTCTCCTGCCTCAGCCTCCCGAGTAGCTGGGACTACAGGCGCCCGCCACCGCGCCTGGCTAATTTTTTGTATTTTTAGTAGAGACGGGGTTTCACCTTGTTAGCCAGGATGGTCTCGATCTCCTGACCTCATGATCCACCCGCCTCGGCCTCCCAAAGTGCTGGGATTACAGGCGTGAGCCACCGCGCCCGGCCGTGAGTCCTCCTTTTAATCGGTCTAGTAGTCAGACTGTTTTTCCCAAATGAATTCCTGGGCCAGTATAAACTTCTGCTGGGGCTGACTCTGCCATTCCTCCCCTTACCCATTCCCCTCAGAAGAATGAGCCCAGCCAAGGCCTCTTCTGATTCAAGCTAAGCTTCTGGAAGGCAGCCAAGGAGTCAGTCTTTGGCAGGATTACGGGGTCTCCCTTCAGCAAACATGCCCTATTCATCCCTTGGGTCTTGAAGTGGGCTGTCTTGGGGGCTCATGGTATGACCTCTCTTCCTATCAGTGGGGCTTTGATTTTTGCTGTTACTTAGGGCATAATGTAAACGCCTCTGAACTCAGGGCATCAGCCCAGCCCAGGGAACCAAGTTGTAGGAGGCTGAGTAATGGCTTCCAAAGCTATGAGGCTTCCATGTTTGGCAATGTAGAAATGATTACTCTCTATAGTAGTTCTCCAGGGAGGGGAGAGAGGGAGAGAGAAAGAGATTAATTTAGATTAATTTCAAGAATTGGAATTGGCTTCTGCAATTGGAGGAGGCCTGGTAAGTTCAAAATCTACAAGACAGGCTGGAAACCCAAGGAAGAGTTGATGAAGCCGCTCAAGTCTGAAGGCTAAGAACTCCCTCTTCCTCAAGAGAGGTCAGTCTTTTTCTCAAGGCTTTCAACTGCTTGGATGAGACCCACCATTTTATGGAGATAATCTGCTTTATTCAAAATCTACTGATTTAAACATTAACCTCAAATTTAAAAAAATTACCTTCACAGCAACATCCAGATGTGTTTGGCCAAACATCTAGATGCCATGGTCCAGCTAAATTGATACCTAAAATTGACCATCATATTCCCCCCATTCTACTATTTTTTTGTTAAACAGATGAGAAAACTGAGGCTCAGAAAAGTATAAAAACCTGCTCAAAATCGTGTAGCTAGTGTGTGATTTGACACACAAGCCATGCCTTAGCCACCATGTTATAGAGAGGTTGCAGATATAAACCCAGCTTTAGACTGAAATTGGCTGTGCAGAAATATCCCAATTCCCTGAGCAGATTGGAAACTCATTCCTCCTTCATCACACCCAGTCTGGCCAACAGGCTGAGGTGGCCTTGACAAACCTGAATTCTGCTTCTTCCTACTTACTGCTCACTCTTAACCTTCTGAGTCCTCTCTGTAGGTCGCCTTCTGTCCTTCGTACTTCTCTGTTCCCTGGCTAAGTTTCCTTCAGCACATGCTTTCCACTGCTTTCTATTTTTCTCAAGTTACTTCTAGCAATTCACAAAGCTTTGGGATACCTACATTTAGTGAGAGAAAGCTCTTAGTCCCCACAATGAGTCAAGCTAGGACACATTTAGTTGGGGATAGTGAAGGGGTTTCTCTTCTTTACCCCGTCGCTCTCAGCGAAGTGAGAAGAGAACTCAAATGTCACCACTGGGAAGGCCGAGGGTGTGTCCTCAGCAGACCATGAAGGCACGGCCACCTCTTAGACATCTTTGCACCCTGTGTCTGTCAGTGTCCAGTCAGGAAAACTGAAACATGCCAGAGATTTCAATCAGAGAGAATTCTATTTGGGTAATTGACTGAAAAATCTAGATGGCATATTTCAATCAGAGAGAATTCTATTTGGGGAGTTGACTGAAAAATCTAGATGGCATAAGGAGAACAGTAAGGGAAACCACAGATTAGTAACTGCGGAGAGTTGCTACTGCTCCTCAGGCCATGGAGAAAAAGGCAAAATGATGCACCCAGGGAGTTCAGTTCATCACAGAGGCTGCTGCCATTAGAACCACGTTGCTGCTGCTGCTGTAGCACCAGAGTCTTCCTGCTGTGGGTCCTGCCTTGACCACCACTATGGACCCAACCACTGCTGCTGCCAGCACTGCTTCTAGGAGCTGGAAAACATGGCTTAACCCTGGACTTGGGAGTGCATTTTTAGGGAAATGCCTGAGATTGATGCAGAGAGGGAGTGACGGTAAGGGTGTAGCTATGGCTATAAAGCTCCGTGGATATTCACACGTCAGTGAGTGTGTGTGAACTTTCACCACATAGAACCCACACCCGGTTGGTCCCCATCTGGAGCTCCCATTGCCCACTGTCCTCCCTCACAGCACTTGGCACTTAGCCATATTTTCATTTGTTATTGGTAGTTAGTTATTTCAGTCGTCTTCCCATCTAAACCGCTAGGACCATGAAATAAGACCCATGCCCTCCCCACCCCTTGTATTCACTTGCATCCCCGGAGCCTGGCACTCAGTGGCCACTCCATGTACATATTTGACTAACTACCCAGCTGGATACCTCAGGAGATATCATTTTCCCTTCTCACAGAGAATCAAAGGACCTCATGGGAGTGCCCAGTTTTGAGAAGAAAGCTAGATTTGCCGGCCGTGTTTTCACTCAGCTATGGTTGTATCATTCAACTTTTAACAAACAGAAGTTGGCAGGAATAGGAAGGCAAAGTGCAGCAGAAATAAAATCCAGGAGGACACACACTGCCTTCGGGAGGTGTCTCTGAGTTGGGCGTGGTGGTGACTGAAGCAGGCGGACCTGGAATGCAGCAGCAGCCAGGAGCCTGCCCAGATGCTCTCGTCCTCCATTTGTCCCTGCAACCATTATTTACAGTTTGTTGCTATGATCCCACAAGCTCATCTTCACTCCCAAAGGAGAGAGAAGTAAACTAGATTGATAGGGTGCTTTCATCTGTATGATGTTTTGTCTGTGAGCCCTGTGGGAGCTGGCATGCTGAGAGTAGCTACTGTCTTCCCAGAGAGGGAGCCCCATGGTGGGGAGTGTGGACTCTCCCCGAGAAGCTTCTCTCTTTCTCTCCTGGCTGAAAGTGGATACATCAATTTCTATCCCAGAGGTGTTAGGCTGTAATACTGAGAGTTTATGAATGTCACTGTCAAAGCCAACCAATGACCACAACTTGGACTGTGGTCATTGGACTACCTCATTTCCAGATGCATTTTAACCTTGTCCTTGGCAATGCATTTAGCAGGACTTGCACTTGTCCAACAGGCTGTCACCCATTCACCATTTATTTGACCACTACAGTATAACCATGAGATGTCTGCAAGGCATATGCTTTTTTAAAACCAAGATATCCTTTTGTAGGAAGGATATAAAATGCATTTTATCTTGCAAGCCCACTTTGATCATTTATTGGTGGCTGCCTGGGGCCCTGTGTTGAGAAGGATTCTGAAGTACAGAAATCACTTACTTATGGGCACCAGAGGGCTTTTAAAACTCTTTTATAAGAAATATACTAACAACCAAAAGGCCTAATAGGATGCATTTTAAGAGTCCCCTGGGAGGAATTCTGCTGCTTCTCTAGAATTCAGAAGTAGCTATGCTTATTCCTGTCTTCCTTTCTTTTTTTTTTTTTTTTTGTTAAATAGCAAAATTTCCCTTCCCAACACACTTGCCTATTACCACGCATGATATATTTTATGGTATCATCAAATGTTAGAGCTGAATGATTCTTTAGAGAGCATTCAGTCTAAGGGTCTTGTTTTGCAGAAGACAAGGCTGGGGGATGCTGATTTTCCAAAGGGCAAATGGCTAGTTAGTATAGGTTCTCTTTCATTTGTCTTCTTTTGGACCCTTTGCTCCAAGGCAGAAAGTTTGTCATATCTTAGCTCTGCTAGTAAAGAACATGAAGTTGTGTAGGACCGAACTAGAAGTGTATCTTGAGCCACAAGGATAACACCTTTCAACCACACAGCCTGGCTCTCTCATTTGCTAGTTGAGTAACCATCATAAATTGCTTAACATTGCTAAGTCTCAGTTTCCTGACCAACAAACTGGGGATGAGGATTAAATGAGATAATGAATGTAAAATGTGTAGCACTGGGCCTGGCTTAACAAATGTTGACTATTGTTATCATCTGTAGAATGATCCAGCTGGACTCAATGAGTCGCTCTTGTTCTGAGAGCCGATGCTTCGGGACATCCGTTAATAATGCATGGGATTGTTTCTGAACTGCCTGTGATGAGCTCTATATTGTCATCAGGACTGTTCTATCAAATGAGATGATACGTGGAGAGTGAGTTCTTGGCTAACAATAAAGTATTAGCTATTGTTTATTTCAGATAACATTTATCATCATTATTATTACTGCTACTATTCATAACTGTCAAGGTATATCTATCAATATGGCAATATTTATAATTCCAATGGCAAGTTTCAAATCCATGAAGGACTCTGGAATTTTTAATTCACTAAGGACAAGGTGCCAGCCTTTGTATTCTGACTTGTATCTTTAAACAGTCTCTTCTCAACAAGGTGATGTTTTCTGGGTGAACTTTATATCTTGCTATAGTTTTAATTAGTATCATATTTGTATTTGTTTTTTACTGGTATATAAGTTCTAGGCTTTCATCCATAGTCATTTCCTAGAGCGTACAGTTTTAAAACACCCAATAAATAAATTATAAATGTGTGTGTGTGTGTGTGTGTGTGTGTGTGTGTGTGTGTCTAGGCTGAAGTCTGCACTGGCTTCTCAACAGTGAGCATTAGGTATTGGTGAAGGGAAAATGGTGTCTTGTACCTTGGGATGTTGTCTGGACACAAGTTCTAAAATATGTCATTTATCTGCTGAACTCTACCAGGATGGATTTCCATCCCACTCTTGTGTTTCAGTCCACACCATCTGTATCAGGAAATGGGCTGCAAAGATGCTACTGACATGAACTCAACTAATTTCTCATCATAAAGTATCTGGAAGCTCCAGAAAGCAGCCATGGCCTGAGTATCATCCTGTTGGAGACTTGCTCCATTTACAAAATCCAACAGTGGGACACAGAAACATTCCTGCAAGGTCCAAGGAATCTCAAGTGTTCTTTATGGCTCGAGTCTATAAATTCATTAGGGAAAACTCACTGAATCTTAGGCCTATTATTTTTTTCTTGAAAAGGAGACATAAAGACAAAGCGAAAAAGCAAGGGCTATGTGATTAGAGGGCCTGGGTGAGAATCCAGGTCAGACCCTGCTGCATACGAGTCATCTGACCCCAGGACTGGAGCCTTTATCTCCTCGAGTGTCCATTTTCTCATCAATGAACTGGACGAGGATTACACGTCCACTGCTGATTTATGGGTCCTTGAGAGGATCAAATGAGGTAATAAATACAAAATGATTTGCAAATTCTTAAGTCATTTTCAAAAATAAGTTTCTTACAATAATCATAACAATGGTAACCATGCCTAGAAAGCCCTGCCCTACATTAAAGACCCTCAAGAGCAGGAGGTTGGAAAAGGAGAGATATAGGAAACACGAAAAGGCATCAAGTCTGCTCTGAAAAGCTGTCACTCAGCCTGAGTGTGTGATCCTGACAGGGAAGCACCAGGAAGCCTGGCAGGTCTCAGTGAGTGATGGAGACCCCAGTCAGCACAGCTTCAGCAGAAAGGAATTTATTGCCTCTCATCCCAAAGGAAATCACAGCTGGCTCTAGAAGTTTAGTGTCATCGGGACCCAGTCTTTCTCACTCAATCTCTTGGCTCCACTTTTCTCTCTGTTGACTTTATTCTCAGGCAAAAATCACCCCACTGTTTTTTTAATCCATCCCTGCAAATAAAAGAATGGCTCTCATTCCCAACAAGAGCCCTCGAACTGGGTCTTCTTGTGTCATACTGATTGTGTTTCCTAAAGCCAACCACTGTGGCCAAGTGAATGTAATATGTGAATTCATGCATTTATTCAGTACATAATTATTGAGCATCTACCATGCTCAATACTTTTCTAGGAGCTTAAGATATAGCAGTGAACAAAACCGATAAGTAAGTACATAAATAAAGAAATGTTAGACACTGATTCAGAGTCAGAAGTTTTGGGTGGAGGCCAGGACCCTGCTTCTTTAGCAAGCTCTCCCTGAGTCATGCCTGCAATTAATCTATGGTCCATGCTGTGGAGAAGTACAATGTAAAAGAACCCACTCCAAAGAGCCAGGGAGCAGCGTCCAGCTGCAAGTCCCCCTTTCTTCTGTCAGAGAAGTTTGCAGAAGTGAACACAGTGGGTAGACACCCCAGTGATAGCTACGGGATGGATGGGAAGGAAGTCTGCTTGGATAAAGGGCAGGAGTAGGCACCTTAATTGTTCAAGACATCATTTCCCACCCTAGAGCACCCCATTGCCTCCCAAGCTGAAACTCATGTATTTCCTGCAAATACCAAAATGAGGATTTGTTTCTTTTCTCTCTTTCCAACTTAAATATTTGTAAAGACTCAGTCTATGTGGGAACTAATTGTTTTGTGCTCTAAATGCAGGTCTGCATGTTTAGGGCTCAATATTAATTTATGATGATTGGTTATTATTCCACTAGTTGTCCCCCTCTTTCCTGCTACCCTTCCCTTCCAAATGGCCTGTTGTATCTTGTTTCTCTTCTGAACCCCAAAAGGCAAAGACTTGTGGAAAGTGTTTCTGTGTGTGGAGGCCTAGAAGCTTGTTTCTTAGAAGCAGGGAGAGAGAGATGCTTTGAAATCTGGTTTTACAAGCCTCTCAGTTTTACCAGTTACCTCTTATGAAACCAAAGCTGGGACTGAGCAGCATAGATAGGCTTCCAGAGCCTTTCATGTGCAAATGTCCTGAGGCTATTTCTGTCAGCTTCCTTTCCTCCTCCTTCTGTTTGTTTCCCCAGGAAATCTTTGCTGTGTGACCTCGTTTTCCTTTGAACTTTCTATCTTGCATTTCCGCCTTTGGTCACTAACTTTCCCTTCTCTGATGGTCAGAAACGGGGGCCTTGTGCTTTGTACCTAGAGGTGCTCTAGAGACGTCTACCCAGCAAATGAGCGATTGCTACAATTGAGTGTGGGGGCTGGGAGGAAAAGATAATTGTAATGGAAGGCACAAGAGGAAGGCAGGGAAGGAAACACGCAAGTAAGCAAACACTTCCATAGAATTATATTTAAAGGAGGCAACTGGTGTGATACCTTCTGGAGAATAGGGCAGGGCAGGGTTAGAACCACTCCTTTAGAATGTTGCTTCTGAATCATTCACAGATTGCTCACTTAATTGGAAATGTAGATTAAAAGTGGAGACTTAGAACTATGAGGAGGCAGATAGAAATGCCTCAGAGATCGTCCTCTCTGGGCTCATGGTACAAAAGAGGAAAAGTGAGGCCAGCAAGAGTGGGTGACTTGACCAAGATCAGCCAGGACCTTTCAATGACAAAGCATAACAAGTCGTAGGTTTCATGCGCGTCCATGTGAAGAGACCACCAAACAGGCTTTGTGTGAGCAACATGGCTGTTTATTTCACCTGGGTGCAGGTGGGCTGAGTCCGAAAAGAGAGTCAGCGAAGGGAGATGGGGGTGGGGCCGTTTTATAGGATTTGGGAAGGTAATGGAAAATTACAGTCAAAGGGGGTTGTTCTCTGGTGGGCAGGGGAGGTGGGGGGGGGTCACAAGGTGCTCAGTGGGGGAGCTTCTGAGCCAGGAGAAAGAAATTCACAGGGTTAATCACTCAGTTAAGGTGGGGCAGGAACAAATCACAATGGTGGAATGTCATCAGTTAAGGCGGGGCAGGGCCTTTTCACTTCTTTTGTGATTCTTCAGTTACTTCAGGCCATCTGGGCATATAGGTGCAAGTCACAGGGGACGTGATGGCTTGGCTTGGGCTCAGAGGCCAGACATTCCTGCCTTCTTATATTAATAAGAAAAATAAAACAAAATAGTGTTGAAGTGTTGGGGCGGCAAAAATTTTTGGGGGGTGGTATGGAGAGAGAATGGGCGATGTTTCTCAGGGCTGCTTCAAGCGGGATTAGGGGCGGCGTGGGAACCTAGAGTGGGAGAGATTAAGCTGAATGGAAGATCTTGTGGTAAGGGGTGATATTGTGGGGTTGTTAGAAGAAACATTTGTCGTGTAGAATGATTGGTGATGGCCTGGATATGTTTTGTATGAATTGAAAAACTAAATGGAAAAGGTCTAAGAATTGGGAGGACCTAGGACATCTGATTAGAGTGCCTAAGGAGATTCAGCATAGTCCTGCCAGCAAAGATTATTTATTTACTTCAAGAGTTAAGAGTGGCAGTTTGGGGATAGCACAAGGAGATATCAGCTGTGATGGCTTGGAGAAACAGTGTAAACTGGCAGTGTAAACAAGAGCAGGGCATGTATGAGTAGTTGAGAACGGAGAATAGGAGTATGACTAGACAGAAGATAGTAGGGATGACAAGTTTTTTGGGGCACAGTCTAAGTTGGTCTGGTGTCTGGAATGAGACTGGGGCCTAATAAAAAGGAGCGTATATACAGGAGCTTAAATGGGCTGTACCTTGTAGGATTCTGAGGACAGGTCTGACTTCTGAGAAGGGAAAGTGGTAAAAGTATTGTCCAGTCCTTTTTAAGTTGGTGGCTGAGCTTGGTGAAGTGTGTTTTTAATAGACCATTAGTCTGTCACTGAATACTAAGAGCCTGAAAAAATGCTTGGCTGATTTGACTAATAAAGGCTGGTCTGTTATCAGACTGTATAGAGGTGGGAAGGCTAAACTGAGGAATTATGTCTGACAGAAGGGAAGAAATGACTGTGGTGGCCTTCTCAGACCCTGTAGGAAAGGCCTCTACTTATCTAGTGAAAGTGTCTACTTAGACTAAGAGGTATTTTAGTTTTTGTGACTCGGGGCATGTTGAGTAAAGCTAATTTGCCAGTACTGGGCGGGGGCAAATCCTCGAGCTTGATGTGTAGGGAAGGGAGGGGGCCTGAATAATCCTTCAGGAGTAGTAGAATAGCAGATGGAACACTGAGAAGTTATTTCCTTGAGGATAGATTTCTATGATGGAAAGAAAATGAGAGGTTTTAAGAGGCGGGCTAGTGGCTTGTACTATAGCATAGCCTGCCTTTGCTGGTGTGTGGCGATTAGGCCTGGTGGAACTGCCATCAATAAATCAAGCGTGATCAGGGTGAGGAACAGGAAAGAAGGAAATATGGGGAAATGGGGTGAATGTCAGGTGGATCAGAGAGATACAGTCATGGGGGTCAGGTGTGGTATCAGGAATAATGCGGGAGGCCAGATTGAAGTCCGGGCCAGGAACAATGGTAATTGTGGGACTTAACAAAGAGTGAGTACAGCTGAAGGAGCCGGGGAGCAGAAAGTACATGCGTCAGGTATGAGGAAGAAAATAGATTTTGGAAGTTATGAGAAATGTAGAGAGTGAGTTGAGTATAGTTTGTGATTTTTAGGGCCTCAAAAAATATTAAAGCAGCGGCAGCCGCTCCACGCAGACATGAGGGCTAGGCTAAAACAGTAAGGTCAAGTTGTTTGGACAGAAAGGCTACAGGGTGCGGTCCTGGCTCTTGTGTAAGAATTCTGACCGCGCTAACCATGCCTAGGAAGGAAAGGAGTTGCTTTGTAAGGGATTGAGGTTTGGGAGATTAATCGGACACGATCAGCAGGGAGAGCACATGTGTTTTTATGAGAATTATGCTGAGATAGGTAACAGATGAGGATGAAATTTTGGCTTGATTGAAGTAATGGGGGCTGTCTGTGAAGCCTTGCAGCAGTACAGCCCAGGTAATTTGCTGAGCCTAACTGGTGTCAGGGTCAGTCTAAGTGAAAGCAAAGAGAGGCTGGGATGAAGGGTGCAAAGGAATAGTAAAAAAAAGCATGTTTGAGATCCAGAACAGAATAATGGGTAGTAGAGGGAGGTATTGAGGATAGGAGAGTATATGGGTTTGGCACCATGGGGTGGATAGGCAAAACAATTTGGTTGATAAGGCGCAGATCCTGAACTAACTTGTAAGGCTTGTCTGGTTTTAGACAGGTAAAATGGGGGAATTGTAAGGAGAGTTTATAGGCTTTAAAAGGCCATGCTATAGCAGGTGAGTGATAACAGGCTTTAATCCTTTTAAAGCATGCTGTGGGATGGGATCCTGACATTGAGCAGGGTAAGGGTGATTAGGTTTTAATGAGATGGTAAGGGGTGCATGATCGGTCGCCAAGGAGGGAGTAGAGGTATCTTATACTTGAGGGTTAAGGTGGGGGAATACAAGAGGAGGACGCAAAGGAGGCTTTGGATTGGGGAGAAGGGCGGCAATGAGATATAGCTGTAGTCCAGGAATAGTCAGGGAAGCAGATAATTTAGTTAAAGTGTCTCAGCCTAATAAGGGAACAGGGCAGGTGGGGATAACTAAAAAGGAATGCTTAAAAGAGTATTATCTAAGTTGGCACCAGAGCTGGGGAGTTTTAAGAGGTTTAGAAGCCTGGCCATCAATACCCACAACAGTTATGGAGGCAAGGGAAACAGGCCATTGAAAAGAAGGTAATGTGGAGTGGGTAGCCTCCGTATTGATTAAGAAGGGGATGGGCTTACCTTCCACTGTGAGAGTTACCTGAAGCTCGGCGTCCTTGATGGTCTAGGGGGCTTCCGAGGCGATCAGGCAGTGTCAGTCTTCAGCCGCTAAGCTGAGAAGATCTGGGAAGGAGTCAGTCAGAGAGCCTTGGGCCAGAGTTCCAGGGGCTCTGGGAGTGGCTGCCAGGTGAGTTGAACAGTCCGATTTTCAGTGGGGTCCCACACAGATGGGACATGGCTTAGGAGGAATCCCAGGCTGCGGGCATTCCTTGGCCCAGTGGCCAGATTTCCGGCACATGTAGCAAGCTCCTGGGGGAGGAGGTTCTGGAGGAACGCCTGGCCGCTGCGGTTCAGGCGTTTGGAAGTTCTTGTGTGCTGGAGATGTGGCTGGGGTTTGTCTCACAGTGGAGGCAAGGAATTGCAACTTTTTTCTATTATTGTACACCTTGAAGGTGAGGTTATTTAAGCCCTGTTGTGGGGTTTGGGGGCCAGATTCTAATTTTTGGAGTTTAATGTCCAGAGCAGATTGGGTAGTAAAATGTATATTGAGAATAAGATGGCCTTTTGACCTTTTAGGGTCTAGGGCTGTAAAGCGTCTCAGGGTTGCTGCCAAACGAGCCGTGAACTGGGCTGGATTTTTATATTTGATGAAAAACAGCCTAAACGCTTCTGATTTGGGATAAAGAAAAAGGAGCATTAACCTTGACTATGCCTTTGGCTCCAGCCACCTTTTTAAGAATAAATTGCTGGGCAGGTGGGGGAGGGCTAGTCACGGAACGAAACTGTAAGCCGGACCAGGTGTGAGGAGGGGAGGCGATAAAAAGATTATAGGGTAGAGGAGCGGAGGCTGAGGAAGAATTGGGACCTAGCTCGGCCTGGCGAGGAGGGGAGAGGTCAGATGGGTCTGTAGAAAAGGAAGATTAGAAAGACTCAGCGATGCTTGGGGTTGGGACTGAGGGGACAGGCGGGAGGGAAAGAAGGAAGATTTGGGATGAGTTGCACTGGGCACAGAGACTAGGAAGGGACTGATGTGTAAAAGAATGCCTGGACGTCAGGCACCTCAGGCCATTTGCCCATTTTACGACAAGAATTATTTAGATCTTGTAGGATGGAAAAATTGAAAGTGCCGTTTTCTGGCTATTTGGAACTATGTCGAGTTTGTATTGGGGTTAAGCGTCATTGCAGAAGAAAATAAGGCATTTAGGTTTTAGGTCAGGTGTGAGTTGAAGAGGTTTTAAGTTCTTGAGAACACAGGCTAAGGGAGAAGAAGGAGGAATGGAGGATGGAAGGTTGCCCATAGTGAAGGAGGCAAACCCAGAGAAAAGAGGGTGTAGAGACACGGAGGGAAGGGTTTTGGGGGTTCTTACCCTCCAGAAAAGTGGGAAGGGGGGGTGGGGCATGGAAATAAGGGATTGGGGCACAGAGATAAGAGGTTGGGGTACAGAAATAAGGGATTGGGGGTTCTTGCCCCCTAGAAAAGCGGGACTTGCCACTAAAGGTGAAGGAGAAGGGGTTGAGGGGTACTTGCCCCTCCCCCAGAAAAGCAGAGAAGGGGTAGAGACACTGAAGAAGGGGTTGGGGTACTTGCCCCTCCCCCAGAAAAGCAGGACTTGCCGCTAAGGGTGAAGGAGAAGGGGTTGAGGGGTACTTGCCCCTCCCCCAGAAAAGCAGAGAAGGGGTAGAGACATGGAGAGAAGGGGTTGGGATACTTGCCCCTCCCCCAGAAAAGCGGGACTTGCCGCTAAGGGTGGAGGACCAAGGCAGGCCTCCCTATGTGGTCTGACACCTTTGAAATGTGGGTGAATAATCAGAGAGGTGTCTCTGCAATGATTAAACACCAAGGGAAGTCTGTCTTCCCAGTCCATGACCAGTGCTGGAGTTTTGGGTCCACGGATAAAACGTGTCTTCTTTGTCTCTACCAGAAAATGAAAGGAATTGAAATTAAGAGAAGGGAGAGATTGAAGTGTGGCACCAAGATTGAAAGGAGAAAGAGGTTGAGGGATAGTGAGGGAGGTTGGAGAAGAGAGTAAAAAGAGGCCACTTACCGGATTTGAAATTGGTGAGATGTTTCTTGGGCTGGTCAGTCTGAGGACCTGAGGTGGTAGGTGGAGCTTTCTCATGGAGCAAAGAGCAGGAGGACAGGGGATTGATCTCCCAAGGGAGGTCCCCTGATCCACCAAATTTCATGCGCGTCTGTGTGAAGAGACCACCAAACAGGCTTTGTGTGAGCAACATGGCTGGTTGTTTCACCTGGGTGCAGGTGGGCTGAGTCCAAAAAGAGAGTCAGCGAAGGGAGATAGGGGTGGGGCCGTTTTATAGGATTTGGGAAGGTAATGGAAAATTACAGTCAAAGGGGGTTGTTCTCTGGTGGGCAGGGGCGGGGGGTCACAAGGTGCTCAGTGGGGGAGCTTCTGAGCCAGGAGAAGGAAATTCACAGGGTTAATCACTCAGTTAAGGTGGGGCAGGAACAAATCACAATGGTGGAATGTCATCAGTTAAGGTGGGGCAGGGCCTTTTTACTTCTTTTGTGATTCTTCAGTTACTTCAGGCCATCTGGGGGCATACGTGCAAGTCACAGGGGATGCGATGGCTTGGCTTGGGCTCAGAGGCCTGACAATAGGCAGAAGCCAGGGAGGCCAAGGAAGCTAAGTTTCATCCAGGATCACAGTTCTTAGCCTAAGTCATATCATAAAGAAAAAGTTGATATCCTCTGATCATTTATGGAGAAAGAATGTTATAAACTGAATTTTGACTTTTCTCACAAATTCTTCCTTGTGTGGCAAGACCAATGAGTATGCTCGTGTTGTGTGGGCAGTTCCACTTTTAGAGGAGAATATTTGAAAATAATATGGCAGCTCCTGACTGGTGATTTCTGGTTCTCTCAGGTCTTGCATTTTCTCTTTTTAAAATAGCATCCTAAATAGAATTTGAATCCTAACTTTATAAAAAATAATAATAAAATAAAAAGAGGAAATATTAATTCAAATCATGTCATGTCCCGCTTTCAACCCTCCAATCCAAAGTCTTAGCAAGGCTTATAAGGGCCTACCTGGTCTGCCCTGCCCACTTCTGACTTCCTCTCACTATTACTGGCTTTATTCTTTCTAAGATGAAGTTAGGCATTTAAATTCATCAAATCTGAGGAAGTGGCTTATCTGTTTCTGTATGTAAGAAATTATCTCCCTTTTTTGTTAAACAGTCAGATGAATTGTCAGTATTAATGCCTGGACTATGAGATTTGAATCTGAATGAAATAGCCTAGGGAGGCAGGGAAAGAAATACAGTGAGGCATTCATTTAAAAAATATTCATTTGACCTTATGTACTAAGGTGAATGCGGGTAGAAGTTCCTGAAGCCAAGTTCAGATGTGACTTCCTTTCCTAAAGAGGCCCAATTAAGATCATATATCAGGTTGGCTCCTTCATTTGCATGTGAAAAGGCACAGTTACGGATGTAGCGGATTGTTTGCATGGCAAATTATAAGGAAATGTTTCTTCCTTCTGCCATCAAGACACTGTTTCAGCCATTTCCACATTAATTTTGTAGGCTGGAAAGCTCTTGTTGCCATTAATTATATCTGGGCAAAACTGGATTGAGTGGAGATAGGTTGGCAACAAAATAGGATGAGGCAGAAAATCTTGCAGAGTATCTCACCAGTTGAAAGAGCAGGGAAAGGACAAGTTTGAAATTATCTGTGCAAAGAATCCAGCTCCTTGCTGAATCTCCACTTTCTCCATGTCTTGCAGGTGATGTGTGGTTCCTAAAGGACTTCTGTCACTGTGCTTGCCCGAGGTGCAGTTAGAAAACCAGTTCTCTTGCTTTGTGCTGCATTTAGCCCAGCCAGGTTGGCAAAAGTTCGTAAAAGTGACCCCATTTTGTTCTCTCTCCCTTCAGATTTCAGTTTTGGCATAAGTTTTGGTTGGCAAATTGCATTCTACAATGAAAACGTTTTCTTACATTTAACCCTAAGTTGGCTTGAGATGGGCATAACCAGTCCTGATGCTGAAGGAAATAGTTAGGATATTAGGTCCTAGATTGCAAGCAAACTCAGTCCCACATCAGAGCCCAAGGAATGAAGCATCATACCTCAAAAGGCGCCCTAGACTTGAGCCCTCTAGACTAGCAGAGCAGATGCTCGTGACTCTTAGAAACTTCTGGGTTGAAAAAGAAATTTCAAATTCTTGGAAGCAACCTTCCCCCTACTTTCTCACAACAAATCCCTGACATAAACACAAAAGACATAAACATCTACTTAGCTATAGAAGAGTGGAGTTGTTATATAAGAATAGCTGTATGAGTTTAAAAGATGGGCTAATAAATTTGAAGGACAAAATTGAAGTCAGAAGAACTAGAAAGATGCAGATTACATTTTTTTCTGAAACATATCGTAGGGTGAAAAATAAAATAAGACAAGGGTTTTGGGCTGAAATATGCTAAGGACTTGCTGAACCCAAGCTCTGCATAAAAGCAGTTCAAGATGCTTATGTATGTGAGTATGTACATCGCTCTTTTTTTCTTTCTCTAAACCTGCTGCTGGAATCCACCATCCTGTCCTTTTTCATAACCTTCTCTGCAGGACAGATAGTCTCTCCCAACTGAGGCTCCATTTGCCTTGCCAAATCCCATTCTGAAAATTCAGCTTTCCAAATGGCAGCTTTAAGGGGACACAAACAAGGCTGAAAACTAGAGAGCAACCTAAAGGAACAGTTTGAGTTAGGAAGTTAAAGAGAATCTGTGAAGCCCTGTGGAGTGAGCTCATATTTCCTGAGGATCCTGCTGGCTTGTGCCAGTTGAGGTGACCGGTCTCTCCAGATGGGATGTGTGACTTTGCACACTGGGCTGTAATTGCCCATGACAACTGTAGCCTAGTTACTGCACCAAGAAAAAGAGATATACCAACAATAGCAGCACCCAGAAACTCATACTGCTCGAAGCAGATGTCCTATTAAAACTGTGATTGTCTCCATTAGAGAAATTCCTCCTCATGTTCTCATTCTTTGTTTCATATACCTTTTTTCAATAGTCTTTCTCTACCATTTCCCCCAAATATCCTGGTGTCTCTTTTTGTGGAAGAGAAGCAAAGTTTCTTTAACCTTGACTGACTTAACCTAACCTTGACTCCTCTTACTGTTTGGGTGCATAAGAAGTATTTTTCTTATGCGTTTCTCATCATAGAGGCCCTTGTCTTGGGCATTACCTTTTGCATTCATTTACCCATATACGCATCTGTCTACCCATCCATCCATCCATCCATCCATCCATTCATCCACTCAGCCACCCATCCATCCATCTATTCATCCATCTTCCAATATTCATATATTTTCTGAACCCAATAAGAGGATTGATTATTTTTGCCTGCCTGGAGCTGTTTCCTCTTCCTTTGGGCCAATGTTCTCTTTCATGTTAAATCCATGTGGTTCAAGTGGGATTGACCACAGCACCTAGCACCAAGAATGGACACATCACCCACACCAGGCCACTGCTCTACCCCAGTGACTGGATTGATTAGGGAAACCAAAGCCACTCCAACTCCTTGGTTTGTGGTTAGAATTCTTGGGGAAGAGAATGTCTCTCATAGAGCTGGGATTGCCAAACTTTGGGAATGTCAGCTTCGAGTTGCCAACAGCCACGAGAGAAAAGTGAGACCCAATAAGAAGAGACAGAACTGAGAGATGGCAAGAGGGCAGTCAAATCCAGACTTCCTGATTGAGCTCCTGGATCCAACTGTTTCAGTTCTAGCTCTGGAAATTTTCAAGCTTGTGGAGTTAAGTATTCCTTTTCAATTAAGTCATTTTGAGTTGAGTTTCTGTCACTCATAGTTAAAAGAGTTATGTCTACTGTATGCCAGGTAGCCGAGACAAACCAATGAGAGAGCCCAAACAGCCTAGCAGAGTGGTTAAGAGTGTGAACTTTGTCACCAGCCTTTGAATTCTGGCTCCACTGTTGACAAAGCACACAAGCTCAAAGTTCCTTTGTACCTCCATCTACCCATCTATAAAATGGTGAAGATATAAATAATACCTACTTCATAGGTTTTTGTGAGGATAAGCTAATTCATCTAGAGTGGTTAGCATGGTGCCTGGTCTGTAGTGGGCATTCACTAAATGTGACTTGTAGGCAAATTGTGGTCAGCAGTGCCCAGAAGCAATGAACAAGACCAAGCCTATAATAATACTCTCAAAAATCTGCTTTTTTAGCTTTCTCCTCCTCTCTATCCCACTGTGGTAGGTTGTACAGATTCCTAATTTATAACCATGGTCACTGTAAGCATTGGTATTGTTTGCCTCCATGGCATAGCTCAGGAAAAGCACACTAATATACCACCTCTCTTTACCCACCTAATGATGGGTGGGTAAAGCAAATGATGAAGGCTGGACATGTCTGGTGAGAAGTTAGCTCAAAGTACATGAAATGATAGTCTGAAATGATAGTCTACAAATACACTATCAAGCAAGCTATCCCAGAAGGGCTCATTAAAAGGCAGATTAAAATTTGCAAATAGCAAAGTTATTAAGTCAATTTAAAACACAAAGTGAGACGCAAGAGGAGAGAGACGGGGTAAGTTAATGCACTTAGGATCAGACACAAGTGGAGTGGAAGGACCCCACTGTGCAGGAAAGGGTTAACTCAGTGGGTCTGGGGTGTTCAAACCTGTACATCCCAAAGAAAGGACTGGCCCTTGGACTAGTTCAGGGAGATAATTCCTGAGCCTTTGGAATATCCTTACTGATAAGAGTGCTACCGTTTGCCCAGTGCCCTGGGCCATACCAGATAGTTTATGCTAAAAATGTGATTTAGGTGGTAGACTTGGGCCATATGCTATCAGTTTGACCTCTAGGGGGCAGCGGGGGCCTAGGGTTTGAGTAGCTAAGATAAGCTACATGGGCACTCTATGCCTATGTGGCTAAACTCCAGTAAGAACCCAGGACACCAAGTTTAAAGCATGGTTAAACTTCCTGGTTGGCAGTACTTTGTATGTAGTATCACACATCATTTCTGGGAGAATTAAGTGTTGTTCATACAACCCCATTGGGAGAGGACAACTAGAAGCTTGGACTTTGTCTTTCCTGGACTCCACCCTTTGCGTATTTTCCTTTGCCAAGTTTCATCTATAGCCTTTGCTATAATCAACTGTAATCATGAGTATAACTGCTTTTCTGATTTTTGTGAGTCCTTCCAGAAAATCATTGAATATGAGGGTGGCCTTGGGAATCCCTGATATAGATAGATAGGGATGGATTTGCTGGGTTGATATCACATCCCTGTTCTACTAGAGATATAAGGACAAGTATGCCTGGTGACAGCTATAGCTTGCCAGTTAGCAAGATGAGCAGCCATAAGTTCTATTTGTTTTTGGAGGCAGAGGACACATTGGACCAGAAAGATATAGCCAATAGGTTGCCAAATTAGGAGATCATGTATATAAAATGCTCATGTCTATTTGGTACCTCTTGGTGTTTAGCCTTATGTCTAAATGTCTATCTAGTACGTTACAAATATTTAATACTCAACTGCATCATAAATATTAGCTATTTCTCGGTCCTTTCATCCTACTCAATCTCGGTATAACACACACGTTCTACTTGCTATCTGCTTATCTTATGCTTAACACATCCCATAAATTCTGCCTACGAGAATCAAACTTTTTGCTAAGTGGCTACTTATTTATACTTTCACATCTTAAGATTGTTTGCCTATATTTTGTGAACTACGAGCTGATTTATTTAATAGACTGAAAAAAGCATGAACATTACAGGCCTGAGAGGTGAGTTAGGGGAGAAGAGTCATGACTATATCACTGCTATGGCTTGAATGTTTGTGTCCCCTCCAAAATTCATATGTTGAAACTTAATCACCAATGTGACAGTGTTAAGAGGGGGCCTTTAGGAGGTGATTAAGTCATGAGAGTGGAGATCTAATGAATCAGATTAGGGCCCTTATAAAAGAGGCTTCATACAGTGTTCAGCCCTCTTGCCCTTCCATCTGCTATGTGAAGACACAGCAACAAGGCGCCGCCTTGAAAGCAGAGGGCAGCCCTCACTAGACGCCAATGCCAGGAAGCTTGGTTTTGGATTCCCTAGCCTCCAGAACTGCAAGAAATAAAGTTGTGTTCTTGATCAATTACTCCATCTGTGGCATTTTGTGATGGCAGCACAGATGGACTAAGGTAATCATTAAGTGCTTTAGTACTGCAAGTTCTTCAGTTCTGGAAGGTCATGGTGGTGAGGCCCAGCATACACAAGTCCTGATTCCTGATGTCCCAGTAGCTGCCTTCCAAATTTTTTAGGTCTTATTCATTGTTTTTCCTACATAATGATAATAACAGCAATTAGTTATATAGAGTTACTATATTCCAGGCATCGTTCTAAACACTTTCCATAAATAATGGTTTTACAGGAACCAAGTGGGGCAGGGGCATGTTTAATCTTATTTTTACAGAGAACATAAGATGGAGCTGGGTGCAGTAACTTGCCCAAGATCAACAGCAGAAATGATGGTATACCAGGAACCAAACTCAGGCAAGCTGGCTCCAGAAACCAGACTGTTACCCACCGCATTCTGCTGACTTACAGAACAGTGTCAGCTCCTCATTTGCATACCGCCTTGGCTGAACTCAAGTGGAAATGTCTTATAGACATTGCCAAATGTACAATATTTAAAAGCTAAAAATGCTTAAGCTGAATGTTGATAAGAAACTAAAGAGTGAAGAATAGAAATACATTAATTTTTATTAACCTGTGACAAGATCATCATTCAGTAAGATGTTATATAATTACCTTAATTGTCACATGGGCATGAAGAGCAGAAGTTCAAAATGGTAGAATTTCATCCAGTGCCAGCACAGCGAAGTAGATATTCTTAAAATATAATTCAATTTGAAGGTGTCATAAGAAAAATTTATTTATTGAAAATTTTCGCAGATATTGAAAACATAATAAAAATGAAATGTCAACACACACAGCCACTTCAGATTTACCTGATATTTGTCACAGGGTTTATCTGCATACTTATTCACTCCAAAGTTGGGAAGACAAACAACAACAAC
Source organism: Homo sapiens (assembly GCF_000001405.40). Lineage (NCBI taxonomy): Eukaryota > Metazoa > Chordata > Mammalia > Primates > Hominidae > Homo > Homo sapiens. Next base: position 97,168,598 of record NC_000008.11, on the reverse strand, counting down.
ACACAACAGGGCTCCTGGCCCCCACTTGTAGAGGGTGGGTGAGGTCAGGGGGTGTCACACTCAGTAACCCACAGGGAGAGACATTTTAACATTTCTTCCCTTAAGCTAAATACTTGTGAATACTTGTTACAATGGTTCTAATTTCCATTACAGGTAACTATTTGGGTTATTCTGTTGAGGCAGGGCAGAGGACAGGAAAAATGACCAAAGTTAAAGGACTGGAAGACAGAGGCTGGCTCTGCTCTCATTGTGTGGCCTTTTGTGAGTCTGTAGGCCTCAGTCTCACCATCTGCAGAACTGATAACCATACCCCTGTCCCGTGGAGTAATGAGCATTGTGGGAATCGTGGAGCAAAGCAAAGTACTCTGCACAGTGTCAAGCACATAGTAGGTGCTCAGTTAGTAACTGTGGAATCTGATGCTTATATATATTTTGTCTCTTTTGGAGAAAACTTTTCTCTTTTGGAGAAAAGTTCCTAAATTTTGCACATCCTGGATTCCTATTTGCCCTCAGAATGTTGGTGGAGGGTGGTGAATGGGTTGGAAATTGTGTTGCTGGCTCTAAACAAACTTTTCTTGACAAAATACAAACTTTGTTTTCAAGGGCTTCTAAACGAAATCTCATGCAGTTTCTTGGAAATCAAGAGTAGCTTTCATGAACATGTTTTAAGGCACAGCTGATTGCAGAATCATCTGGAATAGATGACATGGGGTGTAAGATCCTGTAATATGTTGTCTACACCTATTTGCCAATCCAGATAGACCAAGGAGCCAGCCCTGGACAAAGTCTGGGGTTTCATCAAGATCTTAATTTTATAGAATAAGAGGTCTTGCTGAATCTCTCCAGCTCATCTTGCCTCTTCCCGCCTTCCCCTGCTACTTGTTAGTGAATCCCCATAGGCAATAATCCCTGAAGCTAATGAACCCAAACACAAAAGGACCCCTGGTCCCCACATAAACCCAAACACTGCAAATGGTATTAGACACTCCCATTAAGCCCTTGTCCAGGAGAGGGCTGTTGCCACCCAACGCTGCCTCCTGATTAGCCTCTCACTGGGAATCACTGTAACTCCCTCAGCTTAGGCCAGGGAGTTCTCCTCGTAATTAACCTCTCTTTAGAGCTAATGGTTCTTACTGCTAGGCCTCTAATGTAGGGCAGCCAGCAATTCACCCTGAGGGCTTCTTTCCATGTATGAAACTAAAGCATTTTTAAAAAGTCTTTCTGCGGCAAATCAGCAGCCTAAAAGTTGCTTAGAAAGCTAATGGGAAAGGCTGTTATTACACTGAGGATGGTCCCACTGGACCCGTATTTGATTTCCTTGTTCTTCTTCCCTTTTATTGACTTTAACCAAAACAACAAACCATTTGAGTTTATCCCCATTTATACGTGTTCTGTGACTGCGAACAAAACCCTCTCATATCCCTAGGAATACTTGACTGTGGGTTGCTGGAAGCTGGGATTTCGGAGAATTTCCAACCTGAGAGTGATGTTGTCCTTAGGAAGTCTTCGAAGATTGAGAAGCTATATTGCCCCCCTCTGCCTACAGGGACACACTTATTGAGGCTAGGGAAGAAGGCTTGCACCTTCCAACAGAAAACCTGCTAACAAATTATCTCCACCAGAACTCTAAATAAATAAATAAAGACAAAAACAAATGCATAAATGGACAAACAGAAATTCCCAAGATCCTGAAACAAGAATGAAAATGACGTGGTGTCTCCCCACTCTGTTTGTAAAAAAAAGTGGGTTTGGTGATCATCACACCAAGAGGAGCTGACATTTCTTGCCAATTGAGGACATGCCAGACACTGTTCTAAGCTTTTGAAAACTGTTTCCTCACAAAGTTCTAACATCAGCCTTGTGAGGTAGATGCCATTAGTCCTGTTTTACAGACGAGGACACTAAGGCAAACACAGTGAAGGCCAGAAAGTGGTGGCATGTGGCTATGGGCTGGCTCCTGGCCATGCTCCGAGCCAAGCTCACCTGTTCGGTGTGAGGACATCCTCCCTGGGTCCGCCACAGGTGACCTGCTGACCCGCCTAGTTGTATAAGGAAGTTGATGCTGTATATTTCTATTGCACAGCATTAAAGCTTCAGGAAATCTCTCCTTTCTAAGCCTACATCTCCAGTCTGTCCCTATTTGAGTCTCTTCTCAACCCAGTCAGTTTCCATATGCCAATCCTGCAGCCATGTCAAACCAGAGGGTAAGTGGGAAACAGCATCATCCAATGACTATGCTCTGGACACTTGCAAGGTGTGGGGCTCTGGGATGAAAACACCAAGGTCCTTAGACTTGAGGATGTCTTAGCCTGATGGTGGAGACACACAAGTAAACACAATTTCATTACATACAACAAATGTTATTTTTATAGGCACAAATAGAATTTAATTGATGGCGGGTACTATTCTTAGCACTTCTCATAGATTTTTCTCATTGAACCCTCACACCAATCCAATGAGTAGTTGTGGTAAATGATACTTTGCAGGCAAGGAAGTGGGGGCACCGAGAGGTTATGTGACTCACCTGTAAATGGCGGAGCCAGAGTTGTGAGTCCAGGCAGTCTGGTCCCAGAGACTGTACATTTAACCAAGGTGCGCTGTGGCCTCTGTTCTGATAAAGGCAGGCACTGAGGACCTCGGGAGCATAGAGGAGCAACAACCAGCCCAGCCTGGAGGCACCAGCAGGGAAGAGCCTTTCCAGACAAGAGGGCTCCCGAGCTGCGTGAAGTGGAGGAGAAACACTTGACCCTGTGATGCAACGCTGTAAGTAGGTGGGCAAGCTACATGAAAAGGGAGATCTTTTCACCTCTGCCAGCCCATAGACCACACTAGTCCGTGACTTAACAGGACATGTGTTGGATAAAGCAAAACGTGTTGCTGGCGCATCATAGAGTCCATGCTGTGGTCAGAAGCAATAGGCTGGACGTGCACACAGCAACACGGATAGATTTTATGAACATAACACCGGGTGACAAAAGGAAGACACACAGTAGGACCTGTAGCCCAGTGTCATGTATGTAAATGAATAATGTATGCACACAAAACAATATATATTGACACATTATGTAAGAACACATAAAAATAAAATGATTCCTATCAAACAAAGTAGGATGGTTGCCTTTGGGGTTGGGAGGAGAATGGGAATGGAAAATAGAAATAGGATGAAATAAAGCAAGAGATGCATTGGAATGACAGCTTGCTGTGAACTGATGAGAATGATTAAGTCAACCTTAGTCCCTGAGGGACTCAGGAGGGAGAGAAAGAAGAGGACCCCTATGAGTGACCGTTAAGCACTCTTTTGCTAGGACTTGTCCCTATCCACTTCCACAGAGCTTAGCAGGAGCACCTAGTTGCCATCTACAGTGTGAGACCATCCCCTTCTCATGGCTGATTGGTCAAGGAGTGGGCACCTAACTCAAGCTCAGCCAATCAGTTCCCTCCCTGTTATAGAAAGCTTTATTACCTTCCATTGCTGGGGCACTGAAACTGAGGGTTAAGGGGAAACAGGAGCCTAACTGATTCAAATTCAGTCTCCATCACTAGTCCCACAACTTTGGGCACATTGCTTAGCCCCTAAGTAATTGAGGTTTCTTATCTATAAAATGGAAAAATATAATAGCTGACTTAAAGGATTGTGTGAGGATTTGTTGAGTGATGAAATGCAGGTATAGTGCTTAAAACAGTGCTTGCCACACAACAGGGTCTCCATAAATATCTGCCATGGCTTTCCTGAGAGCTTGGGAACTGGGAGAATAAACGGCTTTATCTGGAATCTGGTTGGCTGATCAGTATGACAAGGAGTAAGTCACTTTCGATTGCATTGGAGCAGTCTCATTATTTTATCCCCATGAGCCATAGGAATATCATCATTTTATGTAATATTTGTGAGGTGAAGCAGGTCGAAAAGCACTGCTGAGCAGGCAGCAGTCTCCAGTTCAATTCCTGAAGCCTCAGCCTCACTATATCCGAGACCTTGAGTTCACGTGATACCTCAGTATCTCCTCTTTCTTATGGAGTTAGTTTAAATGTATTTTGTCTCTTACCTATAGAGTCCTGATTACGAGGGTCATAATGACAGAGAAAACCGTAAAGTATCAGCCTCTTAGTTCATCTCTGCACATGGTAATTTTCATGGTGTTTTCTACCTGGTGAGAGTCATCCTCAAGAGCTGATTATTTAGTTCACAATTGTTGAAAAACAAGTACAGGCCGGGCACGGTGGCTCATGCCTGTAATCCCAGCACTTTGGGAGGCCGGGGCGGGCAGATCACGAGGTCAGCAGATTGAGACCATCCTGGCTAACATGGTGAAACCCCGTCTCTACTAAAAATGCAAAAAAAAAAAAAAAAAAAAAAAAATTAGCCGGGCCTGGTGGCAGGCGCCTGTGGTCCCAGCTACTTGGGAGGCTGAGGTAGGAGAATGGCGTGAACCCGGGAGGCGGAGATTGCAGTGAGCCGAGATTGTGCCACTGCACTCCAGCCTGGGCGACAGAGCGAGACTCCGTCTCAAAAAAAAAAAAAAAGAAAGAAAAACAAACACAAACCACATAGTCTTCTTCCTGCCAGGCCCAGTTCACATAGATGGTAACATAATAACCTCAGCACATTGGATTTTACACAGAATATTCTAGTAAATGACAATGACACATTTGTGATTTCATGAGCTTTAAATATGTTGGTAAAACAATCAGTTTCTCCTCTTAATTATTTACCTCCATGCTGATAAGTTCAGTTTACCATTTCTTAATAGAATATTTGTACAACTGTTTTGAAAATAATCATGTTTGGTCTTTAGAAAAACTAGCCAAGTCTTCATGTGGAATTTAAAGTTGTATATCAAACAGATCAGTTATGGATTTAAATTTCCCAGAACAGAGGTACCTAGAAGAGAATGTGAACGTGTCTTTGGAAAGATGAACAAACAGAAAGCCTTCCTGACCTTTGGAAGTCAAAGAATAGTCAACAGACTGATTTAGGCAATTTCACTGCTTTGAAGGGTTTCAAAGAAGACCGATTTCTGTTTGTTCAACCACCATCTGGAGGTGCAAAGATCAGGGACATCAAAAGATTTATCTGAGCATTCGAATGTGTTTGTGAAATCACTAATATGTCATGGAGGCGCTTCTCAGAGATCTACTTTGTGGAGGTTTTTATCTATGTTAGTTTGGCAGGTGCCATCTGATCGAGTAGCCCTCCCAGCATGCCAAACACCTTCCAAACACATTCCAGAGAGAAAGAGAACCCAGCCATTTCCTGTGATTGGGAGTCAGAGGCAACTAAAGGGGGTCTATAATGACTTTCTGAGGATGTTTAATTTATCACTACTGTGAGTGAAAGCTTGTGCATGATGCTTATTCCCTACACTTCACAAGTGGCAGCATTAAATCTTCAGAAGGATAAAGAAGTCGTCTTGCAGTAGGAAGCACTCTTTTAATAAAGTTTATCTGAGGTAGTCAGTCCAGAGCTGGTGTGGTATTTCAGAGTATCAGGGACCTACACTTCTTTCTGTTTGTTTCTGCTATGTGTGACTCCCATTCCCAAGTTCACTTCATAGTCTAAATCTGCTGCTGATGCTACAACTTTCTAGCAAGAAGGAAGATGGGGAGGAGGAGAGCACTCCCATTCCTTTAGCTCTTCTTAAGGAAAACTCCTGGAAGTTTTTCATACCACTTCCAGGAATGACCCACGTGGCTACACCTGATTACAAACTGGGGCAGGGGAATATAATATCTTTACTCCAGCTAAAATTTAGGGCCTCTATTACCATAAAAAGGGTAATTTTTTGAAAAACAATAATCTCCCTCTACTTCATCATCCTTGAGGACTCAGCTCAAACGACCCCTATTTAGAGAGACCACCTGCATCTATTCTGTCAATAGTAAGTTTCCCCTACTTACTCTCTACCACAGAACCTGTCCAGCTCCAGCATGGGAATAATCTTGTTTGTTTATTTGATTATTTTTACTTTTTGTGGTCTTTCTTCCCCCACTAGAACAAAGTTCCTTGAGTGCAGGGACCTTATCTACTTTGCTGCTCAACACCATACTCCCAGTGCCTCACAGTGCCTGTACATGGTAGAAACTTAATGAACATTTGGGATGAATGACCAGATTATGAATGAGGACCCTTGCCAGAGAAAACCAATATGGCACTGTGACTAAGTATATAAGCTTGGGAGTTAGACAGTCTTGATTAAAATCTTGGCCCCACCTCTAATTAACAATGTGACCCTGGGCAAGTGACTTAACTTAGGTCTAAGTCTTAACTTACTAATTTATAAAATTGGAGGGGAGACTTTTGCCAGAATTAAAAGAGTTAATACACATGAAGTGCGTACTACTTCATTGTACAGCAAACAGTCAGTGTTAGCTTTTACACATGACCAGCATAATAATTATTTTTGCTATTATTGATATCTATCTCGTGGAAAGATTCAAAGGAGGCTTCCCAGAGAGAGAGACCTTGGAGATGAGTTCCATGGATAGGCAGGAGTAAGCTAGGCAAAGGAAGGGGTAAAGGGACAGCATTATGGGGAGAGGGAACCACATGGCCAAAGGTCTTGGGACAGGAGGGGAAATGTTGGAAAAACTGGTAAAAAGCCAACATGGTCTGAGTTGGCTGAAGAGAGGAGGAGCAGTATAAAGTGAATCTAGAAAGGAAAAGGCTGATATCATGAACTCATCCCAAGTGGGAAGGGGAGCTACCAAAGGGCTCCAAGTAGGGGAGTGCATGGACAGATTTGTAACACATAAACACCATCCTGGCTGCAATGTTGAGGGGGCAGTTATCCCATCAGAATAACTTCTGTAAATGAGAAACGTACTGTAAGAGTGTACTTGCAAACCCAAGCCTGTCCCTCATGTTGGTGGGACTCTGGCAAGGAGAGCATTGAGCTACAGATCAGCCCAAACTGGCTATTTCTGGGATTCTTGACTGTTACAGAGAAACTTTTAAATATACCTAAATATTTAAAAGTTATACATGAAGACTAACAAACTGTTAAACTAAGTACTTTGACAAATACACACTCATAATGACTAAAAGTCAAAAAAATACCAAAGATAGTTGAATTTAATCATTATTGCCCATGTCTGATATTCTATTGATGGGCTAGTAATGTTTGGATGAATAATAAAGACACACATAATTCACAAATTATTACATATGTATTCTATAAAATTTATTTTTCTTGCCTTCTTTTCAGCAAAATCATGAATTGTGGTCTTATAATCCAGAACACAATTATATTCTATGTCATTATAAATTTATAATTATATAGCTGTAGTCTGTTTAAAATAATGCTCTAAAAGATTAAAAAGTATTTGAATTCTAATGTAGAAAATTTTGAATATATTTAATAGAAATATAAATTAAAGTGAGTGTAAACAATTAAAAACATTTTTGTACATTTTTATGCTTTCCAAAAGGTTATTTTTCTTCTAAAATATTCAGAATTATTGAAGCCAGAGAAATTAGTCAAGAAAAAGATATAAAAGGCATCCAGATTGGATAGGAAGAAGTAAAATGATCTCTATTTGCAGATGACATGGGTCTTACATGTAGAAAAGTCTGAAGATTCCATCAAAAAACTGTTAGAACTAATAAACAAATTCAGCAAAGTTGAAGGATTCAAAACCAACATACAAAAAAGCAGTTGCATTTATATATACTAACAGCGAATATCTGAAAAGGAAATCAAGAAAACAATTACATTTACAATAGCATCAAAAAAATACTTAGGGATAAATTAACCAAGGAGGAAAAAGACTACTTATACACTGAAAACTATGAAACATTGATGAAAGAAATTAAAGAAGACACAAATAAATGAGGAATATCCCTTATTCATGGATTGAAGACTTAACAGTAATTAAGATGTTAATGCTACTCAAAGTGAGCTGCAGAGTAATACAATCCCTATCAAAACTGAAGAGAGAAAAATTCATCCTGAAATTCACATGAAATCTCAAGAAACTCCAAACATCCAAAAGAATCTTGAAAAAGAACAGATATCTGACATTTCCTGATTTCAAAACTTCTTACAAAGCCACAGTAATCAAAACAGTATAGTACTGGCATAAAGACATACAGACCAATGGAATAGAATACAGAACCCAGAAATAAGCCCTTGCGTATATGGTCAAATGATTTTTGACAAGGGTATCAAGACCATTCAATGGGGAAAGAACGGTCTTTTCAATAAATGTTATTAGGCAAACTGGATATCCACATGCAAAAGAATGAAGTTGGATCCTAACCTTATGCCATATAGAAAAATTAACTCAAAATGGATCAAAGACCTAATGTAAGAGTTAAAACTATAAAACCCTTAGAAGAAAATATATGGGAAAAGCTTCATGACATTAGATTTGTCAATGATTTCTTAGATATGACATCAAAAGCATGGCCAAAAAAAGAAAAAATAACTTTGACTACACCAAAATTACAAATTTCTGTGAATCAAAGGACACAATCAGCAGAGTAAAAAGGCAACTTATGAAATCAGAGGATGTATTTACAAACCATATCTCTGGTAAGGGGTTAATAGCCAGAATCTGTAAAGAACTCCTACAGCTCAACAACAAAAAACCAAACAACTCAATTAAAAAATGGGCAAAGGACTTGAATAGACATTTCTCCAAAGAAGATATACAACTAGCCAATAAGCACACCTGAAAGATGCTCAGCATCACTAATCATTAGGGAAATGTAAATCAAAACCACAATGAGATACCACTTCACACACCTCACACCCATTAGGATGGCGACTATGAAAAAAAAAAAAACAACAAGAGAAAATGATAAGTGTTGGCTAGGATGTGTAGAAATTAGAAGCTTTGTGCACTATTGGTGGGAGTGTAAAATGGTGAAGCTGCTATGAAAAAGAGTATAAAAGTTCCTGAGAAAATTAACAATAGAATTACCATGTGATCCAGAAATCCTACTTGTGAGTATGTACCCAAAGGAATTGAAAGCAGGGTCTCAAAAAGAAGCTTGTACACCCATATACCAGCATTGTACCAGCATAATAACCAAAAGCTAAAAAGGGAAAGCAACCCAGGTGTCCATCAGTAGATGAATGGATAAGCACAACGTGGTGTATATAGACAAAGGAATATTATTAAGCCTTAAAAAGAAGGAAACTCTGACACATGCTATTACATGGTTGAAACTTGAGGACATTATGCTAAGTGAAATAAGCCAGTTGGAAAAAAGACAAATACTATATGATTCTACTTACAGGAAGTATCTAGAAGAGTCAAATTCATAGAGACAGAAGGTGAAATGGTAGTTGTTAGGAGCTGGGTGGAGTCAGGAATGAGGAGTTATGTTGGAGGAGTAGAATTTCAATTTTGCAAGATGAAAAGAGTTTTAGAGATGGATGGTGGTGATGGCTGCATAACAATGTGAATGTACAATGTGATGTACCACTGAACTGTACAACGAAAATGGTTAAGATAGTAAATTTTGTGTTGCATTAAATTTTATGTAAGCTTTTTAGTTGCAAAAATATAATCATTTGACCACATATGTAAGGGTTTATATCTGGGTTCTTTGTTCTACTCCATTGTTCTATATATCTATGTTTATATCAGTACTATATTGTTTTGATTACTGTAGCTTTGTAACAAAAAGCTTAGACAAATTTAACACAAAATTTTTAACACAATAATTTAAAGTTAGCTATTGAATGAAGGGGAGTTATTAACTATAATTAACACATCAAATTTTTAAATAAAGATATTTAAATAAAGCAATCTTTTTCTACTTGGATTTTAAAATGTTTGCTGAATATTATTAATTTTACAAAGTAAAACTTTGCAATTCCAGTATGAAAATGCCCATCTTGTTGCCAGTGTAAATTATGGATATTGCATTTCAGAAGTGTTATACCTAGACGAACACATCAAATTTATAAGTACAAATTATTTAACATTGCAAATATTAAACAATGCAAAAAGCCACCATGTACAACTATTGCAAATGCCATGCCAACTCACAAGTTCCCTTGGAACCACGAATTGGAGCATAACAAGAATCCAAAGAATAGATGCTCTTCACTTCTGGGAAACAATACTCCCTTATGTGAGAACCTATTGATTTTATGCTCCCTGAGAGGAAAGATTTGACAAGTTGATGAATTTGTCTTTTCTTCTTGAATACTTTTGTTCCTCAAATATTCATGCTCTAAAGCAGTGTCTGTCTTCACAACATTCAGACACAGTCTTCCCTCCAAGGCAGGACCTGAGAACCACCTTTCTTTGGGGCCTAAATGGCATTAGCTTGGAGGTGAACACTTTGAGTCATGCAGAGTCACGCTGTGCCAGCCCTGAGTGTCAGATCCCTGGTGATAGAAGCATCCATATATCCTTCAGTAAATTTACTGTTGGTGTGTTTTTGTGATACATGGGATCCTCTAAAGCACAGGGCTCAGGGCAGGGGTCCCCTCTTTCGTGGGCTGAAGCATGGCACTGTTCAAACCCCACTTTCTATTCCTTAAAATGAAAATGCACCGGTTAGATTGGATATATTCACTCTGGGAACATTAGAAGGCTCACTATTCAGAGAAGTATGTTTGAGGAAGATAAACAGTTTTGAATCATCTAGATTTTAGTCAAATTTGGTCAGTTCTGTGATCTTGGAAAAGTTACTTACAAGCTCTATACCCAGGAATCTTCAACTCTAAAATGGGGATTAAAATAGGACCTACCTCATTGCATTGGGTGAGCATTAACTGAGAAAATGCGCATTAAGTTTTTAGCGGCATGATTGGCCCAGGATAGGTATTACTGATAATGATGATGATGATTTGGATGGCAAGGCAGAATCTCAGAGACAAGCTTAGCTTGGGGAAAATTCATGTTCCATTGCAATCTCTGGGATGGACTGGCTGGTACTTAGAATTAAGATAACTAACTGGACCAGGGCGTGACTTTATTGTCAAAATCTAAGTCACAGCTCAATGTTCTTTAAATCTGGAAAATAAAGCAAGGCTTTCTGAGGTACCATCCAACTCATAGGTAGTTGTGTGGCTGCTTGAGCAGGCCCAGAATAATCACCAATGATATTAAGACCGTCAGGTTCTGTGAAGAACCTGGACACTCTTAGGATATGCTGTAAACATAAGAATATTTATGAGACAAGTTTCAAGGCTACAGGGAGGCTCTCATGCCCAGGGGAAAATGTCTTTGCCTGCAGTTGAATAGTTCAGTCATGGATTGATAGCAAGACTTGATTTGATAAGGGCTGAGTACATCTGTCTAATTTATGCATGGAACTTCATTAGCCATTGCCTTCCACAATTCCTTTGGTTAACTGTGGGTCATCTAAGGGAGACGAAAAAACCCCACACAACTTCAAAGGTAATTTCTTTCTTCTCCAAAAACAGTCTTGGGTTTTCTGGTTTAACAGAGAATTGAGAAGTAAGCATGCATCATTAATTTCTACGCAGAAAACATTCTTCACTTCAAATAGCAATTAGTGATAACATTTCTATCTCTTGTTGTGATGAGCTTTTTATGCTAATCATCACATAGCTGTAAATTAATCATTTGGGCACAGTTAGAGAGGATGTATATTTCATGAGACAGATATAGATATCAAGATCCGTTTGATATTTACTCAACGTAAATGAGAAGCATCTTAAATTATTATGAAAGGAGCATACTGAGCAAATAGGACTGTGTGTGGCAATGTAATGTATGCAGTGTAGATGCATGAGAATTTTTAAGACGCTCTTGGTGTCATTACTGTAATTATTGTGAGGAGGGTGGAACACTCTGGGGAACATAAACTCCAAATTATCCACAGACACAGCAGAACCCTCAAAACCACATCTTAACAATGTCAAGGGCAAAATCAGCAATCGACCTCCTTTCCCTCTAGCTTCCTCCTTTTTTTTCAGTGACAGATTTCACCCTTTTCACATGATACAATATTTAAATGGGTTTCTCTTCTCAATTTGCTCTTAAGTCTACTCAGCTAAATGAATCAGAAAAGCAACTTGACCCTAAAGTCAAATTGGAAGGTGGCTGCATGCATAGAAAATAGGCCACCACACAAATGATATACCATTTCTCAGCAGATAAACAGTTCTTTTTAAATTTATGGAAAACAAGAGAATCGTACTTAAAAATGCCTATAGCGATAGTTACTCAATAGCTTGTGCCAGGCTGCAAGATTGCCTGGTACACCCTAGCAATTATGATGTGCAGGTAGAGTTTTCATGAGAGGAAAATAATTCTACAGACCACTCTTGTATTAGGCTTTTTGCTTTGCTACAAAGGAATACCTAAGACTGGGTAATTCATAAAGAAAAGAGGTTTAATTGGCTCATGGTTCTGCAGACTGTACAAGAAGCATGGCGCTAGAATCTGCTTCTGATGAGGACCTCAGGAAGCTTATAATCATGGTGGAAGGGGAAAGGGGAGCAGATGTCTCACATGGCAAGTGTAGGAGCAAGAGAGAGATGGGATAAGTGCCACACACCTTTAAACAACCAGATATTGTGGAAACTCACTATTGTGAGGATAGCACCAAGCCATTCATGAGGGATCTGCTCTCATGACCCGAATACCTCATGCCAGGCCCCACTTCCAGCATTGGGGATTACATCTCAACATGAGGTCTGGAGGGGACAAACATCCAAACTATATCATCTTTCTTCCACCCTCTCTTGTTCTAACTCCCACATACTTCTTCATACCTCCCCTACTCTTATTGCTATCGATAACCACACTCATCAGCACACTCCCCTACCTGCACACAGTCACATTGTCGCCCCTACCCAGACCCTCCGTACTCCTCTAATAAGGCAGCAGTAAAGGGGCCCAGCTAGAAAATGGGCCGTTTATGTTATCATTTGGCCCCATATAATTTTTTGTTGTTGTTGTTGCTAAGCAAACAGACAATTTTACGGAGAGAATGAATAAGATCCATTTCTTCAGAGCCACTTGTAGGATAAGGCAATGGGGGTACAATCCCTAACCCTATGCCAAAGGTGGAGGTGGAGAAAGGGTCTAGTTCCCTGGAGGAACTAGAATGGTACAGTGACTCAGGAGGCAGTGGGGGAGGAAATGACGATCTTGCCAGCAGCTGGTGGAACTTTGAGACTATAATACAACTTTGTGAGTTTCTCTCTTCTAAAGTTGCTCTGAAACCTAAAATTCTGGAGTGACTGGGGTAGGTGGTGGTAGCAGTGAGTGGAGAATACAGAATTTAACTTACTCTGGGCTCCACCATCTATGGGGATAATCTAAGATGTTGCTCAGAGCTGATAAGCAGAAAGCACAGCAGCCCCAAGTCAAAGGGAGGTGGAGCTCATTGGTGTGGCAGTGTTCCTATAAGAAGTTACTCTTTGCTATTACTGAAGGAAAGGGAAGAAATTTAGTCCAATAGGACATAAATGTCCATCTTAGAAAGCAAAAAGGAGGCAATCAGTCAGCCTGTGAATTTTTAATGCTAATTATAAAACTGGATATAACTTTTCTAGAAAATAACTCTGAAATCCAATAATGATGACTAGATAAACTACAGATTATCCTTGAACTGTGGTAATTCATAGATACCAAGAACATCCAAGTACTACCAAATAGAAGTAGTTACTGTGAACACCCTTAGCTTATTTCTTACCTTAAAAGAAATGTTTTCAGCATTTCATGTTAATTATTGTATTTCTTTAGTTTTTTTTGTAGATGCTTTTTATCTGGTTAAGGATGTCGTCTTTAATTTTTACCATAAATGGATTTTAGGTTTTATGTGACTCTTTTTCTTCATCTACAGATGATTGGATAATTTTGCCCTTTTAAATTTGTTAATGTGATGGATTAAATTAACTGATATTCTAATGATAAACCAATCTTGCATATTTGAGCAGACTTTGGACAGTTCAGAAAATTTATGTGAATCTACATACACAGATTGGAATCAAGTTGTGAAAAAAATGAATCAAAATGCATTAAATGTAAAAGGAATATAAGTATATTCGTCAGACAAAAATTAGTGGTCTGACACCCACTTCCAACCAAGTAGGAGTAACAGGGACCAGACTTACCTTTATGCATGAAACAATTAAAAAATCCGAATACAATGTATTAAATAACAGTGTTCAAGACACCAGACACCAGGAAATGAGGAGCAATGATGCCCAACAGGCAGAAAACGAATGAGGTGAGCACTATGATGGCCCTAGCTTACTTCCTTAATAGAGTTTCCAGTTACACTGTGGGGAAGGGAAACCCAGGCAGAGCCCAGGAACCACCATGAGTTGAAAAGAGGAATGTGAATGTCCAGAGAGGCTGAGGCAGCTAGAATTCACAGGACACAGTGTCACGGAGGATAGTTCCACACACAGAGAGAAGGCCAGGGAGCTGCAGAGGGTCCCACCTTCCCACAACTTCAGGTGAGTACTGATCAGTTCATGCATTTGCGGAAATGATCAGAAACTGGGGAACGAACAATCTGGAAGGAATATAGAAAATAATACTAGGAACTCCTGTTCCTTCAGTCATAGAGAAAAAACATCATAATCTATAGAGCATCAAGAGTACTTAGAAGGGTTGAGCTTTAGTAGTGGGGCAAAATTAGCCCTAGACTAAATGTTGCTCTAGTTTCACCTCATTGAGCTTGGTTAAAGAATCAGGACATGCTACATATCTAAATCCCGCATGAACCTGAGAGTGACTGACTGTCTTTTGGATTGAGCTGAAAGACACCATCTTGTATGCTACATGACCAATATTAATCACTCAAAATATTTCCTTGTGTCATCAAGGGCCACTGTGATAGAAATTATTACTCATGTGGGTTACTGAGTGGTGTCTCCAATACAAATCTCCATTTCTGACCACTTGTTTCCTTTCGTGAAGATAGGATATGAATGATACCACCTAAAGCACAATTGTGATAATGACCTCCCTCTTTGGTAGTTTCCATATTTCCTTCCTAAGAGTTTCTTCTCTCTTAAGACAATTCCAGGACTTTCCTGGAAAGGCACTCAGGCTAGCTCTCTCTTGACAGGGCTTCTTGATGGAAATTTTCATTTTGTCTCCACCATTACTTCAAAAAAGGGAAGGAAGGAGGAATGGAACTGAGAAATGAATTTGCTGTAAAATAGAAGCAGCTAACATTCCTCAATCAGGGGACACATATTGTGGACCTACTATGTACTGGGCACTGTTCTTGGTGCCCTTAAATTAGGGAAACAACCACTTGTTTTCCAACTGTTCTTAACAAAAGACTGCAGAGGAGGTATGAGGTAGCAGTCCAATTTAAACGTTTACTTATAGATAACTGTTGTAACATTTATTGAAAAGTCCACCTTTTTTTTACAGATCATCTATACCAACCTGTCATAAATCAAGTTTTTGCATATGTGGTTCTGGATCTGAACTCTAGTCTGTCCCATTGGACTACTCACTTATCGTTTTGCTAATGCTATGCCATCTTAAAGACAATAAGTTAAGTCTTGACATCTGGCAAGACAAGATAAAAAATCAGAATAGGCTACATTATGTTGTGGCAACAAAACCTCCACAAAATTATTAGTGGCTTAACACAACAGAAATTTATTTCTTAGTCATGCTTCACATCCATTGTGAATAAACTGGAAGCTCTGTCATTCCTTCTTATCACTCTGGATCCAAGCTTGTGGAGCAGGCATTATCTGAAACATTGCCATTTGCCTTGGAGAAAGAGACAGTATGGCAAACCATACAGGGAATTTTACAATTTCCACTCAGAGGTGTATGATCTCTTTGAAACATGAGTTTTAGTTGCTTAATATTTGGGCTTTGCTCTTTTTCTGTAAGTCCTGTGTAGAAGCTCTTCTCATTGAACACCCAACAGTTAAGTCCAAAACAAAACACCTGCTGATTTTTGCTTATATTCATTTGCCAAAAGTACATAGTAATACCAAATTACAAGAAATCAGGAAAGTACAATCTTGCCTTGAAGGAAAGTGGAATAAGGGGCTATGATCCCCTACTTTTATTGTTTTTTTTTCAGAAATAGTTGGCTGTTATTAGCCCTTAGTAGTCCAATTACACTTTAGATTCAGCTTGACACATTAAATAAACAAACCAACAAACCAAAATCAAGAACTCAAAGCCAAAACACTCCATTGTAAAATTTTGATAGAGATTGTATTGACTCCATAGATAAATCTGGGGAAAATGAACATCTTTGCTATGGAGTCTTCCAAAACATGAATGTCATATTTCTCTAACTATTTAGCTCTACTTTAATATATTTTAATAAAGTTTGATAATTTTTATCCATAAAACAATCTCTCATCATAAAATTTTTTTCTAGACTCTTTACATTATTATTATTTTTAGAGACAGGGTCTTCCTATGTTGCAGAGGCTGGCCTCGAACTCTTAGACTCAAGTGATTCTCCTGCCTCATCCCTCCCTAGTAGCTGGAACTACAGGAATGTTGGTGTGTGCCAATGAACACAGCTAACATTTTATATTATTTGATGCAAACGTAAATGATATCTTTTTAGTTGCGTTTTCTAAGTATTTGTCTAGAAATATTTTTCATTTTTTAAAATTTCTTTTCTTGAGCAAACTTCTTAAGCCCCATTTTTAATTATGATACTTTTTTGGTAGATTCTTTTGAATTTTCAATGTAGGCAATCATATTTGTCTACAAGTAGAAACAGTTTTCTTTCTTCCTTTCCATTGCTTATACATTTTCTCCCGTCTGTGGAAGCTAGAATATCCAAGTACTACCAAATAGAAGTAGTTACTGTGAACACCCTTAGTTTATTTCTTACCTTAAAAGAAATATTTTCAGCATTTCATGTTAATTATGATATTTCTTTAGCTTTTTTTGTAGACGCTTTTTATCTGGGTAAGAATGTCTTCTTTAATTTTTACCATAAATGGATTCCAGGTTTTATGTGACTCTTTTTCTGCATCTAGAGATGATTGGATAACTTTTCTCTTTTAAATTTGTTAATGTGATGAATTAAATTAACTGATATTCTAATGATAAACCAATCTTGCATATCTGGCAGAAACTCAACTTTGTCATCATTTATTCTCTTTTTCTTTCACTAATAGATGCAGTTTGTTAATATTTTGTTCAATTTTTTCATTTATAATCATGAGTGAAGTTGGCTTGTGATTTTTCCAAACGGTCCTTAATTAGATTTTGGTGTTAAGATTGTACTAGTCTCATAAAATGAGCTTAGAATTAATTAGTCCTTCTTCTATACTGTAAAATAATTTTGTAAAATTGAAATTATTTATTTAAAGTTTGGGAGAACTTACTTATAAAACTAAAGAATTTATGTGGTGGGGGGTACATTTTAAACTAGTGATTCAATTTATTTAATGTTTCTAGAGCTATTAAAATATGAAGTTTATTCATCAACTCATTTAAGTAATCACATTTTTTTCTAAACATTGGTGCATTTATTCAAGATTCCAAATTATTGGCATAAAGCTTTTAATCAGTAATTTTCAGTATTTTCAAAGAGCCAAATCTTTGGCTTTGTTGATCCTTTCTACTGAAGGCTTGTGATCTATTTCACACACTTCTACTCATATTTATTGTTTATGCCTTAATTCTTTATTTGGGTTTATTCTGCTATTTCTTAATTGGAGGAAAAAAAGTATAGCAGAATAAACCAAATAATTAGGGAATAAACAATAATCCCTAATTCTTTCTTTGGGTTTATTAGCTTATTTTAAAATTTTTATCATTTTGAACTGTAACTTTGCCTCTAAGAAACTGCCTACCTGCATCCTACAAGTTTTGATATGAAAGTGTTGTCTGTGTGTGAGCTGTTATTCAGTTGTACATATGTTTTAATTTTAATTATAATTCTTTCTGTAACTCCGTATTAGTCTGTTCTCACACTGCAAATAAACACATACCCAAGATTGGGTAATTCATAAAAGAGGTTTAATTGACTCACAGTTTCACATGGCTGGGAAGGCCTCACAATCATGGCTGAAGGCGAATGAGGAGCAAAGAGTCATGTCTTGCGTGGCGGCAGGCGAGAGAGCTTGTGTAAGGGAACTCCCCTTTATAAAACCATCAGATGAGACTTATTCACTATCATGAGAACAGCATGGGAAAGACCTTCCCCCATGATTCAATTACCTCCCACTGGGTCCCTCCCATGACATGTGGGAATTATGGAAGCTACAATTCAAGATGAGATTGGGTGAGCACACAGCCAAACCATATCAGACTCATAAACTACTAAATAATTTCTTTATTTACTAAGTCATTTATTTATTTCAATGAGTCATGTTTCTAATTTTTCAAACTTATATATGTTTTTAGTTGATTAGTGGCATTGTGGTCACAGAATATGATATCAAATTTGTTAAGCCTTTTTTTCTCATTCCATTTGGTGGGGGAGGTTGTTTTGTTGTTACACACTTTACCTCTCTTTTTTGTGGTTACCTGAGAAAATTTAACTTTCTTTTTTTTCTTTTTTTTTGAGATGGAGTCTCCCACTGTCGCCCAGGCTGGAGTGCAGTGGCATGATCTCAGCTCACTGCAACCTCTACCTCCTGGGTTCAAATGATTGCGTGCTTCAGCCTCCCAAGTAGCTGGGACTACAGGTGCACACCACCATGCCTGACTAATTTTTGTGTGTGTATTTTTAGTAGAGACAGGGTTTGGCCATGTTGGCCAGGCTGGTCTTAAAAACTCCTGACCTCAAGCGATCCGCCCACCTCAGCCTCCTAAAGTACTGGGATTACAGGCATGAGCCAAGGCGCCTGGCCAGAAAATTTAACTTTCATATTTAACTTAGCAAAGCCTAAAGTTAGACAATATCTTTATCCTGTTCTAGAGCAATACAAATGAACTCACAGAAAAAGGCTATCTGGAACCCACAGAAGGGGCCAACTAGGTCAGGAGAAGGAAGGGGATGTTGGTCGCACTTAGAATACTCACCAGACCAGTTTAAAGATGACTTCCAGAAACTATTTCTACATGACAGTTAGGCCCAGGCACGATGGGTCAACAGTGCCTCACTGGCAGGACAGCTGCAGAGGGACATCAGCAGAGACCCTCAGTTCTGGAGAAATAAGTGGCCGTCAGAGCTCACCTCCAGGTCAGTCGGACCTGTGGGGAACCAATGAACTGCAAGCAGGCACCCACAAGGGTGGATCCCATATGAGCTCCTAAATTTATTCTTTCTGCCCACTGCACAGACAAAATCAATTGCCTGAGACCATGGCATTGCAGTAAAGAAAGAGTTTAACTGACATGAGGCCAGCTATGCAGAAGAACTGGAGTTATCACTCAAATCAGTCTCCCTGAAGGGTCAGAGGTTAGGGTTTTTATGGACAGTTTTGTGGGCAGGGGACTAGGGAATGGGTGCAGCTGATTGGTTGGGAATGCCATCACATCACTGGAAGACTGTCCTTGTGCAGTGAGGCCACCTGTGGGCAGAGCCACAGGACCAGCTGAGTCATGAGTCCAGATGGGATCAGTCTGAAAAACATCTAAAAAAAAAAAAACTCCCCAGTCTTAGGTTCTACAACAGTGATACCTATAGAAGCAATTGGGGAAGTTATAAATCTTGGGACCTCTGGCCACATGACTCCTGAGCAGTAAGAAATTATAGAAACTATGCCTACATTTTAGCAGAACTTGGGCCTCTCCCATAATCCTAATCTTGTGGCCTTTCATTAGTCTTACAAAGGCAGTTTCAGCCATTGAACAGGGAGAGGGTTAGTTTCAGGGAGGGACTATTATCATTCTTGCTTCTAAGTTAAACTGTAAACTAAATTCCTCTCAAAGTTATCTTGGCCTATGTCCAGGAATGACCAAGGACAGCTTGGGGTTAGAAGTAAGATGGAGTCAACTAGGTCAGATTTTTCTTACTGTTATAATTTTGCAAAGGCAGTTTCAAAAGGACCTTAGAACACTAATTCCAGTAACTTCACGTCTTATTCACATGCTATTCCAGTGAAATATATTCTTTCCATCTTGTTTTCTTTTCAAATACCACCTTATTATTGTGGTTTTTATTTATTCTATGTTTGTTTAAAACGGTTATCACTTTCTTTGCTCTTAATTTCTGTCCAGTGGCCAGGATTAGGTGGTCAGTCAGAACAATAAGCCAAACTGAAAGTTAACAATCAAGCCTTAATCACTTACAGAAATAGTGTAAACAAGAGGCAAAAATAAGCACCAGCTTCCTAACATTCCATTTTTTCCCCAGGGAATGGCAGTAGGCAAGGGTCAGATGAATCAGCTCAGACAGGGAAAATCATCTCACTACCAAAGAGCCCTGAACAAATGACTCCTGACATTTTATGGTCCAGGGGACTGACAGAAGGGAGTAGGGGAAGTCTAGGACTAGAAAAGTACTGGGTCAGAGTGGATGAAAGTATCTTGGTCATAAGATAAGGAGGCCTTGAATGGAGGTGTTTGGGTGAGGAATGGGTGGCTGCCCTAGGCGGCCTGAGTCCTTGACTGCAGCTCCTTCTGGAAAACTGTAACCCACTGGCAGAGCACTAAGTCAGCTGTGGGGAGGTGTATTAGTCTGTTTTCAGGCTGCTGATAAAGACATACCTGAAACTGGGTAATGTATAAGGAAAAGGAGGTTTAATAGACTCACAGTTCCACATGGCTGGGGAGGCCTCATAATCACAGCAGAAGGTGAAAGGCACGTCTCACATGGTGGCAGACAAATGAGAGCTTGTGCAGGGAAGCTCCCCTTTATAAAACCATCAGATCTCATGAGACTTATTCACTATCATGAGAACAGCACAGGAAAGACCTGCCCCCATGATTAAATTACCTCCCACCAGGTCCCTCCCACAACACATGGGAATTGAGGATGACATTTGGGTGGGGACACAATCAAACCACATCAAGGGGGCAGCTTTCTCCCAGTAGCGCCTGCCAGGCAAAGCCTTTGTAATGCCTAAAGTCAGGCCTGGAAAGTCACATACAGATTTTGATTTTGGCCTGGAGCCAATCTCCTCACTTCTTGTATATTAGTGTCCACTCTATAATCATTTAATTTTGCCTAAAGGACACTTTTTCTAATTTCCTGTAGTGAAGACCTGCTGGTAGTAAACTCTTTCACTTTTTTTTTTTTTTTTTTCTGAGACAGAGTCTCACTCTGTTGCCCAGACTGGAGTGCAGTGACATGATCTTGGCTCGCTGCAACCTCTGCCTCCCAGGTTCAAGCGATTCTCCTGCCTCAGCCCCCTAGTAGCTGGGATTACAGGCACGTGCCACTATACCCAGCTAATTTTTGTATTTTTTTTTAGTAGAGATGGGGTTTTGCCATGTTGGCTTGGCTGGTCTTGAACTCCTGACCTCAGGTGATCCACCCGCCTCACCCTCCAAAGTGCTGGAATTACAGGCATGAGCCACCATGGCTGGCCAACTCTTTCACTTTTTAATCTGAAAAATATCCTTACTTTGTCCTTGTTTTCAAAAGATATTTTCCCTGAGCACAGAGTTGTTAGGTTGATAATTGTTGTCTCTCAGCATGTGGAAGATCTTCTGGCTTGCATTGTTGCTGTTAAGAAGTTAGCTAAAAGTCCAATTGTTGCTTTTTTCAAGATAGTCCATCTCTTCTCTCTTACTTCAAAGAGCTTCTTTTGTCTCTTCTGGTCTGTAGTTTCTCTAAAATATGTCTTTTTATTTATTCTGTCTGGGATTCACTGGGTTTCTTGATTTTGTGTATCTAAATTCTGGAAAATTTTGATTTATTATGTCTTCAGATAATTCTTTGTCCCATTTTCTTTTTTCTGAAACCCTGATTAAACACATTAGACAATATAACTCTATCCTTCATATTTCTTAACCTTTCATTTATATTTTCCATTCTTTGTCTTTCTGTGCTAAATTCTCATAAATTTCATCACTATTGTCTTGCAGTTTACTAACTCTCATTAAATTGGTTAAATTTGTCCCCGAATTTTAAAATTTCACTGAGTATAATTTATATTCCCTAAAGTTCTATTTGGTTCTTTCTACAATATGCTTGGTCATTTTTTTTTATGGTCCCATGCTCTCTATTCTACTTTCAAACTCTTCTTTGACTTCCTTGAAATAATGGACATAGCTTAAATAATTTTAACCAAAAAATTCCAATATCAGAGGACACTGTGGGTTAATTCTTGATCTTTTTTTGTTTGCTCTTGCTCAGAATGCTGTGATTCTTTTTTTCCCCTTTTTGTTGTGAGTTAATATTTTATCTAACTTTATAAGTGGGAATTTCTTCAGACCCTCTACTTAGCTTTTACTCAATCATGGTAACTTTCCTTGCAGACCTGAGAGTTATTTTTGTTCACCACTGTATTGAGGTATAATATTTTGGGGTCTCATTTTTGTTGGAGTTCTATAGTATCCTTAATGTGGCAGAATCTGGAATTTGTCTACAATCTCCTGATCTCTGAATGGAATTTAAGTTTACCACATTCCTTAAACTTTCTCAAAGAGAAAGCTTGTTCAATGTTTTATGTATCTCCAAATGACCAACAAACTTATAAAAACATGCTCAACATCACTAATTATCAAGAAAATGCAAATCGAAACCACAATGAGATACCACCTTACTGCAGTCAGAATGGCCATTATTATTATTTTTGAGACAGGGTCTTGCTGTCACCCAGGCTGGAGTGCAGTGGCATGATCACAGGTCACTGCAACCTTGACCTCCTGGGCTCAAGAGATCCTCCCACCTCAGCTTCCCAAGTAGCTGGGACCACAGATGCATGCCACCATGCCTGGCTAATTTATTTTTATGTTTATTTTTTGTACAGTAAAGGTCTCACAATATTGTCCAGGCTAGTCTTGAACTCCTGAACTGAAGCAATCCTCCTGCATTCCAAAAGTTCTGGGATTACAGGCACGAGCCACCATGCCTGGCCCCAGAATGCCCATTATTATAAAGTCAAAAAACAATAGATGTTGACTGGATGTGGTAAGAAGGGACTGCTTATACACTATTGGTGGGAATGTAAATTAGTACAACCTCTACGGAAAACAGTATAGAGATTTCCCAAAGAACCAAAAGTATATCTACCATGCTATCCAACAACCCCATTACTGGGTATCTACCCAAAGGAAAATAAGTCATTATATCAAAAGACACTGGCATACATATGTTTATCGCAACACAATTCACAGTTGAATAGGTATAGAACCAATCTAACTGCCCATCAAGTGATGAGTGGATGAAGAAAATGTGGTATATATACACCATGGAACACTGCTGAGTAAGCTATAAACAAGAATGAAATGTTTTTTGCAGCAACTTGGATGGAGCTAGAGGCCATTATTCTAAGTGAAGTAACTCAGGAATGGAAAACTGAATACTGTATGTTCTCACTTATAAGTGGGAGCTAAGCTATGGGTATACAAAGGCATACAGAGTGCTATAATGGACATTGGAGACTCAGAAGCAGGGAGGATGAGAGGGAGGTGAGGGATAAAAAAACTATATATTGGATACAATGCACGCTAGTTGGGTGAGGGGTGCACTAAAATCTCAGGCTTTACCACTATACAATTCATCCGTGTAACAAAAACCATTTGTACCTAAAAAGCTATTGGAATTAAAAAATATGTATGTTTTTAAGGCTGAGCGCAGTGGCTCATGCATGTAATCCCAGCACTTTGGGAGGCTGAGGCAGGCTGATCGCTTGAGTCCAGGAGTTCAAGACCAGCCTGGGCAATGTGGCGAAACCCCATCTCTACAAACAAACAAACAAACAAAAAACACAAAAAAATTTAGCACCCTTTGGTCCCAGCTACTCAGGAGGCTGAAGTGGGAGGATCACCTGAGCCTGGGAGGTGGAGGTTGCAGTGAACCAAGATCGCACCACTGCACTCCAGCCTGGGCAACAGAGTACACACACACACACGCACACACACACATATGTATATATATATATTTAAAAGTTTAAAAACCTTTTAAAAGCAAAAAATATTCTATGTATCTCTTGGTATATAGTCTTTCGATACTTAGTCTTTTGTCTAATATTCTTGTTAATCAGTTCATTCATATATTTAATAAGATGTTTCTCAAATATTATCTAGCATTTTTAGTCATCTTCAGTGTAAGGGTCAGAGTACTGGTGTGCTACTTCGTCAGAAATGAAAGATCCCACTCTTTCAATCATTTTTTTATCATTAATACAATTGATGCTTTGTCCTCTCCTTCTGAAAATCCAGTTACACACATATTAGACAACTTGATATTGTATCACAATTCTTGGATGATTCACTCTGGCATTTTTTTTTTTTTTACTCTTTCTTCTCTTTTTGGATAATTTCCATTGGCCTACATACAAGTCCACTAATGCTCTCTGCAGCCTTGTCCAATTGGCTGATGAGTCTGACAAAAAAATTTTATATCTCTGACATTGCATTTTTTAACATTTGTATTTGACTCCATTTTATGGTTTCCAGCTCTGCTGAAATTCCCCTTCTGTTCATGTGTGTAGTCCATTTTTCTTACTAGACCTTTAACATAATCATCATAGTTAGGTTAAACTCCTCTGATCGTTCAAACTTCTGGGTCATCTCTTAGTCTTGTTCTCTTAATTGCTTTATCTCTTGACAATAAGTTTATTTCTTCTTCTTTTTTCGGTGTGTCTTGTAATTTTTTATTGAATATTGGATGTTGTGTGAGGCAGAATAGTAGAAATTGGCTCCAGAGAGGATGGGGATTAATGTTTTTGCTCTAGACGACTCTGTAAATATTATTGAGCCTCTCTGAGCTCCAACCATGTCATCAGCAAATTGTGAATAAGCCCCAACTTCATGGAAATGTTGTGTAAAATAACAAAACATAAATGCAAAATAGCATTATTATTTATCTAGTGACAGACCCTAGTATTTACCTTTAATAAGGCAATTGAATTATACATTCTTGATTTTTTCCCCAAATGATATCCTTTTTTTCTATAAATTAAAAAATTCCAAAGCTCATTTTTAAAATTCACATAATATAAAAATATACAAATTAGAAAGTCAAATGCCTCCATATATTCAATTAAGAGCATACTAAAGTTGAGTAATTCCTCTACTCCTTCAATAAATAATATAAACCATAATATTTTCGTATTTAATGTTCATAAATGAACACATAAAAATCAGAGATCTTCCAAAAATTTATTAAGTGTTTACTTTTAAAGTGGAAACAATGTTTTTAAGAGGTGATATAAAGAAATGCCCCCACTGTAATCCCTACCATATGTTGATTCTATGTGGTGGGAGGGAGGGGAGAATGATTCCTTTTTCTAGAATCAGAGAATTTGGAAAGTATCAAGAAAGATAATAACAGAAAGCATGAAATAGAGTTGTGCTTTGAAGATGAATTGGATGAAATTGTTATGTGAAGAGGAGTTTTCCAAAGTTGCAGACCCAGGATTCCTGGCCAGAAGCATGAAAACGTTTCTTTCTTACTGTTTCTAGGACCTAGGCAGCATTTCTTCCATGTCTGCAACAACATAAGAAACAACAGCCCAAACAGCAGCAGCAACATTCATCTGCTTTGGATCCATGACAGTCATGGTGTCTCCGTGGGAGTGATGGAAGAAGAAATACTTGTATAAGTCATCAAGTAGACTGGCTCCTGGGGATAAAAGAGGAAGAATTCTTAGTGGAGTATTTTGACAGACACTGCTGAATACACACCTCTCCCCCTTCACTTTTGCCTGCTCCTATTATACAGTCTGCAATAGCAAAATAATTACTTTTCCAGGCTCTCTTGCTGCAAGAAATGTCCATGTGTCACCATTCAGATGACTATGATGTGAGTAGCCGGCTGTGGATGAGTTCTAGAAAAGCCTTTAACTTCGTTGACAAAGAGTTGGGAAAATATCCCTAATGCTGCATTCAAGGCAGATGAGAACTTTGGAGCTGCATGGGGCAAAAAGCCCCTAAACTAAAAATGGCAGAGTGGAAGTAGCCTACATTTGGAAAATATTGCTAACTCTCTCAACAAGCTCTGCACTGCCTTCTTCTGGATTTCCTGTGATATAAGGGAAAATAAACTTTTATTTGTATAAGTAACTGAGACAAATGCCTCATATTTATAAAAAGACAGTATCTTCTTTGTATCTGCACGTTTGCAAATTATGTACCTTCCTGGTTACAAAAGAAAGCCAATACCCCTTTGTTCAAGTTTTCCTTCTCAAATCATCCATTTACTTCCTAGAGTTATAACATCCCCAGCAACCTCCAAGGGCACCAGCAGGAGTCTCTGCCCTGCTTCAAAGCTTTCTTCTCATTCAAGTGTGAAGCTTTTTGCTAGTTTCAGTCATGGATCATAGCCTCAGGGAAACTTCATTGTCTCTTATTTATCCTTGAAAACCTACTAGACCCATCTTATGGATTCTAGTTTCAGTTCTTTAGCCTCTAGCTAGCTTGATTGATTGGTTGGTTGACTGTTTTATTGTGAAATATACCATACACACATAAGATTGTACAGAACATAAATGTATATTATAAAGGGTGAAAATAATAAGTACATATATGTCCATAATTTAATGCAAGAATGATATCACCAGTATCTTGGAAACCCATTTATGACACCCCTGCCCACTGCAGATCTTTTCCTCCCTCCAGAGGTACCCACTAGCCTGTCTTGCCTCTTAATTACTCCTTGCTTTTCTACAGTTTTACCACTTCATACTTTACCACATATATGTATATGACTATATATAACAATTATACGTGTACAGATATACAGTTTAATATTGCCTACTTTTGAACCATATCCTCCAGATATATTTCTTTAGCTTGCTTTTTCCATTCAAACATATATAAGATTTATCTATGCTGTTGTGTATAGCTCTAGTATTTTCATGTTTTATTGCAGTATATTACCTCTTTGTATTTATTTATCCATTTTACCAACAATGGTCATTTAGGTGGTTTCCAGTTTTCTATTACGTGCTGCTACCAACACTATCAAGGCTTTGAATGTAGGAGTGGTTTGCTGGGCTATAGAGTATGTGTGTGTTCAATTTTACCGTGCAATTCCAAAATGTTTTCCTTTTCAATTTACACTTACACTGTTAGTATATGAGTCATTCTCTTGCTTCACATAGTCTACAGCACTTGATATTGTCAAACTAATTTTTGTAAATTTGGTGAGTGTGAAATGCTAACATTTCATTTTCAGTTTTAAAAGAAACTAATTGTGAGATTAAGTATGTTTTTACATGTGGATTTTTTTGTCATTTATGTGTGTTTTCTCTTTTGTGAAGTTCTTGTTCATGCATTTTGCCCATTTTTCAATGGATTTGTCTTTTTCTTATTGACTTGTAAGAGTTCTTGGCATAATTTAGACACTTCTGTTAGTAAGTTTGTATATATCATTTCCCAGTTTGTGGCTCATCTCTTTACCCTGTTTAGTGTGTGTTTTGATGAATAAGTGTTTTTACTTTCAATGTAGTTGGATTTATGAATATTTTCCTGTAAGATCCATACTGTTTATGTCTTAAGAAGTCCTTCCTTACCCTAATATTACAAAGATATTCTCTGAAATTCTATTCTAAATTTTAAAAATATTTTATTTTCATTTTTAAGTTCTCTACCCATCCAGAATAGGAAATGATTTTTGTGTTGGGTGTGAGGTAGGATTCTATTTTCAGTTTTCCATTGCCTAGAAACATTTATTCATTAGTAGTACATCCTCTTTCTCCACTGATCTGCGGTACGGATTGTGCCATATTAAGTTTCCTTATATGTTTATTTTGGGGCTTTCTAATTGTTTCAGTGATCTATTTGTCTATCTCTGCAACAATGCCACACTATCTTAATTGCTATTACTTTAGAATCCTTGATATCTGTTAGGGCAAATTCCCTCACTTTCTCTTCCTTCTTCTTCAGGAGTGTTTTGATTATTCAGAACCATTTGCTCTTTCAGATAAATTTTAGAATCATTTAAATATACTCCAAAAGTATTTTTGGATTTTGATCAGAATTGTGGTAATATCTATTTTAAATTGGGGGGAACCGAACATCTTTTTATTAGAATATTGTGTTCTTATCCATGAAAATGGTGTGTTTATATATGTTTCTATTTGTCTTCTTAATGTCTTTAAAGTTTTATAACAGTTTTACATCCCTTTTGTTCATTTTCTTTCTTTGATGGCTTATATATTTTGTTGCTATTGTAAATTTTCATTTTGAAAAACCTACATTTTCTGTTTGTGGCTCTCCAGTTTTAGTATCAAGGATGTATCTGATGCATAACATGGTTTTCCTTCTTTTTTTTATACATTCTGGGATAGTTTGTGTAAGATTAGAATTATTTATTTCCTGGTTATTTTGTAGAACTTTTAACAAAGCCATCAAAGTCTGATGTTTTCTTTATGATAACAATTTTAACTAATGATTCAATTTCTTTCATGGTTATTGGCTTATTCAGGTTTTGTACTTATTCTTGAATTAACTATGGAAATTACATTTGTCTAGGAATTTGTGAGTTTTGTCTAAATGCTCAAAATAATTGGCATGAAGTTGTCAGTAATATCCTGTTTTTAATTTTAGTTGATGTCTGCAGCATCTATAGTGATGCCCTCTTTTTCATTCTTGATGTTGATTATCAGTGTCTTCTCTGTTTTTTTTTTAAATCTTGCTTGCAGTTTGTCAGTTTTATTAATAATTTGAAGAAAAAGAAAAAATGATGACTTTCATTTTTTGGATACTTTCTATTATTTAGTAGTTGTTCTTCCATTGATTTCTGCTCCTAAGTTTATATTATGCTTATATTATTTTACTCCTCCTTTCTTTGGATTTATTTGCTTTTCTTTTTCTAATTTTTGGAGTTAAACACTCAGTTTATTACTCTGCAGACGTACTTTGTCTCTAGCATAAGCAGTAAGGCTATAATCTTCCCTCAATACTGCTTTAGCTGTATCTCACCAGTTCCCATTAGTAGTTTCATGACAATTCAGTTCTAAATATTTATTAATTTCTAGTTTTACTTTTTCCTTGACTCATGAGTTAGAATGCATTTTTTTAATTTTCAAAAGTATGAAGTTTTCTGAGTTATTTTTTTCATTATTGATTTCTAATTTAACTGTTAGAGAATGTTGGCTGTATGATATAGATTCTTTGAATTTTGTTGATGTTTGCTCTATGGCCTAGTATGTGATGCATTTTTGTAAATATTCCATGTGTATTTGAAGAGAATGTGCTTTCAGTGCTCTGTGTAAGTCCATTAGATCAAGCTTCTTAATTGTGTTCTTCAAACCTTTTAACTCCTTACTGATTTATTGTCTATTTGACCCATCAATTTTGAGAGAGATGTGTGAAAATGTCCCTCTGTGAGATGTGTGAAAATGTCCCTTTGTGATTTTGAATATTCCGTAGTTCCAGTAATTTTTTAAAATATATTTCAAAGTTATGCTGTTAGGGGTATACAAATTTAAAATTATGTATCCCTGGTAAATTGAAAACTCATCTGTAATGTTGCTTTTTGTTCTGGAAGTCCAGTTTTTCCTAATAATTAAGATAGGCACACCTAGTTCTTTTTGCAGAGTATTACCCTGGTATGTCCTTTCCCATCGTTTTACTGGCAGCCTTTCTCTATCTCATACTTTTAGGAGTTTCTCTTATGAATAGTTTAGAGTTGAATTTTTTTGCTTCTATCTGTTTATTATGTTTTCTAGGTTTCTTTTTTTTCTTTCTTTCTTGCCTTCTTTTGGGTTGATTTTTTTCCCTTCTCTCATTCCTTTTCCCTCCAACTCTATAGTTTGGAAGCTACATGCTTTATTTCAATTCTGTCAGTGGAGACCTTGGAAATTATAGGTTACATATTCATCTTAATAAGTCTAAAGTTAATCAATATCTTATAAAGTACACTAGTGGCCCCAAGTTTTGTACTTGTCCTAGATGCACCCACTGCTCATTAAAACCCATGCTCTAGGCAAACAGGGATTAGCAGACAAATGCCAGGCCCCAGGGTTTTCTTACTTCTATAGATTTTCATTATTTCTATTATTTCTCACCTCTGAGGAATTCCCTTATTTTGCCTCTTGCTAAGTCATGTATTATTAAAAGGCAATTATTATTATATCCAATAACTATTTTAGGGAAGGGGAGGTATGTTTCTATGTGTTTCTGGTAACCACATTGCTAGGATTTCCCTCTTCAAATCCCCTACCTCCTGTCTTGTGGACTGGACATTGCCATTGTTCTTGAGCCCTCCATTGCCCCAGGATGCCATCTAGATTTTCTCCAAGCCCAACCCACGTTCTTACAACTTTGTACCAGAGTTTTCCCCTATCTACTCCCATAAACCCCTTGCTCTGGGGTGGAGTACTTAGGATGTCAACAGACAGATATAGGCACAGGTATTCCAGATGAACAGAACATGTGAGCGTTCCAGTTTGGTTGACACTGGGGGGTAACTTGGGCTAATTATTGGCAGATAAAGTTGGCAACTACCTGTGGAAGGTCCTAAATGTCAGGCTGAAAATAGACTGAATGTAGTTCATAAATGTGGAGCCATGGTGGTTGGGAGGATGAATGAGAAGGTGGGGTGACTAGAGATGCACCTTAGGGAGATGCTCCAAAAAACATGAAGGAGAAATTGTGTGAACAACTACGAAGGTGAGTAAACAGCTGGAGAAGAGGTCCAGTCTGAGGAGAAGTGAGAGGGACCAGGGCCAGATGATGACATCTTGACCTCCAGAAGGCACAGATAACCACATTTCCCAGTAGAAAAGCCAGAAGTCCTTTTTTTTTTTTGAGACGGAGTCTTGCTCTTCGCCCAGGCTGGAGTGCAGTGGCGTGAACTTGGCTCACTGCAAGCTCCGCCTCCCGGGACTACAGGCGCCTGCCACCACGCCCAGCTAATTTTTTGTATTTTTAGTAGAGAAGGAGTTTCACCGTGTTAACCACGATGGTCTCGATTTCCTGACCTCATGATCCGCCCGCCTCGGCCTCCCAAAGTGCTGGGATTACAGGCCAGAAGTCCATTTTAAAACCAGAAAATACTTTATGCCATGAACTCACAGCACACCCAGGGGAGACAAATCTGTATGTTTACTCTGGTAGTAGCTAGAAAGCACTTTAACAGAAACTGTGACATTTTAGAGTTAGTTGAAGCTGGTGGGGAGTACATGCTCTCTGGACCCCACAGAGTATCAGGTGAATGTCAAATTCATGTACAAGGACAGAGTCAAAACCTTCAAAGAACAGAAGTCACTGAGGGTGAATGGAGGATGAATTAGAATTGTGGATGTCAGGAAACAGGAAGGGACATTTAATTCCAGCAGACAGAGCTTGGAACACTTGGGGCTGTTTCCTTCCCAGTCAGAGCTTCTTAAAGACACGGCATGGTGGTCGACAGACAAAGCCTCCAAATTCCATATTTAAAAAAGAGAGGCAAGAAATATTTGTCCATGCCCTCTTCAGAGCTCCAAAATTCTCAGACTGAAGGAATTTGGCTGCCTTCCTTTAGAACTAGTGACTTGAAGAAGGCATTTCCTCAGATATCATCTAAGTTCCCATGAACATTCTACAAAACTAAAACAACTCCAAAACGTGTTCTATCAATCACTAGTGAGAATGCTGATAACTGCAGGAGATACCAGGGTGGGCCCGCTGGCTGGCTTGCAACTTTGTCTCTGTAGTTCCAAGGAGACATTTTATCAGTGACAGCTACTGATCTAAAAGATGGGCACTGAGGGAGATCCTGCACTTCCATTTCTGAGAGCACCTGACATTGCAGGGTGGGTGGGTCAGGGGGAATGTTAACTATCCCCAGGGATAAATTGCATAGGATCTTCTGACAGGTATATGAGCTCTGAAGAGGGAGTCATAAAATGCATTTATGAAATGGAAAGCTGGCAGAAGGAGCCTGCTCTGAAGGCAAATATTCTCCCCTGGAAACAAACTACAGCATTATTAGGGCAGTTTCACTGTTAGGAAATTATTTCCAAGGGAGGTTTGGAGTTTAAGAATGTGAAGACATATCCTTCAGCATGTCAGCCAAGGAGCCATTGCACCTAGGAGGGAGATACAGCTGAGAGAATATGGGGTTTAGAGGCAGGTAGGGCTGGGTTCAAATTCAAATTCTTCTGCTTAAAACCTGGGTGACTTTGAAAGAATGATGTAAAGCCATTCAACTTTAGTTTCCTCAATCAGCAAACAGGGCTAATGATATCCAACTTCCAAGATGCTTGTGAGGATTAATAGGTACTCAATTAATTCTTTATTATAGTTGTTATACAGCCACAAAGATGAGCCAATCTATATCAACAGTATCATGATCAATTCATTACAGCTTGGAAGATTTAAATTCCAATTTAATAAATCAAAGTTGTGACGATCGCTTTTTAAAGACGGAACACCTGGTCTGTGATTCTAGTCTATATGACTGCCTTGACCCTGGTTTGGATTATTTTCCCTCTTCCTCCTTCCCTTGCTCCTTCTCTATGAATCTTTTTTTTTTGTAAACACTCATCTCACAGAAAACATTTTCCAGCTACGTGACTGGGTGAAGACCATCTGATGAATATTATAAAAAATACCTGAGCTGCCCCATACTGTTCACAGCAGATTTCAGCCTTCACAGGGTGCTCTCACTAATGACTGTGGCTTGTGCAGAATGTTGGAACAAGACTGAATACCTGCTAATTCCTGAAGAGATGGGTGGGCACATACACAAAGATTCTCAAAGTCACCATTATTATAGGTTGACTCTCATTCATATGTAATCAGTGAGTTTTCATGTACACAAATTAAGCAATTTGTGTTATGAGAAGTTTTTGAAAGACGTTTGAAAGCACTGAAAGTTTAAATTCAAGTCTGTTATTTTAGTGCATATACTGGCTACTGTGGTTCTGTGTGAAGGATGCATTCACAGGCGAGCAGCTGTGGGAAATCCATTTCTCCTTTTATAAACACATCTTGAACAGTCTGGGGTATGCAATTTAATTGCCATGGAATATATTATAGATATTCCCTGATCATAATAATTATGGGGTGAGGGAAGAATGTTATGGTCTTAACATATTCCTTGCAAGAAAACTTAGTCCCTCTAGAATCCTTAAAATACTAAAAATACATTTAAAATTTAATTAAAATTATTATTATTTTCAGCAACATTAGCAAATGAAAAACACATACACATTATTACCAAAACAATTAGAAAATCAATTCATGGGATTTGCAGACACTTAATCTCTCTTTTCAAGGGGGCAGTTTAATCCCTACTGTATTAAATCTTATTGAAAATTAGACTCAAAAGCAGTTCATTAGCAGCTTCCTAACACATAGCTCCCTAGAAGAGAAAGCAACTCAACTCATAAGAGGGGGAAAAAATGAAAGGAAAACAAAGGACAGGACAGGACCAGAAAGTAAAAACAAAAAAAATCCTCAATCACAAATCCATTAAAAGTATTCTACTTTTAGTTTCTAACTCTCAAGCTACCCAAGAATCTCCAAACTTGGGCTAAAAAGTTTTAGGTGCGCCACTAAGCCCATGTACCTTCTATCTCTTTGGAAACCTTGGCTTGGCTATGGGCATAATTTTGACCAAATAGTTTAGGTCAACACCAACACCTCTGGTGGACTTGCAGGTCCCACAGTATCTGAACTGTGTGATAATGAGTCATCTCTGTAAGGTGGTAAAACTGTGTGGCAGCAATAACTAAGACTAGTTAATCAGTACTACATGAAGATGATGCTACAGACTCCCCAAATAGGGGAATTACAAGAATAATAGTCACTGCTTGTTGAGTGCTTTCTGTGTACTGAGGGCTTTCTGGAGATGATTTCATTGAATTGGCCCTATGAGGGAGAGATCTTCATGTGTCTTTAACAGATGGAAAATAGATTTTAGTAACTTGTCTGATGTCATACAGTAGTAAGTGGTAGAAATAGAATTCAAACCCAGGTGTCTCTGATCTGAAATCCATGCTCTGTACCTTCTTCACTGCCCTATCTCGGGAAAAAATGTGCCTTTTCTCCAGTGGGAAACCATTTGCATGACTTGCTTCATTTGCAGCTCTGATCTCCCACCCCTATTCTACTTTATGACAAAGAGATGGAAACTTGGGTCGGAGGTATCCTGGACCATGAAATAGAGTAAAGACTTGAATTACATTCATACAGTGGGCAGAAGATGAATGGCAGCCCTACCTGACACCAAGCCCATCGCTGTGGCCGGGCCACACTCTGCAGGCCTGCCAGTCCTCCTGGGACTCCCTGATCGTTCAGTCTAAAGTCCACCCCTCCATGTGGTCACTCATTATCTCCCTTACCTTCATGCTGCTGCTTCTTTTTCTTTTTCATAGCACTATCTACCAGTTGAAACAATATTATCATGGTTTTATTATTGTTGTCTGTCTTTTCTGCTAGAATGTAAGCTCCTTAAGAGCAGGGGCTTTTTCACCCCAATCCTCAATGCCTGGCACTTAGTGGATGCTTAACAGATATTTGTTGAATCACTGAATGGGTAAATGAAAAAATTCTTAACATGTAGTGGGACAAAAGCAGAAATAAAGATTGACTCCATCCTCCTTTTCTACAGCAACTTATGGTAAGTAAATCCCACTTTCTGGGAGTTCTACTCTCAGCTTCTGCCTTGGAGAATGACAAGTCAGTTCTCCTTACCAAAACCATGTGAACATATAGCAGTATACAAGTTGAGATCCAAACACTATTATGTAGAACTCAGTATGTTCTTATACCTTTCACCACTCTTATAAAAATTATTCATGACTTAAAAATAAAGCAAAAAGGTAGGCAGTACATTCTTTCAATGTCATTCAGGGGCCA
Organism: Homo sapiens; assembly: GCF_000001405.40. Taxonomy (NCBI): domain Eukaryota; kingdom Metazoa; phylum Chordata; class Mammalia; order Primates; family Hominidae; genus Homo; species Homo sapiens. The sequence goes on along the minus strand of NC_000008.11, from coordinate 97,133,849 downwards.
AGTCCACCCAAAGATTATTTATTAGAATGTACTTATTTTGACTCACTGCTTACTGTTGATTAAAGGTCCCAGATTTAGTGAAGTTACATGTCAACTTAAAGATGTCTAAAAGAGATGAAAATGAATTTTGTCCCATAGAACAGATATCTCAAATGTTACAGTTTATTGGCTTCTAAGACATTAACCAGTTTTTATCTAACCCAGCAATTTTATCCTAATATATATTTATTAAGTTGCACAGACTTGGTTTCTCAAATGCTCTTTAAAATGGTGTAACATCTTACTGATATTCTCATTAATTAATGAATTGAATAAATTTTTTGACATGCATGAGATTCATGATTTTACCATTTAGAAAATTGTATTACTTTACCACCACCCACCTAACAAACTCTAAAAGAACAATCACGTTCATATGCTTCTTGCAAATGTTAAGTGACTCACAAAGTCCCCATTCATGATTTTATACACAATTACTCTAATGATTAAGAGCACTGAACAAACTGATCACCAATATAAGGGCTGGCCTTCAGGTAGAAAGTGTGCCTTCCCTCTGTATGTAGTTCATGGTCTCTAGGTATGAGGAGTATTGGGGGAAAATAAATATAAATTACATATATGTATTTACATGTGCATAAATATAAATATATGTATATATGGAGAGAGAGTATATATAGGTATATATGTGTGCATGTGTCTGTATGTGTATAAAATGAGGCTCTTCTTCAATACCTACCTATACTCCTTAATAACCTCTATTTCTCCCTTGACCCACCTCACACCTTCCACATGACTCTAGGTTCATTATCTTTGACTTTATAATTTTCTGTGTGTGCGGGTGTGTCAAAAACATATACAGCTATAAAGAAACATCCACACCTCCTTACCACTGTATTTTGAATTGTACTCGTGTTTATATGTCAGTCTCAGTTTATTGTGTTCACCTTTGTCTATACAGAATTTATTGCCCACTCTCTTTTCATGGTCTGACGTCAATAAAGTTCCCTCTTCACCCATCTGAGCCAGCATGACTCCTTGTAAATGCCTTTCTGCAGCTCTGTCCACATCTAGGGAATGATGCTCACTGAGGAAACATCATTAAAAATTGTTTCTGACAGAGCACACCATGAGAACATTCAGTGCATATGGGTTTTCAAACCTGAAAACACCCTAAAGATTATTTCCAGTGTAGAGTTTATAATGAAAGCTTTAAAATAATCATGCTTTAGTATAATCATGTTCAAATGGACAGATTTTTGATAGCTGGCTACAAACACAAGGAGGTTACAAAGCCACAGTGCAGTGGAAGTCAGGTTTTAGCAGAGATGACATTTGAACTTAAACATTTTTCCCCACCTCTTCCTGTCTACCTCCCATTCTTTTGGCAACCAGAAACAAGGGAATTAGAAAAGTGGGAAGTATTACAAGAAAATGCTGTTTCTGACCAAATTCCCATCTGAAATCGGAATAGTTTAGCAGGACTGTTTGGCAGGAGTGCTGCACAGATGCCCAGGTGACACAATGGAGCTGGAGTCCCAATTTTGTCAGCCATTGTTAATGCTTATGGTATTGGGGGCCAGCTGGTTCACAGTAATATGAGATAGGTCACAAGGGAGAATCCACACACCTCTGACCAGTGGTTTTCACTTCCACATGGCCAAGCTGATGAGTTTATAACATCCACATTTTATCATAGAGCACTTAAGCACATAGAGTCTAGGAAAAAAGAAACCCTGGCTTTATGAGAAGAAGCCTTGACTAACTAATTCTTTACAACCTTTAAAAAGGTTTAAAAATTATAGGCAAGAAAAAGGGGATATTTTACCTTTCAAAGAAACTTTGATGAAACTATACTAATAATCAAAAAGGTTGAGTTTCCTTGGCATTGAAGGGAATGTTTTGCTGTGAATGGGAAACTAACTGGATATGAGACAAAAAACAGAAGCAACAGGTGTTTCTCTATAAGCAGATCCACTTACGGACTGGTATTATTGTTTGGAATTGGAATCAGTCTTAGGAACCTATAAGGGTCCTTCCAGTTACAAGATGCTGTTAATTTCCCCTATTCTTCCCAACAAGTAGGGCAGGCTAAAATTGTTCTTTTAAATGACTCTAGTAGAAATTCATAGTGATTAAGCTATAATGAGAAATAAAATTATTTTAGAGAGGGTGTGCCCAACAATTTTAGGGGTGATGTCAAAGTGGCAGCAGCCCTCCACAAAATGCCTCTGGGGGCCACTGTCAGAAGTAGAATTATAGCTAGAGGGACCAAGAGTCTGAAACAAAATGGGCTTTTTTCATTTCCAGATATCACAGGGTCAAGGTCACAAGAAACTCTACCATGGATAATAATAGGTAGACATATAAAAAAGTCTTACTACTAAAAAATCCTATCTAAAAATGTGCATTAGATATAAGCTTAAATGCTAATGAATAATATGTATCATGTTCAGAAAAATGAAGACGGTGTCATGTGAATTTCTTTAGAGGCAGCTCTGGCCAATGAAGAAAATTGATCTGTGTGAGAGCCTTTGGATTCCTTTATATTTTCCATATTTGCTTATGTGTCAGACAGTATGGATTTATCCAAAATAAGTGTGTCTATGCTTTTGTATAAGGCAGTTGGTTACAAAAAAGATGACAACTACTTGGCTGATGCTACAAAATATTAGTGAGGTTTTTCCCAAACCAGGTTCTGAGGGAAGAACTAAAAGGAAGACACAAGGCGAATTACCCTTGCTTCAAACCATAATCCTTGAAGATGAAACAAAGTTAGAAGTTGCCAACTATGAAAAATTGGGTGAATGTTAGCTAAATGTTCTAATATGCTTTCGTTTTATTTATGCAAGTAGGCTTTTCTTTCTTGGTCACCTGGCAGCGTCCCATTTGGCAGCTCAACGCAGCCTCTTTAACTGACTACCTGATGAAGAGATGCAAATTTTTTTTTTTGACACAAAACCTTCTAAAATATAACCTACTATAAATCATTATGCAGTGAGGGAATGAATAGGCAAACCATGAAAAGCTTTGTGAATTCCAAAACAAAGGGAAACAAATGTGTTAAGAAGCAGCCTGGGAAATGAATATGCTCTTAATGCAAATACATTTCACTTAAAGTAAAAGGTTGGTTCAAGGAATATCCACTAATTGCCAATGCTCATGAAAAAATCTTGACCCAAAGAAATTCATTTGTAGGAAATCTACAAGCTGAGAGGTAAATTTAGCATTTAAAGGTAGCTAAATTCCCACTGCTGTTTATGGTTGACCCACGTTAATATAATTTTTTAGGACAATCCTTATGATGAAGAAACAGTGATTATTCTCAGTAGCCACACAAAATATAATTAAAGTACATTTGATCAAATGCTTCTCTGGTGAGATAAACTGCAATTTACACATTTTTGTGGAAAAAAAAAAAAAAAAAAAAAACAGCTGACGATGATAGAGGAAGCTAATGCTACTTTGTCGGGTAACATGCCATTAGCTGTTTCATCATTTATACTCAAACTCCAGAATTACGGGGCAAGGTAAACGATGCTTGAGATTTGCTGCTGCAGATGCCAGGGACGAGTTTATAAATAACACCAGGAGTCCTGCTGTTTCACCTCCTGAGTCATTTTTTCTCTAAAGCCTTTAGAATTCTTGATAAAAGGTGGAGAGGAAAGCGTGCTGTCCTTTACTAACTAATTAAACTGGTAAAAAGGCCTCATGATGGAGGACATGGAACATGAAGCATGAATTATTTCTTATTTAATAATTTCGTATAGCTGAGAAATAATCATCCAGCTGCTGTAAAGAGGTTAAATGACTACTCAGAATGATCACAGTTACGTTTACAATGTATCAACCTTTCACTCATTTTTGCATCCATAGCAGGGCAGCGACTAGTGCAGCAGGACTTGCGTAGAAGGATTTTGGAAAGGGCACCATATTCATTCATCTTATATCTACTGAGCTCCCACTAAGTGCCAAGTACCTTGCTAGGCCCTGGGGAAAGAGTGGTGGGCATAATTTACCAGATGCCTGCTCTCACGGAACTTTCAATCTAGGGGAGTACATCTGTGGAAATGAGGTTGACTGGAATATAAAAGAGCACAGCTAAAAACTACTTGAGATTCTGCAGATAAAGCTTAACAAGAAAAAAGCCTCATTTTCCCTAAGTTCCTGATTGTAATGCAGTGGAGATTGTTTATGGGTATGTTAGTGGATGGCACAGGCTGTTTCGCTGTGAGCGTGGTACAGAGATTGGGAAATAGCATTCCTACTTTTTGTTTCCGGAGTAAATGATACATGGTTTAATGATGAAACAAGTAACAAAATCATAACCACAATCATAGCCAGGATTTACTAAGTACTTTCTATGAGCCTGTACTAAACACTTACAGGCATTATCTTATCAAAGCCTCACAATGATTCTATAATTATTATTATCCTCATTTTACAGATGAGTAAACTTTGGCTTTAAGGTAATAATGATGATTATAAGCAAAAGAGTCTGGTGAGAGGATGTGTAGGCCGTTTTACTTGGTGCTGAATTCATATTTACTCATCTTAGGGAGAAGACTACAGGAGTGGGGAGTCCTGGCCCCAGAGTGGAGTGAGAGGGCAATTCTGTGAAGCTGCCATCCTCAGATGGCCCCTGCCCACATCAGCACCCATCTTTTCTTTCCAGGGAACTTCTCATATGAATCTGTGCTTTTTGAAATCCCTTCTATTAGATTTCATGTCTCACTTGTAAATTTCCAAAATGATATCCTTCTCTTTCTTCTGATTCAGACCCACATGCCTGGTGACAGACATCTAACCACTCTGCTGGTTTAGGGGTGAATCCCACTCTGTCTATGGTGGGTAGGTTGTCAGAATGGCTACTGACCCTCCTAATATTTAGACTCACTTCCCCCTGTGGAGAAATGTCTCCTGCCCTTGGAAGCTTTCTTTTCACATAATCAGGACTGGGAAAGAACTTCTCTAGTCCAACCATCATCTAATGTTTAAATCACTTCATAATATCCCTAATATATGGCTGTTGAGCCTTTTCTGAATACCTCTACTTTCCACAGTAGTGCATCCCAATTGCTCTCCAGGCGTGCATTCATTCAACTTACAACTATGTTCGTAAAATAAGCTGAGGAGAAAGTTTTTTCTGTTTGTTTGTTTGTTTTTTTGAGACAGAGTTTCGCTCTGTTGCCCAGGCTGGAGTGCAACGGCACCATCTCGGCTCACTGCAACCTCCACCTCCCAGGTTCAAGCGATTCTCCTGCCTCAGCCTCCTGAGTAGCTGGGATTACAGGTGCCTGCTACCACACCTGGCTAATTTTTGTATTTTTAGTAGAAACGAGGTTTCACCGAGTTGGCCAGGCTGGTCTTGAACTCCTAACCTCAGGTGATCCACCTGCCTTGGCCTCCCAAAGTGCTGGGATTACAGGCTTGAGCCACTGTGCCTGGCCAAGGAGAAAGTTTTAAGCAAAGGACTATGACAGTTGCACCAAGCACCCACCCTTAAGGAGGCCCAAATAGGAGAGCTAGGACTTACACACCAGGAGCAAAACATGAGATCCAAAGTTAGAGCTCAGAAGACAGAAAGGTCAGTTCCTATTGTGATGCCCAATCAGATCAAAACAACCCATGCTAATTTCCTAATTCTCTGAGTGACTAAAGGAATTCATAGTGCTGCAAAACCTTGGGAAAGAGCTAGAGAACAGTAAGTGCTAATATTGCTTCTATCATGAACAACAAAATAGCTGCTTCTTTTTATGCAAAATTTGAATAGAATAGAAAATACTCATTCTAAGTGTATATTTGACAAGTTTTGGCGAATGAACACACCTGTGTGACTACTACAGCAATAAGACACAGAACATTTCCATCACTCCTAAAAATTCACTCATGGTCCTTTTCAGTCCATTCCTTCCCACCCCCGTCTCGGGCAACCATTGGTTTGATTCCTGTCACTATTGATTAGGCTTGCCTTTCCTATACTTTTGCCTGAAAGGAATCATACAGTGTGATCTCTTGTGTCTGGCTTCTTTTGCTCAGCATAATGATTTGGGAATTCATCCACATTATTGCATAGTTTGTTTGTTTTGGACATTTTAGTGAATGTTAGCAATGTCTTGTCTTGGTTTTAATTTGTATTTCTTTTTCTTTTTTTCATTTTTTTTGGGATGGAGTCTTGCTCTGTCACCCACGCTGGAGTGCAGTGGCGAAATCTCGGCTTACTGCAGCCTTCACTTCCCAGGTTCAAGTAATTCCCGTGCCTCAGCCTCCTGAGTAGCTGGGACTACAGGTGCGTGCCACCACGCCTGGCTAATTTTTGTATTTTTTGTAGAGATGGGGGTTTCACCATGTTGGCCAGGCTGGTCTCAAACTCCTGACCTCAAGTGATCTGCTGGCCTTGGCCTCCCAAAGTGTTGGGAGCCACCACACCTAGCCTTAATTTGTATTTCAATGATGACTAATGATCTCAAGCACCTTTTCATGTACTTACTGGGGATTGGTGTATCTTGTTTGTGAAATGTTTGTTAAAATATTTTGCTCATTTTTTCTTGTTAGTCTCCTTTTAATTGAGTTGTGAGAGTTACAAGTCCTTTGTCAGACGTATGTATTGTATTTTCTCCTCTGTGGCTTGCCTTTCATTTTCTTAATGATATCTTCCAAAGAGTGGAAATTTTACTTACGATGATGTCCAACTTATCAATTTCTTTAAATGGTTAGTTCCTTTAGTAATCTAAGAAATCTTTACCTAACCTGAGGTCAAAAGATTTTTCTCCTATATTTTCTTCTATAATTATCATAGTTTAAGATTTTACATTTAGGTTTATGATCCATTTTGAGTTAATTTTTGTGCAGGGTATGAGATAAGGGCTAAGGTTCATTTTTTTCCCCTTAAGGATATCTGTTTTAACACTATTTGTTGTAAAGACTATCCTTTTCCCGTTGAATAACCTTGTACTTTTGTAAAAAATTAAGTGACCATATACGCATAGACCTATTCTATTCCACTGATCTGTCTATTCTTATGCCAATATGCCAATACCACATGACTTTGATTATTGTAGATGAAAGTTTTTGAAATCAGAGTAAGTCCTCAAATTTTTTTTCTCCTTTTCAAAATTTTTCTTTCATTTATTTAAGTCTGCTTAAAAATCTCCTAAATTTTACATGTATTTTATTAAAATTATTCTTGAGTATTTCATGTTCTTTGATGTTATTTTTTAAAATATTATTTGCTAGTTTTTAGTATACAGACATAAACTTTAATTTTGTATATTGTGACCTTGCTAAGTTTACTTCTTGCTTCTAGCAGCATATGTTTGTAGTTTTCTTAGGATTTTCTATGTACTGTGAAAGTTATCAGAATAAAAATGAAGGCATAAATGTTATGAAAACCCAAACAAATACAGCTAGGGAAGGTCACGAAGAGAGGGTTCTCATGCTTGCATGCCTGATAACAAAAAAGACCGCTAAAACCACAACTTTGCACAGAGACCATCAAGACTTTGCATAAAACTTACTTCTGTAAGTACATCTGCCCAGCAGCTACCTGTCCAACCTCAGAAGGTGTCACTCTTGCTATTTTTTATTATTATTTTTTTAAATTATAGGGTTAGTGGGTACAAGTGCAGAAGACGTGTATATATTGTGCAGTTGTGAGGTCTGGGCTTTTAGCGTACCCATCGCACCCTTCTTATTGATCTTTGTAGTCAAGGATAATTATTTTAAAACAATTATGTAATCTTCCTCATTTTTTCCTTGAAAAAGCTTTGTCTTCCTTTACCTCCCTGAATACACACATAGTTAACTACAGCCTAGGTATTTCCATTGCAAAGCTCTATTCCCAGATAAACATCTTTCTTTCACAGAGCCCCTCTCTTTTAGTTATTTAGGTTGACAGTACACAATTCTGTTGTTTATTCATAATAATAATTTTACTACTTCCTTTGCAATCTGTAATCTTTGATTTCTTTATCTTGTCTAATTATACTAGTTGGTACTTGCAATATGATGTTTAAATAGAAGTGGTGAGAACGGGAATCTTTGTCTTATTCCCCATCGTAGTAGGAAAGCATTCACTCTTTCATAATTAAACTGAAGATTTGACATCACTGCCTTTTAACAGGTCGAGGAAGCTGTCACTATTCCTAATTTTCCAAAAGTCATTATTATGAATGGGTGTTGAATTTTGTGCAATGCTTTTTATGCACCTCCTGAAATGATCATACTCTTTCCTTTATTATGTTAATGTGGTAAATTATATTGATCGATTTAAAAATATTAAACCAACCTTAAATTTCTAAGATAAATGCCACTTGAACATAGTATATTATCCAGTTTACATATGGCTGAATTTAATTTGCTTATATTTTGTTAAGAATTTTTGTGTCTATATTTATGAAGGATATTGGTCTATAGTTTTCTTACCATATCTTTGGTTTTGATATCAGTGTCATACACGCCTTATAAAATGAGTTGGGAAGTATTTACCTCTTTCTCTGTTTTCTTAAAGTTTGCATAGTCATGTTATTATTTATCCTTTAAATGGTTCACAGAATTAATTAGGGAACTACCTGGGCCTGGGGTTTTCTTTGAGTAAAGGCTTTTACTTATGAATTCAATTCATTTAATTTATAGGAGTATTTAGGTTTTTTATTTCTTCTTGAATCAGTATTAGCAATTTGTCTTTTAAGGAATTTATGCATGTCATCTGCGTTGTTGAATTTTTTGTATATGTTTGTTCATTAGAGTCCTTTAGTGCCCTTTTAATGACGTATGTGTAGTCATGTGTCCTGTTTCACACCTGAGATTGCCAGTTTGCATCTTCTCTTTTTTCTTGACCAGCTTGATAGTTTATCAGTTTTATAGCTTTGTTTCAAAAAGTCCGTTTTAAAATTCATTGATTTTCTCTATTATTTATTATTTTCTATTTCATTGATTTCTACTTTTTTCTACGTACTTAAGGTTAGTATTTTTGTTGTTGTTGTTAGCTTCTTAATGTGGAAGCTAGATCACTGATTTTAGAACTTTCTTCTTTTCTAACATAAGCATTTAACCTACACATTTCCATCTAAGCACTGCTTTAGCTTCATCCCATACACTGGGATATATTGTGTTTTTATTATCAATAAGGTTCAAATAAATTCTAATTTCCTGGTGATTTCTTCTTTGATCTATGGCTTATTTAGAAGTGTGATATTTAATTTCCAAGTATTTGGGAATTTTCTTGATATCTTAATGCTTTTGACTTCTTACCCAATTCCATGGTGGTCAACAAACAGACCTCATATAATTTTAATCCTTTTAAATTTGTTGAGAAGCTTTTATAACCCAGCATATAGTCTATCATGGTGAATACCCCATGTGCACTTAAAAAGAATGTACACCCTGCTGTTGTTGAATGCAGTGTTCTGTAATATCAATTTGATCAAGTTGATTGATAGTATTGTTTGAATCTTCCATATCCAGACTTTCCAGCTACTTGTTCTAACAACTGCTGAGAAGTGTTGAAATTTCCAGCCACAACTATAGATGTGTGTATTCTTTCAATTCTGTCAGTTTTTTCTTCATGTAGTTTTCAAAGCTTGTAATTGAATGAATTTACTTTTTTTTTTTTTTTTTTTTTTTTTTGAGACGGAGTCTTGCTCTGTCGCCCAGGCTGGAGTGCAATGGTGCAATCTCGGCTCACTGCAACCTCCACCTCCCCAGCTCAAACGATTCTCCTGCCTCAGCCTCCAGAGCAGCTGGGATTACAGGTGTCCACCACCAAGTCCATCTAATTTTTGTTTTTCTTTAGTAGAGATGGGGTTTCACCATGTTGGCCAGGCTGGTCTCAAACTCCTGACCTTGTTGTGATCTGCCCACCTCGGCGAGTGAATTTACTTTTAAGATCACTGTGTCTTATTGATGAATAGATTATTTTACCATTATAAAATGTCCCTCCTCCTCTCTAATAATGTTCTCTATTTTGAAGCCAACTTTTTCAGATAGTACAATTATGACAGCCTTCACGTATACAGAATTTGCTGTATATCTTTTTCTATCCATTTATATCTAACCTAGCTATTTTTATATTTAAAATATTTTTTTTGTAAATAGCATATAACTGAATCTTGCTTTTTTTATTCAGTTTGACGATTTCTGTCTTTTAATGGGGCATGGTTAGTCTATTTATGCCTAATGTAATTACTGATATATTGAGTTTGTATTATATCATCTTGATTTTTTTGTACCTTATTCTTTATTCTTTCACTGTTCCTTTCTTCCTTTCATTTCATATGAGGTTTTTCTTTTCAAATTCCATCTCATCTTTTCTATGGCTTATTGGCTATACCATTTTTTAAAAATGGTTGCTCTAGCATTTACAATATGCATTTTAACTATCACAGTCTTCATTAGATATGTACTTCATATATTTAAGAATTCTACAATAGTATACTTCCACTTATTCTCTTTTCTTTTATGCTATTATCATATATTTTTTCCTATTATATCATTATTATATCTTTATTATTTTTTATTTGAACAGTCCATTTACTTTTCAAGCTATTTTAAAAACCAAAATGCCTTTTATATTTACTCACTATTTTATTTTATTTTATTTTTATTTTATTTTATTTATTTTATTTTATTTTATTTTATTTTATTTTTTATTTTATTTTATTTTATTTTATTTTATATTTTATTTTATTTTATTTTATTTTATTTATTTTATTTTATTTTATTTTATTTATTTTATTTTATTTTATTTTATTTATTTTATTTTATTTTATTTATTTTATTTTATTTTTTTTATTTTATTTTATTTTATTTATTTTATTTTATTTTATTTATTTTATTTTATTTTATTTTATATTTTATTTTATTTTATTTTAATTTTATTTTATTTTATTTTATTTTATTTTATTTTATTTTATTTTATTTTATTTATTTTATTTTATTTTATTTTATTTTATTTTATTTTATTTTATTGAGACAGAGTTTCACTCTGTTGCCCAGGCTGGAGTACAGTGGTGTGATATTGGCTCACTGAAACCTCTGCCTCCTGGGTTCAAGCGATTCTCCTGCCTCAGGCTGCTGAGAAGCTGGGATTACAGGTGCACGCCACCATGTCCGGCTAATTTATGTATCTTTAGTAGAGATGCGATTTCAGCTTGTTGGTCAGCCTGTTCTCAAACTCCGGACCTCAATGATCCGCGTGCCTTGGCCTCCCAAAGTGCTGGGATTACAGGCATAAGCCACCACACCCAGCTTACATATTTATTAATTTAGAAACTTTTCTCTTTTGTGCAAATCTGAGTTCCCATTATTTTATTTTGACTTGATAAATTCCCTTCGACATTTCTTAGAGTGGTGAAAAAATTGCTCATCAAATTTTGTTTGTCTAAAAAATTCTTAATTTCATTCTTATTTTTGAGGAATATTTTTGCTGATTATAGAATTCTAGGTGGGCAGATTTTTGTTCACGCACTTTAAAGATGTCACCCATTGTCTTCTACAAGACATTGCATTTTCTCAAAAAACATCAGTGATTATTCTCATCTTTTTCTTTTTTATATAATGTGTTTCAACTCTCTGGAGGCTTTTAAGTTTTTTTTGTATTGCTGCTTTCTGACTAGTTGATTGTAATGATTTTCTTGTCGCTTATCATGCTTGGGTTTTATTGAGTTTCTTGGATATGTCAGTTTATAGTTGTTATTACATTTGGAAAAATTGTAGTCATTAATTCCTCAGGTTTTTTTGCCATTACCCTGACATTTTCTGGGACTCCATTTACATATATGTTAGTCTGCTTGATGTTGTCCCACAGGTCATGGAGACTCTGTTTATTTTTATTTAAAAATGAGACTCTGTTCTTATTTTTACAAGAGCCTTTTTATCTTCAGCCTCATTTTATCTTCAGTTTGAATTGCTTCTATCACTATCTTTTCGAGTTCATGTATCTTTTATTTGGCAGTATCTAATCTACTGTTGAGCCCATAAGGTGAATTTTTTTATTTCATATATTGTATTTTTCAGTTATAGAATTACATTTGATTCCTTTTCTATAGTTTCCATTTCTCTTTTCATTATGTTTCTGATTTCTCTTAAATCCTTGAATATATGTATAATAGTTGCTTATAGTGCCTGTCTACAAATTTCATCATCACTATCATTTCTAGGTCTGCTTCTCTTCAGTGGGTGTTCTAGTTGTGGGTCATATTTTCTTGCTTCTTTACATGTCTAGTAATTTTTGATTGAATGATAGATATAATAAATTTTACATGTTGAGTGTCTGTCTAGATTGTCTTTTTTTCCTTTAAAAAGTGTTGGCTATTGTTTTGGCAGCTCTAGATGTACTTGATCCTTTCAAGTCTTGTTTTTAAGTTTTACCAGAGTGAGTCTAAAATAATCTTGATTCTAGGGCTAGTTTAGCCTTACTATTACACCAAGGCCCTTCTAGGGTCTCTGTTCAATTTACTATATACCCAACAAGTTCTTTCCACTTTGGCTTCCTGTTGTCCAACAACAACCTTCCTGTTGTCCAAGGTATGAAATTAGTTGTTTGATATATTTTGTCCAGTTTTCCTTTTTTCTTTCATTTTATGGCAAAGGACAAGTCCCAAACCAGTTTTTCTCTAATGGCCTGAGGCAGAAATTCTTATTAGTTTCTTGAAGGTAGAACACATGTTATGTATTGCTCTTGCTCCTACATTTCAGCACCTGACAGTTGCTTTACTTGTCAATACAGCACTGTAACTATTTAGTAGCAAAATTATAAAGTCAGTGCCACTGAGTTTGAATATTGACTCCAAATATAGCAGCTTGTGACATGAGGTAGGATATTTTACTTCTCTGTGCCTTAATTTCTTCATCTGTAATACAGAAATGAAAATAATTATACTTACCTTTTAGGTTTTAGCTTCAATGAGTTAATGAGTTAGAATGCTATGGGGCACATGGTAATGCTCAATATGGTAGCTATTGTCAGTATCATTATTACTCATCATCAAAAGGCCAGTTAGCTTATTTCTGTATGACTGATCCTTTTATTAAAAATCTCATGCAGATAATTAGAGCAAGTTAGTTAATGAAATCACATATTGTTTCATTGTTATTTTAAAGAATCTTTTGTCCTGTCTCTCCCTGTCAATTGTAAGTACCAAGGAACATTAAGCTCCTAAACTGAGAACAGAAGACTTTGACCAAAGCCACATCATAAGATCTAAGGGGATTATAAGTGCATTGTATTCTTCATCTTTCCATCCAGGTTAGCAGTGAAAAAGCATTTGTGTACTGGATTTCTAACAATGAGATTTTATTGGAACTGCACTAGTGGCAATAGATCAGTAAAGGAATGTGGCAGTGAATAAACTTGTAAAATGAAGAATCATTTTATAGAGCAAATGATTGCCCACTAATTTATCTGTGCCATAAATCTGGAGTTGTGTATAGAGGGATCAGTAAAGGAATAGATCAGTAAAGGAATAGATCAGTAAAGGAATGCGGCAGTGAATAAGCTTGTAAAATGAAGAATCATTTTATAGAGCAAATGATTGCCCACTAATTTATCTATGCCATAAATCTGGAGTTGGGTATAGAGGGTCTATAAATGGGCTGCACCTGGGCCGAGGTAACTTTCAGAGGCCAGCCTTAGCCTCCTTATGTGGCTGCTTTCAGCCACATGAAGAGCTGCTCCTTTAGGGAGATCCTCCCTAGAGGTTTGAGGGGATTCTTGGGGAAAAAGGAGGTCCTAATATTTATACGTGTTAGACAAAGTTTTGTTATTTACTTGTGTATGTTCTTAGTCAGCCTGGATATCAGTCATGTGTCCAAGAATAAAATATAAATTCAAGTTTTAACAGAAACAAGCCTATCTTTGGTATTTGCTCTGTAAACCAGCTTATGTGCTACCACCACTACTGTTCTGTCTTGTCCCTCCTCATGTGCCCAGAAGGCCCCTCTGTCTTGATCATGGACTAAAATGGCTAGCTGCCAGGTGACCTCAGCAGAGATGTTGGCATGATCTGAAGTTCATGTCTTGTAAATGTTAATGACAGTCTTCAGAGGATAAAGGGATAAAGAAACAATTAAAACTCACTCCTGACTGGGTACTGTGATTAAATTAGATTCTGGTGCAGTATCTTAGCTTTTGATGTAGTGTCACGATGCAGGGGTCTGTATGCTATCGCTGTTCTAAGTAATCCCCCACTGAGGTACATGAGGGAACTAATTTCAGAGAATAATAATAACACATCAGTCATCATTTCTGAGTCATCTAACAGCATCCACCTTATGAGTAATACTTTGAATTTAAATCATCTTTCCTCCAGAAGAGATCAATGATTTTGTTTTCTTATCTATCTTAACAACATTTCTGTGAGGAAAGAAGGGGCTGGATTTGTATTCCCCCCCACCATTTTTTTTTTTTTTACAGTGTAAGAAACAGAATCAGAAACAATAAATCATTAACCTGAGATCACATAGTGACACAGAACCTAAAAGAATCCTGGATCTTGGACTATCTTTTTTTTTTTTTTTTTTTTTTGAGATGGAGTCTCACTCTGTCGTCCAGGCTGGAGTGCAGTGGCACCATCTCAGCTCACTGTAACTTCTGCCTCCTGGGTTCAAGTGATTCTCCTGCCTCAGCCTCCAGAGTAGCTTGGATTGCAGGCACCCATTACCACGCCCAGCTAATTTCTGTATTTTTAGTAGAGTCAGGGTTTCACCATGTTGGCCAGGCTGGTCTTTAACTCCTGACCTCAGGTGATCCACCCTCCTTGGCCTGCCAAAGTGCTAGGATTACAAGTGTGAGCCACCACGCCTGGTCCTGGGCTATCAATCTTACATTTCAGGGTCAGAGACTAAATATTTTAGGTTTAGTGGGCCATACAGTCTCTGTTGCAAAACAATCACTCAACTCTGCCATTGTTGCATGAAAGCAATCATAGAGTATGCAAATGTAAATGAACAAGCATGGCTGGTCATGAGGACTGGAGATATTATACACGTATATATATAATGCTATATATGTACATGTTTATATATTATGTGTGTATATATGCTATATATAGCACATATGTGTGTGTACCTATATATAACATATATACACACATATACAATTTTTTTCTTTGAAAAACAGGCAATGAGCCAGACTTAATCCAAGAGCAACAGTTTGCCAACCCTTGTACTAAATCATGACACATGCTAAATGCTACCTCAAGCTGTGAGGACCATTACGTGACGGCAGAATGTGACATTTGTACATGCTTCCTACATTATCACTTGATCTTCACAAGAACCCTGCTATGTAGGTTTTTAATGACTTTCCATTTTATATAGAGGAAGCTAACAGGTTAACTCACTTGTCCTAAACAACATTGTTGTAATGAAGTATGAAAACTATAGCATGAGTCTCCTGACTTTTAATATTTCTCCTCTGCTAGCTGTTCCATGGGAAATTCCTACCTATGCTTTCATTTTCACAGAAAGAAATCCAAGGACCTGGGGAGGCTGAATTGATTTCTCTGGGGTCAGTGACCTATTACTGACTGAGCCAGGACTAGAATCACCATCTGGTGGCTGCCAGGCTGGTCTTAGATCCTTTCACATCATTGTGAACATTTTCCAGAAAAAAAGGCATAAGTAGATATAATAATAGTATTCCACTGTAGTTCATTCTTTCAACTTCCTTACATTATACTATTTTATAAATGATCTCTTTGATGTACCAAAAGGTACCTCAATACTAAATAAATGATTTTTGATTCACTTTATCTTTTTGACTCTCTAATTTTCAAATTCCAACTGGCTTGTAAAACTCTTATTGGCACACTGCATGACCTTTTATTTAATTTTATTCTTTAATGCAGCCTGAAGATAACATCTTCAACCATAGAACTTAATTATCTCTTCCAATCCAGGGAATGTGTGAATCAGAAGGAAAACAAATTGATAAAGAGGTCTCCTTGGCTTTAACTGGCACTTTAAAATGGGTGTGTAGAAATCAGAATGGGCTGGGCACTGTGGCTCGTGCCTGTAATCCTGGCACTTTGGGAAGCTAGGTTTCTTTGAATTTAAATCATCAAGACAGGATAATTGCTTGAGACTGGAAGTTTGAGACCAGCCTGGGCAACATGATGAGACCTCGTCTCTACAAAAAAATAAAAATAAAAAATTAGCCAGGTGTGATGGCACATGCCTGTAGTCCAAGCTACTTGGGAGGCTGAGGCAGGGGGATTGCTTGAGCCTGGGAGGTGGAGACTGTAATGAGATGTGGTTGCACCACTGTACTCAAGCCTGGGTACAGGGCAAGATCCTGTCTCAAAAAAAAGAAGAATATTAAAAAGTAATTAATAATAATAAAGAAATTGTCATGATTTCTAGGGTCTCTCCTAGCTCTATTGGAACATGGTAGATGATAAGGTAACCAACTGTCTTGGCTGGCCTGAGGTTGAGGAGTTTCCTAGAATATAGAACTTTTCAGTGCTCAAACCAGAAAAGTCTCAGGGAAACTGAGATGAGATAGTCACTCTAACTGCTGAATAAATGTTTGTTGAATGAATTGACAACTAACTCTGCATCCCCTCATCTGGAATAGGGACTGGGGAACTGGGAGAAGAACAGGAGGGCTGTCCAACTTCTTGGCAGCACTTGAGCATAAAGAGAACCTCATGATTTTATAAAAAATCAGATCCAAATATATTAAAATGTCTAAAAATATACATGAAAAACCAGCCCAAAGACAAATATAAATCAGTCTGAATAATTATCGCTACATTTCCCACTCATTGGTGAAAATCTTGTAATTCATCAGTTAGCCTGAAACACACGTAAACAAAGGTCATTCAGCTCCAACCATAACAAGAGGCAACTGAAAGCACTTAGCTGAAGGCAGTGCTCAACATGGAAATCTACCCACAAACTACTGGTTATCATCAATTCCTGGACCCAACAGAGCATCCAGTTGCCAACAGAGGATCTACAGCAAGCCCAAAGGCCATAGGCCAAAGGACAACTGAGCTTTCTCTTAGGCCTCCTATTATCTACCTTTCTGTGATGATTCTGGTTTTGCAAATTTGGACTGGCTGAGAAGACCTCCTCTGTATTTCCCAACTTTGGGAGAAGGAGCTTCTATTATTTTCATTAGAATCCAAATCTCTACATGTTCCTTTGTTGTAGATGGAGTTAATGTTCCTGCCACGGGGTTTCATTTATATCACAGGTCAGCCACACTCTCTGCCTTGCAGAAAGTTAAAAGAAAATACCAGAGGGATCCACACAGTCCTGCACTGGAGCAATTGCTAACATACTAAGCAGCCTTAAGAACCACAAATTTCTAAAAATTTGGAAAAAAACCATGTTAAGGGTTTTCAGACTTTCCCTACAGAAATAGTCACCACTGAAGGCCTTATTCTAATTTTCAGTTATAGCTGGTGTCTGTTTATTTAAGACCTTGGTTAGAAAAATTCAGTTTAATATGCATCAGTGAATTCTGTTGCCATTACAGGCTGGCCAACCATGGTAATGAATCTGGCTGGCTCTTATTTTAGAGTCTGAATTAGCATATTCAGGGGACATTCTCCCTGACTGTCACACTGTCCTGAGGAATTCAGACATCTAACTTCATGAGGGATATGCCTAGCCCCTCTTCACTACCTCCCAGGCCACCAATAACCTGTAATTCTTGAGACCTGGATGTCTTTGACTTTTGTCTCCATAATTCTTACTTTGGTCTTAACTTTTCCTATTTCCTTTTCTGAGTCCATTACTCAAGGCCCTATCATTTCTTTTTCTGTCTCTTTTCTTCCTGTCTGCATTTTCCTTGACCCCTTCTCCCTTTTCAATTTATAGCCTGTCAGCCTCACCCATTTTGCTTTGTTATTTTACTCCCTCCTTTTAAGTGTCCTTGCCTTTATTACCAAACTTTTCATACTCTTTTGCAACTTATTCCTTGTTTTCCACTTGGAATTTCTTTAAAAATTTAAAAAAACAATTATAACCATTTTTTCAATACACCTGATTTTTAAAGTAGAAACTCCATTTCTTTAGTGTGTGAAGCACAGAGGTAAAGACATAAATTAACTAGAGCTGGCTGAGATGGGAAACAGAAAGCCAATTTGTAACCTTGTGCCATAATGAATATGAAGCAGGTGGTGATAGTATGAATACATACCTACATCCAGCTTAGCACACGCTGTACCCATCAGGTACATACAGCCATGCCCAAAGGAAATCAATTTCTCCTTCACCGAATGCCAAATGAAGGCTAAGTCAGGTACTGATCAACTATTTCGAGAACAAATTTAAAAATGGCACAGACGTTTTCAAATTGCCATGAAGTCTGGTTTCAACAACATGAATACCTGAGTCAGCTGAGGATATTCCTACCCGGTAACTAATGTCTATGCAATGGCTGAAGTGCTCTGGGGTATTCTTCTGATCCCCAAACATTCTGCTAACTGAGCAACACAGGCCCACTAACTAGAGTAAAATTGCTTCGGGTTGATAAACCTTCAACAGTTTCCCTGAGTTTTCAGCAGGCTCACACTCACCCCTGCCAATATAGCTTTTGATTACAAAACACAACAGTTAGGTAGTGCAGGTAACAGTAATTATCTTGGTAATTAGATTCTGTCATGCACTGTATACTCTGGACCTTGAGCTTTGTGCAATAGAAGAGGCACCCAGGGCATCTTTAGGGCACTTGGTCTCTTCTAGGGAGCAGGATGCTAATAAGCTTTTGCTGAAACAATGAGAAGGCATATTGCCTCTCCTGTCACACCTCCTTCCTCCCCTTTCTGGTTCAGCAAATTTCAGTTGTGTTGTAGAAAAGAAAAGAAGGGAGAAAACTGGAAATGAGGACTGTGGATGGAAACTGTCCAGGAGGAAATTCAGTTTCTGCCTTGTGCTCTGTACATTTCAAAATGGAAATGCTGTATTCATTAAACTGCCCATTCAGCAAACAATACAGGGAAACAAGATGGATTTTAGGAAAGCAGGAGGGAGGAGAAGAGTCCAGCCAGAGAGAGGAAATGAAATGAGGGCATTGTTTTTAAAGGAGACTATAAAATGTTTAACCAGAGAAAGGAAAATGCCTGCACAGATTTCACTGAAGGATGAAGGAGTGCCTCATTTCAATACTGACAACTGGCAATAACATCTCTATTGCAGCCACACAAAACTCTGCTGGTGTCTGACAAGACCGTGGTGAGTCTAGGTAATGGTATAACTTCCATGCAGTGAGTTTAATGCATTAGGATGAGGGATGAAATTCTTGATATATACTTGATATGAAGAAATACATCAGATCTCTGAGGGTAAACATAGTTACCTGGTAGTCAAAACAAGGACACAGAGAATGGAAAATAAAAAAATACTGAACACCTACTGTGTGCCAGGCACTTCCACATATTGTCTCACTTAATCCTGAAAACATGCTGGTGCAATGGCTTCATTCACAGAGGAGCAAAAAAGTTCAAGAAGATATGCAAATAGCTCAAGTTCATACAGCTGCTCAACGGCAGCGCTGAAATTCGAGGGCAAATCCCATATGGCTTCCACCCTGCCATGCTGCCTTATGAGAACACAGTCCTGTTACCTTCCAGAAAGGAAACCTGCACTATGGATCACCAACCACGTGCCAACTACTTTGAAACATACCCCTGGTTTCCTCTTCTCCTATAATTTCAACTGCACCAACATGCAGACAATTTGACAGACAAACAGTATGGGGCCTCTTCAAAGGACAATTAAATCTCCACCACTGCAATTACACAAATCTGGTGCCTGGGGTTGGGAGTATTATGAAATCCCCAGCATTTGGCATCCCTCCTTAATAGGGAAATCTCATCTGAAATCCAGAGGGATGGCTCTGGAAAGAGACAGGTAGGAACCTAAAAGAGTTTTCTTGGCTGTGCACACATGGCCTTCGTGATGGACACTCTGCTGCCCACGTTGTAGCCAAACAATACAAACCCTAAGTGTTTCCACAGTTGGAACAGGCCCAGCTCTTGAGGACTGGTCTGAGTTTCAGCAGTTTAGAAATCAACAGCACATGAACACATTTTTCTGTACCTTTAGCAGACTGGGTGAGTATCCACCAGATACGTTTTATTCCCTTAATGTTAGGTTTCAGTAGCTGATTAGAGCTGACATTTGTTGCGCTCTAACTGAGCTCAGTTGTTGTTGCCTGAGAGATGGGTGTGATTATCTCCATTTCTGGTAGAGAGATTAGGTCACTTGCCCTTAGCCACCCTCAACTGG
The DNA here is from genome assembly GCF_000001405.40 of Homo sapiens. Lineage (NCBI taxonomy): Eukaryota > Metazoa > Chordata > Mammalia > Primates > Hominidae > Homo > Homo sapiens. Next base: position 97,113,611 of record NC_000008.11, on the reverse strand, counting down.
GAATGCACCACAGAGGTTTGCTCCAGAACCTGCTCACTATGCTGCCTCCACCACATGGAACTGAATTCTCTGTTTTGCAAACTGAGGATTCAGTCCACTATCATATAATTTTGTTGTTAAGTGTTTAAGTCAGTAAACACTGTGCCTATATTCTAATTATTTGCTTTATATCCTGTAATTGCTTCTCACCAAACATTCATTCACTCATCCTCTTCATTCTAAAACACATTAAAGTCCTGTTTATGTTCCTCCTGTCTTAAACCAACCCATTCTTTTACCCCACACCCTTCTCCTGCTGCTGCTCTCTCTGTCTCCTCCCTTCAGAGCCAAGCCTCTTGAGGTTCCAGCCTGGGCGACAGCACAGGACTTGTCTCAAAAACAAAAAAAGGTCTTTCTGGGACACTGGACCTGCTTGATCATCTGCCTTCCTTGCAAAACTCTTCCCCAAGCCCTGTCATGGTAGCCTCTCTCCTGGTTGCCCCCACTCGCTGATGGCCCCGCAGTCTTCTCCATGGGCTTCTCTTTACCTGCCTGCTCCTTAGCATCCCTCCTCTTCTCCTGGGCTGTCTAACCCACTCCCAGGGCAGCATGACTAGCAAAGTTTTGATGATTTGTGACCCCAATGGTCCAGGCCTCTCCTGAGGCCCAGATACACAGCAAACTATCCCCGAAATGGCTTCCCTCTGTCCCTAGATCTGCAGCTTCTAGTCTTCCCAACTTCTGTGGGTGTGCTACGATTATCCCAGAGGCGCAAGCCTGAAACCAGAGCCCCATCCTTTACTCCTTCCTCTCCGTGACATCACTAGTGCCTCCATGTACGCCATCAGCACTGCCCCTCCCCTCATGGAAGCCATTGTCATGTCTCCTCTGTCTTCCCGCCTGTCCAGTGTTGCCCTCTGATCCATGCTGTCAGTGCTGCTGCAGCACGGCCTTTGCAAACACAAAAGGGATGCCCTCATTCCCCTGTGTGAGCTTATAAATGGCTCCCCTTTGCTATAAGTCCCTACTCTTTCTTAGAACGTACAAGAAAGGCCTGTGATGGGAATATCCTTGCTGCCCTTTTCAGCTTTGTCTTCACCACTCCCTCTCATACCTGCCACTGCTTCCTTATTGTGCCATGCTCTCAGTTGCTGGGTGCCCCCACCCATGTCCTCTGTGCCATGCCACCCTCATGGCTTCCAGCTGACTTCTGGGTAACTCTCATCAGCTTATGGGTCAGTTCTTCTCTGAGGCCTTCCCAGATGTCCTGAGCTTGGCCTCTTTGCCCCTCTCATATGCCCACAGTCCTTGTACTTTTACTAAGATGGCAGTCAGGATACTCTTTTGTAGATGACTCGTTGAGTGTCTATATCTCCTAGTAAAATATAAGCCCCAGAAGTAGACACTGTTTTCATCTTGTCTGTTGTTGGACTTCTAATTCTTACCACAGTGTCTTAGCAAAAAAAAAAATAAAAAAAAAATAAAAATAATAAAAAATAAGGCATTAAATACTTTTTAATGAATAAACATATTTTATAGGAAATGGGAGGTGAGGACAGAGTGGAGTACCAAAGCTGGAAAGGGAAAATAAGGAAGCATGGGAGGGTGGTATTCCTTGGTTCTCCAGCTGCCATTTTCCAGGGTTAAAGATGAAGGATTTCCTGGAGATCAGTGTGGACAATGGCAAGAGAAGACTCTGCTTTTCAGGCTGTTCTTCAGGAAGATATCCCAGAGCATATGAAGAAACAGACCAGGTGCTGGTTTGCTTTGACAGAGAGTGAGACAGAATAAGAGAAAAGAAACCTGGAGGGTTTTTAGACTCCTCTTGTTTTGTTCAAGATATTTACCAAATTTAAGCTGAATGTTTCTTGTCCCCCTTGGAAATGAGCATCCTGCACTGACGACATGAGGCAGGGCCATGTTACTCTGTGCCTTCCCACACACTCAGCAGACAGAATGCTCTAACATGTGCTCTTGAATGCAACCCAAGCTCTTGACTGACTGGTAAGTGATGAAACACAGTCTGAAGCAATTTATTGCTTCAAGATGATGGTAGGAGGCAGATAGTCCTGACTAGAAGTGAAATGGCTCGTTGTGAACAAGGGACATCAAAAGAGAGGCCCTGCATTGCAGCTGGCCCTCTGGGACATGGCCACAGACATCTGGGGTACACTTGTCATTTAGGGAGCTCTCTTCTGTTCTCAGATTCCTCTTTCTATTTAGAAGTCCAGGAAGCTATGAGGGAGGCCGTCATCTCATCCTGGGAAGGTTGTAATAATTCATGGGAGAGAAGAGTTACTACAGGATGATGCAGCTGGGAAGCCTTCATAGACGTACTGGCATTTGTGCCAGGCCTTGAAGACAGCTTCTAGGAGGAGGAAAAGGGAGGACATTTCCACTAAAAATTTTCTCTACATTGTGGGAAAAGGTATGGAGGAGGATACAGATCAGGCACACCCAAGGAATAATGATTAGACCAGCTTGGCTGGAGGGGTGGGCTCCCATCATAGAATATTGAAAGTTAGGATGGACAAAAATACCCTGCGGTGTTCCACAGGTAAGATCAATGGCTCATTTACCCAGCTTCAAAAGGCTGCAAATAGCTATTTTTTATGTTGGAAAAGAAATCCAATAATTTGTATCACTTGCCACTATGAATCTGATAAAAAGCCTTTCCTGAAGACTGTGACAAATGGCCGCAGGAGCCCCACATTCAAGCTGCAATACTGTAATACACTGCTGGGTGAGTCGGATCATATTGATTTGGTTGGGCCACTTGGTTGTTTGTACAGAACTCCCGAATCCCTGGCTCCTTCGCTGGATTCCATATTATCCTATTCTGTACAAATTTAGAGCTTTAAGGAAGGCTAGAGTGTGGGGGTGCAGAGATGATGAAGGCACAACTGCAGTCCCTCAGAAGCTCAAGTGGAGGGGAGATGAGATAAGATGCTCTAAGAATATAGGCAGTGATGCCAAAAAAAGCCAAGAAGGAGGACACAGAAGTAGGGGATGGATGTGGAGCAACCAGACTCCATGCACACTGCTGGTGGGATGTGAAGAATGAAAAGGGGTAAAAACCACTTTGGAAAATAGTTTGACAGCTTCTTAGAAAGTTAAACATATATTTAACCTGTGACCTGGCAATCCCACTCCTAGATATTTTTCCAAGAAAGAAAATAAAACTTGCACACTTGTATAAGTACGTACATAGTAGCTCTACTCATAAATGCCAAAAACTGAAAAAAAGTTAAATATGCATTTAACAGGAAAATGGATAAACAAACTGTGGTGTATTTATATAATGGAATAGTACTCAGCAATCAAAAAGAATGAATTATTGATAAATGCAACAGCGTGGATGAATCTCAGAAACAGTATGCAGTGCTAAATATGATACATACCCGTGTGTGAGTCCATTTATATGAAGTTCAAGCACAGGAAAAACTAATATCTGGTAATAGAAATCAGAATAGTGTTGTCTCTTGGTGAAGTTGGCAGTTGACTGAAAAGTAGAACTGGGAAAATGTCTGGGGTGCTGGAAATGTTCTGTCTTTATTTGGGTGGTGGTCACCCAGGTTACATAATTATCCAAACTCATCAAGCTGGGTGCATTTTACCATATGTCAATTGTATCTCAGTAAAAATAGAAAAAAATAAGAGTTGGGTAGAAAGATAGCATGGATTTGTAGAAGTGCTGCCTCAAGAAGGCTCCATGGAGAATAACCCTTAAAGAATTTTTTGGGGGGAAGGCAAAGAAGGAGGAAGAAATGGAGATAGAAGGTAGGGAGCTGGGGATGTGCATTGGCCTGAGGACGAGTCATGTGGGGAATGGAGGTAAAGCCAGAAAGGGAGGCGGAGGTCATAAAACAGCGGGTAAGGCAGTAGGAGCCAAAAGCGCTGAGTACATATTCCATAGGATTCACCAAGAAAGAGAAGGGGAATAATCATTCAAGGAGTCTGAAAAGTCTAGATAACTGAAAAAAAAATCATTTGTGTGTAGCATGTTTGCAGGCCAAAGGGGGAATCACTGAGGAAGAGACATTGAAGAGAGGAGATCGTTCACAGAGCAAGGTTCTGGTAGACCTTGATGGCTCACCCTTAGAAAGGAGGGGAACCTTCTGGGTCAGGAAGGAAGATGGAGGGCTGGGTAAAGCTGTGAAGGGTGAGGGGAAGAAAAGAATGAGAACCCCTGACAGACATCCTCCAATGTCTCAACATAGTGGAGAAAAGACCTTCAGTGAAAGGTAGAACTGTGGTCTCAAGAGCATGTTAAGGGTTCAGAACACAGCACTATAGAGAATCTGAAAGGGGGTTTGCCTGAGATGAATGAAGCAATTCTGAGTTGTATGGCATAGACCAACAGTGGAGATCATTGCCAATGTGGGAAACTAGCAGAGCATGGAGAATGAAAGTGCACCGTAGCTATTAAGAACACCCTTGAAATGGATTATGGCTAGAAGCAGGAATGGGATGGAGCAGGGCCAGTGAAGGGTGGGGAAGGGTCAAGGGTCTGGAAGTCAGGAAGAAGAGAAGTAGGTTCAGGATGTACAAGAAAGTTGGTAAGTATGAGGCAATGTGGATCAACTAAGGTAAATTTAATGCTCAAGATATTTGAAGGAGAGCATCTCTGAATGCTGATGAGTTACAAGCTATGCTGAGGGATGAGCTGAACGGTGGTGACATTTTGTGTTGGACGTTGGAGTCACTAAGGATCATGGCAGAATATGGGTATGGAGGAAGAGTGAGCCAAAGGTTGAAGTCCTTGAGAAAATGTGGTGGAGAATCCTCACTCAACAAGCTTCTCTTTCTCTTATGTTATTGTCTATAATTAACCACTTTAATTCTATGAAGCTGGAAATTCTTCAAAATATGTTTTAAAGTTGATCTCAATTCAGTCTCTATGAGTAACACAAAAGTGGTTTTTATTCACCTTTTACAAACAAGGAGTTTTACTTTAGTGCGTCATCTCACCATCCCCTCCCCGGTGACTTCCTTCCAATCAGGTAGGATTTGGGTGCACAGAGGTAATCGCTGAATCACTTGACTATTCAGAAAGCGATTGCAGTAGGCAAAGGGCACATAATATCACAGGTTTCAGTATCTGAAAAGAAATTGCGTGTTTTGACACTTAAAAATAAAATTTATGAGAAGAAAGGAGTTATATTCTTCTTATTCATCTTTCTAGTTCTTTTATTGATTTTTAAAATTGACATAATCCCATCAAGTCTTTAAAAATAAAATCTCTTATTTGGGAACCCCCAGACTCCTAAATCAAGAAAAACATTCAAAAGGCCAGTAGGAGCTGCCTGTTATATCATAAGTCAGGAGAAAATGGCAGCAGAGTTGTTATGTGTCCCTTGACAAATGATTGTCTCTCTGTGCCTCAGTTTCCTCATGGAGAAACTATGCCAGTGAAAGAGCTATACAACATGGAATATTAGTACTTTATATACTTAAAAACAGTGCATTATTAGTGAGACTTACATAGAAATTAAATTAACAAAAATAATCAACTTTGACCTGAAACAGCACTGGCAAGGCATTCTTAATCAGAAATCTTCCAGAAACATGTGCTGATTAATCAGAAGGGAACTTCCACATCGTCCCACCACCACATCCACTTCCTCACCTGCATCAGCATCCACATGCTCTGCCTTCTTATTTGCTGCTGTAGAGGAACTGTTCAAGCTTATATCCAAAGCCCATTTCTACACTTGCACACCACAGCCTCTTCCCTTTTGCCTACTCAGATAATGGCTTTGGCTATCCTTTTCTTTTCCACATCATCTATTTCCCACTCTACTGGATTGTTCTCATGAGCAAACATGTTATTTCTCTTATCTTAAAAATCTTTTTCTTTGCCCCATTTCCCCACCACCTCAGAGAGCTGCCCTTGGCTCTGTGCCTTAAGGTCTGTATTCTGGCCCTTCTCCAGCCATACATCTCTCTCTGGGTGAGCATTTGCTAGGCCAAGGAGAAGTGCTTAGTCAGAGCTGATGCTTCCTGCCATCTAGATCATGGGTACTCTGCACCTCAGAATTCTCTGCCCACATGGTCCTTAGCCCCTTACAGGGTGTTCATAGTCCTCTTCTCTGGGTCCATCTTCCTTAGGGTGGACTTGCTGATTTACACACTCCTGGACTCAAGAGATATTCAGGGGATCGTTGTTTGAAGAAGTGTGGACAGGGCTGGGATATGCAGGCCAGGGCATGCAGGCCCCTCACAAGCACACCCTTCAGAGTATGGGATGGTGCTGGGGTTTGGAAGCCAAGGCATGTGGGCCTCAGGCCCTTTCCCTGTGCCACCAAGTTATAGAACAGAACTCCAAAGTCCAATAATTCTAAATTGGAATCTGCTTTTCCAGATTCTTATGAAGTTATATTTGTCAATATAATGCAAAGCACATATTTGTTTAATAGTTTGTTAGCTTGATAAATAACTTTTACCTATTTACAAATATTGTATATAGGCCTCCATTTTGGCCTGGATCCCATAAATGTTAGTGCACTACCTATTAAGCCTTTTTGAAAAAAAGATCCTTTGTAGCAAATTTCTGCTATTAGAGTCAGTAGCTCCCATTCCTTCCCTTCTGTTCTTTCCTGTTTGGCTTTTGCTCTTCACCTTCTAATAGAATTGTTCTTGTCAAGGTCACCAATATATTAAATCCAATGATTTGTTTTCTATCCTCATTTTACTTTATATTCCTGCAGCATGTGACACGAGAATCACTCCCTCTATCCCAATACGCTTTTTCACTGGCTTCTAGTATTCCACTCTCTTTCGTTTTCTTCCTATACTGGCCTCTCTTTCTCGGCTCTTTGCTGATTCTCTCTCTTTATCCCCAAGCTCTTAATGATGGAACTGCCAGGGCTCTTCTCTTCTCTATGCTCACTCACTTGCGATCCATCTGGCCCAAGGCTCTCCTGCTATTGATTCTCAAATGATTTCTGTAGCCTTCACCTCTTTCTTAGCATCATACTCTCTACCTGACATCTCCATTTGGATGTCTAGTACTTGAAATGTGGCTAGTGCAACTGAAGAATTTAATTTTAAATTTTACCTAATTTTCCTAAACTTAAACATATTTTATTAGCCACATGTGGCCAGTGGCTCCCAAGGAGCAGCTCTAGACGCCGTGCCGCAAGAGCAGGGAGCACTGTTTCCTCACTGAGGTATCCTAAGCACCTGGCAGAGTGCCTGACACATAGTAGGTGCTCAATAAAAATGTGTTAACAGATGTGTGATCAAAGTCCAAGGTCAACTTTTCTAAGAACTTGCAGTCTATCACTTGCAAAGATAGGGTCAGAACCCGGGAACTCATCACTCAGGAAACACACTTCTTTCCAAGCATGTTAAGGAAATATCCAGAAGTCTGGGCAGGGGCTTTCTGACAGCATACCTGTAGGTAAGAACAGTGCCTGGTCCTGGGTTTTCCTGATTTTACAAACACATTCATTCTCACATATAAATTAAGGAAACAAACAATCCATCCTGCACAGAATCCAAGCCCTCCAATCTCTGCTGGTATGTAATCCACTTGATTCATTCGTGGCCATCATCAGAATTCAGAGCAGATACTATCCACATTCATGGTCTTACAGAGGGAAGTTATTAAAATTCTGTAAAGTATCGGGACCTCCCAATGGAAAGGAAGATGAAGGCACATTTCAGCATTCACAGATGAAGAGGTTGAGGTCACAGAATATAATGTTTTATGCAACTGCATCCTAGAAACAAAGCAGAATTACCAAATAGCTGTAGAAATGTAACTGATTTTTGCAGAATGAAAGTACTGTATAGGAAATTAAATGACTATAGGGTAAATGATATTTTTAAAAGCTGTTTGGGGAATGAAATATGAAATCAGGCTTATGATAACAAATAAAGAGTTTAAAACTGTTTCCTTCTAAAATCTTATTTTGAAGATCCACGTGACCAATGCTTTTAGATATACTAAGGTACTAAGAAGCTACAAGTGTTTTACTAAACTGCAACAATACTAAGGATTAAGCAATAGTTTGCATGTTCCTTAGGTTCCTAGTAAAAGGAGCAGATTGTTATATCTGTAATTTATGTCAAAATGCTTTTGGCATTTATTTGTATACCAATGTTTATAGCAACATTATTCACAATAACCAAAAGGTAGAAACGACTCAAATGTCCACTGCTGAATAAAAAACCAGACAAAACATGGTATACACATACAATGGAATATTATTTAGCCTTAAAAAGAGATGAAATTCTGACACATGCTACAACCTGGATAAACCTTGAAGACATTATGCTAAGTGAAATAAGCCAGTCACAAAAGGACAAATATTGTATTATTCCACTTAGATGAGGTATCCAGAGTTGTCAAATTCAGAGGCAGAAGGTAGAATGTTGGTTGTCAAGGGCTGAGTGGAATTTTATGTCTATTTTACTATAATCTAAAAAAATCCCCAAACTTCAGCATGTGCTGTGTGATACCACGTGACCATTACTTAGGTTAAGCTATAACCCGAGAGCTGTCTGCATGCTAATCAAGAAGGCACAATGCCGGGGTGGTCTTTTCAATTAGCTACCACAAGTTTTTGTTACCTGTATCTCAACCCACAAGCAATGCTTTGCTAATTAACATACTGAAAGTCAGAAACAGATTTTCTGTTGATGAAATTGGTAGTTTGTTATGTAGGCCAGTGAATGTTAGGAAAAGACTCTCAGTGAAATTAAAAGTATTCCTTACATGTGGATCGGCAGAAATATTTTAGAAACACTTCCCACACCTGCTTCACAAGGGCACAAGAATCCAATTAGTCCTGTAGACTTCACCCTCAGGGATGATGACCTAGACTAAATCTCTAAATAGTCCTATGCCCAGCCAGGAACACTGAGGGATTCTAGATCCCTGATGCTAGCCAAAGAGTGACAAATTCCTGACTGTGGAATCTTTGTGATGGCCTTCAGGGAATATTTTGTGCAAGATGGGGGTCAGAGGAGCTAAAAATAACAGCTGACACATGCTCAAGTTTACAAAACAGGTCATATAAATTGTGTGTGTGTAACTGTGTGTTTACTTGCTAATAAATGTTTACTTGATGGATGTTTTATTGTGACAGTATTTGTCTGGAATTTCTGTTCATTATAACCTAGTAGTGAAGTTGCCAGTTGAGCAGGCAACTCTTACCTCAAAACTTCATCAGAGGCTACTATGATTTACCAAAAAGATCCTAAGAGTCATACATGACCAAATCAGCTGAGGTCAGTTTACAATCATCAGCATAGAAGCCAGAGCGAAATTATAGTGCCAAAGGACATGAGAAACTAAGCCATGACGACTTAGATTATTAGTCCTAAGAATACACTTTGGGATGGTTTAGTTTACTCTCCTCCCTGATTTTAGAGATTAAAAAACGACTGGGCACAAAAATGTCGAGTGATCTTCTCATGTGCAAACTAATTTCATAAGCAGAAACCAAAGGCAAACCTTTGATATGATCATTATTTAGAAGCTACCACTTGTTGAGCGATTATTATGTGCCATGCATACTAGTAGGTGCTTTAGCATGTGATTCTCAGAAAATCCCTAATTCTCAGAAAATCCCTGCAAGCTGAGTACTATCATCCTTGAAGTTCAGAGAGGCCTTTCTAGTACCCCATTTACAACCAGTGTGGCACTCAGTGTTTCTCACTAGAGGTAGGCCATCCTATGCAGTCTCCCCAGGGCTTTCTCAGCCTGCTTCAGGAGCAGCCTGGAAGTGCGGAAGATAATGTGCCAGGGATCAGTCCTCAGCCAATGATGAAAGCTTCTTTTCCACAGCTAGGATACCTCTGATGTTCTACACTGTCTGCCTGTGACTTCCCACAGGTCACCCAGTGGCCCACAGGAGTAACCTGCTTGATAATATACTGTTTATTAGCTTCTTTCCATTCTCTGACTCATTTCCTCACTTTCCATCCATCTTTCCTGGGATCATCTTTCAGATAAAGTCCTACCTCAAATCTTTGTCTCAGGGAATGCTTTTGAGGAATGCACCCAATGCAATCATGTAATTTTCCCAAGGTAACCCAGCTAGCCATCAGGTTGCAGTTGGAACATGAACTCAGGTCTATCTGAGTTTTAGGATTATGCTCTTCTGTTCTGCTTTATCAGATTTCATCTTTCTTTCTGAGCAAGTAGAGATAAGACAGGAGTGGAAGGATAGATGGGTGTTACAGAAATAACACTAGAGTTTAAAAAATACTAGTTTTCTAAAGTGATTTGTTTGATTAGCATCTCAAACCCTCATGGCCTCAAGGTTCACAGTCACCACTCTGCGTTATAGCACTATGAAGCAGACTGTCTCAATGATGTTGAATAATCTGATTAGTCAATGTGGTTAAGTTGAATAATGATCCCCAAAGATGGCTGGCCACATCCTAATTCCTAGGGCCCGTGAGTGTCACCTTTTCCTTATATGGCAAAAAGGAACTTTGCAGGTGTGCTTAAATTAAGGATTTTAAGATGGTTGATTATCCTGAGTTATCTGGGTGGGTCCAATGTAACCATAATGATCCCTACAAGAGGAAACCAGGAGGTAGTTGGAGAAGAGGACAACGCAATGGTGGAAGCAGAGATGATTGGAGTGATATACTTTGAAGATGGAAGAAGGGGCCCCAAGGCACTAGAAGGCAAGGAAATAGATTCTCCCCTCAGACACTCTGTAAAGAACCATCTCTACTAACACCCTAACTTTAGCCCAGTGAAGCAGATTTCTGACTTTTGACCTCTAGAACGTAAAAAAAGACACTTTTTTGTTGTTGTTGTTTTAAGTCATCTTAACTTTGTGGTGATTTCTTACAGTGGCAAAAGGAAACTAATATAGTCAACTAAGCATCACCAGTGATAATACTAGACAAGATTTTTTCAGCCCATGCAAAGTCTGGGTGTAGTGCTGGGTGGTTTAGTGCACCATAATTCCCTCAGTGACACTGTTTTTAATCTCATTTTACAGATGAAAAATGTCAGTAATGTCATTTTACTGACATGTAGATAGGTTAAGAACTTGGCTGAAATCGCACAGCTGATACCTGAACTCAGGCCTTTTGGACCATGTTCCTAATCAAAACACCAAATCTGAATCCTTGAAACTGCGAGTAAAAGAAGGTAAGTGAAAAGGCACTATTGCCAATGTTGTAAAGCAGCCGCCTTCAATTGCCTGTTGAATAGCGAGAAACAGCAACATATACAATCACTCTGGTCCTCATTCTTTTCCCATCACAGAACCTCTCCCCTATTCCTCTCTCTACTTCTGGAAAAAGGCAGTTTAACTCAAACAGTAGTGATGGTTGGATGGGGGTGACTTAGTAATTAGGTACTTTGGTTTCTAAGAGCTTCTTTCAGAGTTGAGCCCGTAAGAAATTATCGAGCAGCTTTCTTTGAAATCAGAAGTGGCTTTGCAAACCCAGGAAGAAATACATCCGTTTTCCTTTTTTTCAGTTTGAGTGCATTTTTATTTTCAAAACAAACAAACAACTCAAGTAATCACATTCATTTTAAAAAGAAGCAGGATGTGTGACTGCTTCTCACAGCTAGATCTTATCTCCCTAACTGTACCATATTGCATGCTCTTTCAGAGCAGCAAGCAGGTCTTATATCTTTTCTCTTTAGCACTTAACATAAGGTGAGCTATCAGGAGAGAGAGAGAGAGAGAGAGAGAGAGGGAGGGAGGGAGAGAGAGAGAGAGAGAGAGAGAGAGAGCCACCAATCTAATGAATAAAAATGAAGGGCCAAATGAATGAAGAAAGCAACACGTGGGAAGGGAGATTGAGATATTACTGTCATTTAAGTCCTGCATTTATGTATTATTAATTATATGCCCTTATATATTTGCAGCCATTAATGATAAGGGAGGCTCTTTGAAACTTTCGTAGAACTATCCTTGATTCTAGGATAGTAAGTAGGTTCCATTTTGCCTGTGCCAACTCTGATCTCTGGTATTGGCTACTTAGAGCCCTATATCTCAAAGAGACATAATGGCCAAATCAAAACTCAGTTGGATTCCTTTTCCTGGTCAAAAGGCAAAAAAAAAAAAAAAAAAAGAAAAAAGAAAAAAAGACTCAGTTGGAAAGAATCTGTGATTGATTAGTGATGTCTGCTTTAGACTCAGAGTCTCTAAGGAGAGAAACAGAGAGAGAGAGAGATAGTATATCTTCTACATATATAGTATATCATATATATATATATAGTACGGCAGAAATACTATATATTTGCTGAATCTGTCTATATAATTGACCACAATTTGATCAATTGTGGGCAGAACATACCACCCAATTTGTTTTAAGCCAACACTATCATCTCCCAAACTATCATTACTCTATGAATATGCAGTTTTCACTTCTGCTTCTTCAACAGTTTTTTTAATGTGAGAACCACCAAATCGTACTTTATCTTTTATGGCATACTCAGAAACAATGACTTTAGTTTTGGAATATATTTGAAAAGAGGCTTAAATCAATGTTTGTCAAGTTCTTTAAGGACGAGGAGTATTATATATGCCAAGAGTCATTAACAACACTAAAGCTTTCTCTAACATTTCCTGACAATACAAACGTGGTTGAGTATTATTCTAATCAAGTTCCTTTGCTAACTCAGTGACTGAACGGATCTTTACTTCCCGCATAACAATTTTGTGAAATGACTGTATATAATATACAATAATTTAATCACACAAATTGAACTGTAAAATTATTTCTAATACTTAGGAGTACTAAAATAATTTTTTCCCTTGTACTATTTTGAAATTATCCAATAAACAATCAATCACTAGATTTCATTTTTTAACATATTTCTTCCCAGGCATACATTCGGGGGCCATTATATGAGCTATTTTCCCACTAAGAAAACCACAATCAAAAGGTCAACCAGAACACTGTTGTCATAAATAATAACAATGATAATACCATGTTTTAAAAAAGCTCTTCAAGTTTACCATTTTTAACCTATAAATTCTTCTTGAATTTTAAAAATATATGTTCTATGTATTATTCTCAAATTTAGATATTAAATGAGACTAAAAGGGGTGATTTATTCAGCTATTGAATAAATGACGAAGCTAGGACACAAAACCAGATAGATGTCTAAGTCCTTATCCCTATCCCTGACCTGCCTGGATTCTATTAATCCATTGCATGATTCCTCTGACCAGAGCCAAGCCCACTTTCCCACTGCAACATGCTCATTACCTCCTGTGTTACTTCTCTCATCTCTCTTTGCCTGGTTTGCCCGCTCCTCTCTCCTCCACCTATTGGAAGTCTATAGCTCTATGGCTCTGCTCAACTCCACTGTCTTCATAAAGTCTTCACTTTTCTCAGTGAACTCCTGCCATTCTTACAGTTTTAATACTTGGTGATATATTGCTCTATGCTGTTGGATCTCCATTCGTTCAACAAATAATTCTGGAGAACTGTATCATATTCCAGATACTACTCAAGACACTAGAGATTCAGCAGTGAATAAGGCTGCCTCTCGTGGAACTTATGTTCCAGTTGGGGTTCCCACTTTTAGTGTTCACATCTAAATTTTAACCTCCTTGACAACAGTAGCTATGCTTCTGCTTTCTCTGTGTCTATGAAGAAACAATGTGATTTCACTGCTGTACAGCTTATCATTAAATCAATAATGTGGTTGCCTTGGTGTTAGAGGTACATAGCTAGTTAATATCAGGGGACTAGACAAGTAAACACACTTGAGATAGCCGCTCACTCTATTTTCTCATAATTTTCTAACTCTAGAAAAATCTATGTTACTATTGAGGAAAGTACATTAGGAATTCTTTAAGGGGAAACTTGTAAAGAAATTATAAGGAAGAACTGCCTGGAGATTGGTTTCCTGTGTATGCTAAAGCAAGATCCAAAATATCCATTTCGCAGAGACATGACCAGAAAGTCCCAGCACACTTGGGAACAGCATTTTAAGAGGTTTTGAATTATTGTGCTCATTAATATATTTTCCCTTCTTTGATCCTTTTCTTGAGGATAACTAGAGCTGCTTTGCTCTACAATATTTCAAGCATGGTGAGAATTTAGCACTAGGAGAAACCACGTAGTCAGAAAAAAAAAAAACACACATATCTTAAGAATTTTTCCTATAATCAAAATGAACAAAGGTGGAGTTGAACCCACCAAAAGAAAATACCTGCCCCTTCTAAGCCTGATAGGATGTGATCAGAAAGGGAGTTTTGGGGCCAGGCATGGTGGCTCACGCCTGTAATCCCAGCATTTTGGGAGGCCAAGGTGGATGGATCGCCTGAGGTCAGGAGTTCGAGACCAGCCTGGCCAACATGGTGAAACCCTGTTTCTACTAAAAATACAAAAATTAGCCAGGTTTGGTGGTGTGAGCCTGTAGTCCCAGTTACTCAGGAGGCAGAGGCAGGAGGATCCCTTGAATCTGGGAGGTGGATGTTGCAGTGAGCTGAGATCGTGCCACTGCACTCCAGCCTGGTAGTGGGCAACGGAGTGAGACTTCATCACAAAAAAAAAAAAAAAAAAAAAAAAAAAGAGAGAGAAGGGAGTTTTGGGACTTCTTCCAGAAAACTCATCTTGGAAAATTTAGCATCTTGAATGCTTTAAAAACTTGGTGAAAAAAATACCGGGTTGCTTTGTTAAATTAAACTTTTATTTAACAGGCCTAAGTCAGTCTCTTCTACAAAATGGCTTTCTAAATTTAATTTTATACACATATCTGTGTGTTTATGTATGTGTGTGTGGGGGTGTGAGTGAACACACACACATACAACCTCAGGCTATTGTAGAATTCTATTTGCATGTCTCTGTTTGGGAATCATGGGATATCAATGGCTGTTTCCAGGACCCAATTGAATAAATTCCCCTGTGAAGGGGAATTTGATTCTACTGCTAATTTTTCTCAATACTGGAGAACAGACTTCCTCCAGAGGTGTATGATGACCTGTACTGTGACCATTAAGACAACCAATCCACTCAGAGAGGATGAGAGTTTTCCTTGTGCCAGAGAACATCAGTGAATGTGTGCCATGCTTGAGGACATAATCTAAAGAGGACCTTAATAATAAGCAGGAATATGGCTCTGGGTTATGTTTTCTAGACTTATCCCTCAAAATTAATTCTAGGGTGTTCAAAGAAGGTTTTTGGAAACACAGACTATTCCTGTAAGGACCAGCAGGGCTTCTGCTGAGAGTTGCTGTCTAGAGTTGGAAGGGGAGTATGACCTCTCTCTGAAGAACCCAGAAGTTTGGGAGGGGGAAAAGCACTGGAGAAAGCCCTTTGGAGTTGATGAAAGAACATGCCACAGTAGTAGAGGACCCCACTAGACTCAGCATCTTGAGGGCAGAGACTGTCTTGTGCATCATTGACTCCCCAGATCCTACAACAGTGCTTGGTTCATGGTGGGATTTCAATTAATGTTTTTGGACTGAACTAAATGAGAAGCAGCTGCAGAAAGCCATGATCCAGGAAAAAGAGAGTAGTGTAAAGTTGGGAAGACTGCATTCTTTATGTATCCCCAACTCTCTCCATCAATCTACTAGGAGGCCCTCTTGACATCTGAGGGTTGGGGGAGACCTTGAAACTTTCAAAATACTAGAAATGAGTGGAATAATGAAGGGGATAAAGGCTGTGATAGAGACAATGCTGTATGTTCAACAAATCATTTTATTTTTCTTCTGGATACATAGGAAGGCAACATTTCCTGGCTCCCCTTGCACTTAGTTAGGGCCATGTAACATGTAACTTGTTCTAGCCAATGGAATTTGGGCAGAAGTCATGTGTGGTACTTCCAGAAACCTCTCTTGTAAATTTACATGTTCTTTCTTTCTCTCTCTCTCTCTCTCCTTGTCTGGGCAACCAGTTGCAGAGGTTCCAGTGGAGAACTTCAAGGCTCTGAGACCTTAGGGCACAGCCAGGTCAGTAGATAGAAGTCTGGATACCTGAATACCTGCATGGCGCACAATATTCCTCCCCAAACCCCTCCCACAAACTGTTCCCCACTGGCCTATAACATGAGCAAGAACTAAATGTTTGTTTTGTTAAGCCACTGAGATGGGATTGCTTGTTGTAGCTGCCAGCATTACTTACACGACAGAGGCCATTGAATTCTGTGTTGGTTATAGGGACCTTTAAGCTTCTTATTCTTGACAGAGAGTAGGACTAAAGAATGGGGGTTACAATCACATACGTACTTGCATATGTATATATTGAGTCACATATAGTAAATAACAAATGTAATTTATTAAGCATATTCCATATGTAAGGCATCAAAAAACTAGCAAGTCAGGCATTTCAAAATGATTTTTGTGTACTCAAAAAAAAGAAGAGATCCTAAGATTGGTATATTTATCAAGTAGCAATGTCACGGAGTTGGCCACTATCAACTTCAGGTTGTCTATTATCATTAGGAATTTGACCTTAGAAAATATACCCACAAAATAGTTACCTACTTGACTAAACAAAAAAAGGGGGAATAGACTTATTGAATAAAAGTATCTGCAATCTTCTGAGAAGTTCATACAGCAGAAGGGTCAAGGTCAAGTTCACTGAGCTGCTTTCTAGACAGGAGCAGCACAACTCTATAGTTTTGGAAAAGGACGCTGGAAACCTTTTCAAGAATAGAACCATACTGTGTTCATATATGAAGCCTCAGTATAGCTCAATTCTCTCCTGGGCTGTTAAGCCACCACTCAAAAGACTCAACACATTGCACACAGAAATAGGTACGGACAGAAGGCACCCACTAATATGGAAATAGACTGAATTCTGGGCGGGAAGCATAGGTTAGTTTAAAGTTTCCTGGGCCTTGCTTTTGTGATTCCATAGATGCCTGCATGGCAGCAACCAAGAGATTCTGAGTCATGAGGGACTATACTCTTCCCCTCTCTGCAGGGAGAAAGCTCTATGAAGGCCTCTTGCCTTCATCTTACTCCTTTGCCATAAAGCAGAGTAATAAGAGGTGGTTGTTCCATTCCTTACAAGTACCCTTCAAATCTCATGCACTCTTCAATCCTCTGCCATCTTCACGCATTAGGACTCAACTGTTCAGGCACATATCAAATGCCGCCTTCTCCAAGATGACTTTCCTGAGTTTTCCTCAACCAGTTTAAACTTTCTCTCTTTCCATTTTTATAGTAGTTGTACGTTTTAGCATTTATAATATTTTGCCTAGTTATTTAGGGAGGTTCATATCTTATTTCCCTTTCTAGGAGATAAAGTTCAAAGAAGAGCTGTTTTATTCAAAGACCTAATTCAATCCAACATAAAGTAGACATGTAACAAATATTTTGAATTGACTTTCCAGGCTCTCTTTCTCATAAAGTAATAAGGATAAGGTTAGTATCAGGACATAGATAATGATTTCTTTATTTTTTGGTCTCTGGAATACTACTCTATGTGCTTAAATCCTGGCTCTACCACTCATAACTTATATGAATTGGCCAAGGTACTTACCTCTCTCAGTGTTAGTTTCCTTACCCATTAAATGAAATCATTAATAAGATTATAATGGAAAACATTTAAAAACATTTAGCAAGTGCCTAGGACATAGAGTTCAATAAATGTAGCTATCATCATCATCATCATCATCATCATCCCCACCACAACTATAATTTCACTGGAAATTTGTTGATGGTCTTTGTTATTTTAAACAGAAATAACAAGCCCAAATGCTTTTAGGTTCCAGGAAGGCAATGTAAGTGAGAAAAGTAAAATTCAGAATTTGGTGACAAGAAAAACAAGTAGCCAACTATGATATAGTATGATTAAGGCTATGTTTTAAGTTTACTATGAAAACAGAGGAGGAGTACCAAACAGCCTTAGATACTAAAGGGAGACATGACAACAAAAACAACAATAGTGATTGCTAACATCTCTTGAGTAATATGTGTTAAGACGCTCTCTGTGCTAAGCCTTAAAAGATAAGTAGCAAAGGGAATAATAGCATATGAAATAAGGAATTGTGAAATAATTTGGTGTTTTTAAATAATTTCCAGCAGGATGCTATGGCCAGAGTTAAGTCCACATGAAAAACCCATGAGAGACCAGGCTGGAGAGTTTGGCAAGTGTCAAGTCATGTAGGCCTTTATATACCAATATGTCATGCTCAAGAGTTGGCCTTGAAAGAATGGGAAGCCACATTTTGGGAAGACAACTGGGAGCAATGCAGTAATGAGGAATTTTGAGTGCCTTAACTAAGGCAGCAGTACAATGAATAAAGGAGAGGCTACATTTAAAGGGTAGAAATGGCATTATCTTAAGGATTGACTGAATAAGGGAGAGTGAATGAGGAAAATAAGTCTAAGTCAATGCCAAGTTTTCAGGTTTGAGCGACTTGGACGATAATTTCTATTCCTAGAGATGGGTTGTGGTAAGGGTGAGATAGAAGTTTGGCTTCAGACATGTTGAATTTAAATACCTACAGGATACCCAAGTGGTAACATTGGCCACATGGCTTCCAAAATCTGTAGATATAGATTTGAGAATCTATAGAGTTATCTTCCAGGAACAGTGACCTGAATAAATAGAGTCCAAGGATGAGATCCTAGCATATACTAACACGTAAGGGACTGGCACAAGGAAGGGAAGCGAAAAAGGAATGAAAAGAGGAGTTAAGAGAAGCTAAGGACATACAGAGTTTCAAGATGTAAGTGGTGGTCAACTATGTCAATGCTTCAGAAAAATCAAACAAGAAAAGGACTAGAATGCACCAGTTCAATTTGGCCAAAAGGAGGACCTTTGTGTCCTTGGGAAGGTAATCCTGGTGGACAGTTCCAAGTGGAATTCAGGATGCACTGGAAGGAGGAATGAGTGAGAGGACAAAAAGCTTGGCTGCAAAGAAAAGAAAGAGCTGGAGGTTCATAAAGTTGGGTAAAGCTGTATATATATATATATTTTAATGGCGAATACTTGAAATATTTATATTCTGATGGGAAAAGTTTAGAGAAGAGAGAGAATTGAAGCAATAGGATATAAATAATTGCCAGTTTGAGTTGCTTGAGGGCATAGAGGGGGACCGGACTCAGAACATAGCCCTGGATAAGAAGAGGAACACATGCTATAGGAACAGAAAATAAAGAATGAAAATGGATGGAGAGTGGGCTGGTTTGCTGAGCAGGGGAGGACATGGGGATAGGAGAATAACCTCAGTGGTGACAGGTGTGTGTGACTTTCTCAAGCAGCCCTGGGCTGTCTGGCATGGATGGGGCAGCGAAGGTAGAGGAGTGAATTGATCTAAGATGTCCAGATCTCAGAGGGAAAAACTCATGCCATGAACTGTTTAGTGATTTCCTCAGCCTGAAATTTCATTATGAGTTTGAACAATTTGCAAACCTGCAAATCATTTGAGATTTTCCCAAAGCTGTGCTGAATACTAATTCATCTAGATAGACAGTGTAACCTGCAAGGGAATTGGAGCCTTTAAACTCAATTCTTTCTTGACACTTGAGAAATGAATGGAGAATTGTGTGTCCAAATCTTAGTCGTTGGAGAATCAAACACAAAAGTGTTTTATAAGAGTTGTCAGAAAAGAGTTTTGTTCTTCTCAGAACACTCATTCTGCAAAGAGAAAAAAAGAAAAGAAAAAATGTGCAAGGAGGTTTTCACATCCCCTTGACAAGAGAAGGAGGAACTTATTTGCCCTTACAAATAAAGGGCATTCCCTACCTTTATTTGTAAAGACTCACACCCTATGGGAGTCCTACAATAAATACTAATTCAGTGAATTTAGGATACCACAAAACAGATTTTAGTATTTCCATTCTGATCCCAGTGATGTCAGAGACTATAAATATTGGCTGTGACAAAACTTTAGATTTAAAGTAGAAGGCAAATGAATAGCGGATAAATTGATTACTTTAAAGATTTCAAATTCTGATTGGTGGTTTAACCTCTCAGAAGGCCTACCCTTTACAAAGAATACAGAAAGGAAGAGGGGCCATTGTCCTCCTTGTCTAGGTAATACGCATCAAATGTGAGTGAATCTCCACTGTCTAGGTAATACTCAACAAATGTGAGTGAATCTCCACTGTTATCTATGCCACTTATGTGTCACAGTGGGGTCTTTTCTCACACCTCTTTCTTTTTTCTATCCAACTTTTATTTTTGGTTTAGGGGGTATATATGCAGGTTTGTTACATGGGTAAATTGTGTGTCATTGGGGTTTGGTTTATAAATTATTTTGTCACCCAGGTAATGAATGTATTTTCTTTATCCACTCTACCATTGAAAGGCATTTGGGTTAATTCCATGTTTTGCTATTGTGAATAGTGCTGCGATGAAAATATGTGAGCATGTGTCTTTATGGTAGAACAATTTATGTTCCTCTGAGTATACACACAGCATTTGCTGGGTCAAGTGGTAGGTCCTGTTTTAAGTTCTTTGAAAAATCTCCAAAAGTACTTTCCACAGTGGCTGAACTAATTTACATTCCCACCAGCAGTGTGTAAGTATTCTTTTTTCTCTGCAACTTTGCCAGCATCTGTTATTTTTTGACATTGTAGTAATAGCCACTCTGACTGGTGTGAGACGGTATCTCATTGTGGTTTTGATTTGCATTTCTCTGATGATTAATGATGTTGAGCATTTTTTCATATGTTTGTTGGCTGCTTGTCTGTCTTCGTTTGAGAAGTGTCTGTTCATGTCTTTTGCCCACTTTTTAATGGGATTGTTTGTTTTTAGTTTGTTGAATTGCTTAAGTTCCTTATAGATTCTAGATATTAGACCTTTGTCAGATACGTAGTTTGCAAATATTTTCTTCCATTCTGTAGGTTGTCTATTTACTCTGTTGACAGTTTCTTTTACTGTGCAGAAACTCTTTAATTAGGTCCCACTTGTCGATTTTTGTTTTTGTTACAATTGCTTTTGGAGTCTTCATCATGAAGTCTTTGCCAGGGCCAATGTCCAGAATGTTATTTCCAAGGTTTTCTTGTAGGATTTTTATAATTTTAGGTTTTACACTTAAGTCTTTAATCAATCTTGGGTTGATTTTTATGTATGGTGAGAGGAAGGAGTCCAGTTTCAATCTTCTGCATATGGCTAGTCAGTTATCCCAGCAGCATTTATTGAATTGGGAGTCCTTTCCCCATTGTTTTTTACTGTTGGCTTTGCCAAAGATCAGATGGTTGTAGGTGTGTGGCTTTATTTCTGGCTTCTCTAACCTGTTCCATTGGCCTATGTGTCTGTTTTTGTACCCGTAACATGCCATTTTGGTTACTGCAGGCTTGTAGTATAGTTTTCCCACACCTTTTGTGAAAGGATCCTTCTCTACTGGGTAGTTATGCAGAAGTACCTATTGGAAAAGGAATGCATCACCTCAAATCCTGAATCCATTCTATGTTTATATGAAACTGAACATTTTATAGCCTTTAAACCTTATGATTCTGAGGCTAACCACAGCGGACAATGGATTTTTGACAGATTTCAAAGGTAGTGGGTGTTAAAACTAAATGCCGCACACAGTTTTCTACTGGAGTTTTCATCCCATACATTTTCCCCTTAGCTATGAAGCAAGAAAAGCCTATTGGAACATTAGCTGCTCTTTATCATAATTTTAGCAGTATACGGTTTCAGTATTATGTGTCAAACAGATGCAATGCATATGTACGTATGTACATACATACAAACAGACGAATAACTAAATGGTAGGAATCATGTGTTTTGTCAGTTATTGGTACCAGAGGCATTTAGGATAACTGCAGTTTCCCTGGGGTGATAAGAATGAGGTTCAGATGAGCATGACATTTTCATCCTCTCTCTCTCTCTCTCTGCCATCCATCCATCCATCCATCCATCCATCTATCCATCCATCTTTGTATCTCTCACATTAGTACACTTTGGTAACCATTTCATTCTCTTTGGTCTTCCTTATAATTTCCCTACTGACCCACTGCTTCATGGGAGAAACCTTTCTTCACTCTTCCCACTTTTCCTAAATCCCTAAATGTTCCCAATGTATAAGTTCCTAAATGCTAGGGATTTGCATTTTGAAATCAGATCAACTGATCATAAATGGACAATGGCAAAACTAAAGATTAATTTAAAAACCAGCACCTACAAAGAGAACCTAAAATGTTCACCATGAAAAATCATACTGCCCTAAAACTGATTTTATGCTACAAAGGTATCTGATCTAAAAAAGAAGTAGCCTCTGACATCTGGGAACTGGCCTGACAATTACAAGTAGGTATCAGTGCTGTTAAAGAAACCATGCCATCTGTTCTCCTCATGAACAAATAACTAATCTCATGGAACGCCAGCAACAGACAAGGTCACTCTGTGACTGTACTGAAGTCAGTCAAAACTAGCCAGTTCATAATTTCATTTAAGCCCAGAAAAAACAAAGTCACTGGCAAACCACAAAATATCAGACATCCCCTCTTCTGAGAAATATAAGTGATGGCTGCATCTTTACTAATTAAAGCTTTAGTCTCCTTCTGGGCTTCTGTCCCTGTAGACACAGTTTATTAAGATACACAGTCATAGGATGGTCCCCACTTCCCAACAGCGCCCAGTCTAGAGCGAACGCCACTTTCTTGGACTCTTACCAAACTCTCCTCTACACAAAATCTCAATCCTCCTCCAAGCCCTTCTAACACCCTTTTATTGAGATGCATCGTGGGTCCCCATGACATGAGTTCTCCCTCACTGCAATGAATGATAAACCCAATTTGTCCAGCCATAGATGTGTTCTTGGTCTTAGACAAAGCAGAAGTTAAAGGGGCATGGACTCTTGCAGCATCCTGTTATGATGTGAAGTTGCATCATAATGTTTGGAGAGGATGAGGTGGGTAAAACAATGAGAGGTTTCTCTAGTTGGGGTGGGTAAGAAAGCTTCCTTGCAAAAATGCTAATTCCAAAGAACCGCTTGAGAACTGTCCCCCACTCAGCTCCTGCTGCTCTTAAATGAGGTCTTACACAGAGGCACTCACACACTGACTCATTATTGGGAAGAGTTTTGTGGTTTAACCTAATTTTTTTCCCATACCATATCCCAGACTGGTTATTATTTTCGGTGAGTCAAATATGGTTGATCTCCTAGGTTCTGAGTGTGGGAAATGTGAAATTTCCAAGGACACCAGTTAGAGAGTGGTTTAGAAACATGACATGTAATCTGGTATCTCAATGTCTTTATAGAAATGAATTAGCACAGGTTAAAGGTAAAGTAGAAAGTTATGGGGAAAGTCTGTGAGGAAGTAGTTTTACAAGCTATCATCTAAAATGGGGGGAAATTATAAAACATTAAAAAATGCTAGGTTTTCAATTGGTATTTTGTTCTGGAAAACTTTTACTTATATAACTACACCATCATGTAGAAATTAGATTATTTTTACAGGTAGTGCCTCGACATTTGTCAGAGCATTGGAATTATGTGGGTAGGAGGGAAAGATGATTATCTCCACTCACACACTAGAAAACTGAGTCATTTAAGTTGCACAATGCCAGAGCATCAGCATCAGGGCCCTGGAACTCACCCAGGTCTCCCTACTCCAGGGAACTCTCAGAATCCATCAAACATCCATTCGTGTGAAGTAACCTCAGTGTTATCCTTTTGCTTCTGCAACTGTTAACATTAGTATACCTGGGAAAACACTGCCTAGATCACATAATTCTTAGGTGGTTACAATAGGTAGTTTCTGTGTAAACAGATAAACAAGGACTCAGAGACCATCTTACTCCTCAAAGGATGGTTCCCAGATGCCCTTCTTAGCCCGCAGGGGAACTTAAGAAAAATGAAAATTCTGAGTCTCACCCCACACTTACTACATTAGTATTTTGGGGTATTGGGCTCAGGAGTCTTTGCGCTTGTAATAAGCTGTACAGGAGATTGTTAACCACATTGAATACTACTGGTCCAGGGGTAAGTGTTTCCAAAAGGCCACTCAAAATTAAAGAAAGGATCAGTACTCCCTACCCCATCCTAGGTTGAGTTCAATACACATAAAGGGTAGTGTTAAAAAGGAAAAAATGACAGATGTTTAAATTATGAGTTACCAAGCAAAACTTTCAGAAGGGGTCCTGTAAGTTTTTATTGACTACAAAATAAATATATCTCCAGCAGAAAGGGATCTCAAGAGTAATTTTTTTTAAAAGATCCTCTTATAACAAAGCTGCTGCTTTTAAGCCCATGGGGGGATTCCTGTACTAATAGAAAATGAAGAAGAACTAGCGGACTATTCTGATGTTAGCAAAATCTGCAGCTGTAGCTCTGGTCTCGAAGGGGAGACTATGGACTACCCCCTGGATCATTGGAATTACTTCTAGGCCTGTGCTTTTAGGAAAGATGCAAACACATTGTAAGGTAAATAGAAGCAATGCAACTTTCTTAATAGCAATGGCTGCCTAGACATTTTAGAAATGGTAATACTATAATTTTCTTTTCTTTTCTTTTCTCTTTTTTTTTTTTTTTTGAGACTGAGCTTTGCTCTTGTTGCCCAGGCTGGAGTGTAATGGCACGATCTCGGCTCACCACAACCTCCGCCTCCCGGGTTCAGGTGATTCTCTTGTCTCAGCCTCCTGAGTAGCTGGGACTACAGGCGTGTGCCACCACACCTGGCTAATTTTGTATTTTTGGTAGAGATGGGGTTTCTCCATGTTGGTCAGGTTCGTCTCAAACTCCCAACCTCAGGTGATCCACCCGCCTTGGCCTTCCAAAGTGCTGGGATTACAGGTATGAGCCACCATGCCCAGCTTATAATTGTCTTAAAAATAGAAGGGTCACCTGTAAAAGTTATTTCGAGTATAGCTTGGACTTCCTATTTTAGAGCTAAGCTACAGGCAATCTATTTCTTTTCTTCCTGTATATGTGGTAGTTTTAATTGAGCTGTTCTTTTGAGCTACCTATGGTTAAAATTAATCAAGTTTGATGAAAAATAATGCTACACTCCAGTCTATGACCTTAAAGTAGCATTTTTTAAAAGCTAGGCTATAGGTTCTAAATGCAAAAATCTCCTAGAAACTAATAAAGACAACACAGAGAGTGAGGGTCCTGTGGTAACAGAGCTCCTAAGAGAAACATTAGCCTCAGCTACTGTAGCATTTAAATATCAATTATTCTCATTTTCACTGTTGAAACGGATACATTTTCATTCTTCAACAATTGTATAACCTTTGAAAACTCATGGTGAAATCACCCATGCTGGTTTTTAAAATGCCATTCTAGGTTGCGCAGTCTATAATAAAGTAAGCAATTTGTGTAAAATTTCTTTTTAGAAAAGTCTCATTTGGGACTTGAATATAGTATATAGAACCAAACAACATGAACTAAGTGAAGCCAATGAATCTTTTCCCAAATGGTCATCTTGAACACAGATGTTTAAAATGTGCTACAGATGTATAAATCAAGGCATACAGCTATTCACAACATTAAAATTCAATTGATCAAAGATGAACATTTACATTTTTACCCACTACCAGCTTGGCAACTCATTTGGTGAAAATTAACTGTACTTTCATGAAATGTATGACACTGCTTTCATCACTGTGATTTCTACTTCACCATTAATATTTTCAGGGCAAACACAAAGGGTGAAATATTGCAAAAGAATAACTTTCTTTTTTGACAACATACTATGAAGTAAAAGGGTGAAAAAGCCCATTCTCTTTCTTGTTTCTCTTTATTTTTAACCTCTCTTTGGATATAATAATTGAAAGTCAAATATCTCTTGATAAAAAAAGCATTTCCAATATTATCATATAATATTGGATACCTACACTTCTCTATCATCAAAACAAGATACCTAGAAATATTCCAATTTGATCAAGTACTGTAAATGTACCATTTATTTTTAAGCCAGATAACTGTAAATAGGCATTTTAAAACTAGGTACAGACTATGAATATAAAATATTCCATGTTAGCAATAACCTTTTGTGTTTTTTAGTGAGATCTTTTCAAATTAATCTTTCAACATTCATACTGTGAAATCCCAGTTCTTGTCAGTTCTCAAATCTAATGACAGTCTTTTGCATTTGTGATGTTGAGGATTAGAACGAGGTAATGAATGCACAAACTTGGCTAATTTAGCTCACCTTCCATCCACAAAATTAATGCAACTGGATTCCTAATGGAAAAGCTTTTTAAATTTAAAATTCTGTTTTGGGTTTCTTAATTTACTATTCAAGATGTAATGCTAATTACCATTATAACAAAAAATTAAAATACAGATAAGAGCCCACCACTCTGGGGTGGTGATGACTTGCTATGGAAGAACTGCTCATTAGGCAGAGGGGAAAGCCCTTGACCCCCCAAGTCGGCACCTGGGAGAAGTATACTGGGCGAGGCTGCCTGCCTGAGCTGGGAGCCACAGGCTGTATTGATTCCCCTTCGGTTTTTCACAGTGCAAGGCCATTCCTTCTGTCCCGCGTAATTTGTGTATCCATTATCATAGATATTGGATGTGGAAAGATTTGGCAGGTCACCTAATTCCCCAGTCTTTCGCACAGAATGCTCCTGTTGAATATTTATGAAGTGGTTGTTAACAGGCACCTGTGGAAGCCAGCCTATTAGCCATTGTGGTCATTTACCACCACCGGAGGGGCAAACAACATCAAAGGAGCCTGAAAGCATAAGCAGAAGTGGAAAAATAAAGAAAGAAGGAATGCCAGACACTTGACTAATTGTCAAATAATGAGGTTTATTAAAAACTTCCATTGAAACTAGATTCCTCTGTTTGGGGATCAGTTGAAAGGACCCTAAGGATACCTGGAGGTGGCTTTCTTTTCTTTTGTGTAGGAAAACCTCAAAATGGGCTCTTCCCATGGCAGAGATAGAGTGCACTTCAAAAGCCAATCTGAAGGATTCTTGATTTAGGTACCATAAATTTAATTAATATGAGACAGTACAGTACATACTTACTTAACGTAAGATGACATTCTTGGTATTCCTCTGGGACAATGTGAGTTTTGAGATATTTTAAGCTAACTACAAAGCAGAAACTGAAGAGGAGATCTAGTATTATTTGATATATGGGATAATTTAGACACAAATCCAGGTAAGTCAGCCCCCAAGTGGTTTTCTGTGTGTGAGGGTGGGTGTGTAGCTTTGGTGAATCAGGCTGCACTGACTGTAAAGCCTATATGAGCTAATAAGATGGCACTCTTTGCTGTTTTCAACATAATCCTGAGAATGTAAAGACAACAGAGAAGGAAAACAGACTCTGCAATCAAACAGAGCAGATTTCAGATCTGCCCTGCACCTTGTACCATTTAGGTAACCCCCTCAGCTGGTTTTAGCCCCAATTCTTATTCGTAAAACAGAAACAGCAATACCCATTCACATGGATGTTAAGAAGAGCAAATAAAATAATGAATATACTGTATTTGGCACCTTATGGTCTTCAATAAATATTAGCTTCCCTTTACCCCCTGAGCATTCTATAGTTCATTTAAATGTTCATTTCTAGAAGACATTATTTAAGCGTGCAGCAAAAATTTTATTACAGGTAAATTTGTGTGGTTCTAAATGCAATCAAATTTTCAAAATATTTCTAACTCATTGAACAGTGGAGGAGGCTTTTTAAGTGCCAAGCAATTAAAATTGCTCCCTTCCCATATCCTTGAGTTTAATAGGAAACTGATGAAAAATTTAATGCTGGAGAAGAGACATGCTCAGGCATTTTGTTTTTTCCCATTTGAAGGACATGGTAGCCTAGAATTTAACAGCTTCCTCTCTTCTGTAGAATTGTCAAAGCCTCCAAATATGCTACTTTTCAATAAACAGTAAAGAATTTGTAGGTCACTTCCTTTATGTATTAAGGATAATTAAGCATTACAACACATTTGATATTTAAAGATTAAGAAACACCATTAACCACTGTGGATGAAACCACAATTGGCTTTAGCCTCAGTCTCAACTTCTTTTTCACCTAATTCTTCTTTCAGCCGTTAAACAACTCCTCTAGGTGGCTCCTATACTAGAATTTATTTAACTATTCATGGTATTAACAAGAGATGCTTACAATGTCCAAAGGCAGTACCTATCTTTTAAATGAAAAAAATTAATGTTACTATGGTCATGCATACCCAATATTAAATATTTGGATGAAAATAGGAAAAATGGTCAATATTCTGGGTATTGCCAAATATCTGAGGTGTTAAGACTAGCGAGATGAAGTTCCTGGATAGATGACATGTAGATTCAGCTTCAGTTTTCTAGGTACTAGATACTTCCTGAAGAATATGGTTTGCTTATGGGTCAGGAAGAGATCCAAAAGAAAGAGGGCATAGCTCCAGAGAGGGTCCAGGGACTTGTTTTTGGTTTTTTTTTTTTAGAGCCAGGGTTTCACTTTGTCATCCAGGCTGGAGTGCAGTGGCATGATCATGGCTCACTGTAGCCTCCACCTTCTGGGATCAAGTGATCCTCCTCCCTCAGCCTCCCAAGTAGTTAGAACTACAGGAATGCACCACTGCGCCTGGCTAATTTTTAAATTTTATGTAGAGACAGGGTCTTGCTATGTTGCCCAGGCTGGTCTTGAACTCCTAGGCTCAGGCAATCTTCCCTCATCAGCCTCTCAAATTGCTGGTATTACAGGTGTGGGCCACCACACATGGTGACTTTTATTGTAATAATTACATATATAATATAAAGAAGTCTGACCCCAGTCTTGACTGAAGAACATAAGGATATGAAATCAGAACTAAATAGTGTTTAGAAACAGAAAAAAAATCCAGCAGAAGCCAAGAAATACACTATTAACAAAAGAATAAATAAAAAATAAAAGCAGCAACTTACAAGAAAGGTGTGTAGATGGGTAAGAGAAAGCCTTTATGCTCAATTCCTGGTGTGGTTCTTCTTTGGTGTACATACACACAGAGAGACACACACACACACACACACACACAGAGTATACACACATCATAATAAAGGAAAGCAAAAGGGAATGACTAGCTCCTTTACAAGGCACATAAACACATTCTCAGGCAAAATTAAACTCCTTAGTTCTAGGACAGTTAAAAAGTACACACTTTGTAAATGTCCCCGAGGGCCTGTGAACCAAGGCATAGGGAGACACATGCCATTCTATGAATGGCACTGTATGTGCCTCTGTAATTGTCAACAGATGTGGGATGCCAAAAGACCGGAAACACAGCTTCCACTTAGCACATGCTTTCTAGTGACTGACAGAATTGAAGTCTTAGAAAAATGAAGATTTGATGAATGTGGCATTCTGCTTAATTGTGCTAAACTGTTTAGTTCTAATTTTCATAAATAGATTCAACAGTTGAGAAATAGGACACCTTTTCCTGATTCCCTCAAGAAAAAGATGGGGGAGGGGTAGGAAGAAAATAAAAGAAGCAAAAGATCACATTGCCACGGGATACATAAACTGTATAAATCAGATATTTATATATTTATATTAGAAAAAATTTGAAATAAAACTGGTTCCAAGACTACATGTTGAAAATTAAGGAAATATGTTCCTTCACTTCCAAGATATTCTCATCAGTTTGTCCCCAGTATTTTAGTAGGTTGAAGTACCAATCTTTTGAACAACTTAAAATCCACGTCTGAACTTTATTCGTGTTTCTTTGATATAGGCAGTTTTGTGCTATTTCATCTCTTGCTCCTAAAAGTTTATGAGTAGACTGCTCCTTCATTCAAAATGTTCATCTTTTACATTGTAAGCAATTTTCACTTCTGGAAAAATGTGGGGTTTGGGTTATAGAGTTTTAATGCTAAAAGAGGCTTACATTTACTTTCTCATGGCAGTGTGAAAAAAAATAAAATAAGTGAGGCTTACAGAGGTACTTGTCCCATTTCCAGGTCACAGAAAATGCATACCCTATGTATATTTTGGGATACATACTATCTTCACATCACCATTAGGGATGAGGCTCCTTTACAGTGAAGAATACCCAGTCAGTCCATAGCAGACAAACTAGAACTTGATGTCGCCTGTGAGAGTCAGTCCAAGTGCTATTCTGTGCCTTTGGCCAGGTGCTTTTATACATTCACTCATATAATCCTCCACCGACTCTTATCACCTATAATCAATCAATTTACTTTGGCTGAATAGGAACTATAAAGAGACCTCAAAATCCCTAGAGGCATTCTTTGAAATAGAAGAGCTAGTAATGTTATTAATATTTGACATTTTTCTTCTTGGCATTATTCTCTGCAGTGTTGTACCATGTTACAGTGAAATGAGTCAGGCTGCTTTCCTAAACAAGGACACTGAACCAGTATAGTAGCAGGGTGGTTATAGTGTATGCTAGTAGCTCCATCACTCTTTTTTGTAACCACAAAGTAAGTATGCTAAGAACCCAATGGCTGGTGAGTACCAATAGTACTTGTGCCTCTTTTGCAATGTTTCTTAGGATAGTCGAGTACATGCCCAGTCATCCTCTCTACTGGGTCCAAATACATGAGAACATGTTCATAGCAAAGCTTTTTCAATAATGCTTTAAATATAAAATTATTCACCCCCCTTGGAAAACCACTTATTTAATGTCAACTGTACAGAGTGTAATTGACATTCAAATACATTATCACTTATCAAATACATTCAATTCTCACAATAGTCCTTTGAAATATTATTGCCCTCATTTTACAGATCAGGAAACTGAAGCTCCAGGAAGTTAAGTAACTTGTCAAAAGCACACTGCTATAAGTGATGAATCTTGTTGCTCTTTCATGACACTTGTTGCCTCTCCACCACAAGTGTCAGGTAAGTGGTTAGAACAATCCAAATGTTAAAGGATGTTTCTGGGCCTTTTGTGGTTGTTTTACCTCATTGCCTTATTCTTGGATAACATACACGTTAGAGTAGCTGTAGAGAGTGTTCCTATAAATAACACTTACATAAATAAATAACTCTGCCTAGTCTTCTCACTTGTATGGGTAAGGAAATACCATGGGGTGGGAGTGGGAGGACAGAACACTTCAGGTATTCAATAATGCAGATTGCTGGGAGCTTGGTATGAAGTGATTCAACTCCTCATTTGCCTGTGAGTTTGAGCGTCTCAAGTAAACTGGACCAGAGGGGATAAGGCACACTTCTGTGATCTTAAATTCACCTTAAGGGGTGATTATTGTGCATAGATCATGGAGAGTGGAGAGACTAGGTGTTTTAATTTCAGGGAAGTTCTTGCTCTTGGGATCTTACTGCTGACTTTCCTTGTCTGCCAATAGATCCTAGAATGGCAGGAGTTTTATGTATTTTATTTATTTTGAATCAGGTCTCAACAATGAAACAAAGCTGGTTATTGTATTTACCTGCACAGCACTCCTTCTCCCCGTTTTAATGACTACAGCTCTTGACCACAGGGATGGAGCCAGGCTGGGTCACTGTAACTTTTCCAACCGGGTCAGATAGGATGAATTTTTTGCCTGTTCTGTGCTAAAGAGGCTGAAAAGATATGTCTTGAGCTGCCCATGGTCATGGTTTACCCCAAGGGGGGAAGTTGGGCTGAGAGAATGCAAGCACCATGAAAAGAGAAGCTGGAATAAGCCCCAGAGAGAGAAAGAGAGAGAGAATATGTGTCCTAACAGCATTCAAATGCCAAAATCTGAGGCCAAATCAAACTCTATCCTTCCGTGGCTTGCTTAATTTCCCCATTTTTGTTTCAGATCATCTGAGATAGACCTCTGTAACTTAGTACTGTAGGAATCTAGACTAATATAGAAATCTTGCTTTAATAGCTAAAATAATAAAAGTGGCTTATTAAGTGTTAACTTTGTGCCAAGCATTTCACTTTGACCATCTTATTTTTCTTTTATATAATCTCATGAGGTAGGTATTAGTATTACTATTTTATTTAGGAAGAAATTGAGGTTCCAAGGAGTGAAATGACTTTCCTAAGGTCACACAGCTAAAAAGTAGTAGAGCTAGATCTTGAATCTATTTCTACACAGCTCCTTAATCCATACACCTAATGTCAAAGTTATATGTCAGTGGTTCTCAATTCTGGCTGCATATTAGAACACCTGGGGGCCTTCTGAAAACATGGGTGCTCAGCCACTATCGCTAGGGCTTCCAAGTTTGCACAAGTACAGGGGTGCTATTCACATGGAAAACAGTGGAGTTGTGCTCCAGGAAGTTGGAAGGCCAGGGAGATGAAGAGGTTCTTGGTAAGAGGTGCCACCTGCATTTGTGCAACTGTTGTGGCCTTGCAGCCTGACCAATTAGCTCTGACTCTCTGGGAGTGGGGCCCCAGCACTGAGATAATTTTAAAAGCTCCCCAGGTGATTTTAAAGTACAGTCAAGAGTGTGAAGCACAACTCTAACCTTAACACATATATTGGGTTTATGTGGGCTTTGACTTGGTCTACACTAGCACAAAATGAAAAATTTAAGCGTATGGGGGGGCAACTGAAGCTCACAAGCCAAATGACTACAATGATCAGGGTATCTCAGATAAAATCTTGTGTGAGGAGTAGTGAGTCTGGAATCACTGACCCATCTAAATAAACAATGGCTTTATTTCTGCAGTGCACTTCGCAGTATAGTGCTAAAGGTATTAAACAATATCTGTGTGTAACTTCATTTTTAAAAGTTTTTCAAACATGATATTTATAATAATCAATGAACTATTTCTGTAAAAATGTAGATTTTATAAAGATGTATCCAGCAAACATTTTTCTCTTAGGTTTAAACTTCCAAAAATGAGTATTGGTGAAGTCCACGCTATGTTTCTACATAAGATACTATTCTCTTACATGACAGTAAACTATTCAAGCTATTACAAAAAATACATGTATAGAAGGAAGGAAGGAAGGAAAGAAGGAAGGAAGGAAGGAAAGAAGGGTGGGTACTAAGAATACTGAGGACACACTTCATATCTCGTCCTATGATAGGCAACGGATCACTCAGGTCTCAAAAGATGCATAACTAATAGATTTCACAGAGCTCGACCATATTTGATTTATAGATTATGAACTGGAAAGAATTAAGACAGCAAATGTCATATTTTAAAAGTAAGTTTAGTTATCATGAATTATGCAATCTCATACATTCTTATAAAAAAATGGAATAAAGGGGACACTTAATTCACTGTGTTAAAAGTCCCCATGAGGGGGATATGTAAGAATGTTAGGTTAGGTGGCCACTTCTGAACTTTAATACTGAGCAAAGGGAAGAGTTTAAGCTAATGAAATTATCCAAACTAGGCAGTTTATTGTATAACATTAGATATAACTTATTTTTATAGTAAAAAGTCCTACCCAATTTTAACTCAGTTTTACCAAAATCTCTTTAATTGTGATGTTTTTCCTGTGATTTCTAGAATCCTATAATTGATTAAATTGATAAGCATATTTTTTAGCAAAGCTCTTATAAGAAATCAGTGAAATGTTACTCTAAGACTGAAATGTCACTCTAAGACTTATTTGACTCCAAGTTTCAACGAGCAGATTAAGTATGTCTAATTAGAGTCAGACTTTATTTGCTCACATCTGAGACTTCAGAAAACCACTGCCAATCGCAATGCAATGCTATGTGGGGCTACTCCATCTCTCTTCAACTGGAAGACTTAATTTGGCAAAACTTCCAGTAGCAAAACATCGAAGAAAATGCAACTTTTCTAGGAAATTGCTAGAAGACATGCAGTCAATCAGCAAGACTTGTGGATCTATGAGGGTGGGTTTTGTCTGGAGTCCTTCCAAGGAGAAGGATCTGGGTTAGCCGGAGCCTGCCCAGTGGCTAGGATTGTGCCCTAGCATATTTCACTCCTGCTCAAACCTTCAAAAGTTTCTAGCTGTCCTGAATCCTCAGAATGACCTTCAGATCCCAACTGAGATTCCAGGCAACGCTTTTAGTTTTCTATTTCCCTATATTAACTAAACTTTGGTCCAACCCGACTGGTTATCATTTTAAATACCCCTCACATTTTCTTACCTACAGAATGTTGCTCATCTCCAATTTTTGACATGGGATGCATTCCCTCTACATCCAGCACATTTTATTATTTCCTGATAATCAGGTGAAATGCCACCTCTTTGTGAGGCCCCGGCAGTTTAATACCTTTCTTTTGGCCTGAACTCCTATTGTACTCTGTTCTTCTTGGGTCTCAACCCTCCATTAACTCCTTAAGGACAGGGACTGCATCTTATATGTGACACGGGAGTAAAACAGACTGTATATGTTAATTCTAGCTTCTCTACTTAATATCTTTATGACTTTGGGCAAAGGAAACTCCCTGATTCCCAACTGCCTCATTTGAAAATTGGTCACATAATAATAATTTATACTTCAAAATGTTCTTATGAAATTATGAGATAAGTAAAGCATCTATCATAATTTTGACACATAGTAAACAACAAATATATGTTAAATTCTCTCCTTAAGCCTCTTTTCCAATTGCTTCATAGCATTTACTTGGGTTTCTTAAATGAATGAGTGAATGAAATTGTGAAATTGAGTCAGGTCTAAGAAGAAAGAACAGGCAATAGTATCCTGAGGATCTAACTATGACACTCCAAGGTAATTCATAAATCATATAATGATTCCTACTCATATTCTCTTCCCCACATTATAAAGAAAAATTAGAAAATAAGCATTTAAACATTTTAGAAATCAATAGTGGAGGTTTTAAAACAAAAATAATAAAAATGGCCAGGTGCAGTGGCTCCTGCCTATAATCTCAGCACTTTGGGCAGCCGAGGTGGGAGGACTGCTTGAGCCCAGGAATTCAAGACCAGCCTAAGCAACATAGTGAGACCTCATCTCTAAAAATAAAAATTTTAAAAAAATTAGCTGGGCACAATGGCGCCAGCCTGTAGTCCTAGCTACTCGGGAGGCTGAGGTGGGAAGATTGCTTGAGCACAGGAGTTTGAGGTTGCAGTGAGCTATGAATGTACTTTTGCACTCCAGCCTGGGTGAGATCCCATCTCTAAAAAAGGAGAGAGGGAGAGAGAGAGAGAGAGAGAGAGAGAGAGAGAGAGAGAGAGAGAAATGGAAATGATATCATATTTAGAGTAATATGCATCATAGGTTAACAGAAATTTGTACATCTCTAGTAGAATATACATACTAAAAACAAAAAGAACTACAGAAAACTCTTTTCAATAGTTATACTGTTGGTGATCGTGTTGATACTGTTTTTCTGAGACTACTGGGTGTGTATTGTGGGATAAAGCAAATGAGTGATTATGTTGTTCCACTGAGAGCCAGGATTGTAGGCAGGGGAAAAAGAAAATGCAGATGTAACATCAGTGAGGTAAAGTGCAATTTTATAGTCCTCAACTTAAATTGGAAATATCATATAATTAGTAATATAATTTCATGTTGGAGAAAAAAAGTGTTTCCTAGTCCTGTCTGCTGAAAAGACCTAGAAACAATGAACAATCCAGTAGCAACACACACACTTACTGTTCAGACTGTGGCCTCTAAATACTATGACCTAGGAAAATAAATTGGATTCTTTGAAGAGATAGCTGATTTCAGATCTAGGGCAGGACATGTACAAGATAGCCTGAAACAATTTGTCCTATCAGAAAGCCAGGATGATATCAACAACTATGAGGGTCATGTCAAAAGGACTCAGAACCAGTTTAAAGATGTTTCAATTGGCCAAAGATGGGACAATTTGAGCATCAATAAAATAGCTACTACAATGGAATGAAACACATCAAATATTTTTAAATCCATCAGTTAATAATGACACAAAAAATAAATAAATCATCTTTGGGTGATACTAGTAAACAAACTGATGGTTTAAAAATAGGTAAATAAAGAGAAAGAATGAGGCATTTATCCTACCTTCTTATACAAAAGTATCTCAGAGTAACTGAATAGCTGATAAGGGGAAAGTTCTGTTTGCATAGATTTATTTAAATTAATAAAGAAGGAATTACATGATTAGACTGTACCATTCAGAATATACTGAAATTAAATCTAGTTGGCCTTTGAACAACATGAGTTTGAAGTGTGTGGATCCACTTTTTCAAATATTTTTTTCCACAAATTTTTTGGAGATTTGTGACAATTTAAAAAAATTCTACAATGAACCACATAGTCTGGAAATATCAAAATAATTAAGAAAAAGGTATGTTATGAATGCATAAATATATGTGGATGCTAGTTTATTTTAGCATTTACTACCACAAAGTATACACAGATCTATTATAAAAAGTTAAAATTTGTCAAAACATATGCACATAAACACAGATTGTACATGGCTCCCTTTGCAGATGAGAGAAATGTAAACAAATGTAAAGATGTAGTATTAAATCATAACTGCAGAACATTATCTGTAGTACATACTGTACTACTGTAGTAATTTCATAGCTACCTCCTGTTGCTATTGTGGTGAGCTCAAGTGTTGCCAGTATCTGGTAAAATGCTGCGGATGCTAATCACCTCTATGTGAGCAGTTCATCTCTCCAGTAAATTGCATATCACAGGAAGAAGTGATGGCTCTCACATACTTTTCATCACATTTAGTGTAATACTGTAGACCTTGACTAACACCATAGGACTCATACAATGTGCAACTAGTGATGTTGGAAGTGCTCCCAAGAAGCAGGGAAAAGTCGTGACTTTACAAGAAAAAGTTGAATTGCTTGATATGTACCACAGATTGAGGTGTGCCACCGTGGTTGCCATTTCAGAAAATTCATCTTGTAAACAGATGGTATTGATAAATAGAGTACGGTACTATAAATGTATCTCTTCCTTATGCTTTTCTTAACAGTTTTCTCTTCTCTAGCTTACTTTATTATAAGAATACAGTATATAATACATTTACAAAATATGTGTTAATTGACTATGTTATCATAAAGACTTCTGATCAACAGTAGCTCATTAGTAGTTAAGTTTTTGGGGAGTCAAAAGTTATATGCAGATTTTTGTGTGCAGGGCTCAGCACCCCTAAACTCCCTGTTGTTCAAGGGTCAACTTCAAATGTATCTAGGCTGCTAATGTCATAAAAAGGGAGATAATTAGACATTATGCCTATGAAAACAAGCAGCAACATCTAGAAAGCATTTTAGCCCACTCCCTCTCCCCCGCTAAAAAAAATCAAACTTAGGGCAAGCCTCTAGATTTAACTCAATCCACAGGAAATACAAGGGATAGGGGAACATGACAAATGATGCCGTGGAAATGGAGTTAGGACAAATACTTGGCATCTGTAACACATAAGTGGTAAGAAGAAAAAAGATGGAAGTAGAACCTACAGATTACAAGAAACTTGGGATATATCAGCCAACTGCATTGTTTGAACCTTATTGGAATCCTGGTTTACATTAGAAAACTATTTTTAAAGAAGTATGAAGACAATTGGGAATATTTGAAAACTGGCCATATATTGGATATGATATTAAGAAATCACTGTAAAATATTTTAGGTAGAATAATAGTATTGTAGTTATATAAATAAAAATGAGTCCTTGGCAGGGCTCAGTGGCTCATGACTGTAATCCCAGCACTTTGGGAGGCTGAGGCAGGAGGATCACGACGTCAGGTGTTCGAGACCAGCCTGACCAACATGGTAAAACCCCATCTCTACTAAAAATACAAAAATTAGCCTGGCATGGTGGTGTGTGCCTGTAATCCCACGTACTCAGGAGGCTGAGGCAGGAGGATCACTTGAACCCGGGAGGCGGAGGTTGCAGTGAGCTGAGATCGTGCTACTGCACTCCAGCCTGAGCAACAGAGCAAGATTCCATCTCAAAAAACAAAAAACAAACAAACAAACAACAAAAACAAAAACAAATAAAACCAAGTCCTTACCTTTTAGAAATACAAATTAAAATATTTATAAATGAAATGATGTGATTTTGGAGATCTGCTTCAAAATAAACTGGGTGTAGGAGAGTAGCTGCTGTGTGGCTGAAATAGGACTGACCATGAGTGAAAAACTCCTTAAGCTGAGTGGTGGGTGCATGGGGGTTCATGATATTATTTTAGTTTTGTATACATTTGAAAGTTTTGGTAATAGCATTTTTAAAAAATCACACTTTAAAATCACTTCATATATTAAAACAAGTCAAAATAAATTCTACATTTCCTAATTATTTAAAGCAGAGAGAGAAAAATCTCACATGGCTGACAAGGAGAAAACATATTTTGAAATCCTTCTTCTTTATACTCCACTGGCTTTTCAAGTAATTTTAGATATTTTTCTTAGAAATTTTAATGTAGCTTTATTTAGTTTTCTGTGATGAAGTCTTTATTCTTATCTTCACGATTATTAAGCTAACCAAAATCAGTTTTCAATTGTGAGCTCCAGGAGAGAAGGGTCCATATCTCATTTTTGTATCCTCCATAATTTATATACACTGTAGCTACCCATTGATTAAAGTGTAACATAAGAAATAAATTAGAGAACTTGTAAAGTGAAATGGATGGAAAGTCCTATGGATAAGAAGGGGAACTCAGAAGAGCTAATCTTGAGACCCTAAAAGGGGAAGATAGAAAAGGAAAACTTTTCTAGGCTATGTCATTAGAAGGCACGGAAAATGGTACAGAGACTTAAGTAATAGTGTTTTATGGGTCATTATAGTACATACAATGGAGCAACATCATAATGTCATTATCTGATTTTCTAAAGCAATTGTTTTCAACCCTTTGCTACTTCCTCAAGCTCCTCGTTCCCTTTAAGTGTTCTTACTTTGAGCCTTCTACTTGAGTGTGACCTGGATGCTCTAGGCATGCACAAGCTTTAGGGATTTACATTCTAAAACACTGCTTTGATTAATCCCTCTCCTTGTAAAGCGTTCCGGTATCTTCGCATCAGCTATGAGAGTTTTCACCTGACATTTATGACTCTTTTTCATCTGGCCTAGAGGTACTCACCTATTCTCATTGCCCACTGCCCTGCAAGATGAATTAGGAAAGTGGTGTCACTTTCCTTTCCGGCCCCACAGGGACACCTGCCTTTTTCATATTATTATCTCATCAGGAATGTCCTTCTCTACCCTCTTCTGTCCATTCTTTTTTTTGAGACAGAGTCTCACTCTTGTCACCCAGGCTGTAGTGCAGTGGCACAATCTTGGCTCACTGCAACCTCTGCCTCCCGGATTCAAGCGATTCTCCTGCCTCAGCCTCCCGGGTAGCTAGGATTACAGGCACCCGCTACTACATCTGGCTAATTTTGTATTTTTAGTAGAGAGGGGGTTTCACCATGTTGGTCAGGCTGGTCTTGAACTCCTGACCTCAGGTGATCTGCCTGCCTTAGCCTCCCAAAGTCCTGGGATTACAGGCGTGGGCCACCGTGCCTGGCCTGTCCATTCTTATACTACATATCTTTCAATGTCCAGCTCAAGCTCCTCTCTTCCACGTCTTTCTTGTCTTCTGACCTATGTGCCCCTGCAGTTATTCTGCATGTGTTATTTATCTTGGTACTATACCAAAAACTTCCTTTTATTGTTCCTTAGCTTATTTTCATCTTTAAATCAATACATCTAATCAGTAAACATTTACTGGATACATTTTATATGCCAAGTAATAATGGGTGTCGTGGGTATATGAACAAGAAGAAAATAGTCTCTTCATCCTCAATCCAGTTAAGGAGATAAAGTACAAAGTATATTAACTTTAAAGTTAAAGTGTGTGCTTTAAAAAACAGTTCAAGGCAACAATAGAAGAGACTTCATAAAGCAGTGCATGACTAACTGCCCAATGGTATAACAATTTGCTCTTCTCCTACTTGGTAATTATCCTAGAAGGCATGAGCCAGGTCTGCTTTGGGCAAGATACCCAGTGGTTTCTGTTTGAGCTGAAGCAGATCTACTGCAAGAGGGAAGAGCAGAAGAAGCTTATAAGATGTTCTGATGAACAATTTCCAGGAATGCAATATTGATGAGGATGTCATACACTGCTGTCAAGCAAATAGCAGTCAGTGAATAGCAAGAGCTTTGACTCATCTGAATTAAAGAGGTAAGAGGTAACCACCTACTATAATTCTCTGTATAGCCTTTATCAATGTCTACTGTTTTTCTCTATTCTTAATCTATTTCTTAGTTATAGTCTGTATCTTCCCAGTGTCCCACCCCTCCATCACAATGTAAACTCCACAAGATCAGAGACCTGTTGAGTCTTTTTCATCCTCTCTCCTCAGTGTCTCAGCGTTTGGTTTACAGCAGGCACTCAACACATGCTTGTTGATTAAATGAAACTGCCCTGGCTATTTAAACGAGGGCTTGAGGATTACAGCCACAAATCAGAGAGGTTCCTTTTCATGTTCCCAGTAGGGCGAAGTCTGCTTACCATGGAGCATCAATCCCTTCAAACATCACTGTACAGTGTTTTCACCATAAGGGAGGCACCATTAAATTAGGGACAACAGGGGATATAGAGCCGCTGGGCTGCGCTATTCCATCTGGTGATTGGAAAACGCAGGAGTCCTGGGTCCAGAGGCTGAACCTTCAATTTACTTTACAGTACCATTTCTACTTGTGTCCTGAGGTCTCCTTTCTTAGAACATTTTAGAGGAAAGGCCTTTGCAAATGTAGAAATGGAAAGTTTTAATTTAGTTCTTCTTAATGCCATATGAGGTATTGGGCAGAAATAAGCAAGATGGAAAATACGTGAAATTCTGAGTAATCTGTGTATTTGGTACTTCAACGTGGAGTCTGAACTATTATAGAAAAGATGACATAAACTAAAATATGATTTTTAAAACAACACAATATGCAATGAAAGAGGACAGCTCAATGAGTGATGTCGTTACTAAATTAATCATAACTTACAGTTGTGTCTTGCATTATAGTTAATAAACCTCATTGGCATTATCTTACTCTTCCTACAGACATGGATCCTGCTTATTCAGCATTTGAGTCATGGACATTTTGTCGAGGGCCAGGCACTTGTAGGCACTGAGAATTCTGAGGAATTCACAATTGATCACAATTAGGAGAACAAGATAAGTACTAAGAGGAGAGGTGAACACAGGGCATTGTACGAGTGTACCCAGGGGACATTTACTCAGACTGTAGCAGATTGCAGAAGGTTTGAGAAGGAGGAGAACAAGGAGCTGCATCATGAGTGAGTAGAAATTAACTGGTGAAAAAGACAGAATAGGGCAGGTCCAGTGGCAAGGAAGTATGAGAGCAGCAGGGTGTGCCTGGAACTTCAATTAGACTTGTATGACTGAGAGATGGATAGAAAGGAGTGGAGGAGTCTTTAGGGTTTTCTAGGTATACGGTCATATCATCAGCAAACAGCGACAGTTTGACTTCCTCTTTACCGATTTGGATGCCCCGATTTCTTTTTTTTAAATTACCGTTTTCATTTGTTTGTTTCCATACGTTATTGAGGAACAGGTGGTGTTTGGTTACATGAGTAAGTTATTTAGCGGTGATTTCTGAGATTTGGGGCCTTGAATGCCATACTTGGTGAACACTTTATTCATACATACTCTGGAGACAGCAGGGAGATGCTGGAGGATTGGAAGCAAGGAGCAGGGATGATCAGATATTGCAGCTACTTTTAATTATTTACCCAATAGATATCATCATCTTTTCCCTAAAGAATCCCAATTTTTCTCAAACAGCTTCTCAAGAAGTTGTTTTTCAGTGAATACTGGGCCCCACCCTATGCCTAGGAAGTAAAATTTGATCAGTATAAGCCAATCTAGGTAATTCCACTCTATCGCCTCTGCATGATTTAGCCACAGACATATGTCACAATTTTGGCCAATAATATGGAGTTTAAGAAACTTGTTTTAGGGCTTCTAGAAAACATTTCCTCACTCTTCAAAAGGGATATCTGTTACAGACATTCTCTCTTCCACTACTGCACAATGTATGAGAATGTGCTGCTTAGAGCAACTGCAGCCATCCTGGGACCACAAAGAGACAGGCCTGACAAAAGTCTACATGCTGAGAATGGCAACATGGAAAGATGTAAAGAACCAACGTCCCTGAAGTGGTCAAATGGCCA
The DNA here is from genome assembly GCF_000001405.40 of Homo sapiens. NCBI lineage: Eukaryota > Metazoa > Chordata > Mammalia > Primates > Hominidae > Homo > Homo sapiens. Next base: position 97,071,830 of record NC_000008.11, on the reverse strand, counting down.
AATTATGCACTCTGTAACACCTGCTGCAAAGTTCTTTTTAAGCGAATTTAAAAACATCATCCCCTTACTGCCATTCTGACTGGGTCTTCTGTTTCATTTTGCAGCCAAAAGCATCCAGGTTGATATACTGATTTTCACTTTAGAAAGTTCATTCTAGAAGCAGTGAGCCAATTAGGTGAAAGAAGATTAAAAACACAGGTTGGGATATTACTAGGAGGCTGCTGTAGGAATCAGTGAGTTTTGGTGAGACAAGGTCTGTGGGGTGGAGAGGAGGGAATGGGTTTAAGAAATAGCAGGGATTTGGAGTAAACAGGACTTGTAAACATTTGGCTTTATGTCCTGGGTGCTTTTGAGGTTTCTGAATTATAGTGCCTGCTAATGAGATAGGGGACAGAGGAGGAGGAGAACACAAGTGGAGGCCTGGTAGAAATAATGACTCATAGGTTACCAGACTTATTTTGCAGATGAAATAACCAGGTCTCATTACTAGTCTGTGTTGTCTGTGAGAGCATGGATCTTATCTGTCTTTTCTTACTACTGATTCTCCAGTACCATACAATAGTTGATTAATAAGGATGCTTAATAACAAATAAATGAGGCTTAGAAAAATTACACTGTTTGCCTACATAGTTAGAAGTTTTGAAGTCAGAATATACACTCAAGTCCTCTAACTCCTTGCAATACACCGTCTACCACAAGCCACCACACTAAAAACAACAACAACAAAAAGTTGAATTTCAGATTCTGAAGCAGAGGAGTAAACTCTTCTTGGCAGATATAGAGTAAGAGTGGGCTCATTCTCTCAGGTCACAGTAAGAGGGTATTTAATTTTCTTTCATTAATGTATATTTTGTGAAAGAGTTTCTAAAGAAGAAATATATTCAAGAAGGATGCACTTAGGGACATCTAAGAACCATGGATTATACCTCATTGGTGACATACTCAGAATGAAATAGACTCCTTTCATCCTAACCTGGAGCTCATATAGGAGAATCAGGCAAAAACTTGAGATTTAAAGCCTCTCTATTATCTGGAGTGACTAGAGACTAGCTTAAATCCCTCTTAGGTCACTTTAAGTCATGTATTGTCTTTCAAATTGTCAGGGAAGAGCAATTCACCATTTTATGTGTGAGAATCACTAAAGTATTGAAAGATACATCTTCTCTCAGTCTTTGCTCCTTTAAGAGAAATAATCCTTATTGCTCTAGGCTTCCCAATTTATATCATTCTCCCAATATTTTTTATACATTTTTGGCTCTTAGTATCCTTTATTTTCTTCATATTCTTAAACTGAAGTATCTAAAAGCTTGTCTAGACAATAATTATTTCAATGTTTTTGTTTCTGCTAAGTCAGATTTATAAGAATTTAAATGTCTCCTAAAATTAAACCGACAGCTCTGGAACAGGCAAAGAATGAGAAATTATTGACCTTAACCTCAAAGAACTGATCACTGCATATAGGCAGCAGGATGCACATAAGCCCCTAGTGTTCCAAGAACAATATCATAGTTTGTAATTCACATGCCAGGTTGTGGGACAAAGACTTGAAGCGCGTTAGAAATTTGGAAAAGCAATAGAGCACTACGGACTCAGGAAGGATTCATGAACACCAGTGAATACAGAATGAGCCTTAAAGAGCACTGAGGATTTAGAGAGAAAGAATAGGAATATGGAAGGAGGTGGACATGGGAGAAGGCTGGAATCTGAAGATCTAGAACAAAGAGTTTATGCGGAAAGTACATCCAAGATACTTTTAAAGAAAATCTTTTTTCCCCAAAGCCTTATATTAATGTTGACAGTTATTCTGTCCATTATAGATATCATCTAGATGGGTAAAGGATATCATCTTTTCTCTCCCAAAGATGGCCGTATTATAAATTGATCCTTTTGTCTTCTATAATTAATGAAAGCAATGTTGAATTTTAATTCTATCTGTGTGATAGATATACAGTTCTATCAGTATTTTGGTAAATAGTATACATGGAATATTGGGGTCTAGTCATCATACAGTCACCTCAAATTATAGAAATTTAATAGGCCTAGAACATGGTAGGGACTCAATAAATGTTTATTGAATCCGTGAAAGAAAAAAAGAAAGAAAAAAGGATGGAGTTTAGAAATATTATTTAGCATTAATTTTTTAGAAGTTAGGTGAGCAGTTATTTAAATGATAACTTAATTAGTATTTAGAATCCTACCCTTAGCTTTAAGCTATAATTTGTCAGGCCTTCACAAATATAGGGTACACAACTGATATATTTTTACTTTTTTCTTTTTCAGACAAATTCATTTTCATCTTTTAGAAAAAAGATGAAGAACCCAAATATGGTTCTTCATCCTTTTCTTTTTTTTTTTTTTTTAGAGACAGATGGGGGTCTTGCTGTGTTGCCCAGGCTGATCTTAAACTCCTGGCCTCAAGCAATTCTCCCACCTTGCAGCCTCCCAAAGTGCTGGGATTACAGGGGTAAGCCACTGCACACAGTGAGGTACCTGAAATTTTCAATAGGTGACAAGAGTTATAACCAGTACCATTGTTTCTTCCAGGAATAGCCCAAATTTGAAATATCAAAGGATAACTCAAAAGTAATAAAAGGAAGACAGCAGTAATTTGGTTCTGTCTTCTAATGCTCTAAAGGAAATAAAACAGCATTCAAGGAAACATTTAGAGTCATCTAAATGAGCTACTGACTTTATGTAAACCTTTCTGATCTTTCAGAGTTAAAGAAGGGAGTAGAACAAAGAATGTGAGAAGATATAAGTAGTTATTTACAATAACAAACTCCTTTCTCCCAGGGGTAAATCACTGTGGAGCAGGAATGGACTGAAATCCTTTGCATAAGCAAGAGCTGAGTAAGATAAACATTTTAGACACTGCCGGAGATTTGGAGGCTTCTCAGCATTCCAGACCCCTCAGTGTTGTTGCATATTGTGAGAAAAGGGCCACCAGCCTTGAAGCCAAAATGGCCTGTTCTCAGGGTGACTCCTGCCCTAAGGGCAGTATAGTCTTGGGCAAGTCATTTAACCCTTATGAGTCTGTTTCTTCATCTGCAAAATAGGGATCATGATAATTGTACCTCCTTCATAGGATGGTTGTATGGATAAAACAGTGTCTGCAAAAAGCCTAGGTACTTCCTACACATTAGGAGTTCAACACATTTTAACTCTTATTAATTCTTTTTTGTTTGTTTGTTTGTTTTCAGATGGAGTTTCACTCTTGTAGCTCAGGCTGGAGTGCAGTGGCATGATCTCAGCTCACTGCAACTGCCGCCTCCTGGGTTCAAGCAATTCTCCTGCCTCAGCCTCCCAGTTAGCTGGGATTACAGGCTTGCACCACCACATCCGGCTAACTTTGTATTTTTTTAGTAGAGCTGGGGTTTCACCATGTTGGTCAGGCTGGTCTCGAACCCCTGACTTCAAGTGATTTACCCACCTCGGCCTCCCAAAATGCTGGGATTACAGGCATGAGCCACTGCACCCGGCCTCTTATTAATTCTTATACAACCATAATGGGCTCAGTCTCCCCACTCCATTCTATTAGGTAGAAATCAAATCTGACCTCATCTTAAACCATGGCAAAGACAGAAAATGCTTTCTTATTTTAGGTGAAAAGAATCAAATTAACCTGATCACTCCAAACAGAACCATTCTTATACAACACGTACATGTGAAGGAAAAAAGCTAGAGCCAAGTCTCAATGATCAAACACAACAAAAAAGAAATACCTGGGATGGGGAGGGACAAGTTTTTGTTCCCAATTCTGTCTTAGGTTTCAGCTCCTTACCTCACCTTGAACCACCCCCCGTCTGCACTCTCATTCACCCACAGTCTACCAGTCTTTTCCTCACAGCTACCACACAGCAGCTTATTCAGGGTTTCTCAATTTTTAAGAAGTTCTTGTTGAAATATTTCAGGCTCAGAAAAAATCTAGAATTTCATACAAATGATTCTATATAATTTAAAGGGCAGACTCTCTCCCCTACACTTAGATCATGTTTATCAATGACACATATGTAGATAGTATTGGATCTGTCCAGAGAAGTACAGCATTGTAAATGGAAATGTTGCTTTAAGAGATTTCAAAATATGTTAACATACACAGAACAAAGAACAAAGGAAAATAATTTTGGTCTTTCTATTAGAGTACAGAAAAGCTCCTTTTATTTTTAGTTATGAAAGATTATTATAAACCTTAAAACTTAAAATATGCCTTAAAAATCTGCAGTATTGCAAGAATAAGCTTTTTAAAAATCTTAAATCTATGTAGTATGTTACTATTGGTAAAATCTACTTTGCAGCCTGGAAAAAAAAATCTGGAGTGGAGTAGGTCCAGAGACACTGTTTTAGTACCTCTGAAATGTTTGTAGCCACAGAAATATTTCTGAATACAGCAATGTTAAAACTGTTCAAATGTTAGGCATCCTATGTGTATAGTACAAATACAGAACAATTTGCAGATGGATCCTTTAACTTTTTTGGATTATGGATATAATGGTGTTGAGGAAGCAACCTCGGGTCACAAACAATATCAGTAAACTTTTTCAATGGCCAGGCTTAGGTAACTTTGTGAAGTAGTATACATTTGTCTTCTTTAAGACTGTTCTAGAGGCCAGGCATGGTCGCTCATGCCTATAATCCCAGCATTTTGGGAAGCCAAGGCAGGCAGATCACTTGAGCCCAGGAGTTGGAGACCAGCCTGGGCAACATGGCGAAACTCTGTCTCTGTAAAAAATACAAAAGTTAGCCAGGCATGGTGGTGCACACTCATAATCCCAGCTACTCGGGAGGCTGAGACAGGAAGATTGCTTAAGGCCAGGAGGTGGAGGTTACAGTGAGCTGTGATCATGTCACTGCACTCCAGCCCAGGTGACAGAGTGAGACCCTGTCTAAAAAAAAAAAAAAAAAAAAAAAAAAAAAGACTGTTCCAGCTGTTCCAGCTTGTATTTCTGTAAGTAACCTCCTCATGTCCGCTCCCATTTCATAATTTCATCCCTGAACCCCAGGGACTTAGGACTTCTCTTCAGGATATTCACATGATAAATCACTGCCCAGGGTAAATTAGTTTATGCTCAACCTCTTGCACAGGAGTCTTTGCATTAAGGTAAAACATGATTAAAAGAAAGTACCCCACCCTCAAGGAATCTATCTCTAATGGTAAAATTTCAGATACCACAGTGTTTTAATAGGGAATTATTTGGATCAAGGAAGTTTTTCTAGCACAGGACTAGAACTAGAAGGATATTAGTAGTAATATTTGCCTTCTACTCTATTTCTCAAATTTTGGTTATGAGATCATTTGTGCTATAATCACCAAAGATACCTCCTTAAAAAACAAAACAAAACAATGGATTTTTAGGCCCAATTCCAGAATGACTAAATCAGAATCTCTGGGAGTGAGGAGCTTATAATTTAGAAAGAGTGGAGGGATACAGATGGGTAAACAAATACAAGGTGAGGACTATTATCCCAGTTTTAGAAATCATCAGATTATACCTTGAACAAAAGCTTAAGGTTTCCGTGGACAACCTGGCCTACTAGTATTCATTGTGCTCTATTAAAACAGAAATTTTATTTTAAATTGTTGGCAATATATAAGGAACACAACTTCATCTTTTGGTCTTACCAGGCACTCCAGCTTGGATCCAAAAGTTGATGTCTGTCCCTTCTCCATGGCTCAGGACCTGAGTGATATTGAGGGGCTGCAGCAGGCTCATAACCTCCTCCATGATGGCCCTGGCCTTTTCACTGCCAGTGAATTGCAGCCCAGTGGGTAAGAAGGTTCCTGCGTCAGACTCCATCACCAGACTGTAGTTGGAAATATTTACCTAAACACAAGAGAAAATTGTTTGGTTCTTATCTGTTGCTTCAGTGCTTTCTCCTTGGGAACTATCAAACAACAATTACCAAATACTTTACCTCCTTACGGCTGTGCCAAAACACATGTTGCTGTGCCTGACTTAAGGTCTGCTCTGCATATTATCTAACCATTCTGAGATGCACAATTACTCAGCCTAGGATTTGCCAAACTCAAGAGTTGGCTTGAAAGGATTAAAAAAATATAATGAAGGGAAATATAAAGCCCCATATTAAAGATGTTCAGTTATTTCTACTAGCAATAATATTCTTTCAACTAATTTTCTTAAGTGTTCACTGTGTTCCAGTATACAATTCCTCCTATGTGGCAGGGATCTCCAGATAGTATTAGCCATGCTCAGACAAAAGAAGGTATGCTCTGTGAACTTATTTCTTTGCACCTCTTTCCTCTAAATGGATATTCTATCTTATCTTAATTGTGAGTTCTGCCGAAGCTTAAAGGCATCAAGCTGACAGGTTTGTCTTGGGGTTCTGATTTTGTTGTTGTTCCATCTGTTGAATCTCCAGGGAGGGAGGTAATAGAACAAGGCATGAAACACTTCTCTCCCTGGTGTAAAACCACAGCACTGTTAATTCCAGGCAACGCTGCCAGGCCACTAGTTCATAAACTCTTTCCAAATAAAGTCTGGTAAGAAAGCACACAGTTATTTCATGTAGCCAATATTGTCACGGCACAAATTTAGAATATAATAGGCTCTTGACAGGTTGCACAGTTAAATTGCTACCCAGCCCGAAAACTTGCAACTTTAAGATCCTTCAAACTGGCCAGCTCATCTGTTTCCCAGGAGCCAACCACATCTTCAAGACCTACCAACTGCCACCTTGGTTGACTTATTCCCAAGCTATCCTTGGACAAACACTGCTACTCATTCCTCATTACTCACCTAGTAAAAAATCAATAATAACATTTGTACATTGCGTCCAGAGAGCTTTCACATTTGCAATCTCCTTTGGTGTTCTTTGGCAACTCATAAAATAGACAAAGCAGTATTATTAATGTTGCTGTTTTATAGGAAAGGATCTGACAATCAGGGAGGTCAAGCGATTTGCTCAATGTCATACAGCTGGCAAATGGTAGCGCTGGCTCTGAAACCCTCTGCTTTCCAAGACTCCACACTACCATCACTAGCATGGCACTGGAGGGTAAGCAATACTTGTTCTGCATTTAGAATGATTTTCCACCTACATAACAATTTGGGGATTGCATAGTATTTTTTTCTAAAACAGATTCCATTTTACAATGATTGCCTAACCTTTTGCTTTGGAAGTATATTGTAGTTATAAGGGCAAGAGCAGTGATAGTTTCTAAAGAAAGATGTTGCCGGCATTTACTGAATGCAGGGCCCTGGGACACCAATATTTTTTGTTATTGTTAATGATGAGAAGGTTAACGATGCAGAACTCTGTTCATATTTCTGCTCTCACTTCTAAGGGACTTGTCTTCATGGTGATTTTCAGTGAAAGACCCAGGGCATTTATAATAAAAAATGCCACCTCAGCTTTCAGCTGAGGATACTGCATTATGGTAGCATCATTAGAGTTAATAATATGCAAAATATTTGCATTAATGTCTTACATTCAGGGCTCATTTAACTAGTACACTGATGCTAAGTCAGCAGGTTGACATGTAATTTGGCAGTCCTAAGCCTCTTCCCTTCTATGCCCTGCCACACCCACAACCCTAAACCCTTTCCCTCTCCTGCAAAAAGGAGAAAAGAACATTCACAATATATCTTGCAAATGAAAACAGAATTGAGTCATCTTGTTTGTGAGGGTTTCCATATTGCAGGCAGATCCCATTCTTCCAACAAGAAAATCAGGCAAAGTGCTTCTAGTCATGTACTGTGTAGGTTAAAATTGGAGCTACATGATAGGAAGAATCAATATCATTAAAATGGTCATACTGCCCAAAGCAATTTACAGATTCAATGCTCTTCCTATTAAACTACCAATGACATTCTTCACAGAACTAGAAAAACTATTTTAAATTCATATGGAACCCCAAAATAGCCCAAATAGCCAAGGCAATCCTAAGCAAGAAGAACAAAGCTGGAGGCATCACGTTACCCAACTTCAAATTATACTACAGGATTACGGTAATCAAAACAGCATGGTATTGGTACAAAAATAGACACAAGACCAATGGAACAGAGTAGGGAGCCCAGAAATAAGGCTGAACACCTACAAATATCTGATCTTTGACAAAGCTGACAAAAAAAAAGCAATGGGGAAACGGTTCCCCATTTAATAAAGGATGATGGGATAACTGACTAGCCACATGCAGAAGTTGAAACTTGACCCCTTCTTTACACCATACAAAAATCAACTAAAGATTGATTAAAGACTTAAATGTGAAGCCCAAAACTATAAAAACCCAGAAGACAACCTAGGCATACCATTCTGGACATAGGAACTAGCAAAGTTTTCATGACAAAGATGCCAAAAGCAATCGCAACAAAAGCAAAAGTTGACAGATGGAACCTAATTAAGAGTTTCTGTACAGCAAAAGAAACTATCAACAGAGTAAACAGACAACCTGCAGAACAGGAGAAAAGTTTTGCAAGCTATGCATCTGACAAAGGTCTAATATACAGCATCTATAAGGAACTTAAACAAATTTACAAGAGAAAAACAACCCCATTAAAAAGTGGGCAAAGGACATGAACAGAGGCTTCTCAAAAGAAGACATACGTGTGGCCAACAAGCATATGAAAAAAAGCTCAATATTACTGACCATTAGAGAAATGCAAATCAAAACCACAATGAGATACCATCTCACACCAGTCAGAATGGCAACTATTAAAAACTAAAAAAAGTACATGCTGGTGAGGTTGAGGAGAAAAGGGAACACTTATACAATGTTGATGGGAGTGTAAATTAGTTCAACCATTGTGGAAAGCAGTGTGGCGACTCCTCAAAGACCTAGAGACAGAATTACCATTCAACCCAGCAAGCCCATTACTGGGTATATACCAGTTAAGGGGAAATAGAAATCATTCTATATTATAAAGACACATGCATGTGTATGTTTACTGCAGCACTATTCACAATAACAGAGACATGGAATCAACCTAAATGCTCATCAGTGATAGACTGGATAAAGGAAATGTGGTACATATATACCAGGAAATACTATGCAACCACAAAAATAATGAGATCATGTCCTTTGCAGGGACATGGATGGAGCTGGAGGCCATTATCCTTAGCAAACTAAGTCAGAAATGGAAAACCAAATACCACATGTTCTCACTTATAAGTGGGAGTTAAATGGTGAGAACACATGGACAGATAGAGAGGAACAACACACACTGGAACCTACCAGAGGGTGGATGGTGGAAGGAGGGAGAAGATCAGGAAAAATAACTAATGGGTACTAGGCTTAACACCTGGGAGAGAAAATAATCTGTACAACAAACTCTCAGGAGGCAAGTTTCCCTATGTAACAAACCTGCACATGTACCCCTGAACTTAAAATAGAAGTTTTTAAAAAGTGGAGCTAGTTAGCAGTTTGGCTGTTAGACCCAACATTAATGAGCAGCCTGATGAGTTGGACACTGCCCTGGGCTCAGTCTGTTGTATTCCTGATTCAGCAACTGATACACTGGGCTACCAAGGCAGGTGAATGGCCTCTCCCTCTGTCCCCAAGTCATGTTACTTTGGTCCTTGGCTTCTGCATCTGTAGGTTGGGACAAAAGCTTGAATAATGAGCCTGTCCATATGAAGCTTCAAGCACCTTTAAAGAAAAGGCCTTTAAACCAAAGCAAAAATGGTTGCATGAATTGAAAACCAGGGCTTCTAATAATGTGTTCATTAAGTGTTTCCTGGTCCTCTTTAACTACAAATGAACAGATGTCCTAGGGACAGGGGACTTCACAGTTTGTGAATGCCATTGTGCAATGTCACAGGATGTTGACAGGAACATAGAGAATAGTGTAAATAAAGAAGGTTTCAAAGGTGCCCTAGGCTATATATGTGGCAGCCATTTTAGCAGAGAGATCAAGAGTGTGGGCTTCTGAATGATCCAGACTGGGTTTGACCCTCACATCAACCAATCTTTAGCTGTAATGGGGATGATAATGGTACCCAGCTCATGGAATTGTCAAAAACAGTACATTGTAAAGGCTAGGGCATAACTAGCACTTGGTAAACAGTAGCATTACTGTTGTTACTGTTCTTGGCACTGAGCATCAACACTTCTCAGATTTTCAAGGATGGTCTCAATATAAGCCCTTCTGTTAGCTGATTACAACGATGCTAGGCAGCATTTCTGTGATGTTTCCTACGAGCCAGACACTATGTGTAACGTCTTACAGCTCATCCCATGAGTGTGCATGATCATTCTTTAAGTGCTCTTATATTTCTCATCTGACAGATGAAGTAACTGAGGTTTAGTCAGGTTGACTAACTTTCCCACGGTTACCTAGCTAGTTAAGTGGTGCAGCCAGAATTCCAACCCAGAGGAATTGCTTCTACCTCCTAAGCAGTGCTCTCAACCTCTCCACTGCTGGGTCTCCTGAAAGTCACTTCTGTCAGGCCACAAGTCCTCACTTTTAATTCAGAAATACAAAGACCGTAGTTAAATGTATACATTAAAAACTTTTTTTCATGATCATAACACAAGGTATACTTGGACAGAAGTTGTTGTTCCTGCTAAAAAAGTAATTTGTTTAAGCCAAGAAAGAAATGAAAACAAAAACAAAAATCTCTTGCTCCACAATTTGCTTCCAACTATAAATAAAAAGCCTAAAATAATAAAACATCTTTTCAAGCCAAATAAGACAGGATGTGTAGATATCAGTAAACCAGAATTCTGGCATAGGTATAGAAATGTTTGATTTCTATTCGTGTAGAACTTTTTAAGTTGCTGCTTACATGATGGCAGCGTTTTATTGTTTTCTATTTATATATAAACATCTCCATATGTTTTCAATAAAGAACTAAGAAAACAAACTACCCACCGTCCATGACACTGCTTTTTCTCTACATTTATGGAGTCATTATCTAATTGTTAGCACATGGTGAAGGAGTTGGGACAATGTCTCTGCACAAAGAAACTGGAATGAATAGCTGTCACTGGGATGTTAGAACTGCTGCTTCTCAGGAATATATTGTCACGAACATCCTTATTCCTTAGTGTGCTATGTGTGGGGACACACTCAGTATAGATTTGAAAAGCTGATTATAGCTAGTGACAGGGAGCAGAGTAATGCTCATTTCACCCAACTCATTTTAGCACATGTAACAAGATATTCATCCTCTTGTTTATAGGGTGTAGGAAGAAACCAACTTCTAGAGGCTGAATGCTTTATTGCTGAGATAACCAGCACTGATTGAGACAAGCTGAGGCACATAGAAGAGGAGGCTGAGCAGCTCAATGATAAACTCAGATATTATCTGTAAACCCCCTATTTTGTTCTCTAAATAAAGAGAAGCTGCTCATTATTAGGAGCCATGAAAACTGTCATTCATTACCATGTAATATACATAATGCAATGTAGAGGAATGCTCCAAGGTAACCTCTTATGGTCAGATCATAGGATTAGTTAATATCTGCTCAGGGTTGAGGATTCATAATTGTCTTGTGCTACAATCACATGCTGTAACACTTCTGTTCCTTTTTTTAAGGGTCAGGCTACTCTGCCAAAGAACAATTTGGTTACCATTAGCATTCTTTGGGTGCAACGCAAGATTCAAAAGAAAAGTGTTTAAAATACATATTGCATGTTTTAAAATACTTCCTAATATAAACACAAGGATGATGTTTTTGTTTTTTGCTTTTATAAAATTCTAGGCTACTTTTCAGAAACATAGACCCAAGTTCAATAATAGCTCCTTTCTCTCCAAATTTGGCTTCTTTGTTTAAAAGTTTTTTATCTTCTCATAACCTAGAAAAAATAACTTATGAGACCACCATGGAAAAATAAATGAAATAAACGTATTTTCTCATGTTTCTCAACATGTCTTTGAATTTGACTTAAAGTGACATTGAAGTCTCAAGATCAAGTGGAAAGAAAAGAGACTCCTAACTATTTGAATTAATCATGTAGCCTCCTCAATTTATTCTTCAAAGAAGTAAACTCCACACTGACACAGGGCAATCAATTTTAGTAACTCTTTCTTGCCCTGTAAATGTAAATATTTTACAGATAATGGTGGTGATGCTGTTTGGTCAGGTGGTAGGCTCAAAACAAGTTCTCAAAAGCAAATCATCTTACAATGTGTGTGCTGAGTTGCTGCAATCCTGTTTTGCAGTTCTGCCAGTGACCCTGGAATTCCCAGTTTCTGTGGATGAAGGTGATTTCTTTACAGAGCTTCAGCTCAAACAACTAACATGATTGGATGATAGGTAAAGAAGGTTCCTCTGCTGTGCAAGGTAGAAAGACAGCCTTTATTTTCTGGTCAGATCTACCCTGAAGTTCAGACTTTTCCTTTTGACCTTTACTTTCAGTCTCCAGCACTCAGTTTTGAACAGCTTTGGGCACCCAAGGGAGAGCCAGGAAAGGGATGATAACATAAATTATTTTATTTGATAGCTCAACTGGCTGCAGCTTGGGGAAATGGGCAGTCTTGGGTAAGTTACATTAGTACCAAAATTGCAGACAGAGCGGGAAACCTAACACATGCAGGAGCCTCTGTGGATCTAACCATCTTGTCACTGCACTCCTACTATGGTTTAGCCACCATCGTACCTGGAGACAGGAACAGAATGAGTAGCCACTGGAGATCCCTTTCCAGACCTATCATTCTGTGTGTGTGCACAGAGGTATTCTGTTCTGAGACAAACCTATGTTTTCAGGCAGTCCAATGTTTGCAATGTCATTTGAAGCACTCTAGATCTTAGTGAATTCTCCTCTTGTGCTTGTTAAGGTCCGTGGATAACTCTTAAGCTTACCAAAAACACACGAACCCTGCATAAATGACACTACGGTCATAACAGTGAGCCAGAAGGCTAAAAATGTGGCATAAACATTAGCTAAAAAGAGTAATTTTATTTGTATTATATAGCAAATCTGACTGCATTTGATATGCTTTTTTAAAAAATGCAATATCCAGGATATTCGGTAGATATGACTTAAAAAAAGGCTTACATAGCAAATTGATATCTATTTCAGCTTCTAATTTTATTCTTTCATGTGGAAGCAATATAATAATAATAGAAGTAGTGGGACTCAAGAGCTCACAATTAAATTTTGATTCCTTTAATGCTATGTATTGGTCAAGTGTTTCATGCTACTGGTTTCACGTTCATTTCAGTATGCAGTTGTAGAAGAGAAAGTGCCAACATAGCTGGGTTTGTAGGAGCAGACTTCCCTGCCTTTTTCATTCTCTATCCCTCTCAGTCCCCTCTTCTAACAGGTTATCTGTCAGTCTTTCCTGTTATACCCACCACACTACTATTCTTCTCCAGGTTCAAAAGGTAACAACTAAATTGCCTGCCTGAAGAACCTTTCCTTCATTTGACCATTTTCCCTTAACACTGTGACATGCTAAATAAACCAACACATAAAGATGTGTTTCTTGTTTTTGATGGCATTGTTGTTCCAGCCAAGATAGTGCTTTCTGGTTGACCTCTAATGTCCTTCTCTTGGTTGGGAAGACTGCAGCAGCTTCTTCAAGTCCCTTTCTAAGGTTATAATGGACCGCTAAGTTCATCTACCCATAAGTAGACAGGTTATTTTTTAAAAAAATAGTACTCATCATTTTCTTGTCCTGCAAAAATAGACTACGCTATACTCTAGAACCCAAATATTTACTCAATCCTAGGGTGTATAGGGTGTATCATATTAAAACCCAATTTGTGGGTTTTTCTTTCTCTAGCCTACAGACAAGCACTTTCAGCATTTCTGGATTGTGACAGTATCCCCATATGCCTTATTTGATCAAGTACTCTTTACAAATATTAGTAAAGATGCTAACCACAACTTTAGAAATAATTATATTTTCTTAGGCGGGCCTTTCCTTCTTCTTTTTCAAAAGAAAATTAGCAGGTTTGAAACCTTATGAAAAACAAAAGTACCAAAATATGAACTTCAGGGCTCCTTGGTCTGCTCAAGTGACTTCATGCCCTACTTCTGCCCAAGCCTTCTGTGACTACCGTCCATACCCCTCCCTAATTTGTTGGCCTATTGCACTTCATTCAATTTTTTTTAAATGCCTGCCTTGCTCCTGCAAAAATTTAAGGCTCTCTACAAGAAAATGTCCAAATACTGTACTAAAAGAGTAGGTAAATGTGCTAGAACCAAGAAAATGCCATGAACACAGGAATCACGTGTGTGGATCTCTGCCATATCTCTAGATTAAATAACAGAACTAAGCACATAGTAGGTGAACAATAAATGTTTAAGGCAAAGGAAAAGTCACAATTTGGAACATTTTGACACAGCCTTAAAAGCAACTTGAGGATATAATTTAGCTCTAGCTTGTGGCTGCCAATGTGAGAGCGTGATTGATGTATTACTGAGCTCTCATTATCTAGGAAGAGAAAGTGCACCACCATCTCCTTGAAAAAAGCAATATTTTTTTCTAGCGCTCAGTTCTAAGGGGAGTAATTACATGGCTCTTTATATGAGGAACGCTGGACAAAATAATGGACACAGTCTCCAATAACAGTTTTACAAAAGATGCAGAAACACTTTTCCTAACACTATTTCTTACATATTGATCCTCAATTAAAGCCAAAAGCAAAATATTAAGTCACATTTCAGTAAATGTGTTTTTTCAGGAAGCAAAATGTATTTATTCAACAGTTATTTTGACGTAAACTTGAGTGATAGGGTGACTATACATTTTTGTTTGCCCTAGGAAGTCCCAGTTTACATCCCCTGTCTTGGTGTTAATTAACAGAGCCTCCTTTCTCTTGCAGACATTTCCTGGTTTTAATAATAAATCATATTTCCAACCTACATATGAGGGTATCTATATATGAAGATGACTAAGATAGGGTTGCTTTCCTAAAGGAGGGGAGAGTTTACCAGCAGAGGCAATAACTGGCTAATACATTAAATGTGATGAGTTCTATGAATATGTACAAAGAAGGGAAAGCAACTACTGAAAAATGTTGGCAAAAGCTTGATAAAAGAGGTGATGTTTGGCCTCAGCAAATACCCTAGACTGAAAGTGTTCCCATGAGAGCAGGGATCTTGTTAGTTCATCAGCATATTCTCAGAACCTAGCTAACGGGCACTTGAAAATACTTGTCAAATGAACAGATGACTTTATTCTAAGCATCCAACTAATGTCCAGAATGTAGCTTTCCAAGAGAGGATCAGAGCTTAGGCAATCTCTAAAAGGATAAATATAAGCATGTTCTGTAGAGTATCTCACTCTCAAACATTGGTTGTCCCTCCTAGAATTTTTGTAGGCATTAGCAAAAAATTTAAAGTGGAAACCATTAGTGAGCACCAAATTTCAAACCTGTGATGGAGCTGCACTTGACATTTGTTTACTCCTGGAAATGCATTCTTGCCTTGGCTTCTGGAACCTCAGACTCTTGGCTCTTTTTATGCTTTACTGGATGATCCTTCTCATTTTTCTTGGCTGGTTTTCTCATCCTCCTGACCAATAGAAATTGGGGTGCTCAGAAACAGACTAAAGGCCTCTTCTTTTCTCTATCACACTTACTGTGTTGGAACCCTTATTTAGGCTCATGGTTTTAAATAAATCTGTATGGTGATGAGTTCCAAATTCATATTTTCATGCATCTCCTGAATTCTACACTCATATCCCACAGCTACTCAGTACCTCCACTTAGATGTCTAATTGTGTATTAGTTTCCTATTGCTGCTGTCACAAATTACCACAAAGTCACTGACTTGAACAACACAATTTGTGTGTGTGTGTGTGTGTGTGTGTGTGTGTTTTGAGATAGGGTCTCACTCTGTCACCAAGCCTGGAGTGCAGTGGCATGATCTTGGCTCACTGCAGCTTTGGCTTCCCAGGCTCAAGCAATCCTCCCACCTCAGTCTCCTGAGTAGCTGGGACTACAGGTGCACCACCACGCCCAGCTAATTTTTTTGTGTTTTTATAGAGGAAAAGTCTCGCCAGGTTGCCCAGGCTGGTCTTGAACTTTTGGGCTCAGGTGATCCACCCACTTTGGCCTCCTAAAGTGCTAGGATTATAGGCATGAGCCACTGTGCCCGGCCTAAAAATTTATTCTCTAACAGTTCTGGAGGTTGTAAGTCTGAAATAAGCCTTACAGGGCTAAAATCAAGGTGCTGGTAGAGTTGGTTTCTTCTGGAACTCCTCTCTTGCTTGTACACCCAAAATGCAATCTATCAACAAATCTTGTTGGCTCTATTTTCAACATAGACTTACTCTCCGACAACTTCCCATCAGTTTCCCTGTTCTGACTCAGTCCAAGCGACCACCAGCCTTCACGTGGAGTACTGCAGTAGCATCCTGTCTCCGTTTCAGCCCTTGCCTTCCTTCAGCCTATTTAGAAAATGGGAGAAATGATCTTGGTCAGGGAGAATCTGAAGGTGAGAGTTGAGTTATTATTTATTTGGCTTTATGACTAAAGAAGCCTCAAGTTGTCTACAGAATATGGACTTGAACCTCAAAAGGCTGAAAAAGTTAGCCACAAAACCATCTCTATCCAATTACATCAGCTGACTTATTGAAGGAAAGGTGGTGCAACCAATGGCTTTAGGAACTGGTGGCAACAATAGCCCTGGAGAAAGGAGAGAGGGGAGTGAGACATCAGGAGGAGGAAGAAAACAGTTCAGAGAGACTGATTCCAGTGAGGATCATGATGATGTGATAAAGGAGGCTTGTGGAGAATCCAGACCCTAGGACCAGGGGATCTTCAAGATGAAGAGACAGAGCCTCTAAGGGCACTATATTCCCTGGAGAGCAAAACCAACAATCACAGCATTGAAAACATAGAAGCTGAGCTTCCATTGGACAGGGGGACAGGGGTGTTGTGAGAGGGTAACTATTATTTTCCATTCAGATGGAGCATTTATATGAAGAAAACTCCATGCCTATGGCTATCTGTAGACTTCCCCCCTGAACTCTATACTTAAAACATTTTGTTATTTCAATAACTTTAGGGGTACAGTGGTTTTTTGGTCACATGGATGCACTGTATAGCAGTGAAGCCTGGGATTTTAGTGCACCCGTAACCCGAATAGTATACATTATACCCAATAGGTAGTTTTTCATCCTTCATTCACCTGCCATTCTCCCCCTTTCTAAGTCTCCAGTGTCCATTATACCACCCTGTTTGTCTTTGCATACCCATGGCTTAGCTCCAACTTATAAGTGAGGACATGTGGTATTTGGTTTTCCATTCCTGAATTACTTCACTTAGAATAATGGCCTCCAGTTCCATCCAAGTTGCTGCAGAAGATATTATTTCACTCTTTTATGGCTGAGTGGTATTCCGTGGTATGTATGTAACACATTTTCTTTATCCACTTATCTATTGATGGACAGTTAGGTTTATTCCATATCTTTGCAATTGTGAACCATGCTGTGATAAATGTACATGTGCAGGTGTCTTTTTGATATAATGACTTCTTTTCCTTTGGGCAGATACCTAGTAGTGGGATTGCTGGATAGAATGGTAGATATACTTTTAGTTCTTTGAGGAATCTCCATACTGTTTTCCATAGAGGCTATACTAATTTACGTTCCCACCAGCAGTGTATGAGTTCCCTTTTCACCACATCCACGACAACATCTATTGTTTTCTGATTTTTTAATAATGGCCATTCTCCCAGGGGTAAGGTGGTATCTCATTGTGGTTTTTATTTGCATTTCCCTGATGATTAGTGATGTTGAACATTTTTTCATATGTTTGTTGGCCATTTGTATATCTTCTTTTGAGAAATGTCAATTCATTGAACTCTATACTTTTTACCAAACTGCCTACTTGACCTCTCCACATGAAAGTCTGATATCTCAAACTTAACAGGTTCAAACCCATACTCCTTATCTCCCCCTTTTCCCCCTGCCTAACTCCCCTCATTTCAGTTGTTTGGGCCCCAAACTGTCAGTTTATGCTTGACTCCTCTATTTCTCTCATACTCCATATGCAATCCACCATCAGATTCTGTTCGCTCCTTCCTTAAAATATTATCTGCAGCCTGACAACTTGCTATGCCTTCCACAGCTATCATCTTGTTCCAAACTACACTCTTGTCTTGCCTAGGCTATTATCTTTCTTCCATTCTGGTTCCCCTTTAGTCTGTTCTCAACCAAGCAGCCAGAATGATTATTTTAGAAAGTTGATTCAGATCATGTTTCTCCTATGCTCAAAAGCCTCCCATAGTTCCAACCTCACTCAGAGAAAATGGCCCATGGGGCTTGACTCTGCCTGGGCTTCTTTATATTGACTTCTTGTCCTACTGCTTTCCTTTCACTGCTCCATTTCAAGCACATTGGCTTCCTCCCTATCCCCTGAATGTCAAGCATGGCCTCCAGCAGCACCTTTGGAACAACTCTCCATCTTCGCTAGAATGCTCTCCTCCAGGTATCCACGTGGCTCTCCTCTTCATCCTTTCAGGTCTTAACCAAATATTACCACCTCCATAAAGTCTGCCTTGTTCCCCTCTATCAAAAATTAAAACAGCCCCCTCCTCATGTACTCTATCTCTGCTCCCTGTTTTATTTTTCTCCTTAGCAGTTATTTTCATCTAACATACAATTTTACTTATTTATCCAATTTATTATCAGTCTTGATTCACTAGAATGGAAGCAAGATGAGGGCAGACCTCAAAACACTGCCTGGCACTTAGTAGGCTCTCAGTAAACATGTGCTGACTGAATGAATAAATATATGCATGTATGTGTGTGTTTAAACACATATGTGTGTATATTTGTATATGTGAACCCATGCGAGCATGTAACTAGATGCCATTTTGGATGATGGTGGTGGTGGTGAAGATAATGATTATGTTGATGATGATGATGTGGTTACTCATGTTGGTGATAAAATAACATCAGTTTTTCAGAATCTGTTTTCCTTTTTAAAAAAATGTTCTCAAGAAAACCTACAGTTCCACAATTAAAGTTATTAGCTGAATCTTTACTGTGTATGTTATAAAGCACTTAATAATATACAAATGTTTACAACATCCATTATAAGTGCTAAAACAAATGCTTTCCAGGAGGATATATAGAGTGATAGTGATTTTTTAAGAAGTGGCCATAAATTATCAAAATACAAGTGAAACTTCAAAGGTCCCTTCAATAATGGAATAAGATGCTCTTATTTTGGAGGCTAGGTGGCAAAATCTCCTCCTTCTCAGGTGAAAACAGGGCTGAATATATTCTCAGTAGACTATATGTCATCATCATTTTGCTATCAAAGATGAGACTCCCATATGTTAGACTCACCAAAATAACTTGGCCATTACTCAGGAGGAGAAGGAGATGAGCAACAGTAACTGAACTGACAACATAGAATTTAAAAAATATTAAATATATAATATTTTAAAACTGTATCTTTGTTGTGCTAAAGTTAGCACATCATGAGGCTTATAATGCATGTGTAATCAGTAAGACTCAATTACAGTAACTAATAAATGTGTCCTGGGACTACTTAGATTTTTAACAATCGCTTCACATATTTTGTAAGTTTTAAAATATTCAGGCAAGATGAGGAAAATAATAAACAGATGAGGCAATTTAGCTTTGAGAAGAGTTAACATAATTTAATGGGTATAGTTTAGATAAAGAGAGGCTAAGGAATTATAGCAATTACTGAAAAAATCCAAATAGGTACCTGTATTGAACTAAGGGAGGTGAAGAAAAACAATTTCCTTCATCTGAGAATAGTAATAAGTAGCAGCAATAATCACCTAAAGGTAGAAGAGGAAAATAGCTATGGTAGAAAATAGCAGCAAATATGTCGGGAATAATGATCATTCTGGGGAGCCATGTGAGGACCACTGACGGGATACTGAACACTAGAAATCCTCAAGGAGGGTTGAATAAAAAGCATTAGTCAGACACTCAGACCTCTCCTCCAGTTTCTCTTTGGATATCTGTGTTCTCCATCAAGGGCATCATTGGTGTTTAAAGGATGTGCAAGTGACTAGGGCAACCATGCTGAAAAGGTTGTCAGTCTCAGAGAGGGGTGGACACTACAATACCCACCTCTATAGTGCTTGCCACTGGGGAGCAAAAGGAGGTGATGTACAAGTGCCAATGCCATTTGATGCACTTCTCAGCCATAAGGTAAATAATATTAGGCAAGTTACTTAATTACTCTGAGCCTCAGTTTACTCATTTGTAAAATGGGAATAATAGTTGTTTTGCAGGTTTATTCCAAGGCAGCAAGTCCTAATCGGGGTCCCTTGGGGGTTGATACACTTGGATGAGCTCTGTGAACTTGAATGGGAAAAAATTACATCTTTATTTTTACTAACCTCTATGTAAAATTTAGAATTTTCTTTACTTATGAATGTAAGCAACAAACTTCAGTAGTATTAGCAAAACCTGTCACTTTGTTGCTGGTAGAAATCATAGATCTTTTCATATCACATTAGACTTGTTGCAGAAATCTCTAAGTATTCTTTATGTTCATCATTACTTTGATATCATAGTCATAATTAAATAATCCTTCAAGATCTTGTTTAATTCATTTGGAAAACCACATATATAACTATATTGCAAATTTAGCTTAAAATTTTTGGTAACTATATTTTAATAAAATTCATATCCTTGTAATACTATGCATTTTATTTTATGCATTCAAAAATATTATTTGAAAAGAGGTCCATAGGTTTCACCAGATTACCAAAGTGGCCTGTGGCACAGCAATGGTCAAGAACCTCTGTTGGGCAAATGGTAGCTTTA
The DNA here is from genome assembly GCF_000001405.40 of Homo sapiens. Classification (NCBI taxonomy): domain Eukaryota; kingdom Metazoa; phylum Chordata; class Mammalia; order Primates; family Hominidae; genus Homo; species Homo sapiens. The sequence goes on along the minus strand of NC_000008.11, from coordinate 97,051,154 downwards.
TTAGTAAGGTAGTAATGGTGATTATGATGATCATTCATAGTGTTATTATTATTAAACTCAATGGAATTAATTTGCCCTGGACCTGTGGGTTGGAGTACTGGTTCTGTCACATAATAGCTAAATGACCCTGGCAACCATTAATCTCACTGAGCTTCATATCCTCATCAAAAAGAAAGGGCTATTTAATAGGGTTGTTCTGAGGATTATATAAATTTAATATATTTATTTGAAGGGCTATAATATACCAAGCTATTCTGTTCTCTCGAGGCATTGTTATTACCAACAAAAGTGACTAATAAGTAGAGTAACCATTACTTAAGTTGCTATGTAGGCCAGGAAACTTTTGAGAGTGAAAAGGGATTCTATTAATGATTATGTCAGGACAATGGGTACAAGCTGGACTCTCAAGCAAATCAGGACCAAAAGGCTACTTAAGCACAATTTTTCTAATTTTTTTGAAATGGGGTCTTGCTACGTTGCTCAGGCTGATCACAAACCCTGGGCTCACGCAATCCTTCTGCCTCAGCCTCCCAAGTAGCTGGGATTACAGATGTGCACCACCACGTCTGGCTTGTTTTTCTGATTTTTTGCATCTCCTGTTTCTGCCAGTATAAAATTCAAAAGATAAAATACCATATTTCCCTAAATGTAAGAATCACAGTATTCTCCTTTTTTAGCATTTTGGAAATTGGAATGTATCTTGTTATTGATGCATTCCATAAGAAAGTTACCAAATTCTAGGCAAATAAACAAACATATTCATTGTATTGTATTCATATATTCATTGTCATTGTTTGTCCACATGCAAACTTCATCACACAGAAAGGGCCCTGGATAATGTATTTTACACTTCACTTATTTACACTGGTATCAACACAGATCATTAAATTTTAAATTACAGTCCATAATTATTGATTAAAATTCTTCATTATATTTTGATGTACACAGAAGATTGATTTTCATGTGTGAGGCAAAACAATGAAAAACAATAGAAATCGCCAAATCTTCAGAATAGACTCTAGAGTGTTCAAGGTGAGCAAAGACTGGTGTAGCCAGCCATGAATCATGGAGGCCTCCCACTCAGGTACTAAGCAATTTGCCAAAAGCTCCCTTAGAGTTTCAGGAGAAGCTATATGGCTTACAGAAATATTAAAATTAAAAATTAAGTGTAAAAAACTTGGCCAAATTGAAAGTACAGAGGAAAAACGTGTTCAATATGCCTTGTAATAGGCTGCCAACCACAAGGGTACACCTTTAGCACCTTGTCAAAACAAGGAGCATGGGTGACACAAAGTGGCCTGGCACCTTAATGCCAATGCTTCACTGCTAATGACCAAAGGGTTCAGAGACATCTGCAGACTCTGGATTGAAGGTATTTTAGACATGGATTGATTCTAAAAACAAAAGTGTTGGGCACTGTATGATATTGTCAGTTTAAAAACCCCTGTGCATTTAATGTAGTTTTATTTTTCCTGAAAATTTGTATTAATTTTAATCGCACCACTAACAATTGACGATCCTTAAATCAAAGAAATGGAGAACTGAATACCTTCTAACCCATCTCAATGTGTCACTATTGAGTTTCCACTCCCCTTCCTCAAGCTCTACTATTTTCTAGTTTAAATTTGAGAATGCAATTATTTGACATTCAGTTGTTCTAACTGGGGAGCTGTTAATGGTGGTTGTATTTTAAAAATAAAAGTAAGTTTATTTCACTGCAATTCATAATCTGATTGCTTTGAACCACATTTAAGAAAAGCAGTACAAGCCAGACTGTCGCAGCTGGCAGCTCTGCCCTTTGACATCCTTTGGGTCTCCTTCTCAGTAATAATGTACTCACATAAATATCACTGTCCTATATTAATGGTAAAATATCTGCTGAAGGAAGGAGGTGTATTATACACATAAATTTAAAAGGCATTTTTCACCTAATCAGAGTAGTCATAAGAAAAAAGCACTTCACTCCACTTGAAAATTTCAATATTATAAAGTCCAGAATTGCTGGTTCTTATAAAGACGATGCTAATTTATTACTTCACTCATGTCACTTCCATGTAATGAAATAATTAGCTGGGAAATTATATTTGCATTCTCAACACTTTTGTACAATAGGAATGTCAGTATAATTAGGCATTAACTACAATTTCAGAGAATTGAAGGTAGCAGCTTTGTGTACAAGTGAATATTTTTTTTCCCTTCATTTGCTCCATTCTTATCTTGGTGATTCAGAAAAAGATGTTTAAACAGAGCCTTTCAATGAAAGCCATCACAAAAGTGTGCCATATTAAGGTAATTGCCTACAAGATGAGAAGATAGAAATCTTTCTGCCAAATTCTTTGGAAACCAATGGGCTTCATGCCTGAGGCACCAACAATTTGTTAAATTTTTGAATATGTCCTTCATTCTCATTTTCCGTTCCACCTCTGTTGTATTAGGCTTTGGCAGCTTAAGCTCTCTAAAAGGGGCAGCTCCTGATCACAGCCACCTTTCATTGAAGAAGAACAAACACCAATCCATTCTGGCAGGTGCAGTTTTCCAATACATTCAGAAAACAGTTTGGGAAAGAAAGTATTAACAAACTGAGCTCTCAACTGTGAAGAAAAGAACATGTTAAAGGTTACAAATAGTTTTATCTCCTGAACAAGGAAAGAATGAATTAGAGTCCACTTTTTTAGAAACTAAAACAAAACAGTGTTAAATTATTTGTGCTTTGAGTTTAGTTTGCAAGTAATATTTAAATGTCTCTTTTGCAATTCAGAATTCATCCCATCTCCCAGTCATTGATCCTTCCTTAGTGCTTTCATGCAAGAACTACTAAGGCAACTGGGATTAAGGGACTTTAACTTTTGGAGACCTACAGCTACTTTCCTTTATAATTGCTCCCCCAATCTTCTAAATTGTATTACTTTCTTTTATAATTGCTCCTCCAATCTTCTAAATTGTATCCTTCAATGAAGAAATCACTAAGTGGACCTGGCCAGGAATATTCTCATTGTCTGATAGTGTTAAAAAATACTGACATACGTAAAATCTCTATCCTTGGAGATCTTTAAATATAGCACAGGTAGGGGTCCATTCTGATGTATCCCTGTCCTTGGTGTTTCGGGAATGGTTATCCTGAAAGAAGAAAGCCAGACTTGATTTTTGGAGGGTCTTCACATATAGAGTGTCTAAGCTCTATACACATGGGAAAGATATAAAAACAGACATATACATGCATTATTTCCATCTCTCAAAGGTTAGGGTTCTATTCTCACTTTTATTTGAAGATGAAGGCAGTGAGAAATGTCCTAGAGTAGTATGTTAGGGTGCCTCCGCTCTGAACGCAGTCTTTTGAATAGTGAAATGATTTTAACATTTATTATTATTAGAAACAGTTTTTCATATCATTAAAAGATCTCTGAACTTTTTAATTTTTCTGTATTGTTTAGCTAAAACTTTACCTAGAAAATGCCCCAAACTAAAGGAAAATTACACAGATGACTGAAGTGAAGTGTTGTTGGTTATTTTTTTAAAACTCATTGTAGCAGGATTTATAGAATTAACTTCGTGAACAAATACAAATATTTATTTTTATACCAAGAAAGTGTGAATATAAAACATTGAGAATTACTAGTGACAACTGATGTCTGCATGGTTACACAATATCCTTTGGCCATTGTATAGAATTGATACCATGCTATATGTGTTTTAAACTAAGCACCTTGAAGCAACTTCTCCTTTCATCTATTTATATGTTACTGATTATCCAGCATTCCTAAATATGCTGCTATGTATGTCCTTCAGTTTATGACAAATTAGTAGATATCTACATTTAAGATGGTGACAGAGAAGTATGTGGTCATAGAAGTCATGGCTGAAGTCCAAGTTCAGGCTCTGCACCTTATGGGCTGTGCTATGCAAACTTGGGTACATTCTTCACTTCTTTGAGCCTCTGTTTCTTCATGTGTGAAATAAGGAAAACAGTACATGGTCTGGCAACCACCAGGGTCATTACTATCATCAATGACTTGATGTCCACGAAAGCGTAATTTATAAATGATCACATAGATGCAAGAGATTATAATGCCATCTTTTAAATGGTAAGAACTTGTTACATATTTGTTTGGGAAATGGGACCTTTCAAAATTCTTGGTGGTTTCTTTTCTCTCTGTAAATCTATCAAAACAAAAATCTCTAGCACTGAAAAAAAACAAATTACTTTTCCTTACGTGGAAAAAATGGGTAATTTTCACAAAGCACTTTTCTGTCTGTCTACTATTATGTTCCTTTCCCTTTGACCTTTCCTAATTCAAATGACAAAACAGTTTGATTGCCTCTCATTTGGCTCTGTGAGTTATAATAAAGTATTTTCCAGAGCTTTGGAGGGGAAAAAACACTGCCAGCTATGGCAGTGAGGGCAGGTGGATGCTGTACGTTCTTCCAGCCCTCAGTTACTACCTGGAGAGTTGCCTGAAACACATTTACAAATATGGCACTGCCTCTGATTTCACAGGGGAGGGAGTGCATCTGATTGGATGAGTTTTATTAAATGAAACTATAGGAATCCATAAAAGCAAATTACACTCCCGTTTTAACTAGTAACAGAAATTCTGTTTAATCTTAAATAAATCATATGATGAAACCACTTTAAACCTTTGTTGAAAGGCCTTGTTAAGCTCCCTAAATTTGAATTGTTGTTTATACATGTTTTGCTGTGTGGGGTATAAAAGCTCTTTGGAAATGGATTTTGAGAAACTCTCCTTTAAGACAACCCTGAAACCAAAACAGTTTAGACAAAACTGCTGGTTGCTAGGGGCAACCTCAGCTTCTAGAATGAATAATTACAAATGTAGGACAAGCATTTGATGAGAGTACACGAGAGAGGTCTTCTGGAAAAAAAAAAAAGGAATAGAAGTTCCGATCTGCTTAGGAAAAAAAAAAGTATGCCTTTGTGTTTTTTACACACATAAGTGAGTCAGCAGAAAATACAGATGTGACCCAATTGATAAGGAAATCAGAAAGCTAGACCGAGACCAGCCTCTCAGGGCACACATGGTATCTTTAAGACACCACAGGATTTGGTTAATATACTCAGGAATGATCAAGTAAGATGAGTAGCAGAAAGAAAGACAAAAGTGCTCACTTTGCACTCACAACAATGTCTAACAATTCTGGGGCTCAGTTCCCTGCCTGATCTTCAGCCCTTAAAGTAACATAGTTTGGGTATTGCCCATCCTGGCTTCTGGATACTGCGTCTCAAAGTACAAAGTGGATGTGCCAGCGAGGAGCTGCTTTCTGGCATTGGCTTTATGAACAGCCCTGCCAGTACTTCTGCTCGTGCACTCCTCAAGCTGTCTTAGAGAGACCACTCTTTGATGTTTACGTGTTAGTGTCGTGGAAGCACAGAAAATCACAGTAACCAGAAGTAGAAGATGAACTTCCAGAAGGGCTACTGAATACCCAAAGACCTAATGATCTTTGGGTCACTTGGGAAGAGCCTCTCTCCCAGAAAATAATTCAGGTTTAAAAAAGAAATACTGAGCCAAGATGGCTGAATAGGAACAGCTCTGGTCTACAGCTCCCAGCATGAGCGACGCAGAAGACAGGTGATTTCTGCATTTCCATCTGAGGTACCAGGTTCATCTCACTAGGGAGTGCCAGACAGTGGGCGCAGGACAGTGGGTGCAGTGCGTCGTGCGCGAGCTGAAGGAGGGCGAGGCATTGCCTCACTCGGGAAGCACAAGGGGTCAGGGAGTTCCCTTTCCTAGTCAAAGAAAGGGGTGACAGACGGCACCTGGAAAATCGGGTCACTCCCACTCTAATGCTGCGCTTTTCCGACGGGCTTAAAAAATGGCGCACCAGGAGATTATATCCCGCACATGGCTTGGAAGGTACTATGCCCACGGAGTCTCACTGATTGCTAGCACAGCAGTCTGAGATCAAACTGCAAGGCGGCAGCGAGGCTGGGGGAGGGGCGCCCACCATTGCCCAGGCTTGCTTAGGTAAAAAAAGCAGCCGGGAAGCTCGAACTGGGTGGAGCCCACCACAGCTCAAGGAGCCCTGCCTGCCTCTGTAGGCTCCACCTCTGGGGGCAGGGCACAGACAAACAAAAAGACAGCAGTAACCTCTGCAGACTTAAATGTCCCTGTCTGACAGCTTTGAAGAGAGCAGTGGTTCTCCCAGCACGCAGCTGGAGATCTGAGAATGGGCAGACTGCCTCCTCAAGTGGGTCCCTGACCCCTGACCCCCCAGCAGCCTAACTGGGAGGCACCCCCCAGTAGGGGCAGACTGACACCTCACACAGCCGGGTACTCCTCTGAGACAAAAATTCCAGAGGAAGGATCAGACAGCAGCATTCGCAGTTCACGAAAATCCGCTGTTCTGCAGCCACCGCTGCTGATACCCAGGCAAACAGGGTCGGGAGTGGACCTCTAGCAAACTCCAACAGACCTGCAGCTGAGGGTCCTGTCTGTTAGAAGGAAAACTAACAAACAGAAAGGACATCCACACCAAAAACCCATCTGTACATCACCATCATCAAAGAACAAAAGTAGATAAAACCACAAAGATGGGGAAAAAACAGAGCAGAAAAACTGGAAACTCTAAAAAGCAAAGCACCTCTCGTCCTCCAAAGGAAGGCAGTTCCTCACCAGCAACGGAACAAAGCTGGATGGAGAATGACTTTGACAAGTTGAGAGAAGAAGGCTTCAGACAATCAAACTACTCCGAGCTACAGGAGGAAATTCAAACCAAAGGCAAAGAAGCTAAAAACTTTGAAAAAAATTTAGACGAATGTATAACTAGAATGACCAATACAGAGAAGTGCTTAAAGGAGCTGATGGAGCTGAAAGCCAAGGCTCAAGAACTACGTGAAGAATGCAGAAGCCTCAGGAGCCGATGCAATCAACTGGAAGAAAGGGTATCAGTGATGGAAGATGAAATGAATGAAATGAAGCGAGAAGGGATTTTTAGAGAAAAAAGAATAAAAAGAAACAAACAAAGCCTCCAAGAAATAGGGGACTATGTGAAAAGACCAAATCTACGTCTGATTGGTGTACCTGAAAGTGACAGGCAGAATGGAACCAAGTTGGAAAACACTCTGCAGGATATTATCCAGGAGAACTTCCCCAATCTAGCAAGGCAGGCCAACATTCAGATTCAGGAAATATAGAGAACGCCACAAAGATACTCCTTGAGAAGAGCAACTCCAAGACATATAATTGTCAAATTCACCAAAGTTGAAATGAAGGAAAAAATGTTAAGGGCAGCCAGAGAGAAAGGTCGGGTTACCCACAAAGGGAAGCCCATAAGACTAACAGCGGATCTCTCGGCAGAAACTCTACAAGCCAGAAGAGAGTGGGGGCCAATATTCAACATTCTTAAAGGAAAGAATTTTCAAACCAGAATTTCATATCCAGCCAAACTAAGCTTCATAAGTTAAGGAGAAATAAAATACTTTACAGACAAGCAAATGAGAGATTTTGTCACCACCAGGCCTGCCCTAAAAGAGCTCCTGAAGGAAGCACTAAACATGGAAAGGAACAACCGGTAGCAGCCACTGCAAAATCATGCCAAATTGTAAAGACCATCGAGGCTAGGAAGAAACTGCATCAACTAACGATCAAAATAACCAGCTAACATCATAATGACAGGATCAAATTGACACATAACAATATTATCTTTAAATGTAAATGGACTAAATTCTCCAATTAAAAGACACAGACTGGCAAACTGGATAAAGAGTCAAGACCCATCAGTGTGCTGTATTCAGGAAACCCATCTCACGTGCAGAGACACACATAGGCTCAAAATAAAAGGATGGAGGAAGATCTACCAAGCAAATGGAAAACAAAAAAAGGCAGGGGTTGCAATCCTAGTCTCTGATAAAACAGACTTTAAACCAACAAAGATCAAAAGAGACAAAGAAGGCCATTACATAATGGTAAAGGGATCAATTCAACAGGAAGAGCTAACTATCCTAAATATATATGCACCCAATACAGGAGCACCCAGATTCATAAAGCAAGCCCTGAGTGACTTACAAAGAGACTTAGACTCCCACACATTAATAATGGGAGACTTTAACACCCCACTGTCAACATTAGACAGATCAACGAGACAGAAAGTTAACAAGGATACCCAGGAATTGAACTCAGCTCTGCACCAAGCGGACCTAATAGACATCTACAGAACTCTCCACCCCAAATCAACAGAATATACATTTTTTTCAGCACCACACCACACCGATTCAAAAATTGACCACATAGTTGGAAGTAAAGCTCTCCTCAGCAAATGTAAAAGAACAGAAATTATAACAAACTGTCTCTCAGACCACAGTGCAATCAAACTGGAACTCAGGATTAAGAAACTCACTCAAAACCGCTCAACTACATGGAAACTGAACAACCTGCTCCTGAATGACTACTGGGTACATAACGAAATGAAGGCAGAAATAAAGATGTTCTTTGAAACCAACGAGAACAAAGACACAACATACCAGAATCTCTGGGACACATCCAAAGCAGTGTGTAGAGGGAAATTTATAGCACTAAATGCCCACAAGAGAAAGCAGGAAAGATCCAAAATTGACACCCTAACATCACAATTAAAAGAACTAGAAAAGCAAGAGCAAACACATTCAAAAGCTAGCAGAAGGCAAGAAATAACTAAAATCGGAGGAGAACTGAAGGAAATAGAGACACAAAAAACCCTTCAAAAAATTAATGAATCCAGGAGCTGGTTTTTTGAAAGGATCAACAAAATTGATAGACTGCTAGCAAGACTAATAAAGAAGAAAAGAGAGAAGAATCAAATAGACACAATAAAAAATGATAAAGGGGATATCACCACCGATCCCACAGAAATACAAACTACCATCAGAGAATACTACAAACACCTTTACGCAAATAAACTAGAAAATCTAGAAGAAATGGATAAATTCCTCGACACATACACCCTCCCAAGACTAAACCAGGAAGAAGTTGAATCTCTGAATAGACCAATAACAGGCTCTGAAATTGTGGCAGTAATCAATAGCTTACCAACCAAAAAGAGTCCAGGACCAGATGGATTCACAGCTGAATTCTACCAGAGGTACAAGGAGGAACTGGTACCATTCCTTCTGAAACTATTCCAATCAATAGAAAAAGAGGGAATCCTCCCTAACTCATTTTATGAGGCCAGCATCATCCTGATACCAAAGCCTGGCAGAGACACATCCAAAAAAGAGAATTTTAGACTAATATCCTTGATGAACATTGATGCAAAAATCCTCAATAAAATACTGGCAAACTGAATCCAGCAGCACATCAAAAAGCTTATCCACCATGATCAAGTGGGCTTCATCCCTGGGATGCAAGGCTGGTTCAATATACGCAAATCTATAAATGTAATCCAGCATATAAACAGAACCAAAGACAAAAACCACATGATTATCTCAATAGACGCAGAAAAGGCCTTTGACAAAATTCAACAACCCTCCATGCTAAAAACTCTCAATAAATTAGGTATTGAGGGGACGTAACTCAAAATAATAAGAGCAATCTATGACAAACCCACAGCCAATATCATACTGAATGGGCAAAAACTGGAAGCATTCCCTTTGAAAACTGGCACAAGACAGGGATGCCCTCTCTCACCACTCCTATTCAGCATAGTGTTGGAAGTTCTGGCCAGGGCAATTAGACAGGGGAAGAAAATAAAGGGTATTCAATTAGGAAAAGAGGAAGTCAAATTGTCCCTGTTTGCAGGTGATATGATTGTATATCTAGAAAACCCCATTGTCTCAGCCCAAAATCTCCTTAAGCTGATAAGCAACTTCAGCAAAGTCTCAGGATACAAAATCAATGTACAAAAATCACAAGCATTCTTATACACCAATAACAGACAAACAGAGAGCCAAATCATGAGTGAACTCCCATTCACAATTGCTTTAAAGAGAATAAAATACCTAGGAATCCAACTTACAAGGGATGTGAAGGACCTCTTCAAGGAGAACTACAAACCCCTGCTCAATGAAATAAAAGAGGATACAAAGAAATGGAAGAACATCCCATGCTCATGGGTAGGAAGAATCAATATCATGAAAATGTCCATACTGCCCAAGGCAATTTATAGATTCAATGCCATCCCCATCAAGCTACCAATGACTTTCTTCACAGAATTGGAAAAAACTACTTTAAAGTTCATATGGAACCAAAAAAGAGCCCGCATCACCAAGTCAATCCTAAGCCAAAAGAACAAAGCTGGAGGCATCACACTACCTGACTTCAAACTATACTACAAGGCTACAGTAACCCAAACAGCATGGTACTGGTACCAAAACAGAGATATAGATCAATGGAACAGAACAGAGCCCTCAGAAATAATGCCACGTATCTTCAACTATCTGATCTTTGACAAACCTGAGAAAAACAAGCAATGGGGAAAGGATTCCCTATTTAATAAATGGTGCTGGGAAAACTGGCTAGCCATATGTAGAAAGCTGAAACTGGATCCTTTCCTTACACCTTATACAAAAATTAATTCAAGATGGATTAAAGACTTAAACGTTAGAACTAAAACCATAACAACCCTAGAAGAAAACCTAGGCATTACCATTCAGGACATAGGCATGGGCAAGGCCTTCATGTCTAAAACACCAAAAGCGATGGCAACAAAAGCCAAAATTGACAAATAGGATCTAATTAAACTAAAGAGCTTCTGCACAGCAAAAGAAACTACCATCAGAGTGAACAGGCAACCTACAAAATGGGAGAAAATTTTCACAACCTACTCATCTGACAAAGGGCTAATATCCAGAATCTACAATGAACTCCAACAAATTTACAAGAAAAAAACAAACAACCCCATCAAAAAGTGGGCGAAGGACATGAACAGACACTTCTCAAAAGAAGACATTTATGCAGAAAACAGACACATGAAAAAATGCTCACCATCAGTGGCCATCAGAGAAATGCAAATCAAAACCACAATGAGATACCATCTCACACCAGTTAGAATGGCAATCATTAAAAAGTCAGGAAACAACAGGTGCTGGAGAGGATGTGGAGAAATAGGAACACTTTTACACTGTTGGTGGGACTGTAAACTAGTTCAACCATTGTGGAAGTCAGTGTGGCGATTCCTCAGGGATCTAGAACTAGAAATACCATTTGACCCAGCCATCCCATTACTGGGTATATACCCAAAGGACTACAAATCATGCTGCTATAAAGACACATGCACATGTATGTTTATTGTGGCACTATTCACAATAGCAAAGACTTGGAACCAACCCAAATGTCCAACAATGATAGACTGGATTAAGAAAATGTGGCACATATACACCATGGAATACTATGCAGCCATAAAAATGATGAGTTCATGTCCTTTGTAGGGACATGGATGAAGCTGGAAATCATCATTCTCAGTAAACTATCGCAAGGACAAAAAACCAAACACCACATGTTCTTACTCATAGGTGGGAATTGAACAATGAGAACACATGGACACAGGAAGGGGAACATCACACTCTGGGGACTGTTGTGGGGTGGGGGGAGTGGGGAGGGATAGCATTAGGAGATATACCTAATGCTAAATGACGAGTTAATGGGTGCAGCACACCAGCATGGCACATGTGTACATATGTAACTAACCTGCACATTGTGCACATGTACCCTAAACTTAAAGTATAATAATAATAATAATAAAAGAAGTCACTCAAAAAAAAAAGAATCACAATTGTTTAATATTAAAAAGGAAAGGAAATATTAAAAAAAATAAAAAAGAAATAGTGTAAGCAAACCAATGGACAAAACTAGGATGTGGTTAAACAGTGAAATTGCCAAAATGTATTGGAATGTTCATTTCTCTAAAAGACCCTTCTATATGTGTAAACATTTAAAATAGATATCCTTTAAAATATATTTTCCAGTACACATTTAGCTATCTTTATAAAGGGTTCTGTTCTTGCTTTTAGAAATACTCGGGAAGTACATTAACTTCTTCCTCCAACAAGGTAATTATGCCTGTTGTGTGGCTCAGTGGGATATAAGTAAGGCACTAGACTGATCTGGTGATGGTGTGTTCTGTTGGCCTCTGTTGGCCAAATACCTACAGGGAAACAACTGCAACCTTGTAAATGCTAAGCTTACCAACAGTCCTATTATTAGCCTACCAAGACATAATCTCTAAACGTTAGAATTCCACTATGTGCTACAAATCTCTTTCACTAAAAGCTGTGACCGTGATATAAGAAAAGGCTTCAGAAGAAAGTTTTCTAAACTTCTGCCTTGTAACAGTTTAGAACAGGCGTCAGTAAACTATCTGACCTGCCTTTATTCTTTTTTTTTTTTTTTTTTTTTTTTGTAAATACGGTTTTTTTGGAATACAGCCATACTCATTTGTCTAGTTTTGCCCATGACTGCCTACAATGAGAGTTGAGTAGAGAAACCATATGACCTGCAGTCCTAAAATCTTTCCTATCTGGACTGTTAAAAAAAAAAAGTTTGCCAACCCCTGATTTAGAAAACAAAAGGGCAGAAGACAACTTCAGGCCAAATAAAATAGTGCTGGTGATTGAAAAGTGGTTTGCTGACTCTGTAACTTAGTAAGGCCCCAGTACATGTAATGAGATAATTTAGTCCCAAAGCCTCTGACCCATGCAGTTCACTTGTGAGCCCAAGGCATGATGCCTCAGTTCAGATTTGTGCATCCTGGTGTGCCAACTTGATTTCCTCAGGAAGTTCATGCACTAGATATCCTATGGGTCCTTCTGGGTCAGGTCATGACCTGGTTAGGAGTAGGGAGGCACTGAGGCAGAAACTATTTGTGCCAGAAGGCACTCTCCTGTAAGCTGGTAAAACAGACTAGATACAAGCTGAAGCCATTCTTCACGGTTTCAGGAGGGGAGAATAAATGCCAGCCAAATAATTGACAAGAAACCTCAAAGTTTTGGCACAACATTCTTAGGAGTAACTTTAAAAGGCAATTGTTTTACTTAGGTTAGTAATGGTAGCAGAAAAGTTGGGATATTTCTCTTTTCTTTAAAGGTACTGGGCTAAAACCAACACTCAAGTCAAACTTCACTATAATCTGAAACCATAAGGCATTGAATTAAACAAAATTATCTCAGAATGGTAGGCAAGGTCTTGCTCTCCCAGAAACATGAAAAAATTCCATTCTAGTTGTCATAGTCTTTTTACTTTAAACTGTTTTCTCTTATATAGAAAAATATAATAAAAGCCAGTTAAGAAGGATCCCTTCTAAAGAGCGATAAAGCAAAGAGATGAGTTGAAACCTACTCATGTTTATTCGCAAGGTGGTATATGATTCTCCTAGTATCAAAGGGGATATTTTGATAGCTCTGCCTAGACTGGCATACATTGATATATAATTACCATATGTACATAAGATTCAGAAGTCCCCTAGTCATAATGGAATTCTACACAGGAGAAAGCAAACTCAAAAGACAATCCTTTCCTTTTTTTACAAAAATAAAATCCACAAATTCTAATAAGACCCTTAAGAGCTCCCAGGTGTGCAGTATAAATCATGTGAATATAGGAACTACAAAGGCTCCAGACCAAGAAAACACTGAGACAAATGAAATTTAAACCAGTTTTGTGATGTGCTTGAGAGACTAATGCAATATCTAGGCACTGAAAGAAAAATACAGGATGCATAAAGGCCCAGCAGTAATGATTGAGACAATCACCTCTGATTAGTACGTCTATACTGCACAGAACATTAAAGATATAAGAAAGGCTGTGCTGGAGACATAGTCCGGACACAATTATGCTGAATGAGTACATCAGCTCTATTATTTGTATAACCAGAGCTCAACATGAGTATAATACCCTTACTCTAGCAGTGTCACTCTATCTAAATTAGCATCATATAGAGGAAATAGAGTTAGTAAAATAAAAATGCCAAAGAAACACATTTGCCCAGATAGCACGAAGAAGTCTCAAAAGCATTTCTAACATATTCTTTTATTTTAGAGTGAAACATGAAACCTAATGCAGGTTGGGAAGCTGGCAAGAACTTCACTGCTAAAAGAAGCTAACACTTTAGTGTATTTCTATACATAAAGAGGAATTTTTGTTCCTCAGTATGACAAAACAGGAAATTGTGACAAAATATTCAATTTTGCTTTTTCAGTTTTAGAGTTGGCTAGAGTTCAGATAAATTCGTGTATTTGGAATGACCATACATCCCATCCCTCATTTAATAAAGCCTATTTAAAATATTGCCCTTATTAATGACTACCAGAACACAACAGTGTTCATTATCCCTGTAATTCAATTGCCAGAAGTTTGTGCAATAAATCAGGAAAAGGTTAAAATATTTTTCATGCCAGAATAAGACATATCAATCTATTTTATTTGATTACCTTGTGTAATGAGGCTTTCTCAAGGCCAGATTACCTTACTCATTATAATTATGCCAGATCATATTTTTCCTTAAAATGGAAAAGATTAACAAATGCCAGAAATCCAGTTGAAGCTAGGTATGTTTTTTCTCCTTTGTCCATTTCAGGACATGAGAAATGACATCCTGTTCTCCTTCCAAGAGAAGAGAAGAGAAGACAGCAACATTATTCCCATGAAAAGCAGATTAGGCAAATGGTACCTGGACAACCCTCACTTTATTCACTGATTTGAAAATTCAATAAACTCATCTATATTTTCAAATTTCAAAGTCAAATTCCACTCCTATAATGAAACTCTTATTCACTAGAGTGCAATAACATGCTTCTCTATGTGGTAAAGTTTCCTTTTAAGTGAATGCCAGTTAAATTTAACCAATAGAGTTCATATTTTTAAAAAATGTAATTTATCAATAAAGAATAACATAAAGGCATTTTCTGGACTTTTCCCCTCTCCCTAGAATAACCTCTTTTCTGGGCATAAAAGAGAAATCTTCCTCCTCATGCCCTTTGAGGGAATCGTCCTCCCCTTTGGGCTCCAGTTGAGTTTCAACAGCCCCCATGTGTTCTTGGGAGTCGGCCGTGGTTATGAGCAGGACGGCATTTCTATGTCCTCCTCTTGCCAAGATGTTTCTCTAAATTGAAATAAGGTCCCTCCAACCATGAACAGCCCCACAAACCTCATGCAGGGTAAAAAGGCCTTTGGTCTCCCTGAAATCATAAAGCAGAACACCGAAATGAAGATAGTCTTAAGGCGGCCGGGCATGGTGGCTCACGCCTGTAATCCCAGCACTTTGGGAGGCCGTGGTGGGCGGATCATGAGGTCAGGAGATAGAGACCATCTTGGCTAACACGGTGAAACCCGGTCTCTACTAAAAATACAAAAAATTAGCCGGGTGTGGTGGCGGGCGCCTGTAGTCCCAGCTACTCAGGAGGCTAAGGCAGGAGAATGGCGTGAACCCTGGAGGCGGAGGTTGCAGTGAGCCGAGATCGCGCCACTGCACTCCAGCCTGGGCGACAGAGCGAGACTCTGTCTCAAATACAAAAGAAAACAAAACAATACAAACAAACAAACAAACAAAAAGTCTTAAGGCAAGAAGAAGCAGGGAGGGCAAAAGAATAGTGGCCATTAGGAGAGGAGTCAGGATTTTTCTTGTAACTCTTCAGAACTGTACTTTGAAAAATATAAACACATAACACCTATAAGAATGGCTAAAAATAAAAAGGCTAATGATACCACATACTGGGAAAGATAGGGAGCAACTAGGACTCCCACATGTTGTTGGTGGAAATGTAAAATGGTACAACTTCCCACCTCTTCAGCAGTTTCTGGTAAAGTTAAACATCACCTATCATATGACCCAGCAATTATACTCCCAGAAAAGAAAATAAATGCATAGGTCCACCCAGAGATTTGTACATAAATGTTCATGGTAACTTCATTTATAATAGCTAAAACTGGAAACAACTCACATGTCCATCAACAGAATATTCTTGCTTCATTCGTTCTGGAGAATAAAGAGACTGTGGTATATTCACACAATAGAAAACTACCCAGTAATAGAAAGGGATGGCTGGGCGTGGTGGCTCACACCTGTAATCCCAGCACTTTAGGAGGCCGAGGCAGGTGGATCACGAGGTCGAGAGATCGAGACCATCTTGACCAACATGGTGAAACCCTGTCTCTACTAAAAATACAAAAATTAGCCGGGTGTGGTGGCACACGCCTGTAGTCTCAGCTACTTGGGAGGCTGAGGCAGAAGAATCGCTTGAACCCGGGAGGCGGAGGTTGCAGTGAGCTGAGATCGTGCCACACTGCATTCCAGCCTGGGGGACAGAGCACGACTCCATCTCGAAAAAAAAAAAAAAAATAGAAAGGGACAAACTACTGTTAATGCAACAACATGGATAAACTGCAAAACCATACTGTTTAGTGAAAGACGTCAGACTCAGGATTATGTACTGTATGGTTCCATTTATATGAAGTTTAAGAACAGACATAACCAATCTGGAGTTACAAAGGAGCATAGTAGTTGTCTTTGGTAGAGTCAGAAGTTGATTTGAAGGGGACATAAGGAAACTTACTAGGGTAATAGGAATGCTATATACCTTGATCTGGGGGATGATTACATAGGGGTATACATTTTCCAAATTTATTTTGCTGTGTACTTAAGATATGTGCATTTACCAAATGCTAATTAAACTTCAATAAAACAGCAAGAAAAATGAGTTGCTTCTAAAAGAAGCTTCTAAATAAAGCACAAACAATATACTGTCCATATAAGTCATTCTCAAGCTTATGTGCTAATACCAAGACAATCAAAGACATGGTGAAAAGGACTTTAAAATAAGGAGAGAAAATTTAACAACTTATTGAAACATGTGAACTTGCATTTTCTTAAGAAGAGAAATCTTTTATGGGACTTTCCGCTATGAACTGTTAGAGGCATGCTGAATGGATCTCAGGAATGATTTATATTCTAGTGTATAGTACTACAGTGAGATATTCAACACTTCCTGTTTGAGTTATTTACTTAGTAACTGCTACTAAAATGCTTATAGACCATTTTTGCCAAAGTTTGTTTCCTTGAAGTGTTTTAGACATTATAATAAAGTTGCATATGAATTTCAAAATGTATACACAAGCTATAAATAGCCTCACATCCTTTATAATTTAATAAATTGTTTAGTAAATTTAGTAAATTCTAGCACGTATTATAATAATTGAGCTGATATGTCATAAGAAAGCATAATTATGAAGTAAAGGTAGCTTTTAATCCAACTACAATTTTGAAAATTAGTTCAGCAATACATTTTACCCACAATTTAAAATAACTATTTTATATTTTCTGCATATATTAATTAGAGTACAGTGTAAACAAAGATATATTTACTAAGGAAAGGATAATGAATATTAATAATTCATTATTCCACAAACTGATTTATTATTAAAATAGCCTTTGTAGAACTTTCGCTGTTGAAAAGACTTTGTGAGGGGGAAGAAAGAATGTTACATTCAGAAAAACAAAAAGAAGAAATAATAATCTACGTATTGTTTTTCTCCCTAGCTAGTGCCATGTAGGTTTAGCCAACTTTATTATTAAAGACTGCCAGATAAGAATGCAAAAAAAAAAAAAGATTGTGCATGCAAGCTTTTATCATTACAATAATATCTTCCTACAATATACTTACATAGGCTAATATTAGGCTCGAAACAAAATTTACAAAATTATATTTTAGGTCATACAAACGAGAAAGAGATCATTGTATACAAATAATGTGATGATATTTTATGACTTTTATCATTATAGACCAGAAGTAGGTAAGCTTTTTCTGTAAAGACCCAGATAGTTAATATTTTAAGTTTTGTGGGCCACATACAATCTCTGTAGCATAATCAGCTAAACATATGAAAAAACTTCTTAGCTTGAAGTCTGTACATAAACAAGTGGCAGGCTGGATTTGGTCCATCAGCTATAATTTTCTGATTCCTGACATAGATCACTAATAACCATAACTGTATCATAAAAATGTTAGCAGAGTCATTTAAAAAGTTCACACCTTTTATTTCTACAATCACTAAAATAGATCTCCCCACCCCCGCCATAAAAGTTCTGTTCTTATTTGGTATCACCCACACCAATGCCAAAGGCAGACCTCGAGACTCCATTATCATCCATCTAAAGGGGAGCTGCTGTCCCTTCTCTCCCCTCTTGATCACTGGCTGAAATCCACTTGCTCTGCAAGGATTAGGTGTTGCCTCCTTCCTCACGACTAACATGCCATAGTGATTTCTCCCTTTTCTAAATCCTTTCCATTTACTCTGTTCAGCCTTTACACCATTTGGCACTTTGTCAATGATAGCATCATCCATAAAAATAAAATACTTTTAGTACATTATTTAAAACTTCATTATATATGGTTTGTTATACTAACTTTCTTATGTGTGCATTTAAAGTTATTTTTGAAGTAAAATGTAAGGTCCTTCTGGTCAAAGACTGTGACTCCTTTTCTTTTTGTGTGTTGCTAGACAAAGGCATCCTGGTAGTGGTGAAGATGAGTACTTTTAGGCAGCTCACAGAGCTGATCTCAACTTTGAGCACCATGGGAGGTAAAGACCTCAGGGCAGTTGGCCTCTTGTGCAGCTAAAGTGTTTAGAAAGCCAGAACGAAGTGAAAGGAAGACCCTAGAGTGGGTCAGCTTTCTGCCAAAGATAGAGAATATAGCTATAGAATGCTCCCAGCCTACAGTATAGAGCTGTTGTTGGGAAGTGGCTGCTCAGCCAGTGCCTGTATGCCCTAGCCTCTCACACAGTTGGACTACATGACTAGTTCTTGCCAATGGAGTGTGAGTAGAAATGACGTCAGCCACTTCTAGAACTGTCCCATAAAAACCTCCTACTATCCCCCTGCCTGCCAGCTGGATGTCAATACTCAAAGGCATATTAAAGCCATGTTTTTAAAGGGTATGTCAGCTTGGATCACTGAATACCTGTATAAAGCAGAGCCCTACTGTAGATTGGATGTTAAGTGAGCAAGGAATATATTTCTGGGTTATGTTAGGTCATTGAAATTTGACCTATTATTTGTTTCAGCAGTTAGCATAACCTTATTTGGAACAGATGATCTCTCTGTTGTGACTGGAGTGAACTGGATATTGTTGGACTGTCTGCTGGCATTCAGTAATGCCACAGAGAAGTCTAAAGACAATCTAATTTACCCTTGTGGTTTGTGACTTGCTTATTATATTAACTTTTAAGTTAAACTCAGCCACTTTTGAAATGATTATAGTCTTAGTAATGTCAATATCAATATGCTAATCATAAGAATCCAGAATAAGTCCTTTGAAATTGGCTGTATCATGTAAAGCATGCACAATGTCTTTTTAAAGGCGAGGTAAAGAGTTACTGTAAAACAAAATGCCAATGTTTTCCCTTTCTGGAATTTCTTCTTTCTATCTCTGAAAATGCAATGCAGACTAGCCACCAACATGAAGCTACATTTGTATGGAGGCAGCCTGGATGCTGTCAAGATAAAGTAGTTCTGTTTATGTGATTGCATGTCCTTTGAGTGTGTGTATTTCTGCCAACCTCAGAATTTTAGGCATTTCCGATTTCATCCATGTGCTTTGATAGGCTACAGTGAAACTCACATTACAGAAAAATAAACCTTCTTTTTTCACATTCTAGGAATTTCAGTGATGATAAAATTTTTAGCCAGATCAATTGCAATTTAAATCCAATATTTTTCTTGGAGTAGAGTGTATTACTGAGAATAAAAGAGGGCACGGTGGCTCACACCTGTAATCCCAGCACTTTGGGAGGCCGAGGCGGGCAGATCACAAGGTCAGGAGATCGAGACTGTCCTGGCTAACACGGTGAAACCCCATCTCCACTAAAAGTACAAAAAATTAGCTGGGCGTGGTGGCACACGCCTGGAGTCCCAGCTACTTGGGAGGCTGAGGCAGGAGAATCACTTGAACCCAGGAGGCGGAGGTTGCAGTGAGCCAAGATGGTGCCACTCCACTCCAGCCTGGGCAACAAAGTGAGACTCCATCTCAAAAAAAAAAAAAAAAGAATAGTTCTTTTAACTATTCTTTTTTTTATATAAAGTCCAATATGTATAGAATTTTAGAGCTTCTTCTTAAAAATAAGTTACTCTCTTGCCTCGAGGATAAAGTCCGCACGTCTAAATATGATTCATATGTTCTTCTTGTTCAGGCTCTTGTTTACGTCTCTGTTCCACCCTCCTACCACTGTGCATCTTGCATTCTATGCAGCAGCCACTCTGAATTCCTTTCCATTTCTCTGGTGTGCTTTCCTCTGTCTCATCTCCTGCCTTTGCACACACAGGTCCCTCTGCCAAGGTGCAGTACCCACCTCCTCCCTCCCTCTCCATTTTCCTTAGCTTACTTCCACTCAGTCTTCAGGTCTCAGCTTAGATGTAATTTCTTTCCCAGAAAGACTTAACACCTTATAATTCAAGTTAATCGTCAGTGTCCTTTAGAATGTAGGCTTTGTAAGGTCAGGGTAGATCTTTTTGATGCTAACATTAATGCATAACATAGTGTATGGAACATAGTACATGTTCAGAAAATATTAATTGAATGTTGCTGAATCTAGAACAACCCTTATATGATGTTGTGGTCTACCACAACACATAGAAAATGATGTTACTGACCTACCAACCAAAGGACACTTGTCTTGAATTATGTTATCCCCAGGATCACCTGAGGCCAAAAGAACTAAAGTGGTGAAAGAGTAGGGCATAGGTCATAAGTTGTCCTTTGTACAGTAAATAATTGTATTCAGTGACCAAATTCATGACTTTGAACTCATTATACTCTAACTGACTGAAATAGGGTAATAGAGACTGACTTTGAAAAAAAAAAAAGGTCAAAAATAACATACACACAATTCACAAAAGAAACCCTTCTCCGATTTGGATAATTTAAGCTTGCAAGATCTGCTTCTTCTCATCTGGACATTCAGGGGAAACCATCCAGCAGCAGCAGCAGACCAAATGCTCCTCTCTGGGCAACCATCACTGCTTGCCAGCATATGCGCGTTGATTTTGGAGTTCCTCTTTGAACTAACATTTGACTTGATCTAGAGTATTTCTCAGCTTGTATATTTTGCTGTCTCAAAATTTGCTCTTGATATTAATCTCCCTATCCCCTCTCTTCCATGTGGTCTTGTATTTCTAATCATGACCATCCACAATAACCTTCCTGCTTCAAGCTTCACACTTGTGTAATGACAGCTGGTGTCAAACCAAGCTGTCCTCCACATTCCTGGGACAGAGGCCTGTGGCTGCTGCCATTTCCACCACCATCATGGCAATGCTCTTGGCAGACTCAATGACTTGGAACCTGGCTCTCAAATGCCAAGGCTTCTGGGAATATGGCGGGCATTGAGGTATGGGGATAGGCTCGGTGGGGAGAGGGAATGTTTGCCTATAACTATTTCTCTGACATACATGAATACAGCAGAACTAGGTAGACTTGAAAAAAATGGCAGCATGGCAATTGGAATTTTTCTTTGGCCTCAGACTGTGGTGTAGAAGAAGAAAAGCCCTCAGCTCTACACCACAGCATCATTGGTTTACCAGTGCATTCTCATTCACAGGGCTGGAGGGAGAAGGCTCATACAAGGGTGTTTCCTAGGGCCAGTTGACCAGAAAGTATTATTGAAGTCTTAAATGGACAATGAGAGGGATTTTTGTATATTACATGTACAAATGCTTAGCAATCCACAGCTGGGTTTTTACCTTGTGTAACTGATAATACTGGAAGGCACCAACTCCACCTTGTTCTTCTGCAGTCCAGAGCACCAGCCGCAGAGTCCTCTTTGGACGCAGCCCTGGGAAAATAATAA
The DNA here is from genome assembly GCF_000001405.40 of Homo sapiens. Taxonomy (NCBI): domain Eukaryota; kingdom Metazoa; phylum Chordata; class Mammalia; order Primates; family Hominidae; genus Homo; species Homo sapiens. The sequence goes on along the minus strand of NC_000008.11, from coordinate 97,029,387 downwards.
AATAAAAAAGTGATACTTTAGTTGATTTTGAATTTTATAAAAAAATGGCAGGGTCCCTCATCTGCCTTGTGGAGGAAGGAGGAAATCAGAGGCATTCAACTCTCACTGGTGTGGTTGTCTCCTTCAGGGTATGGCCAGCACAGCAAAGGAGCAACTTCAGGGCTGATCTCCAGGCCAGGTTAATGGAGAAAGGGGTTGTGACAAATGCAGTTTGCAGGCCAGAAAGTGAGAGCCTCTCATCACATCCTTAACTTGATATCCTGCCCAGCAGAACCCAATGGATGGCCAAGATCAGTGAGATATTAGATCATATCTGGAAGATGCAGTTAGGATGACCCCAAGCATATTGTGGGGTCTTTCAATGATCTTAATTGTAATTAAATCATTTGGGTCTACTTCAGGATAAGCCATGTAGATTACTTTTTAGTCTGAATATACAAGCATAGCTAGATGCCCATGCTATCTTCAGTAATGTAATAACTGAAAAGCAGATGCAACAGTTATGCTTCTCCATGGCCAATTTCTTCTCCTACTTGGAAATAGAAGGTCATTTCCTTAAGGTCAATGAAAATTAATTGAATGAGGATGACATTTATTGACCTTATTACTACACAAACAGCTTGGTGGCAATTTTATTGACTTGTGATACACAAATTTGTATCCTGGACTTATTAAATTTTATGGCAGATGAAGTGGCTCCAGAACCATTTTTGGCTGACAATGTCAGCTCAGTGAAAGTTACCTACAAGGAAGCTGTTTCTGAAGTTAAAAAAATGGTGAGAGTATGCCAAAAGTGCTACTTTGTGACCAAGAATTAATATCTGTTCTGACTCAGACTGATAATGGCATTTCTGAGAAATAACAAAGACAGAAAAATGTGAAGCTGTGCTTAAATCTTATTAAGAGGATTCGTTTTCCCACCTCCTCATGGGGAGCCATAGGGAAGGGTTAAAATGGACTTTGAGTGGCTCTGAGATGGACACACCACATATCTCAGGTATAACCACATATGTGCTGCCACCCAGGTGTGTGGCTTTTGAAGGAGCCAGCTGGCTAACTGCAGCCTGGATGACAAATGCTTCTGGGACACAGAGCTCTCTCCTGCCTCTTCCAGGCTCCAAGAGGCACTCTCCTTTCCTAAGCCTAAGGAGCTGAAAAGGAGGAGCTACAGTTTTTCATGAAATTGAATATAGTTGTGAAGTCACTTTGTACTTCAGCATGTTAACATAACTTAAAAAGCATAGGTTTAGGATGCAGGCTGACCATAGTTGCAGTTAAAACATGGACAAGCAATTTCTACATTCAGTTCCTCAGCAATCCCATTGGTGTTTCCATCTAAGTCCATATAAAATCCAAATTCTCATCTTGGCCACTACTGTGGTCCAAGCCCCGCAGTTGTCTGGATTGCTGCAGTGGCCTCCTAACTGGGCTTGCTGCTGAAGCCCTCACCTCTCTTCAGGTGATGCTTCACACTGTAGCCAGGAGGGTCTTTGTAAAAGCTAAGCCAGATCATGTCATTTCTTGGCTCAAAACCTCCAATAACCAGAAGTAAACTTCTGGAAGACAGGGATCTATGCTTTTTATTCATTGTAATGTCGCCAATTCCTAGATTGTTTGACACACATTAGGTGCCCAATAAATGGTAATGAAGGAATAAATAAATGCAAAGCTTAGTGTCTTGATTAGAATGAAATTTGAAGCCACTTCTCCAGTCTCATCTTCTAAAAGTCTTCTGCTAGCTCATTCCCAGGCAAGGTGTTATATTTGAAAAAGGCAGACAGATCTGGTAAATCCTGCTATCATTAGGCACTAGCTGTGTAACTACTGGGATATGTATTTACCTGAACTTATGCCTCTTTATCTGAAAGATGAAGATAATATTATGTGCCTATGCCATAATCCTTTTTCAGATTAAATGAGATATGATAACACATGTAAGACAACCCTGGGGCTGGCATGTAATTGGCATTCAATAAGTGAAAAATAAAACCACATAACACACTTTCACCTCACAGAGTAGAAGGAACATCTAAATGCTCAGAGAGGAAATTCTTCCAAAGGCCTTTGAGTACTTGGAGAAAAAGAATTCTAGAGTGCCCACTACTTGCTCCACCGAGTCAAACCACCTGCCCACATTCATAGCACAAACTTAATAAACTGTTGTCTGAGGAAGAAATCTAATCAGGATTGCCAAAGATAACAATCTTCGGTTTCTTTCAAAGGAATGTGCTTAAAGTCAATTTAAATGAAATTACTTGCTTGTAATATAGGCAAAAATAAGAAAGGATAAAGTACTATTATTGTTTATAGGCTGCAAATAAAAATTCTAAACATTTTTTAAATCCACAAGAAAAGAAAAAAATACACTTTTTTTTACATATCTCCGCACCTACCAGTAAAATATTACCAAATTATTAAAATGACGAAATTCTCTAAATAAGAATAAACAGGCAGCACAGGCTACAGAATATTCATTTTTTAAAAGCAAATGCTCTGAATATCCGTATAGATTTTGTGTGCCAAGTGAAAGTTATTATCCTACAGGGTTAGTCTCCTTTACATTCCAAATCAGCCACATGGCCAGTGATGTATTAAGGTAATAAAGAAGTAATTGATTTGAAGTGAGGAATGCTAAGGCCTCAACACAACAACAGCATAGTTGGTGCACAGCTGGCCCTAAAAAGACTAACAAGCCTGCTCAAGCCCTTGAGAAGCTTAGTACTCATTAGCAGGGAACCCTAGCACCTACTTCACAGAGTGAAGGCCTTAGGAAGAAGTTAGGAAGCCAGTGGGTTAGCAAATGTTGAATCCAAAGTCTCTTTCTACTCTGACAATCTGATTGTCCCTGAACCTAAGAGAAATGCGTGAGGTTTCATTCAAGAATTAGACCTTAAACCTAGTGGGGAGTTCAGGTCCCCAGGCTACCTAAATCCATGATGGACGGTGTAGGGTACAGAAAGGCATTGGCTGTGGAGTCTGAGCTGTGTTTTACTCCTGGCTCTGCCACTTCTGGCTCTGTGAGATTAGATTAATTATAATACCTAATCTCTTCATCTATATAATAAGGAAAATGGTAATTGCCTGCTGGGATTGTTATGAAAGTTAAATAAAACAAAGCAAATGTATATCAAGCATAGTCCTGGCACATAGTAGGTTTTCAAGAATTGTTTATTAGCTTCTCTCTCCACCACTCTAGACCTTTCTGGTCAGTGCCAACAGTCACCAGGGAGAGCATGTGGGAGAACTAGGTGAGACACATGGTCCTCAGACCGCTTCCTTAGGAGCCCCAGAACACCTTTGTTTATACAGCATGCATAAACCTAGCCAAGGGAAAACACAGATTTTATCTAACCTGTAGGAAAATACATAACTTCTTTCAGTACAAAAAGCTCCCTCATCCCAATATAGAGCATATACAAATCTAAATAAATAGAAACAGGTTCTTCCCTTTTAAAATGAGGGCCAATCAGAATGTTTAGTTTTTGGATAAAGTCAAAAGGCTAAATATATCCGAAATCTGAAGACAATTGATGTAAGGACATCTATATTTATCATTTTCAAATGATAGAACTTATTGTGTATCTTAAATCCAAACTAGTTTTAAAAGCCACAAGTCTTAAATATATACAGGAAAGCAACGACAACAACAATACTAAAGCAGTAACAATGATAGTAACAAAACAAAGTAATATGAGGTCAAACGTAGGGAATTAATTCTGTGGCAGATTTGGGGTAAGTGGAAGCTCTGCTGTAAGCCTGGCCCCCAGTCTGGCACTGGCTTGGTAGCTTGCAGCTCCAGTCCAAGGCAAGCACATGAGGGAAAGTCCTAGAATTTGAAGACGCAGGGAGGACCATGCCGAGTCTTAGCTGGCTAGGAGTCAGGTCTCATTGAGGTTTTGTTAGAGGAGAGGCAGTCGGTTCTCCTATAAATATATAGAAGTTGCCAGAGACGCCTTGACCTCCTGGAATCTACAGTATGATTTCCAGATAATGCAACAGTTTATAGCCAACATGGTTTTCCTCTAAAGCAACATAAACTTCCAATAATGTGTCAGAACTTGGTTTTGGTTTATGAAATAGGATACACAGGCATTTCATTTTCATTTCATTGAGGAGAGTAATAATAATAGGGAGAAGAGAAATGATGAAAAAGATCTCTTTGGACTTTTTTTTCATTATTCTTAAATTTAAAGAATTCTGAGAGAGAACTATCATTAAGCTGATAATCTGAAAGGTCAGTTGACTGTCTTACACTTGCACAGAGAGGGGCAGAGCAAAGTAAACTTGGCCCTCAGCAGAAAAAGATTAATCCAGCTTTGTAGACAGCTTTCCTAAATCATGAAATTTATAGAACACTGTTTCTTAACAATATGTATTGATCCTAACACCCATTTACTATTCGGTTTCAACCCTCCAGAACTATAGATAAGTATCATTCTCCCTTCTGTGATCTAACTTTGCAGAGAAAACACAACTTCCTTCTGCAGTAAATATACTCATTTTCTACTAGTTCACAAATACACCTGTTGTCCCACTCTCTTTCAGCAACAGCCCAGAAGAGAGTGCCTACACTTAAAGAGATTTATATTCCTGCAATAAACTTAACTAATAAGAGTACAGTATCCGAGACATAAAAGTAAATAATGACATGGTAGCATGTGAATTGAATGACAAGAGGTAGTAAAGCAGAGTGGTTAAATGCATGGGTTTGGGGTCTGAGACCTCTTTCTGCTTTGGGCAAATTACATAATCTGTCGTATAATTTATGAGCACATTATCACTGATAAAATAGGGACATGGTTAGACAAAAATTAATTATTTTAGTGAAGTAAACTGCAACTACTTCTCTTTAAAGGCAGAACAGAAGATCACCTTGAAGAAGATCTTTGTTTTTGGAAGAATCCCTTGGTGTCTTTCTTAGTTATGTAAATATAAAGCAATTAGGCATTTTGGGGGAGCATTAGGGCAGGGCAACAAACTGTTTTTTAAACTCCATCTTGCAAACTGCTACCTTTTGAGCCACCCCGAGAAACAATCTGCACACTTGGCAGGAGGAGAATCTGTGTGGAAAAAGGAGCCCAGGGCCTTCTGGAGGGAAGCCCTAGTGTCTTCATCCCCGTTTCCTCGAACTGGAGGCCGGGGATGAGAGATCTATTGGGTCAGGATGACACTGACTAAGGTCCCGGAGCAGGGAAGGTCCTGGAAGCCATGGAAATAAAGTGATCCTAAAGAAGGGCGGAATCTGGGCTGTTGATCTGGGCTCAACAAAATGGCCTCAGATTCTAGGAGAAGGACTAATTTCAGACTAGCATGAGGCCAACTCCAGAAGCGCCTCCAGACCAGCCAGCCTGGCACAGTGGTTATGATTTAGGGAACAATGGCTGAGGATGGAAATGTAAACAAAGAGAGTTGTAACCTTGTCACCCAAAATGGGTACCCTGTGACACGGATGTGCAAATGGTGCCATATAGCAGACACCAGAGAGGGCAGCAGTCACAGACAGATCCAGCTATGGGCTTCTGCAGGAGGACTGACCCATTTGGCCTGAGTAAAGTCAGGATTCATGGACAATTCAGGGGCAGTGGGAGGGATCTCAAGAGGAGATAATAGCCTTCCTGCTAATAAGCCCTGTGGAGACTTGGGTGATTAACTGTAAAGAAGATTAAAGAGATGTGATAATATGTATAACCTGTGTTTGTGGAACAGGTCTTAACAGCTATAATTTCCATAATTCAAAGGCAACAGTCCTACCTCATTATAATGATTAAGATTCTATTAGCCAGGAAAATCACTGTTAATCATTGGTGAAGCAGAAACATTATGACTCCAAGTGCATAAAGGCCATTTCTGGCCTAGCCCAGTTTTCCACTCTCATCCTCTGCTTCTGCTTATTATATTTTTTATTTTTTTATTTCCATAGGTTATTGGGGTACAGGTGGTGTTTGGTTACATGAGTAAGTTCTTTGGTGGTGATTTGTGAGATTTTGGTGCACCCATCACCTGAGCAGTATACACTGCACCCAATTTGTGGTCTTTTATCCCTCAACTCCTTCCCACCCTTTCCCTCTGAGTCCCCAAAGTCCATTGTGTCTTTCTTATGCCTTTGCATCCTCATAGCTTGGCTCCCACATATGAGTGAGAACATACAATGTTTGTTTTTCCATTCCTGAATTACTTCACTTAGAATAATAGTCTCCAGTCTCATCCAGGTCACTGCGAATGCCATTAATTCATTCGTTTTTATGGTTGAGTAACATATATAGTATATATATATAGTGTGTATATATATAGTATATACATAGTGTATATATATACACTACAGTTTCTATATATACAGTATATATACTGTATATATACTGTATATATATACTATATATAGTATATATATACTGTATATATATACTATATACAGTATATATATATGTTTTTGGAATTGCAAATTGTGCTGCTATAAACGTGTGTGCAAGTATCTTTTTCATTTAATGACTTCTTTTCCACTGGGTACGTAGCCAGTGGTGGGATTGCTGGATCAAATGGTAGTTCTACTTTTAGTTCTTTAAGGAATCTCCCCACTGTTTTCCATAGTGGTTGTACTAGTTTACATTCCCACCAGCAGTGCAGAAGTGTTCCCTATTCACTGCATCCCTGCCAACATCAATTATTTTTTGATTTTTTGATTATGGTCATTCTTGCGGGAGTAAGGTAGTATCGCATTGTGGTTTTGATTTGCATTTCCCTGATCATTAGTGATGTTGAGCATTTTTTCATATGTTTGTTGGCCATTTGTATATCTTCTTTTGAGAATTGTCTATTCATGTCTTTAGCCCACTTTTTGATGGGATTGTTTATTTTCTTGCTGATTTGTTTGAGTTCACTGTAGATTCTGGATATTAGTCCTTTGTCAGATGTATAGATTGTGAAGATGTTCTCCCACTCTGGGTTGTCTGTTAACTCTGCTGACTGTTCCTTTTGCCACGCAAAATCTCTTAAGTTTAATTAAATCCCAGTATTTATCTTTGTTTTTATTGCATTTACTTTTGGGTTGTTGATCATGAAATCCTTGCCTAAGCCAATGTCTAGAAGGGTTTTTCCAATGTTATCTTCTGGAATTTTTATAGTTTCAGGTCTTAGATTTAAATCCTTGATCCATCTTGAGTTGATTTTTGTATAAGGTGAGAGATGAGGATCCAGTTTCATTCTCCTACATGTGGCTTGCCAATTATCCCAGCACCATTTGTTGAATAGGGTGTCCTTTCCCAACTTTACGTTTTTGTTGGCTTTGTTGAAGATCAGTTGGCTGTAAGTATTTGGGTTTATTTCTGGGTTCTCTATTCTGTTCCATTGGTCTATGTGCCTAATTTCATGTCAGTACCATGCTGTTTTGGTGACTATGGCCTTATAATATGGTTTGTAATCAGGTAATGTGACACCTCCAGATTTATTCTTCTTGCTTAGTCTCGCTTCAGCTATGTGGGCTCTTTTTTTGGTTCTGTATGTATTTTAGGACTGGTTTTGTTTGTTTGTTTGTTTGCTTTTAAATTCTGTGAAGAATGATGGTGGTATTTTGATAGGAATTGCACTGAATTTATAGATTGCTTTTGGCAGTATGGTCATTTTCACAATATTGATTCTACCTATTCACAAGCATGGGATGTGTTTCCATTTGTTTGCGTTGTCTATGATTTCTTTCAGCAGTGTTTTGTATCCTTGTTCAAGTCTTTCACATCCTTGGTTAGGTATATTCCTAAGTATTTTATTATATTATCTTTTTGCAGCTATTTTAAAAGGGGTTGAGTTCTTGATTTGATTCTCAGTTTGGTCACTATTGGTATATAGAAGACCTACTGATTTCTGTACGTTAATTTTGTATCCGGAAACTTTTCTGAATTCTTGTATCAGTTCTAGGAGCTTTCTGGAGGAGTCTTTAGGGTTTTCTAGGCAAACAATCATATCATCAGCAGACAGCGGGAGTCCCAATTTGGATGCCCTTTATTTCTTTCTCTTGTCTGACTGCTCTGGCTAGGACTTCCAGTTCTATGTTGAAGAGGAGTGGTGAGAGTGGGCATCCTTGTCTTGTCCCAGTTCTCAGAGGGAATGCTTTCAACTTTTCCCCATTCAGTATTATGTTGGCTGTGGGTTTGTCATAGATGGCTTTCATTACATTGAGGTATGTCCCTTATATGCCGATTTTGCTGAGAGTTTTAATCATAAAGGGAAGCTAGATTTTGTGGAATGCTTTTTCTGCATCTATTGAGATGATCATGTAATTTTTGTTTTTGATTCTGCTTATGTGGTGTATCACATTTATTGACTTGTGTATGTTAAACCATTCCTGCGTCCCTGGTATGAAACCCACTTGATCATGGTGGATTATCTTTTTGATACGTTGTTGGATTTGGTTAGCTAGTATTTTATTAAGGATTTTAGCATCTATATTCACCAGGGATATTGGTCTTTAGTTTTCTTTTTTGGTTATGTCCTTTCCTGGTTTTGGTATTAGGGTGGTACTGGCTTTATAGAATGATTTAGGGACTGTTCCCTTTTTCTCTATCTTGTGGAATAGTGTCAATAGAATTGGTACCAATTCTTCTTTGAATGTCTGGTAGAATTCTGGGTGAATCCATCTGGTGTTGGGCTTTTTTTGTTGGTAATTTTTTAATTATCATTTCAATCTTGCTGCTTGTTTTTGGTCTGTTCAGAATATCTAATTCTTTCCGATCTAAGCTAGGAAGGTTGTATCTTTTCAGGAATGTATCCATCTCCTGTAGGTTTTCTAGTTTATGCACATAAAGGTGTTCATAGTACCCTTGAATGACCTTTTGCATTTCTGTGGTGTCAGTTGTAATATGTCCCTTTCATTTCTAATTGAGCTTATGTTGCTTTTCTCTCTTCTTTCCTTGTTTAATCTTGCTAATGGTCTATCAATTTTATCTATCTTTCCAAAAAACCAGCTTTTTGTTTCATTTATCTTTTGTATTTTCTTGTTTCAATTTCATTTAGTTATGCTCTGATCTTAGTTATTTCCTTTCTTCTGCTGGGTTTGGGTTTGGTTTGTTTTTGTTTCTCTAGTTCCTTGAGATGTGACCTTAGAATCTCAATTTGTGCTCTTTCAGACTTTTTGATGTAGGCATTTAATGCTATGAACTTTCCTCTTAGCACCGCGTTTGTTGTATCCCAGAGGTTTTGATAGGTTATGTCACTACTGTCACTCAGTTCAAAGAATTTTTTAATTTTCATCTTGATTTCAATTTTGACCCAATGATCATTCAGGAGCAGTTTATTTAATTTCCATGTATTTGCCTGGTTTTGAAGGTTCCTTCTGGAGTTGATTTCCAGTTTTATTCCACTGTGGTCTGAGAGAGTACTTGATATAATTTCAATTTTCTTGAATTTATCAAGACTCGTTTTGTGGCCTATCATATGGTCTATCTTGGAGAAAGTTCCATGTGCTGATGAATAGAATATGTATATTCTGCAGTTCTTGGGTAGAATGTTCTGTAAATATCTGTTAAGTCTATTTATTCCAGGGTGTAGTTTAAATCCATTGTTTCTTTGTTGACTTTCTGTGTTGATGAACTGTCTAGTGCTGTCAGTAGAGTACTGAAGTCCCCCACTATTACTGTGGTGCTGTCTATCTTACTTCTCAGGTCAATTACTAATTGTTTTATAAATTTGGGAGCTCCAGTGTTAGGTGCATATATATTTAGAATTGTGATATTTTCCTGTTGGACAAGGCCTTTTATCATTATATAATGACCCTCTGTCTTTTTTAACTGCTAGAGCCTTAAAGTTTGTTTTGTCTGATAAAAGAATAGCTACTCCTGCTCACTTTCATGTCCATTTGCATGGAATCTCTTTTTCTATCCGTTTACCTTAAGTTTATGTGAGCACTTAAGTGTTAGGTGTGTCTCTGAAGGCAGCAGATGGTTGGTGAATTCTTATCCATTCTGCATTTCTGTATCTTTTAAGTGGAGCATTTAGGCCATTTACATTCATCATTAGTATTGAGGTGTGAGGTACCATTCCATTCATCATGCTATTTGTTGCCTGTATACTTTGGTTTTTTGCTTTTTGTTTTTAAATTGTATTTTTGTGTGATTTATGCTTTAAAGAGGTTCTGTTTTGATGTGTTTCCAGGATTTGTTTCAAGATTTAGAGCTCCTTTTAGCGGTTCTTGTAGTGGTGGCTTGGTAGTGGCAAATTCTCTCAGCATTTGTTTGTCTGAAAAAGGCTGTATCTTTCTTTCATTTATGAAGCTTAATTTCGCCGGGTACAAAATTCTTGGCTGATAAAATGTTTTGAGGGGGCTGAAGATAGGGCCCCAATCCCTTCTAGCTTGCAGGGTTTCTGCTCAGAAATCTGCTGTTAATCTGATAGGTTTTCCTTTATAGTTTACCTGGTGTTTTTGCCTCACAGCTGTTAAGATTCTTTCCTTCATCTTAACTTTAGATAACCTGAGGACAATGTGCCTAGGTGGTGATCTTTTTGTGATGAATTTCCCAGTGTTCTTTGAGTTTCTTGTATTTGGATGACTAGTTCTTTACCAAGGCTGGGGAAGTTTTCCTCAATTATTCCTCTAAATATATTTTCCAAACTTTTAGATTTCTCTTCTTCCTCAGCAATGCCAATTATTCTTAGGTTTTGTAGTTTAACATAATCCCAGACTTCTTGGAGGCTTTGTTTATATTTTCTTATTCTTTTTTCTTTGTCTTTGCTTAATTCGAAAACTTTGTCTTCAAGCTCTGAAGTTCTTTCTTTTGCTTGTTCAATTCTATTGCTGAGACTTTCCAGAGCATTTTGCATTTCTATAAGTGTGTCCATTGTTTCCTGAAGTTTTGATTGTTTTTTATTTATGCTATCTATTTCACTGAATATTTCTCCCTTCACTTCTTGTATCATTTTTTTGGATTTCCTTACACTGGGCTTTGTTTCTCTCTGGTACCTCCCTGATTAGCTTAACAACTAACCTTCTGAATTCTTTTTCAGGTAGATCAGGGATTTCTTCTTGGTTTGGATCCATTGTTGGTGAGCTAGTGTGATTTTTTGGGGGGATGTTAAAGAACGCTGTTTTGTTATATTACCAGAGTTGGTTTTCTGGTTCCTTCTCATTTGGGTCAGCTCTGTCAGAGGGAAGGTCTAAGGCTCAACGCTGGTGTTCAGTTCCTTTTGTCTCACAGGGTGTTTCCTTGATGTAGTACTCTCCCCCTTTTCCTAGGGATGTGGCTTCCTAAGAGCTGAGCTGTAGTGATTGTTATCTCTCTTCTGGATCTAGCCTCCCAGCAAGTCTACCAGGTCTGGGCTGGTACTGGGGTCATCTGCACAGAGTCCTGTGATGAACTGTCTATGGGTCTCTCAGCCATGGATATTAGCATCTGCTCTGGTGGAGGCGGCAAGGAGGTGAAATGGACTCTGTGAGGATACCTTAGCTTTGATTGATTAGTGCACTATTTTTGAGCTGGTTATCCTCCTGCTGGGAGGTGGCACATTCAAGAGAGCATCATCTGTGGTAATATGGGGAGGAACAGGTGGTGGGTGGGTCCCTAGAACTGCCAAGAGTATATGCCCTTTGTCTTCAGCCACCAGGGTATGTAGGGAAGGACCACCAGGTGGGGGCAGGGCTAGGCATGTCAGACTCTTGCTATGGCTGCTGTGGAGGATGGGGTTGAAGTTTCTAGGTCAATGGAGTTATGTTCCTAGAAGGATTATGGCTCTCTCTGCTGTGTAATGCAGGTTGTCAGGGAAGTAGGGGAAAGCCGGCAGTCACAGGCCTCATCCAGCTCCCAGGCAACCCAAAGGGCTGATCTCACTCTCACTGTGCCCCTCCCAACAGCACCAAGTCTGTTTCCAGGTGGTGGGTGAGCAGGGCTGAGAACTTGCCCCAGGCTACTTGCCTCCCAGCTGCAAAAGTAAGTAGGGCTTTCCTTCTTCCCTTGCCTGTGGAGTCTGCACACTGGATTCATGCCCTCCCCCCAGTTCTGGCCAGGAGACTTTTTGATCAGCTCAAATTGTTACAAAGTTCAGCTGGAGGTTTCCTTCTCCCTGTGGCCTTTTCCCAGTGCCTCTAGCACCCCTCCTCAAGGACCCCTGTGAGGTGAGGCAGAAGTGGCTTGCTAGGGGAGCCAGCGAGCCCACAGGGACTTTTCTCCTGCTTCCTCTAACCCCATATTTTGCTCGGCCCTCTACATTGACTCAGCTGCATGTAAGGTCGGAATCTTCTCCCGTACTCTAGAACTTCAGGTTCCCTCTCCAGTGGGGATATATGTTCAGGGGCAGATGATCTCCTTTTCCCACTTCTACAGTTTTTTGGGGTGTCTTACAGTATTTGGGGTGTCTCCCAGGTCCTGCAGGAGTAATCTGCTTCCTTCAGAGGGTCTATGGGTTCTCTTGGCTTTCCTAATGTATTCCTGCAGTCATTGTTGAGTAAAAGTTCACAATGCAAGTCTCCACACACTGTTCTGTCCATCCGAGTGACAGCTGCAATCTAGTCTTGCTTCTGGTCTGCCATCATGATCTGCTTCTGCTTCTCATCCTAAGCTCTAGCTATACCATATTTCCTACCAGTCCCTGAACAGGCCATGTTATCTCAGAGTTTTGACATTTTGTATATGCTCTTCTTCCTATCTAGAATACCTCTTCACCTTTTCCATCTAGGAAACTCCTATTCATTGAACAAAGCCTATCTCTATAATACTTTCTCTGGGAAGGCTCCCCTAACTCAAAGGCAGAGTTGGCTGCCCCTTTCTCAATGTTCCTCTAGAACTGCATGCATAACTCTATTTTCATTTTCAGCCACCCTTAAATGTTGATCTTCCCATTAGACCATTAATTTTCTGATACTCATTTCCCTTTTTCATAATCTGGCCCAATACCTGACATTTGACAATTGCTGAATAAATGTTTGTTTATTTGATTGACTGAATGAATATATTTGTATAAATATAAATAAAAGGGACCACCTTTTCATTTAATCTAAAGCATGCATTGCCTACTCAGTTTAGAAAGTTGGTAAAAGATGCCATTTTTGTGAGACCAAAGCACAAGTAACACAGGTTAAAACACCCCAGTAGCCAAGATAATTAAATGTGCTTCAGCTTTGACATTTGCTTTAGTTGCCATTACATTACCTACTTTTGTAGCACAGCTGGGTCTACTCAAAATTTAATACATCAACAGCTCTTGTTGACTAAGTCATTAAATAAATATGTAATGGTCACCAAAATTTTCCATCAGCTAACTGAATTAAATGATAGGTATTTACATTTTAAACTCTGGGAGCTCTCTTTAATTATTTTATTTTTAAAATTATTTTGATAATTTTTCTGAATATAAATACAATATATAGCAACATATCTTTTTTAAAATTTAAAATTGAGAGAAACAAAAAATTAGAAACCAAAACAACTTGTAAGAATATTGTTATACTTCTTTACATTTTTTGTAAACAAATGTATGTATACAAATATGTACGTACAAAAATTATAAATGTATGTAAACAATAGTAGTTTTCTACTGCCCTTTCCACTTAAAGTCAGGGCACATATGGTCCTTATTATAATCAATAATGTTCAAAAATGGTTCTTCACTTATTTTAGCTACTCCCTTATTATTGGGCATTTAAGGATTTTATTCTTGGGACAAGTTCTTAAAAATAGAAATATAGAACTGAGTTTAAACAGTATAAACATTCTTAAGGCTCTTGACACATGCCACCAATGCCCTAAAGAAAGGTTACCAATTTATATTTCTACCAGCAATGCCTGAGAAAAGTTACTTTTGCTTAATGTAGAACTTTAAAATCTTATCTTCTTTTTTATGTGTCATATTGTATCTATTTTTCTACACTATATTCTGTTCATTTTCACACATATGCACACACAATCTATAGTCTATTTTACCTTGATTGAGATAATTGTTAAGTTTATATCCGATGCCTGGCAAGAGTTAAAATATGTGAATTTGTTTTTTTTTTTAATTTAAATTGCCTGATAGTAGGGCTCTTTTATCAACACATGTCTAAGATAATGCTAGTATCATGTAGGAATCACAAGCCTGATCTAGTTGGCATTTTCAAACATGCTATTTCTTTTTCTCTATCATTATTTACCATGTTTTTATGTGCAAGGAGAAATTGAGAAGCCTGGCTAATAATAGATTTGAACTCTGAATCACACTTTTGTTAAGAGTTCTACCTTACAAAAACATCAACTGGTGAGAAGTTAAACAACAGTACAATTTTAAAGAAAATGATGGTAAATCAAGTACAAGTACCAAAACCTCCTTTTACAAATTTACATTTACCAAAATGGTTTTTTAAATTTTATTTTTTGTGAAGATCAAGCTGTGTGAGGAAAAACAACTGTTTGTACTTGAATCATGTATTATAAAAAAGTAATGCATCTCCAACAAGCAACTGAGATGAGAAAATTTCTGGGATCCCTTTTCAACACCAAACAGCAAATATGAAGCATAAGTTTTTTTTAATATAATGCAGGAACCATTATTAAGCTACTTCTGTTATCATGCTCCTTTTTATGATTATGGTGGAGAAGATGTTATCTACATTTTCAAAGATTTTCCTTGTGTATAAAATTAGTTATGAAGTTATCTATACTCAATTAAAGGATTAATCCTATATTGTTTTTGACCAGTAATTAATGTAATTTTTAATTATTGGTCACATTTAAGTTTAGGTTTTCAGACCATAGTACATTTGGGGTAGTACTAATCCTTTTTTTTTTTTTTTTTTGAGATGGAGTCTCCCTCTGTCACCCAGGTTGGTGTACAGTGGCGCAATCTCAGCTCACTGCAACCTCCGACTCCTGGGTTCAAGTGATTCTCATGCCTCTGCCTCCAGAGATTACAGGCATTTGTCACCATGCCCAGCTAGTTTTATATTTTTAGTAGAGATGGGGCTTTGTCATGTTTGCCAGGCTTGTCTTGAACTCCTGACCTCAAGTGATCTGCCCGCCTCGGCCTCCCAAATTGCTGGGATTACAGGTGTGAGCCACTGCGCCTGACCACTAACCCACTTTTGAAATCAGTTTCAAACAAAAACTCACCTTCTTGAGCACTGCTCTATTCTCAGCCCCCAAAGAGATTGCTGAATACTCTTGCTAAAGGAAAATCTCACCATGCAAATAATAAGATTATCCGAACATCCCTGGAACTCTCCCCCTCCTTTACATTCCTACTGTGGCTATCATAATTTAAGCCCTTTGAATTGTTGCAATCGCCAACTAACTGCTTCCACCAATCCTCTCGGTATAACTGCTGCCAGATTCATCTTCTTAGAATACTGCTTTGAACATGTCACTGGCTGCATGAAAACCTTTAATCATCCCTTATCACCTATAGCAGTCATCTGCCTCCAACCTCTTTTGAACATGTATCTCTATCAATAAAACAATTTTGAGTGTGGATCACCACATAGCATATTTACATATAAATGACACATATACAACATTGTCAATACAAGAAATTATTAGTAAAATATATTTCTTTTTCTATATAAAGAATACATCTTTTTCTATATACAAATGTATTTTCCTACACACTTCCTAACTTTGGACACCACTGGTCTATGGGATAGACCATCCTCTTTAGTATAGCATTCAAGGCCCTATGTAGATAGATTCCGATCTGCCTCCAAGAGTTACCTCCAACTACTCCCTTTTCCAAAAGCCTCATTTCCATGTAAATTGGCCTCCTCACTTTCTTTCCATTTCTGTGATTTTCCTCACACCATTTATGCCATCTGGTTTGTCCTTTCTTTTTCTCTCAACTTATGCATATCTCAACTATCTTACAAGATCCAGCTCCAATTCCTCCTGCTCCACTCTCTCCTTTCTCTGGACTTCAAAGCTGTTATTTTCTGTTCTAACCATTTGGCAGTTAATTATGATTAATGTAGTTTTCACACACAGCCCCTGGTAAATCAAGGAGCCCTATACGTATTTGTTAATGTATGTATTACCACGTGTAACAGAATTTTAAGCTGCAACAATAGCGATATGGATCAGATTTATAAAAAGAACTTTTGGACATAGGATATTTTTGAACATTAAATCATTAATATTATTATTATTATTATTGTTATTACTTGTTTTTTGAGATGGAGTCTTGCTCTGTTGCCCAGCCTGGAGTGCTGTGGCATGGTCTCGGCTTTCTGCAACCTCTGCCCCCCAGGTTCAAGCGATTCTCCTGCCTCAGCCTCTTGAGTAGCTGGGGTTACAGGTGCCTGCCACCACATATGCCTAAGGGAGAGTAAAGCCTGGAAATAAGGCTGGTCTTGGGCAGGTGGGGTAGGTGGAAATAGGCTGGAATCCTTGAGTTCCTATTAGATCTGGGCCATTATAATTGGCGACTCTACAAATACTGAACCCTACCCACAGGGACATAGGACTGGCATTTCTTCAAGGAAAGTATTTGGCCTCTCAGGGGAAGGGCTATTTATCTCAAACATTTTCATTCTTCAATTATGGGAAGCACAAGACACATTTGCATCCTTGAGATAAAAGAAAATTTAGAGCAAACTGCGAGGTGTTTACATGAAATTTCAGTGGTTCACATTTTATGCACCTCACATTGCTAAGGTAATGGATTAGCTGACCTTATAGAGCTTTTGCTTTTTGGGGTCATTTTGATATATCTTCTAAGTAAAAGCTGTTAAGGTAAGGGAGAAATTTTATATAGATTCTTAAAAGTATTTCTAGGAGCTTGTAAAAATTTACTTAAAACCTCAGGGGAATATTGTCTAAAAAAGACTCCCCAAGTTTATCTGCTGCCCTCCTAGGGTCAAGTGTACAGAGGTGTATTCAGTCTGTGAACACTCCGTTTTTGAAATGAAACCAAATCCATGCAGAGTTATGTGCTGAGTGTGGGAAGGAATGCTATGCCTCCATTCTCAGCACTTTCCCAGGACCCCCGTCCTCAAACCTTAAAACCAATCTATTAAATTTTTTTCCCCTGTGTAGTCACCATTTCAAGAACATGCCCCAACATTTAAATTTCAACATTTAATACATTGAAACACATCATCACTGTCCTTCTTGGATGCACAAGCATGCATTTAAGAATTCTATTTCATAAAAGAAGAAACTAAAATTTTGCAATAGAAGTAGTAAATATATATACAAATCAATAAATACTCATTTGGATTAACTGTGCAGAAATAAAAAAGATTAAATGCCGCAATCATTGCAACTCTGAATATCAGATTCATCCATTCACCAACTATTCCTGGTCCAGGAACCAAGGCATTTGGTGCTGAAGAAATCATTATCTTTGAACTCATGAAACTTACAATCCAGAGGACAAAAAGGGTAAAAAGTTCCCACATTATTCTTATCATCATCACCATCACCCACATCATTGTAGTAGGTGTTTTGCATTCATGTGAAGAACTGATTTTTTTAAAATTATTATTTTTCTGGAGAGAGAGAGCGCGCACACTGGGTCCAAGAGAAGAAGTGAGGGCTAGGGAAGAAAGCTAATAAAGGAAAGGATTGGATGAGAGTAATGGCATAGTGGAGAAAGCATCTGCAGCAAAGCTGGCCAACATTCAGGGCAAAACTGGGGAGAAGGGACCAAGATTGACTGGGCACTCTATGCTGTGCCAGTCACTGTGCTAAATGTTTTTAGATAATAGCTCATATAATTTTCAAAATATTACCTCATTTAATTCTGCAAAGCAAGTAATATTGTCATCCTGTTTCACAAATAATAAAACTGAGAGGTAGAGAAATTAAGTCACTTGACCAGTATTATACAGCCAATAAGTGTCAGAGCCAGGATTCAAACCTAGGACTGCCTAATGTCCAATTAATGCTCTTAACTGCTTTATACTGTTGCCCTTCCAAAAGATAAACTGCATGGGAAGATCTGACCAGTACTGTGCAACCTCCATCTTCTTCTGTCTCTTTTTAGGTGAAAAATCTCAACTTAGAGAATATAATCTAACAATGCTACTGTATCTATCCCTGTTACCCAGTGGTCCATATTAGCACCTGCAAATTCCATCTAAAACTATCCAATTTTAAAGAGATAAAGTGGCAAGAATGTGACCTATAGACATTAGATTGCATATATGTGTTTGGTTGGTGTGGGTGAGAGATGAGACCAATGCAAAGGGCATTTTCTTGGCTGATAGAGATAAGCAATCAGTCCCTAAGACAGTCAGAAGTTGAACAACATTGGAATGTCCACATTTATATCAACAGGAATGTCAAAATCTTCAACTGCTGGGTCTAAAAATTATCACTAACTTTGAACAGTAGGAGACAGAAAAGAAGAATAATTTATCTTCTGGAAGAGCTGCTCAAGACTCATTTGCATTTTAGGGGACTGAGCTCCAGAAAAATAAAAAATGAACCTAAAACCTTAAAAGCCTAGCAGCCACTTAGATAAATTAACAAAATGCATTCTCTGCACAGAAAAATCATGGGGCTTTTCAAATATCAGAAAAATATTACTGTCAAGATGATTGTAAAATAAAAGCTCCAAATATTAAATATAAATATATTAATTTTGTTGTCAGAAATAAACCCTGCTGGAGACAAAAACTCAAAATGATGTTTTAGGGCCTTTAAGTTTTAAGAAGAAATGATTTTTTTAAACATTAAGGTCTTACTGTTCTCTGCAGAGAGAAGGAGATTATACCAGAGGGAGAGTCAAAATTGAGTTTAGGAATAGATCTGGAGGGAGGGCAGAAAGGTGATCAAAGAGTGAATTTGTGGAGAGCGATTACATAACTGTGAAAGTATTTACAGTTCCACTGATGCTGTGTTTAGAGACAGCTGGGCAGCTGGTGAGGCAGTGAGGCTGGGGGAGAGAAAGAATCAGGATTTACTGGGTACTTAACACTATGCCAGACGCTGTGCTAAGTTCTTTCCAGACATTATCTCATTTAATTTTCACAATAATTCTATAATACCTGACAGTATTATTATATCTGGATCCCCAAGTTACAGATAAGGAAACAAAAGTTAAAAGAATGTAAGCAATTTGCACAATGTCACAGAGCTATTCAGTGCTAGAGGCTGGATATGAATCCAGATTTTTTATATTTTTACTCCAATGCCCATACCTTTTCAACTAGACCACCCTGACTCAGACCCCCTTACGTTGAGACCATTCTCTGACATACGAAAGCAAAAATAACCTAGGACAAATACTAATGGCATAGGTAGACCACAGAGGCTGGACTTCAATAACAATCTGGAAGTAACTGAATTGCTTTCTAATATAACTTTCACTAAATCCTCCATGTAAGGTCATCAGTGTTAAGTCACAAGGCATCATCACAGCAGGGGACAGGGTCTGTTCTGAAGTCTTCCTACTGGTATCTACTATGGCCCCACCTTCTAACCCCTCTTCAAGTTTTCCAGTGCAATCTTCTCAAGGAAAACAAGGAATGAGATAAAGTCAGCGTGGGAGGGGAAAAAAGAGGCAGTACAAAGGTAGATACAAAGCACAACACAGCAAATCCAACACTGTCAGCCTGTTACTTATAGAAATCACAGAAAATGTACAAATCACACTGTAAGCTGAGGCCATGAGGCATCACCGTCTCCATTCTTCCACTGTACCCTATGCACAGACCTCGGATAAAATTGTCACCTTCTAACTTACCACTCGTTACTCCCTCACTAGACTGTCTGACAGAATACAAATTAATTGAGAATTAAGAAAATCCACTGAGCAAAATGACTCAAGATGTGGATGATATAGCTATACTATAGACATGCTTAAGACTCATTTCCAGAGGGCAACCTGTATGTCTTTTTAAAGGATATATAGAATAAAAAACATTTTTTGCATAAATGGATAATTCCTCAAATAAAAACTGGTGACCATAAACAGCACTGTCACAAACTCAAGAAAAGATATAGAAATCTTATTCTATCAGTTCCTGCACCTCCTGCCAATGCTGCCCCATTTGGAGCAGCTGACAACAAACCACACTCACTCTTTAGGCCTTACACCTACCTTCTACAATAAGGACAAATCAGATGTGACATGTAGGAGATGAGGTGGAAAGTGTCTGGGACCAAGAAGAAAGAATGCTGGAACTGGTCAAGCATAGAATTAAAGAATACCGAGAGGAAAGTGTCAGTCTGGCCTGGCTCTCTGAGGCATCAGCAGGTGCATTATAATTGCTAGAGGCCAGCACAGAGCTGGTTCAGATGGAGAACAAGTGCTCAGCGCCTGACAGGCTGAAGACCAAGCAACTGGCTGTGGAGACGTTGCTGATGCAGAGTGTCTGGCTGGATTCTGCCACGTATGTAAAGAAGTGGCTTTGCTCCTGACATTGTGGATAGGACGAGATGGGATCCAAAGCCAGGGGGCACAGACAGGGTGGCCCATGGCCAAAACTTCAGCCAACCAGGTCAGCAAGTGAAGAAACAATTATGTGAGCAGCAGACACAAATACAAGCTAGACAGACTACCATGGTGTCATGCTGACCTTGACATGGACAGGAGAACATTAACTAAAGGGCAAAGACGTTTTTCTTTGTATAAAGAAAGCTGGCATTTATGGAGTCCCTATCCTGTGCCAGGCAATATGCTAAACACTTTATGTGCATTAGTTCCTTTACTTTTTGAACCTCACAGTAACACAGGATGCAGGTACTAGTACTTTTCCTGTTGTATGGATCAGGAAGCTGAGGCTTAGAGAGGTTAAGCAACTCACTTATGGTCACATATATAATAATGGGCAGAAACAGGACTTAAAGCCAGGTTCTCCTGATAGCAAAGCTCACAGCTTAAGCCTCCATTGTACACGTGGATTCCCTCAGTGTGCCCAGTAGACTGGGGATGACTTCCTTGGGGATTAGTCCTATGAGAACCTGGCATGGATGAAGGTGACAACAACACAAGGCTCCAATAAGGAAAATACACCCTAGGCCAGTCACAAAACTGAAAAAAATGAGAAACCCAGTCTAAGAGAAGAGCTATTCTTTTGGCACTGGGTTCACCCTGGCTACAAGTCAAAGGTACATTTGTTCACATTTGTATAAACAGACATCCTAAAATGTCCAGGCATAAATTGACACATTATTACAGAGAATACTGAGCCATCAATTCCAGCTTCCCAGCTCTCCTTGGCTTGATTCACCACCATGTTGCTTAAATCTATTTCTGTGTACTGAGGGTTTAATAGCACAAAGCATCAAATTTTTCTGAGCAAATAATTCTGTCTTTAAATTCTTCAAGTGATAACTGATATTAAATGGATTTTTTTTTTTAAATAAAGAGGTCAGGTCATGTCCTCAAGCCTTGACTTCACAACAGACCCAAACAAGAGGCGATAGTTCAGGAAGCCACCATCCCAGCACACATAATGTTCAAGGGCTCTGTACAGTAAGCATGTTGATTTATTCATTTTTGAGCCTTGAACCTGGGGAGTACTTTGAGTCAACTACTTAATCTAATCTTAGCAGATGATTTTACTGTCCAGTATTAAATAATTATACCGCAGTGAGTTTGTTTCCTAACAGACTATAGCATTAAATGTTAAATAAATAAGATTTATCCCAGTGTTCTGCAGCCCACTTCCTTACTTCATCCCCCTGAAGTTCCCAAATAAGAAAAACATTTCGTCCTTTATTATGAGCAATAACAATTTCTCCTCTCATCTAGAAATGCATGCTATTGCCCAGAATAAAGTTTTATTTCAAGAATTAGATCACCATATACACTAAAGCATAACTGTGTTCTGGCTGCCTGTGTTTTCCTGGGTGAAATCACAATCCACTTTGAAAATTTACACACATTTGTCATTTTAGAAATAGTTCTTTGCTTTGGCTTTTGAGTAAGTAAGGAATTTTTCTAAGGACAGTGTCAAATAGCCCTGTGATTACTCCCATTTTGGTGTGCAAATCATTATCTTCCATTAACAGGCTACAGACACTGTCAGTTTTGAAAACAGACACTTTATAGAAACTAAAATATGAGTCAGGAGGGAAGCAAGTTCTTAGTGGCATTTGCATGTTATTTTATTCTAGGCATTTCTGCAGGGTTGGCCTGCTTTGATAGGCTCCTAGGGGCATCGTGGGAGGACACTAGAACTCAAAGATAAAGATCTAACTGAAAAGCACAGCTTCTGTTAAAACAATTTGATGCCAAAAATTAAGCCACACAGAAAACTGTTGTGTAAAATTCCAAATGAAATAGAGGAGTATGTCTCCCTTAATAGACACTCCTCTCATTCCAGAATGCTGTTAAAGATGTCGGTATATTGGAGACCTGCTTAGAGTTCTGCAGAAGAAACTTCAAACAAACAAACTTTTGGAGAAGGCAAGACTGGGAACAGTAGTGTGCTTTTTAATGACTGAGGCTGAATATGCTTTCCTCTGGTTTTCTTTTATGTTTCTTCATAAAGCATTCTTCATGCTTTCCTGCTATTTTGCAGTGCCTATTTTTTCCTAATATACTTGGGTTGCCAAACCAAAAAAGAATCTCTGCCCTCATGTACTCCATTTAGTTGAAAGACGAGTTTCAACTCTTCCATGCAGGAGAATGAGCCAGCAACCTGCCACAGAAGTCAAGTAACAAAAGGCCCCCTTCAGAGGCTGTCAATTTCCAGCCCCCGATGTTCTGTGACCAGATAAGTCGGTTCCTGGTGCACCTGGGTCCTCCTGGGTTGCCAGCAAGGGTTGTCAGCATAACATATCAGGGAACCAGCCACTGTATTTACATTTTAATAAGTATTTTGTTTTCCTTACTTTTTCTTGTTTGTTCCCAGGGGTTCTAAGAAAGGGAAAGACAGTAATAACCAATTCATATAGGACAGAATCAGCTACGTTTGGCTGATTTGCAATTTGGACTAAGAAATCAAAGCTGGAATTTTTCATATAGGTCAAATATTTAGAAGGCTACAAATGTGATTTGCATAGGTTTTATTTCCCTTGCACTTCTTTGTATACTAAGTAATTCCCCCTGTCCTGTCGACTGACTATAAAAGGTGAAGTGGTATAACAGACCTGTATGAGAGTGCCTGCTGGATTCAAGCCCCTGACACCCTTTTTTGGGTCGGGTTTGTATAAATCTAAGAAATGGCAGGACATAGACACGGGAAGAGACTTAAAAAAAAACAACTCAACTTTCAGATTCTTTCACCACATCTCAATCACACCTCTATTCCTCTTAGGCAGTGTAACAGTCTTCTCAGTTTCAAAACTGTTTTCACCCTTTTATTGAAATTCTGAGAGCCTTATTCTACAAGAGCAAATAACCCCACAAAAAAACCACAGGTCCAAGGACTTCATTTCAGTCAGCAGACTCGCTGGCTGAAACTGTATGGTCTCTGTTAGCAGCACTGTCTGCCTTGCTTAAATTGCTTCCCTTATCGGACATTTTTGGGGAAAATATTCAGGATTCTAAACTGCAGACGATACCTGGGATGTTGGTGGTTACTGTCAGTGAATTTTATGGAGCATATAAAATAGGCAATGATCTTTTTTATTTTAGGTTCCCATTATTCAGTGCAGCAATGTATGCATATATGATAAAAAAATTTCCTCTGGAGTGGGAAGATTAGCCTTGAACGACTACAAACTGATATTAGCACAACTGTATATACTCACACTCACATAGTCAGATTTCACTGCATTAAACTGATAACCTTTTCAATGAAGAAATGAGGTTTCTTTGTAATTAGTGTTACATATATGCTATTAACATGTTAGAGCCCATCAAAAACTTGCGTAGAATAGTTTAGGATCTAAGCTATGATAGAACTTTTCTTGCCACCTTTCACGCTCTTAAATGTTAGTGTAGGAGAAGTTGTTTTTGATGGCTATTCAAAACAGATTTTATTTGATTTTTTAAATGTATTTTTATTTTTTATAGAGACAGAATTTCCCTATGTTGTCCTGGGTAGTCTCGAACTCCTGGGCTCAAGCAATTATCCCACCTCAGCCTCCCAAAGTTCTGGGATTACAGGCGTGAGCCACTGCACCTGGCTTCAAAACAGATTTTAAATCAGTCCATATAAAATGATCATAGGCCAGGAGCGGTGCCTCATGCCTGTAATCCCAGCATTTTGGGAGGCTGAGGTGGGCAGATCATGAAGTCAGGCGATTGAGACCATCTTGGCCAATATGGTGAAATCCTGTCTCTACTAAAAGTACAAAAATTAGCCAGGTGTGGTGGCACACACCTGTAGTCCCAGCTACTTGTGAGGCTGAGGCAGAAGAACCGCTTGAACCCGGGAGGCGGAGGTTGCAGTGAGCCGAGATCACACCACCACACTCCAGCCTGGGCAACAGAGTGAGACTCCATCTCAAAAAAAAAAAGATCATAAATACTCAGTTCCTACAGAAAAAATTCACAAGCTTCCCAATCAAGTCACATTTATAGAGGCCTTTTCTTCAGCCCCATAAAAATTTATTTTAATTCAATTTTTCTTCATAAAAAAATTTTCTTTCCCTCTTAAAATAGAATAAATCACATTCATCATAAAAATTTGGGAAACACAGAAAAGAAATAGTCAAACCCCATTAACAAGAGATAATCTTTGTTGAAATTTTGGTATTTTTGTTTAATCTTTCTTTCTTAATCATATTTTTAAGTTTCTTATAGTTGATCCATTACATATGTATATTCTTCATTTTACATTAAAGCTTAGACATTTATCTGTGCTATTTCACAGTCTCTCTGTATTTCTATTTGTATTCTCTGTGAAATATTCCTTTTAAGGATGAAGTAAACTTTAACTGTTTTTCAATTTTAGTAATTTTCATTTATTTCTGATATTTAACATTACAAATAACATTGTAATGATTAGCTTTGAACTAAAGCTTTTCCAGATATTTGAATTTTTTTCAGGATAATTTATGAGAAGTAAAATTAGTCAAAGGGTAATTTTGTAGCTCTTGATGTATACAGTATTGCCAAATTGCTTTTTAAATAGTTGGTACCAAATTATTTTCCCACAGTGTATGAAAACTCATTTTTCATTGCTCTCTTACCAATATTCTGTTTTTTTGTTGTTTTGTTTTTTTAAAATCACTAATTTAAAAGACTACAAGTGTCATTTCAGTGTTTTGAATTGAATTATATGTATTTGATTGCTACTGGGATTTAACATTTTAAACTTTTTTTTTTTTTTACAAATTATTTATTTTGGACCTTTACTTATTTATTTATTGCAGTCATGGGGATTCTTTATTATTGATTTGTATGAATATTTTATGTATTAAGGATATTAATGGTTATAATTTCATTGGAATTTTTTCATGTACTTTAAGTTAAATTCTGTGATTTTTCTATCTACACATTTCAATCCTCAGTCTTCCCGCTAACATTTCAAAGGATGGACTTGGATTTCAACATAATGGAAATCAATTAGGAGAGTTAAAGAAAAAGATGTCAGGATAGTTAAATCCAAAATGTAATTCCATCTGTAAGGTTATATGTTCAATATTACTGTTTCTCAACACATACCAAAATGTCTTACTAAGTCTGATTAGTAAAGACAGGTGCTTATATCCTAGATGTCAGTGATAATGATAGTCAAAAAAATAACGTATAGTAGTACTTAGCAGAATGATGAGGTTCAAAGTACGTGCTCTGACCATCCTGCCTCACCTACCACAAGCAATGATAATTATCCCCCCTTCCTTGGTGTAGCATAGTGAGGAATGGTGACATTTTAAAGGCCCCTTCCAAGCAGATGATGCCAATATGCATCTATGCTTATCTTAGACCCTTATGGAACCCTTCAGTCATCAAATTCACTTGGCAAAGCATGCATATTACTCCAGATTGAGTCAGATAGCACCAGGCCACTGGAGAAATGGAGCATAGGTAACCTCACAGTGCAAATCTAGTGATGGGTCCCCAAAGTACACCACAGCTGATTACAGCTGAAGAATAAGTCAAGACTTTCAGGCTTCAAGAGAAATATATAGGGGCTTATAGTGTGTGGGGTCCTAAGAAATAAAGTCTTTTTTTCCACTAAAAAAGATATAGAGTAGTCATTAAGAATTTGGGTTTAGAACTACAAAAACACACTGAAATACACAGACCAGTGACACTATAAAGCAACCACATAAACAAGTCTGCAAAATAATCAGCTAACATGATGACAGGATCAAATCCATAGATATAAATACTAACCTTAAATGTAAATGGGTTAAATGCCCCAAATAGAAGACACAGAGTGACAAGATGGATAAAGAACCAAGACCTATTGGTATGCTGTCTTTAAGAGACCAATGTCACATGCAATGACACACACAGGCTCAAAATAAAGGGATGGAGGAAAATCTACCAAATAGGAAACAGAAAGAAGCAGGGGTTGCAATTCTAACTTCTGACGAAGGAGACTTTAAACCAACAAAGATAAACAAAAAGACACAGAAGGGCATTATATAATAGTAAATTGTTCAGTACAACAAGAAAATCTAACTGTCCTAAATATATATGCACCCAACACAGGAGTACCCAGATTCATAAAGCAAGTTCCTAGAGAACTTCAAGGAGACTTAGACTGCACCACAATAATAGCTGGAGAGTTTAATACCCCACTGACAATATTAGACAGATCACTAAGACAGAAAATTAACAAAGATATTCAGGATCTGAACTCAGCCCTGGATCAAATGGACCTAGATCAAATAGATATCTACAGAACTCTCCACCCAAAAATAACAGAATATACATTCTTCTCATCGCCACATGGCACTTTCTTTAAAATAAATCACATAAAGTAAAACACTCCTCAGCAAATGTAAAAGAACGGAAATATTAACAGTCTCTTGGACCACAACACAATCAAAATTGAAATAAAGACTAAGAAATTCACTCAAAACCATACAATTACATGGAAATTGAATAACTTGCTCCTGAATGACCTTTGGGTAAACAATGAAATTAAGGCAGAAATCAAGAAGTTCTTTGAAACTAATGTGAACAAAGATGCAACGTACCAGAATCTCTGGGACACAGACAAGGCAGTGTTAAGAGGGAGATCTATAGCACTAAATGCCCACATCCAAAAGATAGAAAGATCTCAAGTTAACAACCTAACATCACCACTACAAGAACTAGAGAACCAAGAGCAAGCAAATCCCAAAGGTAGCAGAAGACAAGAAATAACCAAAATCTGAGCTGAATTGAAGGAGATAGAGACACAAAAAGCCATTAAAAAGATCAACAAGTCCAAGAGTTGATTCTTTGAAGAAATTAATAAAATAGATTGCTAGCTAGACTAACAAAGGAGAAAAGAGAGAAGGTTCAAATAAACATAATCAAAAACGATAAGGGGGATATTACCCCTGACTCCACAGAAATACAAACAACCATCAGAGAATATTATGAACCTTCTATGCGCATAAACTAAAAAATCTAGAAGAAATGAATAAATTCCTGGATACATACACCCTCCCAAGACTGAACCAGGAATAAACTGGATCTCTGAATAGAACAATAATGAGTTCTGAAATTGAGGTAGTAATAAATAGCCTACCAACCAAAAAAAGCTCAAGGCCAGATGGATTCACAGCTGAATTCTACCAGATGTACAAAGAGCTGGTACCATTCTTACTGGAGCTATTCCAAAAAATTGAAGAGGGACTACTCACTAACTCATTCTATAGGCCAGTGTTATCCTGATAACAAAGCCTGGCAGAAATACAAAAAAAAAAAAAAAAAAAAAAAGAAAGAAAGAAAGAAAGAAAACTTCAGGCCAGTATCCTTAATAAACATTGATGCAAAAATTCTCAACAAAAGACTATCAAACTGAATCCAGTAGCACGTCAAAAAGTTTATCCACCACAATCAAGTAGGCTTCAACCCCAAGATGCAAGTTTGGTTCAACATATGCAAATCAAGAAATGTGATTCATCACATAAACAGAGCTAACGTCAAAAACCGCATGATAATCTCAATAGATGCAGAAAGGGCTTTCTATAAAATTCAACAACGATTCATGTTAAAAAATCTCAATAAACTAGGTATTGAAGGAACATATCTCAAAATAATAAGAGCCATATATGGCAAACCCACAGCCAACATCATACTGAATAAGTAAAAGCTGGAAGCATTCCCCTTGAAAATCAGATTTCACTAGACAAGGATTCCCTCTCTCACCACTCCTATTCAACATAATATTGGAAGCTCAGGCCAGGGCAATCAGGCAGTAGAAAGAAATAAAGTGTATTCAAATAGAAAGAGAGGAAGTCAAATTATCTTTATTTGCAGATAACGTGATCCTATATCTAGAAAACTCCATTGTCTCAGCCCAAAAGCTTCTTAAGCTGATAAGCAACTTCAGCAAAGTCTCAGGATACAAAATCAATGTGTAAAAATCGCTAACCTTCCTATATACCACCAATAAGCAAGCAGAGAACCAAATCATAAATAAACTTCCATTCACAATTGCCACAAAAAGAATAAAATACCTAGGAATACAGCTAACTAGGGAACTGAAAGATCTCTACAAGGAGAACTACAAACCACTGTTCAAAGAGATCAGAGATGATACAAACAAATGGAAAAACATTCCATGCTCATGGATACAAATAATTAATATCTTTAAAATGGCCATACTGCCCAAAGTAATTTATAGATTCAATGCTATGCCTATTAAACTACCATTGACATTCTTCACAGAACTAAAACAATTTATTTTAAAATTCACATGGAACCAAAAAAGAGCCCAAATAGCCAAGGCAATCCTAAGCAAAAAGAACAAAGCTGGAGGCATCATGCTACCTGACTTCAAACTATGCTACAGGCTACAGTAACCAAAACAGCATGGTACTGGTACAAAAACAGACACATAGATCAATGGAACAGAATAGAGAGCCCAGAAATAAGGCCATGCACCTACAATCATCTGATCTTCAACGAAGCTGACAAAAACAAGCAATGGGGAAAGGTTTCCCTATTTAATAAATGGTGCTGGAATAACTGGCTAGCCATATGCAGAAAACTGAAACTGGACCCCTTCCTTATACCGTATATGAAAATTAACTCAAGATGGATTAAAAACTTCAATGTAAAACCCAAAACTATAAAAACCCTGGAAGACAACCTGGGCAATACTATTCTGGAAAGAGGCAAGGGCAAAGATTTCATGATGAAGATTCATGAAAAGCAACTGCCACAGAAGCAAAATTTGACAAATGGGATCTAATTAAGCTTAAGAGCTTCTGCACAGCCAAAGAAACTATCAACAGAGTAAACAGACAACCTGCAGAATGGGAGAAAATTTTTGCAAACTTGCATCTGACAAAGGTCTAATATCCAGCATCTATAAGGAACTTAAATTTACAGAAAGAAAACAAACAACCCTATTAAAAAGTGGGCAAAGGACATGAACAGACACTTCTCAAAAGAAGACATACATGAAGCCAACAATCATACAAAAAAAAAAAAGCTCAGCAGCACTGATCATTAGAGAAATGCAAATCAAAACTGCAATGAGATACCATCTCACACCAGTCAGAATGTCTGTTATTAAAAAGTCAAAAATAACAGATGCTGATAAGGTTGTGGAGAAAAAGGAACACTTATACACTTTTGGTGGGAGTGTAAGTTAGTTCAGCCATTGTGGAAGACAGCATGGCAATTACTCAAAGACCTAAAGACAGAAATGCCATTCAACCAAGCAATGTCATTACTGGGTATACACCCAAAAGAATATAAATCATTCTATTATAAAGACACATACACATATGTTCACTGCAGCACTATTCACAATAGCAAAGACATGGGATCAACTTAAATGCCCATCAATGTTAGGCTCGATAAAGAAAATGTGGTACATACCCACCATGGAATACTAGGCAGCCATAAAAAAGAACGAGATCATGTTCTTTGCAGGGACATGGAAGGAGCTGGAGGCCATTATCCTTAGCAAATTAACACAGAAACAGAAAAACAAATACTACATCTTCTCACTTATAAGTGGGAGCTAAATGATGAGAACACATGAACATGTAGAGGGGAACAAAATACACTAGGGCTTTTTGGAGGATGAGGGCTGGGAAGAGGGAGAGGACAAGGAAAAATAACTAATGGGTTCTAGGCTTAATAGCTGGGTGATGAAATAACCTGTACAACAAACCCCATGACAGAGGTTTACTTAGGTAACAAACCTGCACCTGTACCACTGACCTTAAAATAAAAGTTAAAAAAAAAAAAAGGATAAGAAAAAGGAGTATTTAAAAATTTTGGGCTTAGAATTTGACTTTGTTAAAATCTAGGAGGCACCACTTAACATACTTGCTAAAGCCACATGATCTTGGGCAAGTGAATCAGTTTCTCTAACTAAGCCTCAGGTTCCTCATCTGTAAAATGGGGGTGATAGAGTAATACCAGCCTCATGGGGACATTGTGAGGGTTAAGTGAGAAAAATCTTGTAAAAATGTCTAGTAGATAGAAAACACCTGATTAATGTTAGCTTTTGCTACGCTAGTATCATGTACCTTCTTTAAAGCCAATTCTTCGTTTAATAAGCTATTGTTGTTTATTGTAAGTCTTTTAACAAAGGCAGTTTTTTGGTTTGTCCAGCAAATAGCATAGAACAGCAGTAAACAAAAGTGAGCTGGAGGCCAGTACAATGACTGCATGAGAAGTTACAGCAGGCAAATAACTAAATCAACATAGAAGAAAGTGTTATCACAACAGAATGCAGGAATAAACCTCTAGTAATCAAGGAAAGCTTCAATGATATTTCATATCTCCCCATTCAGAAAAGCAAATATTCTGCCCTTGATGTTCTTTAGCTTCATTATAATGTAAATATAGAAAGAGGTTTTAAAATTTTCATCTTGCTTGGCATGATTTGTCCTTTTTGGAATATGAATACTCACATCTTGCCTTAATTCTAGAAACTGTTCAGCAATTTTCTCTATTTTCTCCCACTGGAACTATTTACTTATATATAATAGAACTTCTTGCATTACAAAATCTTTTATATTTTCAGTTCTCTTTTCTCTGTTTTGCACAGTTTGGTAATTTCTAATTTCCGTGATCCAATTTATAAAGTCTCCCTTTGACAGCATTCTCTTTATTTATTCCTTTTATTTAGATTTTTTTCTAGAAATTCTAAATGACTATACATTTTTATTTCTAATCATTTCAATCGGTTGTCTTTTGAATCTGCATGTTCTAATTTGATTACCACTTAATTGTTATTTCATAAACTCCTGTTTTTATTTTTTAGTGGATGTTATTCACATTTTATTTTCTGAAGATTTTAAGCATACTTATTTTCAAGTCTTCTCTGTCTTAATCATGCCACCGTATGATGATGAGAGTAGCATGGCGTGGTATGATAGCTATCAACTCAGGTTGCTGCATAGTGTAGGGGAATGTAAGACTGAGGAGACAGGATAAGCAGAAGAATAAAGGTGATTAAAATTATGTGAAAAAGCCACTGGGTGATTTTTATTTTTCTTGAGTTAGATTTCAAAATATTTAGAGAAAAATGCTGAATTTTTTAAAAGGTTAAAACATACAACAAATGGCTCACTTTACAAATTCGGATGCTAACTAGCACCAGGGAGTGTTCATTGTCCGTTGCTTAGCAAAAGAGCTTAAGACTTAATATTGTTCTCAATAACTGTGAGCTGAATGGATAAATGAAGATTAGATAGATGCATATGAAGTAATGATGAATCCCACACATGGGAAGCCTCAAGTCAAGTGAAATGACCATTAATGCCATATCTTTTCAATTCCAAAAGTATACTTTTTCATATTTAATGTTTCTAGAATTAGAATGGTCTTATGATCAATGTATACACTCATTGAGAAGCTTTTACAAGAAATTTTTCTCCTGAAATTTTTTTTTATGTCAAAGATGCATCTCTCAACTAATGTTATTTGGAATTTAAAAACAGAATATTTAAATATCATAATTATAAAAGGCTTTAAATACATTTATGAAAACACATAAAATGATGGCAATATTTTGTTAATTTCTAAGTAAATGGAAACAAAAGAGAACTATTTGTAGCTGAAATGAATAGGCTATGTTACACAGTCAGCAAAAATCTGAACTTGGCCAAAATCAGATGAAAATTAAATAATAGGACTTGAATCCTTTGGAGAAAAGTAAGATTTTCCTAGCTCTCTAGGGTCTGTGTATATCAAAACTTCGACTCTTCTAGCTAAAGTGAGTTTTCTAATAAACCAGTGGAACCAGTTTTATGAGCTTTAATCTACCAAGCTAAGAGGACTTTAATTGGTAGAGAAAAAACTAAAAGTGGACTTGTGAATGCTTTTGATCAAAATTGAGGTATCTCTGGGAGAAATTTTTCCCTTGAGGCTAAGAAAACATTTGAAGAGACTTTCCAAACAGAAGATCCCAGATGAAAGGCTGTAGTACAGAATTATGATGCAGTTATAAATTCTGATTCTTTCATGCCCTAGCAAGACTGGAGGGAGTGATGGGAGACCTGGGACTTTTCGAAAACAAGGCCACTGGCTCCTCCTGGTAGAACATTTCCAGATGCTTTGCCTACCTTATTCCACTAATAGCAAACTAACTGCTTTGCTCTAGTCAATAAACCAACCAAGGCTCTGGGGGAAATGGTAAAGTCTTTGAAAAGAATGATCATTCAGTAAACCTCCCCCAGTGTTATGACCTAATGATAATTCTTTGGGAGAAGCTGAAAACAGATATGAAAAAAATAGACAAATTGCATATATAAGCACAAGCAACTGGTTGAAAACAGGAACCAATTATAAAATAATTTGTAAAGGTACTGAATTAAAAATTAAGAACAATATTCATAAATATACTATGTACAGATACACATTTTGACTCCTAAAATATATTTCCCTAAAGACTCGTAAGATCAAACTAAATTCTAACTTAAATTTGTTAGGATAAAACAGATTTTGTACCCTCTTTACAGGTAACAACCTGTGAAAATAAAAGCTGAACCTTGGTACTTATTAAGCAGAGAATCATGAAATAATAAACACTTTGAAATGGGGAAGACTTTGGTGGTCATGTTATCTAAACCTTTCCTGGTCTGCAAATCCTTTGTGCAACTCTAGGACCAAAGGATCTTGTAGGCTGTGCTTTTAAAAAGCCTCTAGCCACCAGTTGACCCTTTCCTTTCCTTCACAGCCAAGCACCCTGAAGATTAATATTTCATGATCTATATGTTCTCTCTTCTCATTCTTACCTCTACCCTTGGTGACCTGAGAAGACTTCCACCTTCCCTACTCCACTGAATCTATTCTTACTAAAATCAGCAAAAGCCCTCAATTGCTGAATCTGTGGAAATCATTTCTGTTCTCATCTTCTTGATTTGTGCTTGACACTTAACACCATCGTCCACCCTGTTCTTTCTGGCTTTCTCTCCTTCCTCGCCTTCCTTCACATCACTTGCCTGCTTCTCTTCTATTTTTCTGGCAATTCCTTCTTGTCTTTCTCATATGTTTCTTTTCCTCTGCCCTTTAAAGTTCTGGTCTACTCTGAATACCTTCTCTAATTCATCTCCCAAATTTCCTTGGCTTCAGCTACCATCTAGAAAGTCACAAATCTTTTGACTTTTTAATAACAGCCATTCTGACTGGTGTGAGATGGTGGAAAGAGGGAGAGGATCCAGAAATACAACTAATGGGTACTAGGCTTAATACCTGGGTGATGAAATAATCTGTATAACAAACCCCCATGACACAAGTTTACCTGTGTAACAAACCTGTACTTGCACACCTAAACTTAAAATAGAAGTGTTTTTTTTTTAAAAAAAAAAAAACCTCACAAGTCTAAATTTCAGCTCAGATCTTTATCTGAGCCCCAATTCTAACTATTCAGCTGCTATCAGACCTTGCCATTTGGATTTCCCACCAGTCCCTCAAACTCAGCATAATCAAACCAAATGCATTACTTCCCCCACTTAAATTAGAATGCCAATTCCTCTGTTTACTCTTCTAGCAATCCATTCAAACTATATGCACTATTTTCCCCCACATAAATCAGCTTCTTCTGCATTTATTATTTTACATAACCATCCATCAAGATATTCAAGTCAGAAACCTAGGATTTTCTTAACAGTTCTCTCATATTCAGCCATTATAAAACAACAACCACCACAATTTCTTCACTATAATGATATTTCTTGAGCATTTACTATATTTTAGGCCCTCTTATAAACTTTATAAATTTTTATCTCATTTAATTTTCACAACAATCTTATAAGTATTATTATAATTCCCATTTAACAGAGTTGTAAGTTGAGGCAGAGATTAGTTGGTAAATTCCCAAGTTAAAATACCCAACAAGTGATAGAGCTGGTGTTCAAACCTGGATAGTCTGACGTAAGAGCCTAAGGGTCTTAACCAGTATGCTAGTTATCAAGACCTGTATGATTTAGTTCTTCAACCTCTTTCGAGTATGCCTCCTCTGCTCCATCCTCATAGCTATTGCCTTGTTTAGGCTCCCATCATTCACTAGATTCGACTCTAAGTTTCATGAATGCCAAGGTCATAAATGCCTCTGTTGACCAATGTCCCACACAATGATTAGCACTTAGCATATCCTGAATAAGTGTTTTTTGATGAAATAAAGTATTTTTATCATGTTATTAATAGGTCGATGTCCATATAATTTAGTGTCCAAGCAGGGAACATGTTGAGATTGAAACGGGGTACTATCAAAAATTACTCTAGGTCAACAGGAATAAATTGGGACTGTCCCAGACAAACTGGGGCATGTCATCACCTAATAATTGGGCTACTTCTATATGCCAGGTTCTTTTTTTTGGCAATTTGACACCAT
This sequence comes from Homo sapiens, assembly GCF_000001405.40. NCBI lineage: Eukaryota > Metazoa > Chordata > Mammalia > Primates > Hominidae > Homo > Homo sapiens. The sequence continues at coordinate 96,994,634 of NC_000008.11, read as the reverse complement.
TTTCTCCTTCTACGCTCTCCTTAGTATTATAGGGATTGGAAGCATGAGAACTACATTTCTTAGAATCTCTGCCAGCAGGGTTATGGTTTAAATTAAGACAATTAGACTCATTCATGCAAGGTTTCAAAGACAAAAGATAAATAGAACTATTATTACTCTTTTGAGACAGGCAGTCACATGGACTTGGGTAGACCCCAGATGTGAGCTTTTGCTAACAGCTTCCAAGTATCTTCCTACTGACCACTCACTTTGGTGCTGTAGACAGCTGAGATCATTGGTGACAGTTTCCTGCAGTTCCTATGCTTTATGATTTTCTGCATACTAGTAGTTGCAACCTGATCTTCCCTCTCTCAATCCTTCCAACATTTTTCCAGGCCCTAGTATTTTTACAGTAACTAACCCTAGCTGTCTCAATAGACAAAACTCTGAAATTTCTGTGGCTTATCCCAGTAAAAGGTGACTTTTTGTTCATGCAAAATCCCGTGCAGATTGGCAAGAGATCTCCTCTATCTGGTGACTCAGACGACCAAGATTCATCCATATTTTTATTTTCTATTTCAACATATAGCTCCAAGGTTTATTCCAGGGAAAGTGAGGGTTGAAAGAGGCACACAAGCTCTTAACCAGTTAGGCCCTGGGATATTAATTCTTCCCTCCCCTTCACAGTCCTTCAGCCAGGACTATCACAGGGTCCCAATTAACAGCAAGAGAGAACGGGAGAACAATATAGTGTTTGGTAAACATTAATTCTTTCTGTTATAGAATCTATTTCCCTAAATTAAATCACTTCCTGCTTGAAATAACTAGTTTCTCTTCTCCTTGTTGATACACTATGAAATAATACATAATTATGATACCTGAATGTATTAACTTGATGAAGCACTAATCATTTTTTTACACCAATATATTGTTTGTACACCAATATATTGTAAATATTGGTTTTGCTATGTATGCATCTAAGCATAATATCGTGTATAAAATTTGACATACAGGCTTAGTGTTTAGCTCATCTACCTACTGATAGATATTATTTGAATTAGCAGATTCAATAGTAAAGACATTAGGATTCATATCCTTAACAAAGAAAATAAAACTTTGTGATATGAAGCCTATTCATACATATATCTAATTATTTTAAAATGATCCATATTTAGTGAGTAATAATGCTTTTAAAATTTACAGAAATATGGAACTACCACCCATTAGACCTATAAAGACCAGGACCCACATCATTATTTTTGTATACAACATGCCTGATGATGCATAAGCTTGTACTAAAAGTGAGCAAGAATGAATGTGAAACAGGACATTGACTCTTGAATTTGGTAATCACTATATTTTATATAAAGCTATTAGCTTCTGTTCAGCTCTTATTCAAGAAGCAAATAATGCATACACAAACCCATTCAGGCAACACAATATCTTAAAAACAGTTTCCAAGTGGCAGAGTTAGACTAATGCAAATTAAACATGATTATAGATATTAATGCACCATATATACTACGCTAGACCTTCATCCTTTCCATTTGAAGGTGTTTTTAATGAACAAGCACTTCTTTCCATTTCAATGGCTATGGTGAAGATGGGTTAATTTCCAGGGATGATGTATTGTCAGTGCAGGTGGCAGAGCCAGCCTACCCCACAGGCAACATTCAATTCCTGTCTGAATTGAGACATTCATCATTGTGTTCTGCCCATTTGTGTATCTGTCAACAAATGAAAGTCATGATACTCCCTCCAATTTGTGTTAACAGAAAATATGGGTACAACAAGCAATCTGGAAGATGGATATGAATTGAGAGGAAGCACTTCAGGTGCACCATTACAGGACTGAAGTCTAATTCCACCACTTTTATCTCTGGTTAATTTATGGAAAACAGAGTGGAAGGAAAGAAAGTGGGAGACTCTCCTTTATTGAATACTTATTAATAGTATTAATACTAATTAATACTATGGCCAGACTCTTTGCTCATTAACTTCACATACATTTTCTGACTGATTCATCACAACATCCCTTGAAGATGGCTTTATTATTGTCCCTATTATACAATAAGGAGAGACACCTTATCTGTGTCACTGTCTCAAAAACTTGGAGCAAAGCTTCTTGCTTCTCTCAGACTAAGTTTTCCTCATGTTAAATGATAATAATAATATCTGCCCTACATCTAGGTATTCTTCACACATATAATTATTTCTTTAACATTTCCTTCCCTGTAGCTACATTGTCCCATGTAGCTAGATTGTCAACTACATGGGCTTCCAAAAGTAGACCTGTCTGATGCTAAAGGCCCTGCTTTCTCCTCAGTCCTTAAGAGCCAACCTGTAAGAGGGGCTTTAAAATAAGAGCTCACTTGGACAGTCTAGATCCTCCTCAGACACAAGTGCATCCTCAGGCAGAAGCCACATTTAGTACAGTACCATTGGAATTATCTTTGTCACTAAAGTACCTAATTATCTTTGTCACTAAAAATACTCATACATCAAAAACCAAAGAAGAAAATTATAGAAGAAAAGGGGCCAGTCATGATAAGCAGAGAAGGTCACCTTGCTGTTGATGATTGCTGCCACACACCCATCAAGGGATATAGAATCAATCTGTGTAAGATCAAAGCCATCCACTCTGTGGCCAAGTACTGAGACTAGGGAAGAATCTACAGAGAGATACTATGGGCTCTGAAATTACTTATGACCATGGTGAGTGGTTGGTCTCTGCTGATCCACTATGGGTCTTTTGACTCAGTTCCTTCTCAATGATGGAGAGTGGAATGGAAATCCAAACCAAAATCCACCAAACTCTAGGGAGACATAACAACAACATCAAACATAATAAGGATCATAATAATAGCTTGCACTTGCTCTAAACTTCTCCCTATTGCTCAGTCAACCAACCAGTTAATACAGTACATGTCCTACTAGGGTTCTGGGGATACAGTGTTAAACAAGATACACATAGACCCTGCTCTTATGCAGCTGACAATGTAGCAGGGAAGGAAATGTTAAAGAAATAATTATAGCTAGATGTAGGGAAAGCATTATTATTATTATTATTATTATTATTATTATTATTATTATTATTATTATGACAGACTCTTGTTCTGTCTCCCAGGCTGGAGTGCAGTGGTGCAATTTTGGCTCACTGCAAGCTCTGCCTCCCAGGTTCAAGTGATTCTTGTGCCTCAGCCTCTAGAGTAGCCAGGACAAGAGGCACCTGCCACCACGCCCAGCTAATTTGTGTATGTTTAGTAGGATGGGGTTTTGCCATGTTGGCCACACTAGTCTTGAACTCCTGGCCTCGAGTGATTGGCCCACCTCGGTCTCCCAAAGTAGGGGGGATTAGAGGTGTGAGCCACCATGACTGGCAGGGAAGGCATTATTGTTATTCACATTTAACAAAGGAGAAGACTGAAGCTAGAATTGGTAAGAGACTTTATATTATTGCAGTTTTTGAGACAGCAGGTGGCAGAGTCAGGCCTCAAACCTGGGTCTTTATACTTCTAGTCTAGGGCTCTTTCTACTTTGCTACATTGCCTGGATGCCTGTCTCTAAGAACCACTTTCTACCAAGGCACTCTGCCTCAAGTTGGCTGAGGGCTGAATATGGTGAATACAAACTAGGATGGGAAAAGACTGAGTAGATTCTGATTCCAGAGGTGACCTTGAGTCCTTTCCTTTCTTGGCTGTTGTTTCAGGAAGGGTTTAAATAAGGAGCTAACAAGCATATCTATGGATTGCACTATGACTCACAGAAGCTCCTTTGCTTAGAATAACTGGCCCTTATTAGGACCTTATAGGATATTTGAGGTTTTCCTAGGGGTCACCTGCTACCCAGTCCATAGGTATCTATGTTGAGCATTTACCAGAATGCCCATCCTGTGGTTTCCATCCCTCCTAAAGGGGAAGTTTCAGAGGAAACTGTGAATCTCAAAACTATAATATTGGTAAGGGCTTTGAGAGACTTCTGTCCCAACAATGATAGGAATTATCTCTTGTTTGTACTGTCTCCAGGGAGAAGGGATACATGGAAATGGCTGCTGGTGCAGGTGCTAAAAACATTTGACCAGTGGAGGCTAAGTTAGAGGAAAACCCAAATAACTGCATTTGAGTTCTGTGTGCCTAGGCATCCCTGTCCCTTCTTTTACCCTCCCAAAAGCTCAAACTTCCAGTACATAAGACTATTCAACATGCCCTTCAACAAGCTGGGAGTCCACTAGGCTTAGATTTAGAGCAGGTGTTATTATTCACATTTAACAGAGAAGAAGACTGAAGTAGAGAAAAGCACTTGGCCTGGCAGTAGGTGCTGGGAGGACTGCTGTGGAAAAGACAAAAACATAGGCTTGGGAAAGTATCATCTGGTTGAGAAGTTAAAATCAAACATGAAACAGGGAATGAAAAAAGACCTGAAGGGGTCTAGGGAGAGGAGACATCAATTTGGGCTGGAAGAGTAGCAGAGCCTTAACTTTGGAAATGAGATCGGGCTGAGCATTAGGGGATGTGATGTGCTGAGCAGAGGAGTTGGAGGAGAAGGGCACTCTGTGCAGGGTGTGAACATCAGCAAAGGTTCAGAGGTGGGAGTGAGGGTGGTTTGAGGAGGACACAGCAAGGAGGCCCATTTGGTGCAAGAGAAGATGTGTCTGGAGAGACACGGGATTTTGCTGGCCCAGAATACTACAGAGAGCCCTGGGCCACAAGTCAGAAAACCTGGCTTTTGACACAGACTATGGGCCATGTCTTGCATAGACCACATTCTCTCTGAGTTTCAGTTTATTCACATGAACAATCATATTGTTCCACTAGGCAATCTTTGAGATTCCCCTCCCAGCTCTGGCAACTAAGATTCTTTGATCCTCAAAGCTACTGAAGAAGAAAGGGTGCATCTCTATTTCTGGCTAAAGGTTCAGGGGGAGACAGAGAACCAATAACAAAAAGAACAAATAGGAATATGTCCTTTTAATTTTATCACAGCTGAGAGCCTTTGGAATTTCTTAAACCAGAAGGAAGTCTGGGTGTTTGATGTTAGATGCTGAGGCTCACCATTATTTTGATTCCAGGACTCACTGTCCAGGTTGGTGGGGTTTGAAGAAATCCAGCTCACATGCCCCTCTCCTCTCTCCTCTCCTCTCCGCTCCTCTCCTCTCCTCTCCTCCACTCCCCTCTCCTCCCCTCCCCTCCGCTCTGCTCCTGTCCCCTCCCCTCCCCTCCCCTTCCCTCCGCTCCTGTCCCCTCCCCTCCCCTCTCCTTCCTTTCATTCTTTCTTCCATTATTCAGAACTGACCTGAAACATGCCCATTTCTTTTCCCTTTTCTGTACAAGCCTTTGATAGAAAGACAAGCTCCACCAGTCACATGACATCACATCCTGTAGAACTGGTCACGCATATTTCTGGCTGTAGAATCATTTCCTCTTAAAGATGCTTCCTCACAATTAAGGAACTTAATGGTCACTTTGGTGGCCTTCATTTAGTTCCTCAGTTCTAGAGACTGCAGAGGCCCTGCCTTCTATAGGAAGCTCTCAGAATGATAGGAATCACCTCTGCCTCCTGGCAGATTAGTGGAATCAATGTGCAGAAGGCATGGTGAGAGGCCACTCTTGCAGACATCACTCACACTGCAGATAATCTTGTCAGAGTCTCAACATAGCCACAGCAAATATGACATTTTAAGCTGGCTTTAATATACAACAAGTATTTGGCAAAAAATATTTGGTCAAGATGTATTTCCTGCGAAGAGAATAAATATATAAGGAAAGTCATCTTTGAAGACTAAATAAAAATAAGCACATATACACACTAAACAAGGGAAAGCATTTAAGAATCTGATTTTATTGCTACTATGCAGCACCCTCAGTTCATACTTCACTAAAGGGGGAGGCATTTCTGTTTGATCTTCTTTACCTCCTTCCCCCTTAGCAAGTCTCTGCTTTTTAAATTGCCAGCTGTTCTTAACAAGAAGCAGAACGACCGAAGTCTCCTTTTCCTGATCGTGTCTTAGAAAATTTTAACTGCTAATATTATTACTTCCACCATTGAATCACAGGAGATAAATCTTTCTAAGTTTGCGAGGTCAACAAGCAATGTTTTGTCAGAGTGGGAAAACAGCATCTGCACTTGGATGTTTCTCATGGTTTCCAAGCAATAAATCAAAGGGAGAGAGAAATAAAAAAACATTTACTGAAATTAAATCATCTGCTTACAAATAGTACATTTTTTCCCAGTCTGAAATATACAGAAAGAAAACAAAATAAAAACTCCGAATATGTATGTAGTAGAAAGGGGAAGATGTTGATCAGTCTTAAGTCATATATATTACATTTTTTAGAAATAAGGCTTCTGTAAATTAGTAGGCATACGATTTATTAAAAAGTTAAATGCAATGAAGTTAATATCACTGAGGAAAGATAAAAGGTTATTTTTCTCCTATAACCCTGCTTCATTAAGTGAAGGGTAAGAAAAAAAGAGCATGTAAAAACTGCCTCTGAATATAAAACTTCAGGACAGATAAACATAAGAAAACTACCCCACAACTGAACTAGTGAACAGTGACTAGATCCAAAAACAACAAAAAGTGTCTGAATTCTTTGGATATAGATCAACTAATCTCACACATTTTTGAATCTAAAACAAACCCTACATAGTTGCTGACAGACAGTGTGGAAAGATATATCACTTTAAAGATGATCACAGCAATTCACAGTGACAGGATGACTCTCATCATGGGAATTCACTTTATGCCATCAAGTTACTTTTTATAGTACTTGGAGAATTATGAAAAATTTTCTACTGTGACCACAACTAATCTCTCCGCTTGAAAAAATTATTAAATAAAATCTATCTTCCATAAGAGGAAATAACTGTCACTTTAAATATGTGTATATCAAAAGGAACTGAATGGAACTCACATGAAGATTGCCTAGGTTAAAAGTTCTCTGAGTTATCAGTAATGTGATGTTTAAGATGGAGTCAAGGAAGGACAAAAGAAAAATGATTCCATATTTAAACAAGGCTGTATGATTAACAAAGGTTGAAACTCAGAGCCAGCACAATTATGGTGACCAGACAAAACAGACAAACGCGGACTTCTCATCTGATTTTCTGATGTGCATCCCAAATGTCCCTCCTCTAACCCATCTATGCTTCCCTGAGCAGGCTCTGCTTCTACTTGGCTGTGTTTCTTCACTTTCTCTCTCTCTTCTTTCCTTTCTCTTTAGTCATAGTTATACTTCCTTATCATTTCTGTGTTTCTGTGGGAGACCAAGGGCCTCTGTAGATTGGTTCTTTTACTCCCCAAAGCGAAGCTTCCCTCTGGCCCTCTCACTTTCCTGTCCTAAAGTACTTGACTGTGGTCAGTTCTAAACCTGAAAGACACTATTGGTTTTTACTTTGCACTGGATGTGGGCATGCACAGATTAAAAATCATGCTTCAAGAGCTCAAATCTGACAATGGAAGTATACATAACATATGGACATATGTTGAATGAGGAGAGGTGAAAGTATAGCATATTTAGGCATCTTCAAGTAGATGCAACATAAAATGCCTTTTAATACAAGCAGTAGGCAGCAGCCCTATGGAGGGATTTGAAAGATGCACACGTGCCCATTTCCCACATGATTCCTACCTGTGCCCATTCAGGAACCTACTCCCTGCTCCATTCAGGGCCACTAGCCAACAATGATCAACACCACTCCCCATTTTGGTCTCTGTATCTATATTCCCCAGATTTCAATATAGTAACTCTAAGTATATTCATTAATATACCTATCCCTCACTTAATGCCTTTTTCTCCCTATGGAAAAATAATAGTACATAGGGGTATATCAGATGAGTTAAAGGGCTAGACGTGTGTGATTCAAACGTCCAAATAATAGAACTGTATTATTTATCCTCCTAGCAAAGTCCATTCTAAAAATATGCTCTCTCTCTAACTACATAAAGCAGCAAGAGGGCTGCATCTCCTGATGGCTTCCTGATTCACCCTCCCACTGTTTCCCCAGGCCCCCAAGTGATTAGTGTTCTGCCCACTGTCCTTCAATGGAAATCCAATTTCAGAGTAAGCCCAGCTGGGTGTGTCATGAGTGGCTTAGATTTGAAAATAGAGATTTGTTTCTTCTTCATGCTGGGCATTGGGGTTTGAGAGAGTGGGAATAAGGGAAAACTGCTTAATAGTTGCAAAAAAAAATCCGTATAAAATTTTCTAAGGCACTATTCTGCAAGAATAAATAAAAACCCATAGTGAAAATCTTTGAGAGCTGATTATATAAATTGCACTTACCAAAGCTGGGAAGAATCACTAATAAACCATAAAAGAACACATTTGCTTTGATGGTCCAATCGAATTTTCTAATCCGATATGAAAATTAGGGTCATTTGTCAAGGGTGGCAACAAGAGAGTTTTGTATGATACTCCTTGTGCTAGTCCAAGCAACATCCTCTAAAAGCTAACCAACACTCATTCCTGGACCACTTACAAACTGCATCTCCATCTTCTGTAGATGCTGCAACTTGGGTCAAGAAGGTAATGAGCAGTGGCTGTAGATGCAGTTTCTAGATCAGCCAGTAGCTAAATGCTGAATAAAAGATGGTAGGCAAGAATGACTTCCCGCTTTCTAGAGCTCCAATCAGTAATGTTATGCCAGTGTTTACAAACCTATGATCACGAAAGGGACTCTATGAACCAGTTTCAAGTATTCTAAAAAACATAGAAAAATTATATCTTTATGGGTGAGATGGTACCCCAAATAAACTAAATTGGCAAATTTAATTTCTTTTCTCTTAGTTGAAAGAATACCAATTTGATACAGTAACACTGGTCATTTAAATTAAAGTATGGTTGTTATAAATTTTTGTGATAAGCAAAATCTGGAGATACATTATTATTATTTAACAAATTTATATGTTGTTTTGTTTTTTACAACGCCTTTGAAAACACACACAAAAGGTTAAAATACCAAGAAAACTTGTTGGTAAACTGATTGAGGATCACTGAACATGCCATTCATGCTTTTCATAGTTCTCCTCACCCCTTCCTCATTATTTCATGCCAATGGGTGACACAGTCAGGTCATTGTCCTGATTTTCCTGTTCTTGTCTTCTCCAGATGCCAAGCATCAGGCTAAAAAACTAAATGGAAGGATTAAATAGAATTAAAAACACAACCAAAGAGAAATAAATTGAAAGGATGAATCCTGAGAAAATCACACAGAAAGTTGTAAAGCAAGTTGAAGAGATGGAAAACCTGAGAGTGAGATTGAGAGACATGGGAGACAAAATGATAGATTTATTCTGTATGGATTACAGAAGGACAGAATAGAATGCAGGAAGGCAATATTTGAGGCAATAATAGCTTATGACATTACTGAATTAAAAAAAAAAACATAAGAGCTCCCAGTTCTCAGATTGAAGAAGAAAAAAAAGTAAGAGCAAGGAAATATTTTTTTAAAGTGTCCCTAAACAAATCATGGTGAAAATGCAGATCATCACTGATACAACTAGATTCCTCAAGAACAACTATAAGAGCCAGAAAAAATAAAATAATATCTTCCAAATTCTGGGAAAAAAATAACTGCTATCTACAATTTCACATTCAACTAACATCATTCAAAGATGGAACAAAGTAAACGTGTTTTCAAATAAAACTGATAGTTTATTACTCACAGAACTCTATTAAAGGAACTACTATGAGTCCTACTTCAGGAAGAAGGTAACTGAACCAGGAGAAAGAAATAATAGTTCATAAACATATCAGTGAACATGTTGACAATCTAATAAGTACTAACTAAATCATAACAGCTGAAATTCACTGAGCAGTTATGTGCCAGGAACTGATGAAGCTCATCTAATTATCACAATAAACCTATAATTAGATACTATTATGATCCCCAGTATATCCATGAGGAAACTAGGCATCACACATCTAAAAAACTTGCAAAGTAATACAGCCAGTAAGTGGCAAAGCCAAACAAATAATGTCTTAGTCCATTTTGTGCTACCACAACATAATTCCTGAGACTGAGTAATTTATAAAGAACAGGAATTTATTTTCTCACAGTTCTAAAGCCTGACAAGTTCAAGATCAAGGCACTGTAGGTTAAGATCCAGTCTCTGCTTCCAAAATGGCACATTGAACAATTCATCTTCCAGAGGGGAGAAACTGTCCTCACATAGAAGACAGAAGGGAAAAATGGGGTGAACTCCCTCCTTCCAGCCCTTTTATAATGGCATCAATCCATTCATGTGGGCAGATCCCTCATGACCTAAACAGCTCCCAGAGACTTCACCTCCCCACACTGTTGCATTGAGGATTTCCAACATTTCCAACATAGGAAACTTGGGAGACACATTCAGACCACAGCAGATAATAATGACCATGTTATAACAAATCTGGGGACAGTTTATAAACAAGGCATAACTAAAACACTAATCAACAATAATATATATGATGGAAGGGGATATATTGAAGCAATCTGTGGTTACTATATTATTTAATTAAGACAAATATACATGTGATATTTAATAGTAACCACTAAAAAAAAGAAAGGGAATGTATAAGTTTCTAAATAGTGGAGAGAAAATGAGGAGAGAGGGTAAGAAAAACCACTGAATCCAATAGAAAGCAAACAAGGAGAAAAAAAGGAGCAAAATAGCAACTTTAATAGAAAATGTTAGAAAATCACAAAATGTAAGTAATCACAATAAACATGACAAACTTCCCTGTTAACTGCTATTGTCAGATTGGATATTTTAAAATATACCAGAATCAACTAAAACACAACAACCGAGGTAAGTCAGAAAAGGAATAGTAAAAAAAAAAAAAAGTAACCAAAAAAGAATTGGTTCTATGATATTAATATTTGATAAAATAGACTTGCAGAGAAAATTCATCATTAAGGATAAAGAAGGTCTTTTGGCTAAACTGTATAAAGCAATAAAACCCCAAACTACATAGAGCTAAGCTGATAGAAATTAAAGGAGAAATTTATAAAATCACAATCCTAATGGGGCCTTTTAATATACTTCTTTCAAATGACACAGTACTTTTGAATAGTTAGTAAGTTTGCTCTAATGAACTATGTAGAACTCTATTCCCAGCAAAGGGAGGCTATATCTTCTTTTCAAGTCAATATAATCATTTAAAAAAATATTGACCAGTAATGAGCCAAAGTTAACTCTCAATAAATAACAAAAAGTTGGTATTCTATAGACCACACTACAACTCATATGCAACAAAATTGGAGCTCAGTAACGCAGTAATAACTCTCTATTTTGGAAACTTTAAGGCACTATTTCAAACTTGCAAAATGCAGCTAAACTAGTACTTAGAGGGTAATGCATGGCCTTAAGTGTATACATTAGAAAATAAGAAAGACTGAAAATTAATAGACTAAATATTTACCTCAAAAAGATAGAAGAAATAAACAAAAGGATAAACCTGAATATGGAAGAAAATACCAGTTATGTAAATTCAAAATCACAAAAACTATATGATACCATTTTTTATATACATATTCTAGAGTGAGTTTAAAACAATCTCAGAACACTGGTTACATCTGCAGAGGGAGAAGGAAATGGATTGTGGAGAGGTAGAAAACAGGTTTCAACTGTATTGGTAACTTTTAATTTCTTCTGAACTAAGGATCTGAAACAAATATCCAGATTCGTTAACATTTATGAAATCTAGGTGGAGGATATTCAATGTTATTTTTCAATATTTGAAATATTTCTTAGTTTAAAAAAGGGCAAAGAATAAAAAACAACCTTACAAAAAAGAAATATGAGATTTTCTAGTTTTGCAAGTTGTGAGATTATCAGTCTTAGTCCCTTCATCTGTCAAAGGAGTAATAGTGGTTCCTACCTCCTGGACTCAATGAGAATCACATATCCAGCATTTAGCTCAGAACTAGATACAGTCTGTTCAAGCATGCTAACTGCTATTATTAGTTCATCCTAAAATCTGAAATAATCTACTACCATCTTCACATCAATTTAAGAAGACTGGGATGAGGCCAGGTACAGTAGCTCACACCTGTAATCCCAGCACTTTGGGAGGTCAAGGCAGGAAGGTTGCTTGAGTCCAGGAGTTTGAGGCCAGCCTGGGCAACACAGTGAGACCCTGTCTCTATAAAAAAGAATTTTAATAATTAGCCGGGTATGGTGGTGCATGCCTGTAGTCCCAGCTACTCAGGAGGCCGAGGTGGGAGGATCATTTGAGCCAGGGAATTTGAGGCAGCAGTGAGCTGATGTGCCATTGCACTGTAGCCTGGGAGACAAGACTCCATATCAAAGAAAAAAAATAAAAGACCTGGATGAGAAATCTTATTTGACTCTACTTCATTTAAGTCCTAAAGCAAGAGTATTCACTGCCAATTCTTTTATTTAAAAAAATCGGGAAATGTTATATATTTGTGATTAGTAAAATGATGCTTCTGTTATAAAACGCTGTAGGACATTATTGAAGTTCTTCCTTATCACAACCACTATGAACATTGCCTTGTCACTCTATATCCCACATCACTGCTCCACCAAAGTGCTCTGTTTCAATTCAAGCCATGAGATGATCACCATTAGTAGCAGCACTGCCACTACAGTTTTCTTTAACATCATGTGCCATGTATTTTCCATCTTTGCAACTCTAATAGACATGTGTTTTTCCTAGATTATGTTTGATCCATATAACAGTCCTGCAAGCATGTTACCATCTAGTTTACTGATAAGGAACTGAGTCCCAGACAGGCCCAATGACCTGCCAGTGGTAATAATACATGCCTTACAGGGCGGCTTTGAGGATTTAAAAAGATCATGGTAAGTAACTGTCACATAGGAGGTAAATATTGGTTCTCTCCTCCATTCTCCCAGGTGTTCAATTAATGTTTATAGATTATAAAAATGAAAATATAGGACATGGGGCTTTCTTAGGTAGATGTTTTGCATCTTTACCAAAAACCTCTGCTTTATAAGTTTAACCATTGTTTTTTGCAACAAAATACTGTAAGGTTTCAGAAAGGTAATTAGTTCAAAGATTCCTCTACCAAACTCTTCATTTATGACCAAAAATGACATTGAAATGACTTCAGGTAAAATTATTTCACTATAAAAGATAAATTCACACTTCCCTCTTTCAGAAAAGGAGTAAATTCCAGTATGAAGCACTTCATAAAATATTTCTTTATTCTAACATCCTGCCTAAAACAAGTGAATATGGGATGGCTAAATGGATCTAGGGTCTATGGTGATTGGCGATGAGAACAGAAATATAGCTTTTGAAACATTTCCTGACTTCTATTTTCCCACATACATTAATCAGAGCAACAACTCAATAATTTCAATTACATTTTAAATATATTCCTTTTAAAAGATGCCATTATTTCAGAGAAAGGAAAATAATACAAGCATCAGTGGTCACCATCCTTGGTTTTTTATGCATGAGGATCTTCTGAAAATGCTTAAAAATTGTGGTGTTGTGACTATATTAAAAAACAGAAAGATTTCTTGAAAATTCAGGCCCCAGGGTAAATTGTAAATAGTAAGCACTAGATTTGGTTGTGTTTTCTCTGCCTTGATTTTTTTCTGTATCTCAAACAACTTATTTTGTAGTAAATTATATTGACCTTAACAGCTATTTACTGTTTCTACTATTCTTTTCCTCAGGAATATTATAAATTTTTCTCTACACACTGTTATTTAGGTTAAGGACATCACAGAGAGAGCAAAAGGGATGGGAAAAATGATCTGTGCATCCCCATGTCCTCAGAGTGTTAAGTCTGCATAACATTTATGACACATCTATTAAGTGCTCTTCACTACAACAGTGAGGAGAGAATTAGCCTTATACACTAGCCTCATGTATACTCATGGATGGTGGCTACACTGGGGTGAAGGTTTGTGAGTTAACTTATCCAGGCCAAACTCACATGTGGGCTTTATTATGAGGGCCTCCTCACTGTGAGGATTCCCCTGACCAAGCTGAACTTTGCAATGGGATACAGACATGAAGACTCGAGAGCTGAGAGTTGATACTGGGATTATAACCTCTCCTGGAACATCCAACCTGCTGTTTTGGCAATTAGAATCTGATAATAATAGTTACTATTATTGATGGCTTAGCAGGGGCCAGTTACTGTGTATATTATTTCAAATTATCCTATCAAGAACTGAAGATAAATTGTTCCCATTGTAAAAAGAGAAAACTGAGATTTAAAATGTTAAATAATTTAGGCTGGGCACGGTGGCTAATGCCTGTAATCCCAGCACTTTGGGAGGCCGAGGTGGGCAGATCACTTGAGACCAGGAGTTTGAGACCAGCCTGGCCAACAGGGTGAAACCCCGTCTCTACCAAAAATACAAAAATTAGTTGGGCATAGTGGTGTGTGCCTGAAATCCCAGCTACTCTGGAGGCTGAGGTACAAGAATCACTTGAACCCAGGAGGCGGAGGTTGCAGTGAGCCAAGATTGTGCCACTGCACTCCAGCCTGGGCAACAGAGCGAGACTCTGTTTCAAAATCTATATATAATGATAGAATGTTAAATAATTTGTCCAGGAAAATACAACTACTAGATAGCACAGAAGGATTGGAATCCAAGATGTTCTAACATAGAGCACATGCTTATTCTACTATCCATGCTGCCTCTCACTTACCTAGAGATTTTGAATTATTTAAGGATTAAGAAAGGAGGACTTAAAGGTTGAAAAATCAGTGAGATCTGGGTCACATGTAGTCTGAAAATGCTAGTGTCAGGCAAGCACATGGGCCAAGCATCAGCTCATCGATAATGATTATCTAATATGAGGAGGGCACGAGCAGGATTATAAATAAGTACTCTTATAATAATCAACTTCCCTCAATACTTTCTTTATCCTGTCACATACCCAGTAGAAACGTTCTTTTCCTAGTGCTTATTTTTGAGAATGTTTGCAGGAGTCGAGGAGCCTAAGAATAGACTAACTAAACCCTTACGTTCCACGGCAATTAAAAAAACCCAGTTAACCATAAAGGTCCGATCAGATGTTCATAGCATATTTTCTTATTTTTTGCAGACTTCTGTTTTTAGGCAAGTTTACTGGAACAAAATTCATTGGAAGCTGGGTAAACCACAGCTTTTGCAAAATGCAGCATTAGCATGATGCAGAGAAGCGTGTAGGCGAAGAACACAGCATCCCTGGAAACCCCATCACTTCCTCTTTGGTATATTTAACATAGAGAAGTAGAAGCTGGCTCATCCACCACAGCAAATAAAATTTGCTAAGCAACTCCAAAGCTGTAGTTCTCTAGGCTCAGTATAACTGGGATCTCCCTACTCTGTTTTTCTGTATCTCTATTCTATTTATCATAGTACTTTAGCAGTTAAAATAGTCAATGTGATATCCCTATTTTAGAAAGAAGTCCTATCATGCTTAAAATCCTCAGTGGTGCCTGCTGCCTATAGCACCAACTCCAACCTTTAGCTTTGCATCCAGTACCCTTCACAAACTCTCATCCTTCACTTTACTCGTTTCCCACCCCCTCCTCACTCACCCATTAC
Organism: Homo sapiens; assembly: GCF_000001405.40. Lineage (NCBI taxonomy): Eukaryota > Metazoa > Chordata > Mammalia > Primates > Hominidae > Homo > Homo sapiens. Next base: position 96,979,126 of record NC_000008.11, on the reverse strand, counting down.
TCTAGATTTATGAAGACATCTTCTACTCCTCAAACTATGTACTTTCATGAGTTCTAATTTGTTCTTTTTTTTTTTTACCACTTCCTAACTTTTCAAGGCCTGGTTTAAATGCCTCTATCCATGTGAAGCCATTGTTGCCTGACTATGAGCTCCTTGACGCAAGGAACTGTGTCCTGTCCATATTATTTGCCTGACATGAAGTGGGCAGTCAAAGCTTCTTATTGAAATAAGACGTCTCCTTGTGAGCCAAGTGTGTGATACAGTGATGATACCATTGCAATAAGGTAGCCTAGGTTTTCCAGACAGCCCTACCATGGATTTGTATGTATTCCATTCTTGGGTGGGAGGAAATCCACTGGGGCACTAAGGATACCATTAGTAAGATTTTCTATGGCCCTTATTCTCCAGGATAAATGATACCAATTTCTTAAGCTTCCGCTTCCTTTACAACCACATGCCTTCACTTTCTAAGGCCAAATCAAAGCATACATCGGGGAGGAAGCTAAGCATGCTGTAGAAAAGGGGGCCCTCTCATAGCATTCATCTGCCACCCTTCCAGACTGTCAGATAGAAAAGAACTGGTCATTATTATGCTGTATACCCTGGGTGGTGTCTACTTTTGCACAGAAATTGTATATTCTAACTAAATGATACAATAACAACAGCAATATTCATGTAGCCTAAGGCTCTAAAATGACTATGGAATCTCTCATACCAAATCCAGACTAAAAGGTAGACCACATTCTAAGTGACTCATTGTAAACAAATCTTGCTTTATCTCACAGATGTATTTTGCAAATCAATTTACACACAATTTGTCTTTTTACACATCCTAGTAGAAATGTCTATGTAAACTGATGAGACATAAGGTTGTTGAGTGTGTTAGTGAAGCTTCTAAATGTGTTCAAACCTTAGGAAAAGCTCTCAGCAATTCCCAGCAGAAAAAAAAATATGTATCTGCCATGGGTCTTACAGAAAAGCCATTCACTAACATAAGTTGCCGCTAGAGGAAATAACATATCAGAATAAAAAATGAGAAGATCATCTCTAAAGAAAAAGAGGAGGAGTCACAGATGCCCCATGGCCATAAACCTAGTTTTACATGTAATTAAAAAAAGGAAAGGAACAAATTCTTTTAAAAAATTTTTTTTTATTTCAATAGGTTTTTGGGGAACAGGTGGTGTTTGGTTACATGAGTAAGTTATTTAGTGGTAATTTCTGAGATTCTGGTGCACTCATCAACTGAGAAGTATACACTGCACCCAATGTGCAGTCTTTTATCCTTTGCTGTCCCCCATCCTTTCCCTTGAGTCCCCAAAGTCCAATGTATCATTCTTATGCATTTGCATCCTCATAGCTTAGCTCCCACATGTGGATGAGAACATACGATGTTTGATTTTCCATTCCTGAGTTAATTCATTTAGAATGATGGTCTGCAATTACATCCAGGTTGCTGTGAATGCCATTATTTTGTTCCTTTTTGTGGCTGAGTAATATTCCATGATATATATATACCCATCATTGATTGATGGTCATTTGGGCTGCTTCCATGGTTTTGCAATTGCAAATCATGCTGCTATAAACATGAGTGGGCAAGCATCTTTTTCATATACTGACTTCTTTTCCTCTGGGTAGATACCTAGTAGTGAGATGGCTGGATTAAATGTAGATCTGCTTTCAGTTCTTTAAAGATTATCCACACTGTTTTCCGCAGTGCTTGTACCAGTTTACATTCCCACCATCAGTGTAAAAGTGTTCCCTTTTTACTGCATCCCTGCCAACATCTATTTTTTTTTTTTTTTGATTACGGATATTCTTGCAGGTGTGAGGTGGTATTGCATTGTGTTTTTGATTTGCATTTCCCTCATTATTAGTGATGTTGAGCATTCTTCCATACGCTTGTTGGCCATTTGTATATCTTCTTTTGAGAATTGTCTATTCATGTCCTTAGCCCTTTTTTGATGGGATTATTTGTTATTCTCTTGCTTATTTGAGTTCTTAGATTCTGGATATTAGTCCTTTGTAAGATGTATAGATTGTAAAGATTTTCTCCCACTCTGTGGTTATCTGTTAACTCTGCTGATGATTTCTTTTGTTGTGCAGAAGCTTTTTAGTTTAATTGAGTCCCATATGTCTATCTTTGTTTTTGTTGCATTTGCTTTTGGGTTCCTGGTCATGAAGTCTTTGCCTAAGCCAATGTCTAGAAGACTTTTTCCAATTTTATCTTCTAGAATCTGTGTGGTTTCAGGTCTTAGATTTAAGTTTTTGTTCCATCTTGAGTTAATTTTTATGTAAGGTAAGAGATGAGGATCCAGTTTCATTCTCCTACATGTGGCTTGCCAATTATCCCAGCACCATTTATTGAATAGGCGTCTTTTCTCCACTTTATGTTTTTGTTTGCTTTGTCAAAGATCAGTTGGCTGTAAGTATTTGGCTTTATTTCTGGGTTCTTTCTTCTCTTCCATTGGTCTATATGCCTATTTTTATACCAGTACCATGCTGTTTTGGTGTCTAAGGCCTTATAGTTTAGTTTGAAGTAGGGTAATGTGATGCTTCCAGATTTGTTCTTTTTGCTTGGTCTTGCTTTGGCTATGCGGGCTCTTTTTTGGTTCCATATTAATTTTAGGATGTTTTTTCTACTTCTTGAAGAATGATGGTGGTATTTTGATGGGAATTGCAATGAATTTGTAGATTGCTTTTGGCAGTATGGTCATTTTCATAATATTGATGCTACCCATCCATGAGCATGGGATGTGTTTCCATTTGCTTGTGTCATCTATGATTTCTTTCAGCAGAGCTTTTTAGTTTTACTCGTAGAGGTCTTTCACGTCCTTGGTTAGGTATAATCCTAAGGTTTTTTTTTTTTTTTTTTTTTTTTTGTCAGCTATTGTGAAAGGGGTTGAGTTCTTAATTTGATTCTCAGCTTGGTTGCTGTTGGTATATAGAAGAGCTAGTGATTTGTGTACATTAATTTTGTATCCTGAACCTTTGCTGAATTCATTTGCTAGTTTTAGGAGCTTTTTGGATGAGTCTTTAGGGTTTTCTACATATACAATCATATCATCAGCAAACAGTGACAGTTTGACTTCCTCTTTACTGATTGGGATGCACTTGATATCTTTTTCTTGTCTGATGACTCTAGCTAGGACTTCCAATTCTATGTTGAATAGAAGTGGTGAAAATGGGAATCCTTGTCTTGTTCCAGTTCTCAGGGGGAATGCTTTCAACTTTCCCTATTCAGTATAATGTTATCTGTTTGTTGTAGATGGCTATTATTACCTCAAGGTATGTCCCTTCTATGCCAATTTTGCTCAGGGTTTTAATCATAAAGCGATGCTGGATTTTGTCAAATGCTTCTTCTGCATCTATTAAGATGATCATGTGATTTTTGTTTTTAATTCTGTTTATGTGATGTATCATATTTATTGACTTATGTCTCTTAAATCAACCCTGCATCCCTAGTATGAAACCCACTTGATCATGGTGAAGTATCTTTTTGATATGCTGTTGGATTCAGTTTGCTAGTATTTTGTTGAGGATTTTAGCATCTACGTTCATCAGGGATATTGGTCTGTAGTTTTCTCTCTCTCTCTCTTTTTTTTTTGTTATGTCCTCCCTTGGTTTTGGTATTAGGGTGATACTGGCTTCATAGAATGAGTTAGGGATGATTCTCTATTTCCTTATCCTTTGAAATAGTAGAATTGGTACCAGTTCTTTTTTGAACATCTGATAGAATTCAGCCATGAATCTATCTGGTCCTGGAATTTTTTTGTTTGGAATTTTTTTTAATTACCATTTCAATCTCACTGCCTGTTCAGAGATTCTGTATCTTCTTGGTTTAATCTAGGAGGATTGTATACTTTCAATATATCCATCTCCTCTAGATTTTCTAGTTTATGTGTGTAAAGGTGTTCACAGTATCCTTGAATAATCTTTTGTATTTCTGTGGTACCAGTTGTAATATCTCCCATTTCATTTCTAATTGAGCATATTTGTATCTTCTCTCTTCTTTTCTTGGTTAATCTCGTTGGTCTATCTGTTTCATTTATCTTTTCAAAGAACCAGCTTTTGTTTCATTTATCTTTTTTCTTTTTAAATTTCATTTAGTTCTGCTCTGATCTTCGTCATTTTCTTCTGCTGGGTTTGGGTTTCGATTGTTCTTGTTTCTCCAGCTCCATGAGGCATGACCTTAGGTTGTCTATTGGTTCTCTTTCAGATTTTTGGTTTAGGCATTTAATGCTATGAACTTTCCTCTTAGCACCAGTTTTGCTGTATCCCAGAGGTTTTGATAGGCTGCGTCACTATTATTATTCAGTTCAAAAAATTTTTAAATTTCCATCTTGATTTCATTGTTGACCCAATGATCATTCAAGAACAGATTATTTAATTTCCATGTATTTACATGGTTTTAAGGGTTCCTCTTGGAGTTGATTTCGAATTTTATTCCACTGTGGTCTGAGAAAGTACTAGATATAATTTTGATTTTCTTAAATTTACTGAGACTTGTTTTGTGGCCTATCATATGGTCTAGGAGAATGTTCCATGTGCTGATGAATAGAATGTATATTCTGCAGTTGCTGGGTAGAATGTCATGTAAATATCTGTTAAGTTCACTTGTAGGGTATCATTTAGGTAGAGTTTTTCTTTGTTGACTTTCTGTCTTGATGACCTGTTTAGTGCTATCAGTGGTGTATTAAAGTCCCCCATATTATTGTGTTGCTGTCTATCTCACTACTTAGGTCTAATAGTAATTGTTTCATAAATTTGGGATCTCCAGTGTTAGGTGCATATATATTTAGAATTGTGATATTTTCCTGTTGGACTAGTCCTTTTATCATTATATAATGTCTCTCTTCATCTTTTTAAACTGCTGTTGATTTAAAGTTTGTTTTTTCTGGTATAAGAATAGCTACACCTGCTCGCTTTTGGTGTCCATTTGCATGGAGTATCTTTTTCCACCCCTTCATCTTAAGTTTACGTGAGTCCTTATGTGTGAGAGTAGTCTCCTGAAGACAGCAGAAACTTGGTTGGTGCATTCTTATCCATTCTGTCATTCTGTTATCTTTTAAGTGGAGAATTTAGGCCATTTACAATCAATGTTAGTATTGACATGTGAGGTACTATTTTATTCATCATGCTATTTGTTGCCTGATTACCTTTTTTTCCACTGTGTTATTGTTCTGTAGTTTCTGTGAGATTTATGCTTTAAGGAGATTCTATTTTGGTATATTTCAAGGATTTGTTTCAAGATTTAGAGCTCCTTTTAGCAGTTTTTGTAGTACTGGCTCGGTAGTGGTGAATTCTCTCAGCATTTGTTTGTCTGGAAAAGACTATCTTTCCTTCATTTATGAAGCTTAGTTTTGCTGGATACAAAATTCTTGGCTGATAATTGTTTTGTTTAAGGAGGCTAAAAAGAGGACCCCAATCCCATCTAGCTGGTAGGGTTTCTGCTGAGAAATCTGCTGTTAATCTGATGGGGTTTTCCCTTTATAGGTTACCTGATGCTTTTGCCTCAGAGCTCTTAAGATTCCTTCCTTTATCTTGACTTTAGTTAACCTGATGACTATGTGCCTAGGTGATGATCTTTTGGCAATGAATTTCCCAGGAGTTCTTTGAGTTTCTTGTATTTGGATGTCTAGATCTCTAGGAAGGCCAGGGAAGTTTTCCTTGATGATTCTAACAAATATGTTTTTCAGACTTTTAGATTTCTCTTCTTCCTTGAGAACGCCGATTATTTTTAGGTTTGGATGTTTAACATAATCCCAAACTTCTTGGAGGCTTTGTTCAATTTTTTCATTCTTTTTTCTTTGTCTTTGACAGATTAGGTTAATTTGAAAGCCTTGTCTTTGAACTCTGAATTTCTTTCTTCTGCTTGTTCCATTCCATTGCTGAGACTTTCCAGTGCATTTTGCATTTCTTGCCTTCTAGAAGTTGTGATTGTTTTACATTTATGCTGTCTATTTCACTGAAGACTTTTTGTTTCATATCCCATAATTTTTATTTCTTTTAGTTGGACTTCACCTTTCTCTGGTGCCTCCTTGATTAACTTAATAATCAACTTTCTGAATTCTATTTCTGGCAATTTGGAGATTTCATCTTGGTTTGGATCCATTGCTGGTGAACTGGTATCATCTTTTGGGGGATGTAAAAGAAACTTGTTTTCTCATATTACCCAGATGTTTTTCTGGTTCCTTCTCATTTGGGTAGACTAGGTCAGAGGGAAGGTCTGGGATTCAGGGCTGCTAATCAGATTCTTTTGTCCCACGGGATGCTCCCTTGATGTGATGTTCTTTCCCTTCCCCTAGGAATGGGGCTTCCTGAGAGCTGAACTGTAGTGATTGTTTTTGCTCTTCTGGGTCTAGCCACCCAGAGGAGCTACTGGGCTTCAGGCTGGTACTGGAGAGTGTCTGCAAAGAGTCCTGTGATGTGATCTGTCTTCAGGTCTTGCAGCCATGGATGCCAGCACCTGCTCTGATGGAATTAGCAGGGGAGTGAAGTCGTCTCTGCGAGGGTCCTTGGTTGTGTTTTTGTTTAGAGTGTTGGTTTTGTGTTGGTTGGCCTCCAGCCAGGAGGTGGCACTGACAAGAGTGTATCAGCTGTGTTCCTAGTTGCCCTAGGAACACTTGGTTAAGTGGTTTCTCAGGTGATAGGTAGGGCCATAGAGCTCCCAAAAGATTATGACCTTTGTCTTTGGCTACCAGGGCAGGTAGAGAAAGACTACCAGGTGGGGGAAGGGGTAAGCATGTCTGAGTTCAGCCTCTCCTTTGGCAGGGCTTGCTGCAGCTGCTGTGGGCTATGAGGGTGTGGATCCCAGTCCAATGGAGTTATATTCCCAGGGGGATTATGGCTGTCTCTACTGAGTCATACAAGTTGCCAGGGAGGTGGAGGAAAGCTGGCAGTCACAGGCCTTACCCTGCTCCCATGCAGCCTGCAATCCTGAAGGCCGGTCTCACTCCCACAGTGCCCCCATAACAGCACTGAATCTATTTCCAGGCAACAGGTAACTAGGGCTGAGAACTTGCCCCAGACCAAGAGCCTCTCCTTTGAGAAAGCAAACAGACTCATAGTTTTTTTTGGCATCTCAGGAAGCCTGCAGTGGTGATCCAGTTCCTTCAAAGGGTCTGTGGATTCTCTTGGCTTTCCTGATATGTTCTTGAGGTAGTTCTTAGAGCAAAAGTTCACTATGTGAGTCTCCAAACACTGCTCTGTCTGTTCGAATGGGAGCTGCAAACTAGTCCTGCCTCCTATCTGCCATTTTAATCCTTCTTCACAATTTCTTCAAGTTTCTAATTCTTCTACTGGTTTAGGTACTTTCATCGATAAGTGCAATTATAAAACATCAAGACCAAAATTCAGAACCAAAGAAGCAAGCAGCATCTACGCATTAACATTTAAATTAATAAAAATAAAATTTAATGTTGGGGGAAATATTTAAGACTTAAAACACAGCTTCAGACTGGACAGCTTCACAAGCAGATGTATTATTCACTAAACATATTGAGGACCAGTGATTTTAATAGGATACCTTTCCCAGGGCCATTAGTCTCCCTTCCTTTGTTCCCAAATAATTGTGCAGAAAGCGTATCCAACATGGCAATAGGGAGAGTTCATGGAATGTTTTAAAATAAAAATTCCTTCTAGAAAATAAAAATCTTACAAATTCTGATTCATCTGGGGCCATGAAAAACCTGATAGAGTCATTAGCATATTTCAAATATTTCCAATAATACTACGTTCATTTTGAAAAAATAGACTCAGATAGTGTGGATAAAAAGTTAGTTGTCAGCTAGAGTTTGCACTTGGGTGGATACAAATGTTCTTCAGGGAGAGACACAACAATAGGCTCTATCATGCCAATTAAGGAATCATCATATGGTTCTAGCTTGTCAATATTCTGGCAATCTCAGGCTCCCAAAGGTAGCCTAGAAAATCTAGAATGAAAACAAATCCAAGGCTATTTGTACTCACTTCCAGAAGTGCATCTGTGTAAGGATTCTTGTATCCTTACTCAGTTCTGCCACCTCAAAAAATGCCGCAGGGCATTGTGTTCCAAAGTACGCTATACCCACGGAGTGAATACTCTCCCAACAAATGTTATTTACAAATAAAGAAATTACCAAGAGGGAGTTCCCAAACTTATCTGACCATAGGACACTTTTCCCCCCTTTCTTTATAATATCTCTTTTTATCCTGAGGATGAGTGTTCCTAGAAACAGACTGGCAGTGTTTTTCCATTAAAACAATATTATAAAGTACTTAAGAGTGGCCGGGCGCGGTGGCTCACGCCTGTAATCCCAGCACTTTGGGAGGCCGAGGCGGGCGGATCACGAGGTCAGGAGATAGAGACCATCCTGGCTAACACGGTGAAACCCCGTCTCTACTAAAAATACAAAAAATTAGCCGGGCGTGGTAGCGGGCGCCTGTAGTCCCAGCTACTCGTGAGGCTGAGGCAGGAGAATGGCGTGAACCCGGGAGGCGGAGCTTGCAGTGAGCCGAGATCGCACCACTGCACTCCAGCCTGGGCGACAGAGCGAGACTCCGTCTCAAAAAAAAAAAAAAAAGAGTGTTGGGCATGGCGTCAGGCTGCCTAGATTTAAATTTTTCACATAATAGCTGGTGATCTTGGGCAAGGTACTTAGCTTTTCTCTGCTTTGGTTTCCTCTTCTGTAAAATGAATATAACACGAGTTACCTACTGCTTGGGTTTATTTTCAGGAATAAAGGAGAATATGTACTCAGTGGAGTGCTTAGCACAATGCTTACAATAGTAATCTTCAGTCAATGCTAGCTCTCAATATTTTTATTATACCCAGCGGTATGGCTAAACCCAGTGGGGAGGTCCTTTCCAAAGGAGATATCTTTTGTAGGTCTGGGCTAGTCCCAGATTCGTTTCAGGACACCAGCCATCTCTAGCTCTACCCTTTAGGCTTCCATTTCACTGGAGGCTGTTCATTTTCTTCTCTGTTACTCTGAATTACATTTCCTGGGGCTTTTCCAAGACAGTCTTGACCAGAGCCTTAGGGAAGAAAACCTTCTTCCCAGATGGGTCCCCATTTCTAAGAGAGAACCCACTGCATTGGAAATGGCTGCATAAGGCTCTAGCTACAGTGGAACTTGCATCAAAGCCCTGGCATGCCTTTGGCTGTCTTCATGGTTGTATTCTGGGCCAGGGAGGCTTGGTGACTCCTGGACAACTCTTCCAACTCCTTACCTCTGCTGTGTTGTTTCTGTTAACAGGGTGTTTATGATAATGACAATACCAAAACTCTTTCTTTTCTTTTTAATTTCTTTTTTGGGAGTAGGGGTAGAGGAGTATTTGATAGCTTTTTCTTGATTACTGAAGTAACACATACTTATTACACAAAAATCTAACATTATACAAATATATCAGGTAAAAAGTGAACCTCTCCTGTAATTCCACAACTCCTGTCTCCCCCTATAATCCCAAGACTGCTACTGTCAACAATTTTCTTCTCATTTTTAATGACACACAGAACTGGAAGCTCTGTACTCTGCTGGGAATACTTCATTCTGCACTGTTCATCTCAGGAATTTCTATTTATCTTTATGAAAGAAAGTTCAAATAACATCTTAGTGAAGTTGCTCTGACCCAGCCAAGCCATGTTGGTCTGTTTCTTTACCAGGTGCCCAAAGTAATTTGTACATCCTACATTCAGAGAACTTACCACAATTTCATTGCAATTTTTGAATTAAATGTCTCTCCTACTTCAAGGACTTAAAGGGCCATTTCTCTTTCCTCTTTAGTGCAAGGCATCTGATACATGAACCAGCAGTCAATGCACAAGTATTTGTTGAGTGAATGAATGAAGAAACATACCAATAAAATATTTTTCTAAGACATAGACTTTCAAGCTCTATAGTAATCACAGTCAGGAGGCTCAACATTTACATTTTTTCTGGAAAAATGTTTCTTATATATTCCACATTCCAACAACCAGGTAATACTGTTAATTCTCATATCTTTCATTTCTTTAGACCTGGAAACTCAAAATTCTAACTTCATAGAAAATGATACAGTTGGAAGAATTTGGGATGGATGGTAGTTTATTTTCTAAGTGCCAAATGAGCATTTTGGAGCATCATTGGCCATAGGCTTTGTCCACTGACACCAGAACATTCCAGAAAATAACATTTCAAATAAACAGTTTCAAGTCCAGTAAACCACAGACACAGAAAAGTATTCAACGACGCTTCACAGCAAACAGCCTTCTGTAGACAGTTACTCGGGAAAGACTGATTATATTTACAAAGCACAAATAACTCTTCTGTTAGATTAATTGAATATAATTTAAGCTGAAGGCTTGAGCAAAAAAGTGAATCTATAAGAGTGGTGAGAGGGGAAGACAAAGAAGAAGATACCAGAAGGATGAATCTTAGAAAAATATTTCCAAATATCAGAGATCCCCACTGGACCAGCTCTTCAAGTTAACACGCTCCACTGAGGGACTCTGACATGCTGCATGACACATCATCCAAGGAATAGCATCCAAAAGGAGTCTCATTTTTCTTGGAAAAAGAGATTGCCACAGAGCTTTCACATTTTACCAATTAAACAGATTGGATTCCATGTAATTAAGTAATATAATTATGAACCTATTTCTTGGCCTCAAGCCCAAGGGCATATTTCTAGTTCAAGTATATCAGCAATTTTCATCCAGAATTCATACACATCACATGCTGAACCTAGCTCTTCATGTTAAAATACATAGGCAATCTACAAATAGAAATCCACAATTTCAAAATTAAAGAGTAAGACTCAATGGGTGCAATCATGGAAAGTGAGGTGCAGAGTAGATACTGGGCATTAAACATAAGCAGGATATAGAAGTAACCAGGAGAAATTTAAGACTTCTAAAAATTTAGTGTGAAATGAAAAAAAGTGGAGGGGTCACTGGGTTTCTATCATACAAGGGATGGTGACTTAAGTAGTAAAGGGAAAGGATATTTTAGGGATACATAGCAACTGGCCCTAAAGTTACATTAGTATAGCTAATATACTAAAAGTTAGGAGGCAAAGCAATCACTAATGGGGATGGAGGTAAACTAAATTATCATCTTCTCTTATATTAAAAAAATGGTACTGTCAGAATCATGCTTATTAAGTTAAGTTATAAAAGTTAACATTTATTGATAACTTGGGTTGGGCCAGCCCATGTTCTAAGTATACTCTGCTTATTTAATTTTCAAAGCAACTTTATGAGATAGGAACTATTATTATCCCATTTCACAGATGAGAAAATTGAGGCACAGAGAGGCAAAGTAACTTGCCTAAGGCCACACACCTAGCAGACTGCAGAGCTGAGATTTGAACCCTGGCAGTCTGGCTCCAGAATCCTATGTTTTTAACAGTATACTATGGTGCCTCATAATGCCTACTCAAAAGAAATATTACTCTTTATTTTAGAGTTCTATTCATATCTTTACATAGACTTTCAGAAATCTTTTGGAGATTTAAGTCCCAAATTAAAGAGACTGGTCACTAGCTATCAAAAGCAACTGAAGTCGATGTACTTTGAGAACTGGTAAAAGATACTCAATTCACTTTTGCATGGTATTTAACATTTGTCCATGCAACTGAATTCAATTCAATTAACAGTGATTTAGGGTCCCATGCTGAATACCGAAGAAGTAAGATTCAAAGCTTAAAGAAGATACAATTTTTATTCCAATCTAGAGCAAATGAAATACTCTGAAGCTTACAGTTTAATAGAGATGAGAAAAATGAAGTCCAGAGCATTCAAATGACTTGCTTAAGGACCAAAATATAGTAAAGTGACCTAAAGTCCAATTCAAATGGGTCTAAAGAAAATTTCTCTTTTTACTCCACCACTGTGCTTCCAATCAAGCTGATTGAACATACTGAAATAAAATTAATGTCCAAAATCATTATCGGTGATTTTTGAAGAGGAAAAATGTTCGACTTTTTCCTGCTTTCCTCTAGAACCCACTTCTTTCTGGAATGATATGAGAAACAGAAAGAAGAGATAGCCAAGGGAATATTTTTAAGAGAAGAGGAGGAGAGAATTAACATAGCGTCTCCCAGATTTTCTGTGAAGGAATGTGTGATTTTCAGTTTTATTTGCTGGATAACTTCTCTCTCAAACCTTCCCCAATTCTAAAATTAGATGTTGAAATTATGTCTATATTGATAACTATGTGTGTATGTATGTGTGAAGGTTACCCACTCCATTCTAAGAGTCTTAAGAACAGGGGACATCCTTTAAACCTATATGCCCAGCTTTTACAAAGTGCTTTATAAAAAGCAAAGTAGGTGGTCAAAATATTTTCTGTCATGTATGGTAATTATGGTAAAAGTGTATATACAATGTAAGATTTCCAATTAGTTTGTTTTCTTTAACAAAATGACCCTGTATTCAGGTTACCTAGATATTTTTATTAGTTTATATTAGTGGTTCTCAAAATGGGGCAACTGCTTCCCTGGCCCCCCAGGGGACATCTGGCAATGTCTGGAGACATTTTTGTTATCATAACTTGAGGTTAGGGGAGGGTGCTACTGGCTTCTAGTGGGAAGAGGTCAGGGATGCTGCAAAACATCCTATCATGCATGGGACAGACCTTGCAACAAAGAATTATCTGCCTGGATTCCTTATTGTGGCTATGGAAATCATTCTTTCTATCTAGGTTACTCTTTTATTTCTATGATGGAAAGACGACCAGCCTTTATCCATTGTCCTAATAGTCTGATAATGTGTTAAGATGAATAAGGGAAAGGAAGTAGGAGGTGCTGCTGATTTTTCTTTGCATTTCATCATATTTTCCTTGCATATTCTTTAGCTGGTGTGGTTACATTTGCTTCAGTTTTATTTGCTTGTTCATTTTCCCCAGTGGCTGATAATAACATTTGACACTTTAGATGTCTGGCGTACACATGAATAAAAATTTCTTTAAGAGCATAAGTTGTTTCTTTTCTGGGAATCAACTGACCTCAAGAGGATCTTTGAACATACCATAGTAACTAATCTGTTAAGTATTTTGTGTTTTGAGTTAAACATGTCACTGAGATCCTCACACATTAGTTAACAATTTTCTAAATATTTACCAAGATCTTTAATAAGTGAGAGTGCTTCCCATGATATAAAGGCTCCACCGCCATCATCCATGGCACCCTGCCCAACATCCCAGCTGTCCAGATGTCCACTGACCAGTACAACCTAGAACAAATAATAAAAAGTTAAAAAATAAAACTAAGCAAAAATGACATCAAAGAGTAAACATTTATAGGTATTCAAAATATAAAAATGAAACTTTTATATTTTCTTTCCTATTTTTATGTCTTTAAAGATATGTGTCATTATTAGTGGAAAACTTGGTATTGAGGAATTGTATAAGGGGTCTAAGTCTATCCTAATAGTAATAAAAATCCTCACTTTGTACCTTTCTTTATTAATATAATTTTGACTACTAAAGAAATTGGCTTGGCCGGGTGCGGTGGCTCACGCCTCTAATCCCAGCACTTTGGGAGGCCGAGGCGGGTGGATCACGAGGTCAGGAGATCAAGACCATCCTGGTTAACACGGTGAAACCCTGTCTCTACTAAAAATACAAAAAATTAGCTGGGTGTGGTGGCAGGCGCCTGTAGTCCCAGCTACTTGGGAGGCTGAGGCAGGAGAATGGTGTGAACTCGGGAGGTGGAGCTTGCAGTGAGCTGAGATTGCGCCACTGCACTCCGGGGTGGCAGAGCAAGACTCCATCTCAAAAAAAAAAAAAAAAAAAGAAAAGAAATTGGCTTATTACTGACAGATATTTGATAAATTTATTATATGGCTTAAAACCTAAAGGATATAAAAATGAAGCTTGAAACTTCAACCACATTCGTAACTGTCCCAAATTCTAGAAGAAACGTAATAAACATGTGTTGAATTGATTTAAATGAGAAAATGAGAACAATAATTTATTTAAAAAATTGTTTTATGCATTATAGATTGATGTTGAATAAATAAATAGCTGGATTTCAAAACTAGATCCAATTGAACAGGAGAACTTTTAAGGGAAATTTCAACTGACATTAGTATTAAATAAATCTAGAAATTATATTACACATTTGAAATCATCACAGGTTTAAAATTCTTCTTAGGAAATATTAGTAATTATAAGAAAATATTTAAAAATTCACTGAAACTAAATTTTGTGGACACATTTCAAACAAGTTATAAACCAAGTAAAGTGATGCTGGGGTATATAGAATATTGGTTTGAAAAAAAATGTATCTTGATCATTATAAAACATACAAATATGTAGTCAGATGAATTACATATCTAAACACAGATTTTAGAGGAAGGCATAGAATAACTTCACCAATTTGGAGTAGGCAAAGATATCTTAAACTGGACACAAAAATTATAAGCCATAAAAGAAAAAAATAATAAATTACATTTTGAGTTAAACATGTCACTACTGAGATCCTCACACATTGGTTAACAATTTTCTAAATATTTACTAAGATCTTTAATATGTGAGAGTGTTTTTTTTTAAACTAGGAAAGCTAGTCATCAAAAGACCCCACTAAGAGAGTGAAAAGGTAACCCACGGAAAAACAGAAAATATTCAGCATATATATATATGTATATGAACAGACAATTCACAAAGAAAGATATGCAAATTACTAATAATCATAAAAACGATACTCAGCTTCATTATCATTAGGGAAATATAAATTAAACCACATTCAATACATATTGAACCAGATGGCTAAAATGAAAAAGACAAAATATGCCAAATATTGGTGAGGAGGTAGAGCAACTGGAACTCTTGTACATTGCTAGTGTAAGTACATTCAACCACCTGGAAAAACTGGCTTATCTATTAAATCTGAACATACACAAAACTATGACCCAGCAATGCTACTCCTCGTTATATATCCAAC